>NC_000006.12:51351367-51997051 GCF_000001405.40 Homo sapiens | reverse complement strand
TGATCCAACTTGAGTTAATTGGGCAAAATTCCCTCTGCTCAGGGTAATGGGCTTTGTTGATTGGTTTTGGCCAATGAGTGATCACTGTGCACTTATAGAATAGAGCTAATCCCATCCCAAATACCTGGGTAAAAATATGGTAGCAGTGATGCCTGGAAGGTAAGTCTTGAAGCTGTTGATAAGTGGAAAGCTGGAGAATGGACATTGCCGTCAGCAAACACTTGACCTCAATGACCTTGCTTTTCTCTTTATAGCTACACTAAGGCCACTTCCTCTGATGCTCCTCACTTCTCCTTTTGCTAACTTAAGGCCTTGCTGTTGCATGAGATTTTGAGGGGGTGAAAACAAGTCACCTTTTCTGTATAAGTCAGGTAAATGAAAAGGAAACAGTTTGGTAAGTCTCCCTTAGAATTCAGTAGGAATGTCTGCTTTTAACAAACAAACAACCAAATGAGAAAGCATAATGACTACATAAAACACACATATCTTCAGTGGCCCGCAGGACTTTAAAGTCAGTTAGGTGTTTCTTTTGTGATGTGCGTCTTCCTGTTTCAAAATGACAGCAGCTATTTTTATGATGTACCAGCTCCCAACGGGGATGGCTGATCACTCAGTTCTATGCAAGAGAACCTTCCTCTAATAATAAAGAAAAGAGCAATCTAGGGAAAGAAATAGTCTGTTACAGTGTCGGTTTCTCATAATTCATCTCCCCAAATACTATACAAACATTAATTAAACTTCCCAACTGGGAGCGGTGGCTCATGCCTGTAATCCCAGCACTTTGGGAGGCTGAGGCGGGAGGATCATGAGGTCAGGAGATCGAGACTATCCTGGCCAATGCAGTGAAACCCCATCTCTACTGAAAAAAAAAAAAAAAAAAAAGCCAGGCGTCGTGGCAGGCGCCTGTAGTCCCAGCTACTTGGGAGGCTGAGGCAGGAGAATGGTGTGAACCCAGGAGGTGGAGCTTGCAGTGAGCCAGGATTGCACCACTGCACTCCAGTCTGGGCGACGGAGCGAGACTCCATTTCAAAAAAAAAAAAAAATTGCCGTTCTTTAATCCTTCTGAAACATGATTTACAGATCACTCAGAGGGTCCCAGGCATTGTCTGAGTCCCTCCCAGGGATTTTCAGATGATTGTTTTGAGAGACAACCAAAAACTATGAAGTTATGAAGGGCCTAGATAAAATTATGCATTCAATATCTAGAATGTTAGAACTAGTCCATCCCTTTGGACTTTGGGAGGTTGCTTTAAGTCTACAGAGAAATAAAATACAACTCCTACCTCGTAGAATGTACTATTTAATAGGGGAGATATAAAAACTCACTAACTGTGCTATAAGCAAAATATAATCATGTGATAATAAAGATATGTGTATTTTGTTATGGAAAATCAGTGAAGGCAAAGAAATCTTCTGGGTGGAAAAATTACCTGGAAACTCCCTAGAGAGTGTGGCATTTTATTAGGGCCTAAAAGGATTACCAGGATGTGGATAAGGGAAGATAAGGAACAAAGGTCTACTAGCTAAGAGACTAGTCTTACAGAGTCCCAGAGATGGGAAAACATGGTTTACGTTTAAGTGATTTTATTTGGCTGGAGTGTAAAGTTTGAAAGAAAGTAACCAGGAAGGCAGTTACTAGAAACAAAGGTTGGAAAACATCATGTACAATCTTGAGTGCCAAACTAAGGAGTGTAGATTTAATTCAGGAGGAAAATAAAGCTGTTAGAGGCTTTATAAATTTTGTTGCCACCACTGTGTCTCATAAAATGCTCCTTAGATCCCATATCAGAGTCAGAACTCTAGTCTTGCTGAGCTGTGGCCTGATGGCAGGTAAGGTGAGTTCTAAAACATGTAGCTGCTGTTCTCTTGGAGCTCAGATGCCATTACATGACAGGCAGTGCTTCCACGAGGGGTGAGAACATAAGGAAATGAGGTGTCTTAAGACTGCAGGTGAAAAAGGATGAAGGATGAGTATTCTGAAAGTAATACAAAGAAACGCAGGGTGACCAGAGAGCATACCTGATTCTTGTAGGGTGTTTTAGATTCCTGGTAAGTTACAGAGGGAGGTGGTATGATATAGTGGTCTGAGATTGGCTGATCTAAGTCCTAATTCAAGGCTTGGGTGTTACCTACCTGTGTGCTTGGAGGCACGTCTGGGGAAAACCTCATGGCTGGGCGAGATGGCTCACTCCTGTAATTCCAGTACTTTGGGAGGCTGAGGCAGTTGGATCACTTGTGCCCAGGAGTCTGAGACCAGCCTGGGCAACATAGGGAGACCTCATCTCTACAAATAATGCAAAAAAGTAGCTGGGCATAGTGGCGTGTGCCTGTGGTCCTAGCTACTCGGGAGTCTGAGGTGGGAGGATCGCCTCAGCCTAGGAGATGGAGACTGCAGTGAGTCATGATTATGCCACTGCACTGCATTCCAGCCTGGGCAGCAGAGTAATACTCTGTCTCAAGGAAAAAAACAAACAACAACAACAACAAACCCAAAAAAACAAAACCAAAGAACCTCTTAGTTTCCCCATCTGTAACTGGACAAAATCAACATGTTCCAATGTGAATTCTGTAAGCAATTAGTAAAGAAACATGTCTCATTAGAAAAAAAAGTGTTCTGGGCTGGGCGTGGTGGCTCACGCCTGTAACCCCAGGACTCTGGGAGGCCGAGGTGGGCGGATCATGAGGTCAGGAGATCGAGACCATCCTGGCTAACACGGTGAAACCCCGTCTCTATTAAAAATACAAAAAAATTAGCTGGGCGCGGTGGCAGGCGCCTGTAGTCCCAGCTACCCGGGAGGCTGAGGCAGGAGAATGGCGTGAACCCGGGAGGCGGAGCTTGCAGTGAGCCGAGATAGTGCCACTGCACTCCGGCCTGGGCGAAAGAGCGAGACTGTGTCTCAAAAAAAAAAAAAAGAAAGAAAAAAAGTGTTCTGTAGTGAAGTAAGTTTGGTGAATGCTGCAGACTCGATTCTATCGATGTCCAGTCAGACATTAAAAGCTTGGAGAGTCCTGCAGGAAGGAAGGCAGTTTTACTCTGTTGAAACCAGTCTTTCCTAAGCTTATTTGGTCATAAAAATCTTATTTTTTTTTCTTCCATACAACACCTATTGGCTCTCTGTGGAACACTTTGGGAAATTTTGGGCTAGGTCATTTTTAGCTCCCTTTCCACTTTGACACTGTCTGATTCTGTCTTACCTCTGAAGGTTTCTTTTCAGTCTAACATCTTATACATCCAAGGAAGTTTTCTTCTCCAGTCTGGCTGAGTACAATTTCCTCCCTAAACTATCGAATTGACTATCATCCCCCAATTAACTTTGTCAGAGTTGAGGCAGGAAGTTCTTTAAAAGTGTTTGTAAAAGTGCTTTGAGATCCTTTAAGGAAGGAGATCCCTGGTGGATTTGTCATATGACTTCATTAGACACCTCGTATGCTAAGGAGCTATCAACTTCAGCTTCCAGTTTGGCATCATCATATTTCTAACTTACTCTATTAACTAGGAAACAGCTGAGGGATTATTTTTTCTCCTCTTTTTTGCATCTGTGTATAATGTAATTTAACTTAGCAAAAAAGACACTGATTGCCTGTCCCACGGGACTTAATTAACTCCCAGCTTCATGGTGCTCCATGGAAATAATAAGAAAAGTAAAAGTTCAAGTGTTCGGTACCTGTCCACTTCCACCTCTGGTGCATAATGAGACGTCAGGAACAGTGACACTGATGAGATGTGTAAAAGATGCTGATTATAGAAGGCAGCAAGCTGCCTGCTCGGCTCCTGGGAGCTCTGGCCAGGCTGGAAGAATCACCAACCCAGCAGGCAGCCTTTGCCTTCAGATTACAATTTCCAACATTCTCCCCACTCACCTCCCTGCCACCTGAGCAGTGGTTTTGTTAACCTTTAGCTCTGCCTTCTGCACCCTGGTCAGATGTTATGACAATTGTCACGGGGAAGATACCATGTTTATTAAGCTGCCTGTAGCAAATCCGGACTGGTAGTGCAGGATTCTACCAGCCAGCCCTCAGGGGAGCCCATTAAGAAATTGCAAGGCTAATAAAAATCATGCTGGATGAAATTGCAATCCTCTGGTGCCACTCCGTGATGGTTGAATCTAGTTTTACATTTTAATGGGGGCAGGGACTGAAGGTTTGAACCAGGACCCTTGTACCAGCAATACTGAAGGTAGTACCTTCTTAACCCAGAGCTGGAATGGAGCAGAAAGAAGACAAGCTTGCTTCTCTTTTTGTGTGAGTTTTCTGCACATTTGAGATAGGAATTTATTAATGTGTCTGATAAGTTAACAATGCACTGCTCCTGGAAAAAAGCCTTGCTCTGCCATGTGGCATGAAATTTGGGCCACAGTTAGAGTCTTCCAGCCTCTCATTGAAGCCTTCAGTGCCCACGCCTGAGGGGAGACTAAGAAAGCAGGGGTCTGGGTTCTTTTCTCTTGGTAAAATTGTTCTAAAATTTCCCTGTACTGGTGGCTTCTCCACAAGGAAATTGTGTGGAAATTGGGAGAGCCATGCCAGCGTTTAAACTCATCTTCATACTGCACCCTTTCAAATCCAGGCACCACTGAATCAGGGAGTGATTCTTGATTTCTTTGCCTCATCTCTTCTGCTCACAGAATTCATAACTTCACTTGGATAAATTGATACTTTTCAAACATTAAAATGAAACAACCAAGTATGTAATCGCTGTTTTGGGAAGATTGAGAAAAATGGAAAGAAAAACATATTAGGGTATTCAATACTTGCTATGATGCCACCTAGAGAAGCATATTTCTGTATTTTATTGTAAAGAACTACTACTACTACTAATAATAATGGGAAGGGGTAACATTAATTGAATGCTTGCTTCTTGTCAGGAACTGTGTGAAACCCTTTACTTGAACTGCCCATTTAATCCTCAGAATGAAACTTTAAAGTGATGACTATTATCATCTCAATTTTACAGGTTGATAACCATTCAGAAATGCTTAGAAGCTTGTCTCAGGACCCACAGCTGGAAAGTGGCAGAGCAGGGACTCAAATTGAGACATAATGATTCCAGAGCCTGTGCTCTTTGGCACTCTTGCCCCATAATCTTCAAGCTGGAGAGTTTAGAGATAGTAACTCCTAATTTCAGTATCTACAGGCATTGGGTGTAGAAGTATAGGAATATGATGAAATAATTTAAAAATGCTATCTGTATGTTGAGTGAATAAATCTGGAATGGTCATAAGATTAACATTGGCAATGCTTGGAGTGATATATTTATTTCTATGACTATATATTTATCCATAAAGTCCATCATTAAAGTACAATTTAAGATTTCTCTGTGAAGTCTTAAGAAACAATCCCTTTCAGCATCAGGGGATATTGACCCTATTCTTTACTGGGCTTTGGCACAACTGGAAATACATCACAATTAGCCTATTTAAGGCAATGTATTTATTGGGGCCTATTTTATTTAACTTTTAAAATAATCAATTTTAAATATGTGACAATAGAGAGAATAGCATAATGAGCCCTGTGTACCCATTGTCTACCTTCAACAGCTATCAGCTTATTTACTTTTATTTTTTTAAGTGAGGACTATGTTATGTAGGTTATCCTTTGAAAAGAAGAATCTGCTAATGGGAATTTTAAGGGTGAAGGTGAGTTTTAACTTGGGTATCTCTCATAGTGGCTATATTTTACATTTATTTGAATTTCTAGAAGGCGTGAGGCATCTAGGGTTTGTATTAAAAATTAGAGCACAATACACATAAACCAAGTTTTCCTTTGAGTCTCTTTTATTTTCTCTTTCTTTTGTTTCTATCTTCCATTCCAGTCTTATTTAAAGTTTATGTTTATAAGGTCTAAAACTTCCCAAGTGTATTTCCATTTTTAAACAGATTTCTTGGAGACCCAAATAAGTGAAGTTACAGTGGTAGAAAAAGTGGCAGTAAAGATGAGTTTTGTATATAGGGTTGTCCATGATGCTTGGCACCAGATTCCATTGTCTGAGCAACTAACTCTTCATTAACTTTAAGACAGTAAGTGGCAACTCAAATACATTGAACATTTATATGTGACAGACACATGGCATTTAAGTATTTTTTCTACTTATTTTCATAGCACTCTGAGTAGATAGTATTAGCTCCATTTTGCAGATAAGGAAACGGATGCTTCAAAATGTTAGGAGACTTGCCCTAGGCCCTGTGGCTAATAATGTTGGAGCTATGAGTTTGAAATGTAGTCTGCCTAACTTTCAACTTTCTCTTAATCATGATGCTGCCTGCTGAATAAGTTACAAAAAAAAAAGCTAGTGAATGGTATTTTGGGGGTAGAGAGAGAGAGAGAGATGGGAAAAGAGTGGGATAGAATGGAAAATAAATGAGTTCATAAAAAACTTTTGATAAAATCTCATATCCAGTGAAATAAGAGCAATGCTACATGAATTCACTTTAACTTCAAGGATATGACTATTTACTAAGGAACAAAAGTGTTTTGATTTTAGTTTGAAAATATTGGTACAAAGAGCAAGATTCTTTGTATAGCCCATAATTATCTCCCTTGCCCTGAAATATGGAAGGGCTCTGAAACACGGGAGGGGCTTCACTTATTCTTGCCCTGATTTATTATGAAAAGATGTCCACCAGAATAAAACAAAGAAATATGCCAAACAAGGAAAGCAAAAGGACTGGGGGAGCAGATATTATCAGTGTTGGGAGAGGCAACATCTGCACAAGGTTGTTAAGATGTAGCAAGTCAAGATGGCCACTGCAGTAACCACAGGCTATGTAAAGAGATAAATGGTTGACCCCAGCTCGTGTCAGGCTACGATTGATGCCACTATCAGCCCTAGTGCCTTCCCAATGATTTTTTAAAAAAATCTTTGATAGAGTGTGTTATCTAGTTACTGGCATGAGGGCAATAGCCTGGAGGGGTGAAGGAAAAGGGAAGAATAAAAGGTCACACCAGGAGGACAATCTCTGTTGGACTAAATGAGAAAAAAAGGATCTAGCTCAAAAGGGAGGAAATAAATAAATAACAATAAACGCAGCTGCTAGGTGCATGGGTGGAATAGTGAAATTGCTGTATCTCTCCCTTCCTTCCTTCCTTCCTTCCTTCTTTCCTTCCTTTCTTCCTTCCTTCTTTCCTTCCTTCCTTCCTTCCTTCCTTCCTTCCTCCCTCCTTCCTTCCTTCCTTTTCTCCCTTGTTTCCTCCCTCCCCCTATCCCTTCATTTCCTCTGGTTTAAAAAAAATTAAGACAGACCTTGAGTTATTACTGGGAGTTCAGCAGATATAGCTGTATATTCTTTGTTTTTCTCTTGAGGTATTTTAATGGTCTAATTGGGATTGTTAAGTCTTTTGTTTAAATCTCTAGAAGTGGTGAAATCAAAGGCCTTTGTTAGCCTTCCTCTCTGTAGGATAATGATGACTCGAGTGAAAAATAATAACAAAAACAGGCAAAACAAAGTTCCTCTAGATAATGGGAAAATATATCTTCATAATATGCCATTATTAATTTATTTGTGGTGAATTGTGCAGGTTCAATTCTGTGATAACTCTCTGGTCTTCCTTTCTACACACATACACGTGCACATAGAGACACCCCTGCAGGTGTGCCTGCATGCATAGTTGTTTTCACATGTACCTATACGTATTTTTGGAAAGGCAGGAATAAAATTGCTTTTGCTCAGTATCACTGCACCAACAGAATTGTATTTCATGATAATAGAAACTTTAATTGGCTCCTTTTTAGCCTTGAAACATGTTTTGCAGCAGAAAAAGCAAAGAAGGGAGAACTGAAATAGTGTTTTTGTCTAAAAGAGTATGGCTTTAATTAGTATAAGTTTTTTCTTTTTATTTGACCTGGAAAAATCTAGTTTTTGTTTTTTTTCCTTTCTCTCATGAAGTTTTTGTAGAAGGTAAAATGTCAGTACCAGGGCAAAGGCCCTGGAGACTGGAGTGGATTCGCAGCATGAATACTCACCTTTGAGAAGGATCGTATTGGATATAAAGATATCGCTTCCAAAAGCAACTCTGGGAAGAGTAGAGAAATATTTTTTAGGCAGATTTCATCCTTTTCTAAAGCCACAGACTTTAACAATGTGAGCCCCTGGCCTTATGTTGTTGATTTTCTATAGCTAGTGCTGTGCAGGCTCATCGTTAGTTGGCACAAGTTGGAGGACTTGTCTTGTCATCTCTTCCTCTGTCAAAGGTATAAGAGTAATGGAAAAGCTGTGAGTCTTGATGCTGGAAGACTTGGGTCCTAGTCCCTAACAACGCCAAGGTCCTGGGTCCTTGACTTAATTTCTCAGAGCCATCATTTCCCCTCAATGATGGTGATAGTGCTTAACCATATCTTCCTGCAAGGTTTTTGAGTTTTAAATGGATCTACAGGTGTAAAGCCCTCTCTAAGTATGAAAGTGCCATTCAACTCTTAGATCTTTTATCAATGTGGACTCCAGTGGCATATGGTGGTGGTAGTTGGCTGTAATGTGGCCAAAAGGCTCGCATAGAAAACTGGAACGTGCTACTTGCAGAGTACAGAAATAAAACAGTGGCTGTTGGAAATTTCCTTAGGATTGTTTAAAGTGGGAGCAAGGTGGGGGAATGAAATATTAGGGCTAGATGAAAAATATGTAGTATGTGTTTTTTGTACTTTTAAGTTTCTAATTGGCGACATAAAATATATGCTGGATAATTTGGTTTGCCAATAGAATTAATTATTATGTTTGAGATATTATATTTAAAATAAAAATTTATTTTGTCAAGAATTTGTCTTATATATTGAGGCATAAATTACCTATAATGAAATGTACAGATCTTAAGTGTATAGCTTATTAATATATGTATATACTGTGAAGCCCAGAATCAAATTGAAGACATAGGGCGTTTTCATCACCAAGGAAAGTTGATTTTGTTTTCATTTCTCTTTGTTTTTCCATAAATGGTGATGCAACAACTAAATCTTAAGAAATCTATCTTTTCCTTGTTTTAGTTTAAGGAAAAGTTGAGAAAGGCAAGAAGTGAACAATGATACTTACCAAACACCTGTTATATGTCAGGCACTGAGTTAGCCTTTATGTATACTAATTAACTCATTAAGAGCCCTCAAAAAATCTCCATTTTAAGATAAGAGATTGAGCTTCAGGGAAATTAGGTGACTACCAAAGGTCACAGAGTGACTATGTGGTAGAGTTAGGATTTGAATTTGTGTTACTGCCTCCAGAGCCCATTTTATTCAACTAGTAAAATAAAACAATTGCTAGGGCTTAGGGACTTGAGGGTCTTCTGGAGAATCAGAGAATACCAAAAGTTCACAGTTTCAGTTTCAGAAAAAAAAAAAAAAGGTCTTAGAAAAAGAACTTCTTTCCTGTGAGAGGACAAAACTGATTGGGCTCACCTTTTGACTGGAGATTCAGTCTGATTTAACCTTTCTGTTTCTGAGGCTATATTTTCCTCATCATTTCAGATTTATGAAACTTTTATTATTTTTGAGACAAGTTTTTAATATTGCTTAAGGGCATGGGCTGCTAAAGTCTGAAAACAGATTCTCAAAGCCTTGGTTCCACCACTTTCCAGCGTTTTGTTTTTGGTCATGTTACTTTCCCTCTGCATTTCTCAGTTTTCTCATCATAAATAGGGCTAATAAGGTAGACTCTTGGAAGGTCATTGTGAAGTTCAAACAGGGTATAGAAGTGAAGGTTTTTATGCAGTGTCCTACATCTAATAAATGCTCATTCAGTGTTTATCATTATTATTCTTGTTATTATTATCATTTCTCCCAGCCTCATACCTTCAGCTTTGAATATTTTAATTGTTGTTCTGGTTTTCAGTTTGCTATTTTCCAAATCCAGATCAATTTATTTAATGTGCTACCAAAATGGGGGTATTGAAGTGAGTGAGAAAACAACTGGACTCTGAGATTCTGCTGTGCCCTCAACCCTGGAGGGCTCTCTCAGCCTTGCTGGTTGGTGTTCTATCTTGATGTCCTCATATCCTGTGTACCTAATAGTAGTCACAATCGGCATTAATCAACCACACCTAGCATTTCTACACGTCTGTACCCACGCTTTCTTTAAAGCCATGCTATTTATGTGCTCTACCTAGTATCGGCTATTATACTTGTTTCCTGCTAGATTATGTGTGTGCCAGAGGTAGTCTGAGCACCTACTGCTGTGCCTGGGGTTTAGCAAATGCTGCCACGCTATTTGTTGGATAAAGGCCATTTCCAAATTTCATTTCTGGACAAAACTCCTGGCGGTGTCATATATTTTTCCAGTTTTAAAGTTTCCTAATATCTCACTTTTCTATTTTGCTTGGGGAATGAGAAATACCACAGGAGTTAATTTGCTAGGCAACTGAAACATTTCCGTCAAAATACCAAGCCATGTTTATTTTTGATATTAACTTCTAAAACATTGCGAAGGCTTTTCTGTCCTTTTACTTGAACATAGGTGGTAGTATCAAATATTTTGTTGATACCTCTGGATCATCAGCACAAACTTCAGTTGTTTCACTTTTTAAAAAAATAATAACTCTATCCCAGGTGGTGCTATTGAAATTGCTAAATGGCCCATGACTGTATTGATGTATTTCGTCCCTTCCTTTGCTGTCAGACTGCAAGTCTCACATCTGGATGCTGTCAGTAGCCCCTACTTCCTTCTAATTGATCCTTTTGTTTTCTTCAGCAACTGACAAGATAACAAAATTTTAATAGATATATACGATTCTGAGTGCAGTCTTGAAAGACACATCTTGAAGAAGTACATGAGGTTTGGTGTGTGGATATTGTGATAAATTCCCCACCTCTCCCCTTCATTTCTCATTAGTCATATTCATGACTGAGATTGTGAAGAGAACAGCTATGTCCCTCTCCACGACAGGTCTGAATATGGCATTTCTATAATATTAGAGACAAATGCTATATATTACTTACATTTCTGTTTTTTTAACTTGAAATCATTATAACTACACAGATCCCCATAGCAAAATTATTCCTATTAATCCCATTACGTTTTTACCTTACATTCTCACTTTGCTAACTGGAAATATGCTGATTATAAATAAGTTGTTAATATGACCGGTACCATTTGTGAATTAATAACTATCACAAATATATTCTTATTCACAAATGGTTACATAAATTATTTTAAAAATTACTTTCCATTGTATAACTTCTAGAAATAAATAACTCATATAGCATGTGAGAATGTAGTATCAAAATATCACATGTATCCCTTAAATATGTATAATTATTATGTATCAGTAAAAAAGAAACCTTTCTATTTTAAAAGATATCCCTGTGTCTTATCATTTAGGGTAGCATATGCTTTATTATTATTATTTTTTTGAGATGGATTCTCACTCTGTTGCCCAGGCTGGAGTGCAGTGCCACGATCTCGGCTCACTGCAACCTCCACCTCCTGGGTTCAAGCGATTCTCCTGCCTCAGCCTCCCGAGTAGCTGGGATTACAGGCATCTGCCACCATGCCTGGCTAATTTTTGCATTTTTAGTACAGACAGGGTTTTGCCACGTTGGCCAGGTGGGTCTCGAACTCCTGGCCTCAAGTGATCCGCCCGCCTCAGCCTTCTAAAGTGCTGGGATTACAGGCATGAGCCACCGCGCTCGGCCTGCTTTCTTTTTTATAACATTCATTCCTCTTAAATTTTTCGTTGTTGTATATTTCTTAAACAATGTTCCATAAACCCAGAAACTATTGTTTATTCACTATTGGATTTTTCTTACAAAGTAGGCCAAAATAAAGAATCAATAAACATGTGTTAATTGTTTTGCAATAAATATTTCAAGAAGTTGATTTCTACAAACAATACTGCAACAGACATCTTCCACATTTATCTTTCCACATATTTTGAGAAAGTATATGAAACTCAGAGATAGCCTTCAATTGTATGTAGTTTTTTTCTAATTTTTTTCACAGATCATGCATATTGCAAAATAATATAGTTGTACCAGTTTACACATTTCCATTAAAAAAGGAACATATGAAGATTTCATTTTAATTTTAAAATAATTGATGATCTAGTAATTGTTTTTTTTTTCTATGGAAAAATATCTAGTAATGACAAAAATATCTTTGGACAAAGAATCCAACTTTCTTGCTTTCTCCTTATTTTTTCTCTAGTTGTAATGTCTGAATTGTCTTCATTGATTTAGCACCATCCTTGGACGTTTTCTCCTTGGTATTGTAGGGGTAACCCAACGTTAATTTGGTGAATAAAAACCTTGAAATTATGTTATTTCTAGTTCGCAGATTCTGAACTTCCTTTTCTTTGTAACTGAGATTTCCTCTCCATTCCTTAGAGGCATTCCAGATTAGGTTATAATTTCTGCTTTTACTTTTACTTGGTCCAGGAATGCCTCAGGCAAAGGATACTCCTACATTCTCCAGTGTAACACTGGCTTCAGGGAAAGGGGAGCAGTTCTGAATTTCATACTGATATTGGCATCCAGGTGTGTTCAAGGTCAAGAATCTGTACAGGATCACTGAACACAGACCATTGTTCTTAGGACTGTGGCATGAGATTCAAAATAATGCTCCCTCTTTGTTTTAATAAATTTTAGAGGTAGAAACTGACAACATGTAAATTTTGTGCAAGAGCAGGGTATGTGTGAGTATGCTTTTCTTTCAGACTCAATCCCTCTTTTTCATTTTACTTCTTAAACAAGTCAGAATGCCTAAAGCCTTCTTTGTTGAGGAGTAAAGTGAATAGCTTCCTTCCATGCCTTTCTCTTGGGGAAACTACTTGGTTAATAATGAATTCACTTTCATTCAATGAACCAGGATTTTAGCTAAGAAGAATCCATGCAATCTTTCAGGTTTATTGATCTAGTCACTGTGTTCTC
Source organism: Homo sapiens (assembly GCF_000001405.40). Classification (NCBI taxonomy): domain Eukaryota; kingdom Metazoa; phylum Chordata; class Mammalia; order Primates; family Hominidae; genus Homo; species Homo sapiens. The sequence continues at coordinate 51,984,213 of NC_000006.12, read as the reverse complement.
TTTTGGGAAAGGATAATTTTAATGGCATTACCCATAAAGAATACGTGTTTTTATCTTGTCTTTCTAATGAGCGAATGCTAGAGCTGAAGCCTCTCTATGGGCTTTTTTCTTTTTGCCTTGTGGCCTGCCCCTTTGTCATAACTCAGAGTTTTCAAATCTGTCCTTATAATCCAGGTTGCTGTAGAGCAAAGAACTTCATTAACATTCTCCTGCTAGACTTGAAAACAATTAGAACAGTGTGACTAGAAAGAGTTAAAGAGGACCCCCCAAACCCTAAAACCAAACAGACATCACAGAGCAGGGATAGCAGGTAAAGTGGTTGCTATAAACACTTTCTCTTGAAAGCTGTGCCTTTTCAATAAACACACCGTTAGGCCCTAGCAAAATATTTCCAGTTGACTTCATGGGTGGTGCAGTGCTGGAAGCTGTTAGCTTGTGCTCAGTTAAATTTCAAACGTCAAAGCTCATTAATAGTGATTTTAGCCAAAGACAGCTTGTAAGGAGCTGTGCAAACTTAACTTCCTCAAATAAAATGAGAAGAAAGATGACCATTTAACATTGCTTTTCCTCCCCCTGCTTTCTTCACCTCCGCTTCGAGTTTGTTTTGGGTTTTATTGACAGTAGGTTTCAAGTTTATATTCCGCATTTCCCTTAATTTGCTTTGTCCTTTTATCTGCCCCCTCTTGGGAAATAGGCCTATTACAAAGGTGTTGCGATGTTTCTTTGAGTTTTAGGAGGAGTGTTTTGTCTGTTTGAAGCAGGCCTGGAGGAGTCTGTGAAAGTGTTAAGGCAGAAGGTTCGGCTTTTGAGAGAGAAACACACTGTGATATGATTATGTGCTCATATGCTGTTTCCAGTCTTGTCTCTGAAAACTAATGTAAAAGGAGATTCCGTTTACACAATAATGATGTTTCAGATTAAAATATCAATACAAGCAAGCCCCCTTATTTTTTGTAGTCTAGGCAGTTCTCACCTCTGTAGGTACGTAGAAAATTAAATTTAAAAAAATTTTGTTTAACCTAGTCTCAATTTACTTGTGCAGTTATGACTGTGGATAGTCCTGCTGTGTTAAATTCTCTGACAAATTAATTAATAATGGAGCTACCAATTACAAATTTGACAACGACTTGGACTTCCTTTTGATTTTGGGTTTTGTTAACGGTACACTTCACTGTGTTTCCTTCCTTTGTCTTGCAAAGGCTTCCTGGGCCCTGCTTAAGCAATGTCTGAGATTTCAGAATGTGTTGTGGGAGCCTCAGGGAGGCTGGGCAAAGGCGTCCGATGTGGTTAAGATGTGGATACTTTGGAGCCTCTCTTTTTTTTATTTTATTTTATTTTATTTTATTTTATTTTATTTTTATTTTTTTATTTTTTTATTTTTTATTTATTATTATTATTTTTTTTTTTATTGATCATTCTTGGGTGTTTCTCGCAGAGGGGGATTTGGCAGGGTCATAGGACAATAGTGGAGGGAAGGTCAGCAGATAAACAAGTGAACAAAGGTCTCTGGTTTTCCTAGGCAGAGGACCCTGCGGCCTTCCGCAGTGTTTGTGTCCCTGGGTACTTAAGATTAGGGAGTGGTGATGACTCTTGACGAGCATGCTGCCTTCAAGCATCTGTTTAACAAAGCACATCTTGCACCGCCCTTAATCCATTTAACCCTGAGTGGACACAGCACATGTTTCAGAGAGCACAGGGTTGGGGATAAGGTCACAGATCAACAGGATCCCAAGGCAGAAGAATTTTTCTTAGTACAGAACAAAATGAAAAGTCTCCCATGTCTACTTCTATCCACACAAACCCGGCAACCATCTGATTTCTCAATTTTTTCCCCACCCTTCCCGCCTTTCTATTCCACAAAACCGCCATTGTCATCATGGCCCATCCCCAGTGAGCCGCTGGGCACACCTCCCAGACGGGGTCGTGGCCGGGCAGAGGGGCTCCTCACTTCCCAGTAGGGGCGGCTGGGCAGAAGCGCCCCTCACCTCCCGGATGGGGCGGCTGGCCGGGCGGGGGGCTGACCCCCCCACCTCCCTCCCGGACGGGGTGGCTGCCGGGCGGAGACGCTCCTCACTTCCCAGACGGGGTGGCTGCCGGACGGAGGGGCTCCTCACTTCTCAGACGGGGCGGTTGCCAGGCAGAGGGTTTCCTCACTTCTCAGACGGGGCGGCCGGGCAGAGACGCTCCTCACCTCCCAGACGGGGTTGCGGCCAGCAGAGGCGCTCCTCACATCCCAGACAGGGCGGCGGGGCAGAGGTGCTCCCCACATCTCAGACGATGGGCGGCCGGGCAGAGACGCTCCTCACTTCCTAGATGGGAAGGCAGCGGGGAAGAGGCGCTCCTCGCTTCCTAGATGGGATGGCAGCCGGGCAGAGACGCTCCTCACTTTCCAGACTGGGCAGCCAGGCAGAGAGGCTCCTCATATCCCAGACGATGGGTGGCCAAGCAGAGACGCTCCTCACTTCCCAGACGGGGTGGCGGCTGGGCAGAGGCTGCAATCTCGGCACTTTGGGGGGCCAAGGCAGGCGGCTGGGAGGTGGAGGCTGTAGCGAGCCGAGATCACGCCACTGCACTCCAGCCTGGGCACCCACTGAGCACTGAGTGAACGAGACTCCGTCCGCAATCCCGGCACCCCGGGAGGCCGAGGCTGGCGGATCACTCGCGGCTAGGAGCTGGAGACCAGCCCGGCCAACACAGCAAAACCCCGTCTCCACCAAAAAAAAAACGAAAACCAGTGAGGCGTAGCAGGCTGAGGCAGGAGAATCAGGCAGGGAGGCTGCAGTGAGCCGAGATGGCAGCAGCACCGTCCAGCCTTGGCTCGGCATCAGAGGGAGACCGTGGAGGGAGAGGGAGAGGGAGAGGGAGAGGGAGAGGGAGAGGGAGAGGGAGAGGGAGAGGGAGAGCTTGAGCTTTGGAGCCTCTCTAAAAGGGCTCTGTACCGCAGTGCCTTTGAAGAATTTGAGCTTGGGTTGCACAGAGGTTTTTGCAAGACTCTGTGCAATCGGAGTAGAGGTAGAGTGTAGTGGGAAGAGCATGCAGGTTGAGTGTTTATCAGGGGATCTTGTGTCAGAGGTTTCTTGTGAGGGTTTATAGTGATTCCTTTTTAGAGGCAGGCATGTGTTCCAAATAGGTTATAAACGCTGTAGCTTTTTCCCATTTTTGACCAAAATATAGGAACTTAACTTTTTATTTTTTCCTCCAACAGTTTATTTAGACATTTTAAAAAGCTGACTGATTTGGACAAATATTGCTATGCTACTAAAGGCTGTTAATTGTAAACATTCTACCATCTTGATATTTAAAGGAATCTAGTTACTTTCTTCAAGTGGACTGTATTGTTATTGTTCATAGATTTCAATGATATTTGGCTCACAGATAAAGGGTTATAATAGGGATCATGTTGAGTAGTCTGTACTGTTCAGAGTATCAAAAGTTTGCATGATTGCTTTTAAAAGCCAAGTAATGAGATATTTCTGCAAGTAAGATCATAGTCTGATAAGTATTCCTACAACTGCTACCTTTTAGCTTTCATTTTCTCTACCTTCTCTTGTAAACGTCCACATTTTGCCCTTGTAAGAAAAGAAACAAGCCTGTCTCATTGTAATGCTTGGCTTGTGTGTTGGTTTTTTTCAACAGTGAGCTTCTTGAGAGCAGGGAATTATGTTATTTGTCATTTTATCCTAAGGGTCTAGCACAGTACCTGGCTCAATAAATGTTTATGGGTTGAATATAGTAAAACTTCATTAATTGATACATGAACAACATTGTAGGTAGAATATTTAACTTAAGAGAAAAATCAACTTTATGAACTGTAGCACATTATTTGCATGCAAATGGGGGCTGCAAATTATAAATAAGTGCTATCAATTTATTGAAGCAGGTCTACTGACATTCTGCTGGCAGACATGGTGGCAGGAGTTTGAGTTATACCTTGATGAATATTTTCTATAATATTTGAAAAAAACCACGAAATAGTTTTAACAGAGTGCAAAGAAATTATAAACTTTCAGGCAAGAGAAAGCATTTTGGTGTCACTGACATCCCCCATTTGTTTGTTGCTTGTTACATACGGGTAATAAATGGGTCTAATTCATGAATTTGGTCTAATTAATTTGGCAAGTGCTCATTATGTACCAGGAGAGGTGCTAGTGACTTGTAATATACATGTGACTACCATATAGTCCTTGTCCTTAAAACTCACACTCTAGCAAGGTGAAACATTGATGTAAATATGGAGCACAAAAGCAGTGGGCACTGAGCGCAGGGCAGCACTGAGAGAAGATAGCTTCTCCAGGGTCCAAGAAGATCATTCTGGAGAGATTTTAAATGGAGACAGTCCTTGGAAAACAACTGGACTGCTCAGGAGAGAAAAAACACGTGCATACAAGTCAGGGTATGTTAGGGGACACTGTGGCTTTTGGTATAGCTTGAGGATGGCACATGATCCAGCAGAATTATGGGGAGAAGCGAGGGATGAGGCTGGGAGACCACTTGTAGGGTAGAGGATTAGATACTTATTTGAATTTGGACTTTGTTCTCTAGGCACTGGAGTCAGCTCTTTTCTAAGCTCTACACTCTGTGTATTCTAAGTGTGTGTGGGAGGCAGGTCAGGTGGGTGACTGTATGTGTGGGTGACTATGTGTTGGGGGGAGAGGAGGAGGAGAGAGAGAGGGAGAAAGACAGAGAGAGAATGAATGAGTGAGGTTAATTTTCCTAGGAAGAGAATATTAGCAATGCAGAGGAGAATGAAAGGATGTGGGGGGATTGGAAGCAGAGAGATCAGAATGGCTGTTGCAATCAATGGTCGTCCATTTAACATTTATTCATTCATTTAATAAATATTTATTAAAAACCTACCATGTACCAAGTGCTGCAATAAACCCTAGATGCATAAACAGACATGCTGTCTGTTCTCATGGAGCCTACAGTCAAGAAGATCCTGGTGAGAGATGAGCAGCTCTTAAACTAAGGCCTACATGAGGATGTACAGAAATCACCTGTAGTCTTCAGACACACTCTGTATGTTCTGTATGGTCTTTTCTTCTCTATGTAACTGCATACATAGAGAAGAAAAGAATGAATGAAGAGGCATTTATGAGGTCATGGACACAACTTGGTTACCTATTGGACGCTGGGGATTAAGGACGGGACAAGTCAGGTGATTCTATTTTTGGTGTTTGGTAACTCTGTAAACTTGATATTAATGGCTAAGTAAATAAGTTTGTAGAAAGGGGAAAATAATGAATGTCATTATACACATGTTATGGCTGAGTGCTCCAGTTAACATACAAATGGAGATATCCATCCATTTAGAGTTTAGGAGAGAGTTGAGACACTTTCTCCTTCAGTTCAAACCTTTCGGTTCAGAGTTTGAGATACAGATTTGAAAATTGTTATGAGGTAGGTGATAATAGAAGCCACAGGAGGTGACAGGATCCAGGAAGAATGTGCAGATGAGGAAGAAGAGGACGTATGCCTGGGACTTACAGTGTTTGTGAGATGAGCAGAGAAGGGGGCTGATCCCTACTTGTATTCTAGATTACCTCCTCTCCTGCTTGGTAGCACCTGATGTCAAAACGGCCTCATCTCTTTTCTGCATTTCTCTCAGTTCATAAACTGTTTAATCTTAAATAAAGAACCCCAAACTTCCCCTAATCCTCTGTTGACTTTATGGCCCCTTTTAGCATGTAACTGAGTTTCTTCTTCCCTCACAGCCCATGTTTGTTGAAAGCCTAGTGACATTGGGTGTTTCCTGTTCCTCACCTCTAGTCCATCCCCTGCAAGTTCCTTGGCTTTGACAGCCCTTGAACACTGAAATGCCCCTGGCTGAGGTAGTCTTCAAAGACTACTTTGAAGTCCTTATCTTATGATGTGTTTTGAACACATTAATCTTGATGGGCTCTAATAATCTCTTAACTCCAATTCAGTCCAATATAATTTTGAAACCCCCAAATTTATCTAATTTTAAAAGGCTCCTTCACCCCTAGATGGCTTGGAAACCTTGGTGTGGGGTGGGGTGGGGAATGGCTGTTTCTCTCTTCTCTCCATCTCCTTCCTTCCTTCCTCTAGGAGTTGGCCTGAGAGGAGAGATGAGTAGGGCCAAAGGAGACATCATGTGTGGCAGGTGCAGCTCTCTCTTATGGGATTTTCTGTGGCTTCATTATAGATCCTCCTGCTGGGATCTTAGGTCTGCAACTCTCTCTGAATGGCTGGCCCATTTTTTTGCGGGGAGGATGGTGGTGAGGAGCTTTGCTTCTCCCTCACCAATCCAGTCTGCCTCTTGGGAAAGATCTCTTTAAGTCATATCAGCTTGTTCCCTTTGGTGGGATCTACATTTGCCTGTCTCTCCAGAGGTGACATGTAGCTTGCCCCCAAACCAGTGCCCCCTCTTCCCTCTGCCACTGGGCAAGGGCAGCTCCAGCCAGTCTCTTGTCTTTAGACTTTCCAGGTGGGAATCAAATACTAGTGCCTTTTCCATTAAGCTCTCCCATAGGTTCTCTTGCAGCTCCACTCATCTGGCTTAGGTAGTGGAGCTGGCTTAGAGAGTGGAAATAGAAAATACTACAATATACTAAACTTCGTAAGGCAGTGTGGGGTAAGGACTACAGCAGTATGTGCAAAGCCTGGTGGAAGCAGTAAGAAGGGTGAGGGTAGCTCTGCTTTGGGGTGAGGGGACAATATCAAAAGCTTCTGGAAGAAAGAGGAATGACCTGGCTTTGAAAGAATGAGTTTGTCTGGTAGAACAGGGGTGAAAGGCTGTTCTCGATGAAGCTAATGGAGGCAAGCTCTGTAAATGAAGGCATGGGACATGAAATAGCAGAGTGTATCTGAAGACTACAGGTGATTTCTGTAAGTTTTCAGGTTGGGAGTAGGGGAGTAGCGTGGACAGGTAAACAGGGCTTGTGAATACACACATGCACACACACAGAAACAAGGTGTGCAAACCCACCCTTCACAGAGCAATGAGGGAAGCATATATACTGAGGGTTGCCTTCTTTTCTGTTTTCTCATTCTTTCACCTGGGTTTAGGACCTTGAGAAAGACACTTTACCTCTCTGGGCTTCAGTGTTCTCATCTGAAAAATGAGGATGTTAGATGTTCTAAAATTCCCCAATTCCAAATAGGCTTTACAGAGAAGCACTGAACAAACTAAGTAAGTTTAATTTTTTAATCTGAGGGTTTGATCTATAGAATTACAGAACCCAAGAATATTGATTTTATCAAATATGGAGAAACATCTTTTTTCAGGTTTTTTTTTTTTTTTTTTTTATGGAGTCTCACTCTATCACCCAGGCTGGAGTGCAGTGGTGCAATCTCGGCTCACTGCAACCTCCGCCTCCCGGGTTCAAGTGATTCCCCTGCCTCAGTCTCCCGAGTAGCTGGGACTACAGGCATGTGCCACCACACTCAGCTAATTTTTGTATTTTTAGTAGAAACGGGGTTTCACCATGTTGTCCAGGATGGTCTCGATCCCTTGGCCTTGTGATCCACCCACCTTGGCTTCCCAAAGTACTAGGATTACAGGCGTGAGCCACCGTGCCTGGCCTTTCAGTTTTCAAAATTGTGGTAAAATATGCGCAACATAAAATTTACCATTTTAACTAATTTTAAGTGTACATTTAGTACATCTAGATTGTTGCGTAACCGTCACGAGCATCCGTCTCAAGGATGTTTTCGTCTTCCCAAACTGGAATCTGTTAAACAATGACTCCCTAGTCCTCCTTCCCCCAGCACCTGGCAACTACCACTCTAATTTCTGTTCCTGTGTATTTGACTAATAGGCACTTTATACAAGTGGAATTATACAATATCTGTTCTTTTGTGTTTGGTTTATTTCTTTTAGCATAATATTGTCCTTAAGATTTATCCATGCTGTGTCATTTGTCAGAATTTCCTTTCTTTTTAAGGCTGAATAAAATTTCATTGAATGTATATATCACATTTTGTGTGTCCACTCCTCTGTCAATGCACATGAGTTGCTTCCACCTTTTGGCTATTGTAAATAATGCTGCTACGAACATAGCTGTGCACATGTCTCTTTGAGACCCTGCTTTCAATTCTTTTGAGCATATACTCAGAATTGCTGAATTATAATCTATGTAATTTTTTGAGGAATTGTCCTACTGTTTTCCCCTGTGATTGCACCATTTTACATTTCTACCAGCAATACACAAGAGTTCTAATTTCTAATTTCTCAACAGTCTTGGCAACAGTTGTTTTCTGTTTTTTTTTTTTTTTTTTTTTTTTTTTAATTAGAGAAAGGGTCTCGCTATGTTATCCCGGCTGGAGTGCTGTGGCTATTCATGGGCAGGCTCCAGCTACTCTCGTAATCAGCACAGGAGTTGTGACCTGCTCTTTTTCCAACCTGGGTCGATTCATCCCTCCTTTGGCAATGGAGTGGTCTCCTGCTCTGGAGAGGTCCCATATAGATGCTGAACTTAGTGCAGACATGCTTAGTGCATAGTGCAGTACTACAGCTCAGAACTCCTAGATTCAAGCAATCCTCCTGCCCCAGCCTCCTGAGTAGCTGGGACTATAGGCAACACTGCACTTCACTTTCTTTTTCTTTTTGTTTTTTTTTTTTTTTATGGCTGATAGCTGTCCTAATGGATGTAAAGTATTATCTTGTGGTTTTGAGGTACATTTCCTCATAATTAGTGATGTTGAACATCTTCATGTGCTTATTGGCCATCCGTATATCTTCTTTGGAAAAATGTCCATTCAAGTCCTTTGCCCACTTTAAAAATCAGGTTTTGTTGTTATGGTTGTTGTTGAGCTATGGAAGTTCTTTGTATATTCTGGATATTAATCTCTTATCAGTTGTATAATTTGCAAATATTTTCTCCAATTCCCTGGGTTGCTTTTTCCCTCTATTGATGATTTCCTTTGATACACAAAAGAGTTTAATTTTGATGAAGTCCAATTTATTTATTTATTTTTTGTACTGCTTTTGGTGTCATATCCAAGAAATCATTGTCAAATACAATATCATTAATATTTCTCCTAAGTAAAAACAAAGAAACGTCTTTTATGTGAATTATAAATTAGCCTAAGTTCTATCTTTAAAATTCAATTTTCTTGCTTAATATGCAAAATGTAATGAAGCTTCATTAATTTTATTTTTTATGTTTTATTTTTAAATTTTATTTATTTAGTTTTCTGTTGTTTAAATAATAGAAATTTATTTTCTCACTATTCTGGAGGCTAGAAATCTAACATCAAGGTGTTAGTAAGGTTGATTTCTTCTGAACCTCTCTCCTTGGCTTGCTGATGACTGCCTCTCTTTGTGTCTTCACATGGTCTTTCTTCTGTATCTGTGTCCTAATCTCCTTTTCTTTCTATTATTTTTATTTTTTATTTCAATAGATTTTTGGGAAACAGGTGGTGTTTGGTTACATGAATAAATTATTTAGTGGTGATTTCTGAGATTTTGGTGCACCCATCACTCAAACAGTGTGCACTGTACCCAATGTGTATAGTCTTTTATCCCTCACTCCCTCCCACCCTTTTCCCCAAGTCCTCAAAGTCCATTGTGTCGTTCTTATGCCTTTGAGTCCTCACAGCTTAGCTCCTACATATGAGTGAGAACATACAATGTTTGGTTTTTCATTCCTGAGTTACTTCACTTAGAATAATGGTCTCCAACTCCATCCAGGTTAAGCTTCATTTATTTTCTACATTGACCTCCTATCCTCTAAACATACTTTGGGTGTCTTCTTATCATCCTGGTTGCTTAGGGAACAGGACAAGCTTTCAACAGTCTATGCCTATTACATTGTCATTAAATATTCTCAAACTGTTCAAAAGGTTTAAAATAATTATTTAAACTAAGCATGGTTTAAGTTTGCTTTGGTTTGCCCAGATGAGAAGCTTAAAGACTTGAGAGAGGCTGAGTATAAGAAGGGAGTAAGAAGGTAAGTTAATTCTTTCTGGTTCATGGTGATTGATTAAAAAATGTTTTTTTTTCTTTCTTTCTCAATTTTCTAAAACAAGCAAACAAACAAACAAACACTACTTTAGGTACATCCCAGGTAAGGGAAACTTCTTCTGGAGAGGGGGCTATCAGAAGGTCATCAATGAGTGGGAAATGGTAGAATAATAGAAAACTGTGCTTCTTGCTTGCCCCCTTTTTCATGGGGTCTGTGATGTGATTCACCCGTACTGGGATGAATAGTGATTGCTCTATCAAGAAAATTTTAAAAGACCAAAAATCACTTTGATTTGGTGTTTGTCCTGACCTACCCCTATTCAATTCATTGGGTAATCTTGTATCAGTCACTGAGTTTCACATTTATAAAATGAGATATTGGAACCAATAGCTAAGCTTTCATTATCCCTGAACTATAACACAGAGGCTTCTTGGGAGCTATATTTCTTCTAGTTGGGAAAACGGGGAAAAAAGAAATCTCTATTTTCTTAAAGCAAAACAGAGCCACATAAATAATTAATCCTCAGCAAGTTGAACAATTCATTTTTGGCAAGGGTGTAATTCCCCAAAGTTGGGAGAATTCTGGAAAATGTATTTTGCACATGTTTCTGAGAGGTGTTGTGGTCTTTGATAAACCTTTAGTATGGTTTATTGAGTAAATTCAGCCTTGAATCCCAAGGTAGTTAACTATTGCACTTGAAGTCTTGTTTCATGAGGGTCTTTGGGGATTTTGGATTTCCAAACTATGAGGGACTTCCTGGGAAAAAACTGTGCCTGTGGATTGCTTAGTATTCACCAAAGATTCTGAGTTTTCTGCCTTTGAGGACACGTAAAAAGGAAATTTGGTATAAACGTATGTGTATATGTTATATGCCCAAGTTTAGACATTATGTGAATTGCATACAATGAATTCCAGGTGACTGTAAAGTAAATGATTAAAGTGCATTTTGCTATATGGAAGTTATATTGAGCTTTATGATTTTTTGGAAGGGCTTTGGACAATGTTTGCTTTCTGGAGTTTTCTCCAGAGAAAAGTGTACTGCAAAAGAAATGCATATATTTTATTAATCTTCTTCATCAACAGTGAAAGCAATAAATCAGACACATATATTTTTTAAAAAACCCAGCTTTACACCACTGTTTTGGTATACTAAATACATGATAGTTGATTTTTGGATGGTTTATTTTTAATCACTGGGGTATTTAAGTTATGTTACCACCTGCTTGCTTTCTGCTTCTTCCCATATTAATAACTGGCACATACAATTTTGAAAAAAATAAAATGCAGATGTTTTTTCTGTCATGTCAAAGTGGCATGCGGTTTTGATCCTGACATGGAGGGTTCCTATCAGATTGCCCTTTCTGAAATCTCTGGATCTATTTCCTCTTTTGCCTGGACTGCTGTTACTGGTAGTTGGTGTGTTATTCAATTATCTCTACGTTTTAACCTTGGTGTTTACCTCTAATGTTGCTCAAGTCAGTAAATGATTCATTGCATTTGGAACCAATAAACAGGGTTTGGCAGAAAAGGGACAATGTGTGGCGGATGTGTTTGGGCTAAAGGGAACAATGCATTTGAAACTGGGCTCTAAGAGCTTAGAAATTCAATTATGCCTTCATGCAGACAAGGCTAGGTCCCACAGTTCCTGGCTCAGAGTGAGCACCCAGTAAATGTTCACAAAGATGAGGGTGATGGTTTTATTCTACAAAATCTGCACGTACAAGGAAAGCATCTGCATCAGATTGCATAGGCAAGTTTCTCAAATTCTAGGTTATTGAGATTTCATCCCCACCTCTGAAACATCTTCCTGGGTTTCCTCATTCTTCAGGTACAATTGATAATTTTGTGGTATTAGCATTAACACAAATAACCTTGCACATTATCAAATACCAGGCAATACATGCAGAAAGCTTAAGAACACATGATGCTGCTTTGAGGATAAACAAATGAATTTCTTTTTCTCTCTAAAAAGTACCTCAAACGTGAAGCTTAAAGAACTAGGAAAAAGTTATTTAGTCAAGGCTAGTGAAGATATAGGTACAGAATGAGTTTTTCTTGTTCCTGAGCTTGGTTTTTCCCTGAAACTTGTTGCCTTATCTTTCTTTTTTTAAAATGAGAAATAAAAAAAAGAAAATCCTCTTTTCTCAGGAAGCAATGCTAGTGGAAGAGTAGAATTTTTAATACCAATCATAGTCAAATATCATTCTCAGACATAGAGTCAGAATACGGGCCTTTAAAAATTCTTCATGTTGGCCTGGGTGTGGTTGGCTCACACCTGTAATCCCAGCACTTTGGGAGGCCGAGCTGGACGGATTGCTTGAGCTCAGGAGCTTGGGACCAGCCAGGGAAACATGGCAAAACCTTGTCTCTACAGAAATATACAAAAATTAGCTGGGTGTGGTGGTGCATGCCTGTAGTCCCAGCTACTCAGGAGGCTGGGGTGGGAGGATTGCTTGATCCCAGGAGGTCGAGTCTGCAGTGATTTGAGACTGCACCACTTCATTCCAGCCTGGGTGCAGAGTAAAACCCTGTCTCAAAAAACAAAACAAAACAAAACAAAACAAAACAAAACAAAAAGCAAAAAAAACCAACCCAAAAAACAAACAAAAAACTTCGTTATCCCCCTAAGCACACATATCCTGGCCATGTTCAGGATCAGAAAGTTTTCATTTCTTCAGCCTAGATAGTAAGTATTGGTGACTACATAGAAGTCCTTGTGGTATTTACTGTATATCTTTGGTAGTCATAATTCTTCCTGAGCAAAAGAAAGGTCTGCATCAGGTCTTACTTTACATTTTTTGGCATCATAAATTGAAAAATTCCATGTTGCATGTCCTGTGTGAGGAGAGTTTATGCAGTGAGCGAATAACCTGTCCTTCTGCCTGGCACTGGCATCCCACCTTTCTTGCTGTTATTTATGCTTTTGAGCAGTAACTTTAATAAAGAGGGAAAAATCTAAACATGGTCTCTGTGAAAACTGTTCTCTCAAGAAGGTCCTTATAGTGGCATATTAATTTTCTGTTGCTGCATAACAAATGACCACCATCTTAGTGGCCTAAAACAATGCCGATTTATTATCTATGGTCCCGTAGATCAGAAGTCTGGGCACATGCAAAACCAAATAAAATACTTACGAATATATTTAACCAAGGAGGTGAAAGATCTCTGCAAGGAAAACTACAAAACATTGATGAAAGAAATTGTGGATGACACAAACAAATGGAAAAAACATCTCATGCTCACGGATTGAAAGCAATCTACAGATTCTATGGAATTACTATCAAAATGTCAACATCATTTTTTGCAGAGTTAGAAGAACCATCCTAAAATTCATATGGGACCAAAAAACTGCCCAACTAGCCAAAGCAATCCTAAGCAAAAAGAACAAAGCTGGAGGTATCATAATACCTGACTTCGAATTATACTGCAAGGCTATGGTCACCAAAACAGCATGGTACTGGTATTAAAATAGACACATAGATCAATAGAATATAATGGACAACCCAGAAATAAAGTCACATGTCTACAACCAACTAATCTTTGACAAAGCCAACAAAAACATACAGTGGGGAAAAGTCACCCTACTCGATAAGTGTGCGGGGGAAATTGGACTGCCATATGCAGGCACATGAAACTGGACCTCTATCTTTAACCTTATACAAAAATTAACTCAAGATGGATTGAAGACTTAAATGTAACACCCGACAGTATAAAAGTCCTAGAAGAAAACCTAGGAAAAACTTTTTTGGATATTGGCCTAGGCAAAGTATTTATGACCAAGACCTCAAAAACAAATGCAACAAAACCAAAAATAAGCAAGTGGGACCTAGTAAAACTAAAAACCTTCTGCACAGCAAAATAAGTAATCAACATAATGAACAGATAACCTGCAGAACAGTAGAAAATATTTGCAAACTACAGATACAACAAAGGACTAATATCCAGTATCTGCAAGGAGCTCAAACAACTCAATAAAAACAAACAAACAAAACACCAGAACAACCCTATTAAAAAGTAGGCAAAGGACACAAACAGACATTTTTAGAGGAAGACACAGAAATGGCAGATAAGCATGTGAAAAAATGCTCAACATTAGTAATCATCAGAGAAATGAAAATTAAAACCACAGTGGGATACCGAGTTATATTAGTCAGAATGGCTCTTATTAAAAAGTCAAACTACAGCAGATATTGGTGAGGATGCTGAGAAAGGGGAGCATTTATACACTGTTGGTGGGAATGTAAATTAGTAGAACCATTATGGAAAACAGTATGGTGATTTCTCAAAGAACTAAAAATAGAAGTACCATTTGATCTAGCAATCCCACTACTGGGTATCTACCCAAAGGAAAAGAAATTATTATATCAAAAAGATACCTTCATTCAGGTGATTATCTCAACCCTGTTCACAATAGCAAAGATATGGAATCAACCTAAGTTTCCAATGACAAATGATTGGATAAAGAAAATATGGTGTGTATGTATTTATATATATATGTGTGTGTGTGTGTGTACACATATATATACACACATACATTGGAATTCTACTCAGCAATAAAAAAGAGTGAAATCATGGCTTTTGCAGTAACCTGTATGGAACCATTATCTTAAGTGAAGTAACTCAGAAAGTCAAATTCCATATGTTCTCACTTATAAGTGGGAGCTAAATAATGTGTACACATGGATATAGTGGAATAATAGACACTGGAGGCTTAGAAGGGTGGGAGGGTGGAAAGAAGGTGGGACAAGAAATTACTTAATGGGCACAATGTTCACTCTTCAGATGTTGGTTACACTAAAAGCCCGGACTTTACCACTATGCAATCTATCCATGTAACAAAACTGCACTTGTACCCTCTAAATCTATTAAAAAAATTTTTTAAAAAGTCTGGGCACAGAGTAGATGGGTTCTCTGCTCAAGGTCTCTCAAGGCTGAAATCAAAGTGTCAGCATGGCTACATTCTCATCTGGAATTCAAGGTCTACCTCCAAGTTCATTCAGGTTGTCAGTGAAAGTCAATTCATTGTGAATATAGGATTTAGGTCTTCATTTTCTTGCTGGCTGTTGGCTGTGACCACTTTCAGCAATTAAAGGCTGTTCTTGGGTTCTAGCCACATGGTCTCCTCCAAGCCACATGGCAGGTTGCTCCTTCAAGGCCAGTGGGAGAATCTCTCTCTTAAGGACTCACCTGATTAGGTAGAGGCCATCTCCCTTTTGAATAACTCAAAGTCAGCTGATCTCTCACTTTAATTATATCTGCATAATTCTATCATCATTACCATATAACATAACCTAATCATGGGAGTGATAGCCCATCATATTCACAGGCTCTACTTCTGCTGAAGGGGAGAGGACTACACAGGGTGTGTACACCAGGGGTTCAGAATCCTAGGACATCTCAGAATTCTGCTTCATACAAGTAATATGTTTGAATTTGAGGATTTGAGAAGGTCACTAGACTCAGCCTTTGTGAAAGCAACGTTTCTCCTGCTGGCATTGTAGAAGTCTGTTCCATGTTTTTCTGGGCTCCATGTGTTTCACTTAAGTCTAAGGAATGGACCTGGCCTGGATCATGTCTGTTCCTGGAGACTTTACTGAGGCTAAGTGGGCTTTAGCTTCCTTAGAGGAGTTCAAGTCTGGGGTGGCCCCTAAGCAGTTCACTCCATGAAGTAATCCGAAGTCTTGGTAGAATACCCAGCCCTATATTCAGTATTAAAGCTGGGACATGTCTGATGTCAACAAGAAGACAGGGAGAAGACTTGGCCTTATCTGGTTCTGATCAAAATGTAAGGAATTTGTGTGGAATAACCCTAGATCCAGAAATATGCCTAGTCAGCTCTTTGCCCTCAGTGAGCTGTGAGCACAGCTCCTCTAAAGAGGCAGGAAAAGAAGAAAAGGGAGGGAACCACCAAAAGGACCTAATTTGTTAGTGTTAATCGGAGGCCTACCCATTCTCCTAATTGATTGTTCACTACAAAGTAGCTTGATGCTTCTTTAGCCTGGGAGCTAAATGTAATCAACTTTTGTTTGTTTCTGTAAAAAAATTTTTTTTTGCCCTTGAGGAGATCATTATTTCTATTGTATGAAGATGGTAGCCCAAACATTAGAAGTAATTAGAGCAGATGGCAGTGAATACTTTTATTTTAAAATACACTGAAGCTCATAAGCTGGTTTTCATTCTCTGGGCTTCTTCCTTTTTCCTCTGCCACCACATATCCATTTTGCTTCCCTTCAGGTGTAAAGACAGGAAAAAAGCAAAGGAGGAAAAAAAAGGTTTCCTGGTGTATGAAACTGCGGAGCTGTCAAACGTTCATAGCAGGGAAAGTACGCTCCTGTGTATTCAATCACCGAAATTAAGTGTTTTCGAAGGCAGTGCCGTCATGGGTCCATTGCATGGGGAAATAACATGTTGTAGTCCATCACTTAAAATGTTAACCTTGTCTCTTAATAGTGACTGGGAACACAAACACGTGCTCCATGCTCGCTGGTTAAATGGCAGTGTGTTAGCTTGTGAAAAAGGCTAGCATGTATCTGTCAATCTTCTGATCTGGCTCTGTGTGTGTGTGTGTGTGTATTCATGTGCATGCACGTGAGTGCGTGAGTGGCATACACACACACACACACACACACATACACACACACACACAACTTCCCACACTTCCACTTGCCTTTCTGTGGCTTTCTGAGATCTGGCTTATTGTGTACTAAAAAATGGGAAGAATTGAATCAGTTTCCAGTACTTTAATGTATATCCTTCACTAAGATGTTTTTGTTTGCAGTCCCTCAAGTCTCAGGTAGCTGTATTATAATTACCTATTTTCAATTACAGAAAGTTCCATTTTGCGCATGTTTTAATACTGATGTACTATAGATACACTATACTGAGCATATTATAGGTACTATACTGATAGTATAGTATGAAACAGAATTTACCGGGGTCCCCAAACTTTTCCTATAAAGAGCCAGATAGTAAATATTTCAGGCTTTGTGGGCCATGTTGCTTCTGTCACAAACTGAAAGCAGCCACAAACAATATGTAAATGAATTGTCATGCCGTGTGCCAATATCAAAATAGTGGGTTGTGGACTGTAGTTTGCTGACCTCGTTATATGTTACTGAGTGTTTTCCTTGATTTTTTTTTTCTATGACATATGAAGAACTTGATGTCTACCCAGGTCTTTGTGCAGTGTTTCTCATTGCATCACTAGAAAGGCCATCTGGCTATACAGCGTTCCTTCCTCCAGGGCCAGCCGCCTGATCCTTCAGGCTGCAGCTGCAGTACTCCAAGCACACCCTTTTTTCAAGGTCCTCCTTTGATAGCCTCTGGCTCATACTCTACTTCTCTGCTCCTTTCCCAATCCAATCCAATCCAATCCAATCCAATCCAATCCAATCCAATCAGAGCAGTCTCTGATCACTCCATATCAAATAGCTCTTCCTACCCTGGCACTTCTGATCCACTTCACCCTGTTTCTTTTTTACTTCAGAGCACACTATTAGTTTTATATATTTAACCTGTTATCTCCCTAAAATATAAGCTCCATGAGGTCAGGAATTTGTTTTGTGCCTGGTGTGTAGTGGGTGCTCAATAAACATTTGTTGAAGGCAGGGATCCATCTACTCTGTAGTTCCTGGAAAGTAGTCTGAAAAGAGTCTGTAACAAAATGAGATAATACCTGTTAAGTGCACCCCGTAAGTGTTGGCCATTATTATTAATTAAACTTTAAGTGGAAAGAGTAATACCTACATTTTTTAGTTGTGAGTATGAAAGGAAAATAAATCTTGGGGCCTCCCAAATCACTAAGCTAAAGGGAAAAGTCAAGCTGGGAACTGCTTAGGGCAAACCTGCCTTCCGTTCTAGTCAAAATTATCCCTTTGCTCACAGAGATAGATGCAGATCTGATTGCCTCCTTTGTAAAAGCTAATCAGAAACTTAAAAGAATGTAATCATTTGTCTCTCATCTACCTGTGACCTGGAAGTCCCCCTCCCTGCTTCAAGTTGTCCTGGATGGAACCAAGGTACATCTTACATATATTGATTGATGTCTCATGTCTCCCTAAAATGTATAAAACCAAGCTGTGTCCCAACCACCTTGGGCACATGTCATCAGGACCTGCTGAGGCTGTGTCATGGGCATGCATCCTCAACCTTGGCAAAATAAACTTTCTAAATTAACTGAGACCTGTCTCAGATATTCAGGGTTTACATAAGGATTAGTGATACTGTAAGTAAAATGTATAGCATTGTGCTTGGGACATTAGAAATATTAAGTAATCAGTAGCTATCATTATCATTTTTTCTCCCACAAGTGAAAAGGTCTTTGGACTTAAAATTCAGAAGAGATACTATTAGAGGAGATTTGAAGATTCAAATAGAGGAAACGATAAAAGAAGACTGTAAATTTGTCCTGTCTGCAGACTTTGAAAATCCTCTGAAGCTTAAGAGGGCTAATAACTTAGATATATGAAGCACTGAGGTAGAGTCAGCAACCTTTGAGAAATCGCAGAGGATAGGAAGTGTGTGGAACCAAGAGATAAGACAATGAATTGCCTGGTTTTCTAATGATGAGAAAGGGTCAATTTGAACTGGGCAGGAATCTCTGACAAAAAGTACTGTTGACATTTCTTTGAGTAGTCAATGTGCTACACAGTGCAGTGTGGAAGGACATTCTCATGTTATCTTGTAATCATGAGGGGTTTATAACCACCGAGAAAAGAAAGTGATCACTTAGAGCCTGCATGAGGTCAGTAAGAATAAATTATACCAAACTAATTCAATTTCCTTTTTGGTCCCTAAAGAGTTATTAGATTATAGGTTAGGGGCTCTATTCATAATCCTGGATTTGTAGATAGTTGACTTTTCTACACTATCTTTTGTTTTATAATCAGCTGAAATAATCTCAGCCTGTGTCATCTGTTGTGTCCAGATTAAAAAGAGAAAACGATGTTTAATGCACTTGATTTCCCCTGCAAGGCCATCTCCACTGTGGTCAGCCATCTAATCCTCTGAACTCCCATAGCATCTTGGTTATGCCTTTAATTATTGAATCAATCACACTTTAATTATCTGGCTATTTGTATTTTTCTAAATGATAATATAAGTACCTTAAGAACAAGGATGAGGTCACATTTATTTGGGAGAAACGCCTTTATATTAGCTCATACAAAAGGATTTGGGATTTTAATTGGCCAAAAGGTTTAATGTCATTGAACATTATAATTCAACTGTTAAAATAGCCAAGAGTATTAATTGGGAGAATAAATGTTATTTAATGAATGGTATGAAGACAATCAGTTAGCTATTTGGGGGAAAAATAGCAAGGAATAAAAACAAGAAAAAAGTATAAAACTTTCCATCAACATAAATTGTAAGTTAGTTGAGGAGTAACATGCAGATATAAAACCCACCAATCAAGAAGGACATATAAGTGTTATTTATGTCAGGGTGAAAGAGGATGTTTCATCTATAACATAATGAAGAATGTCACAAAAAAGGTAAATAAAGTTGGTTTCGTAAAAATTAAAACATTTCAATGTAAAGAAGAACTGAACAAAATTAAATTATAGCTTCATATCATATTATTTCAGTTATTAAAGATTTTTCATTATGGCATCATAAGTCCAAATAAGAGTTGACCATTTATTCATTCAAACATATTTTTGGGGTAGCCAATAGATGCCAGGCATTATTGTAGGTTCTAGGGATACAGCAGAAAAGCAAGACACTCTTGTGAAGCTTACATTCTATTAGGGGTTGACTGATTATAAACCAGTATACATTGTATTAGGTAGAGATGAGTGCTTTGGAGAAAATAAAGAAGGATACGGAGTGGAGAAAATGGTTACAGGGACTTGTCTTTTCCTATTTCCAGGATTTGGATGCTGAGGAAGAAGACATTTTGGTGAGGTGTCAGAACAGTTATTTCTTGTTCTTGTCAGCCAGGAGACACTGTGATTACAGAGATTCCCATACGCCACCTCCTCTGCCACCCCAGCTCAATGCATACACTCACAAATAGGTCTTTGCTTTGCCGGGTGTTCCAACTTGCTGATCAATGACTTCTTTCAAGATAACTCTGGTGGTGTTGCAAGTACATTTAAGGTGACATGTAAGATTTGCAGACACTGCACATTCCCTGAAGTTCAGAGAAGTGCTGACATGCTGTAAGAAGAAAACAAATTGCATAAGCTTCCTAGCTGAGGCAGGAAAGTTTTTTTCTGCTTTTTTTGGGGTTTATTTGGGGCTAGATGCAAAGATGAGGTCACGTTCTGGGCAATTCTTGTATCTCTATTTTCACGGCTGCCCCCATATGCCTATGAGGAATTGATTTTCTTCATCTGCAGAATAAGAATGAGTGATGTGTTTATCTCCAGGAAGAACACTAAAGCTAAAGGCTGAGCATCATGGGAACTATAGAGGAAAGAGCTTATATTAGGTGGAAGTAAGCTGGGCTGTTGACACGGAACATGGCCTTCACCAAAAATATGTTGGTATCAACAGAGACATTCTCAAATATATTCACAAAATCTTTAATCAATGCTGTTGGCATTTTTTTTTTCTTGATTGGATCAAAGTGACATGGATTGGAGGATGAAGATGTTGGAAGGTGAGCCATCCTCACTGTTTCATGGAGCATTTCCCTGGGAGGGAATGATAGCACCAGCTCTGTTAACTGAAAATGTAGGAGAGCTAAAATTCTTATGGCAACGTGCATGTAATCATGGATTACACTGATAACTTGCAATCATAGAGATATGCTGCTCTTCTATTTCCCCAGGTAGCTGGTAAGCAGTGGATGCTGCAGTAATTTTTAGATTTTTTAGTATTTAGTAATTATTTTGTGTAAAAGCATGAGTACATCAATAAACATTTATACATCTCAAGATATCTTTGTTATGCTAAGGGGAATTCAGGGCACAAGGAAACTTAGGTCTCTTGAAACTGAATGCTTAAACATCTGTATTCATTTGAAATTGGCCACATTGACTAGAGAAACTTAAGGTGAAAGAAAAAATTGGTGGAAGATTTTATGAGATCGAATCTGAGTCTCAGGTTCCAATTAAGTAGCACTATTCATCATTTGGTTTATGTTTAAATGGAGCTTGAAAACACGAAAAGGGATGTAAATGTTTCAGAAGACCTAGGGGATATAGCATTTTTAAGGTCTTAGCACCTGTATCTTCACCTATTGCATTAGGAAGAGATGTGTGTGTGTTTGTGTGTGATATCTGTAAAAGCATGTATGGCACCAGCAGGTATAAGATTCATTTAATAAATTATTCAAAAACATTTATTGAGCAACTACTATGTGCTAGACATCTTTTAGGGAGGTGGGAATATAGCAATGACCCAAACCAAGTCTCTGCTTCATTTGAGTAAGCTTAGTAAGTGATAACCAAATATGCAAGGAATTGTATTATTTAATACTAGAATGAGGCATTATTAGGGGAGAAGGAATGAAGGAATGATTGGGGGTGCTTTTTAAAAATAATAATACAGGTAAGGAGGTGATACCTGAGCAGAGGCATGAATTAAGTAAGGGAGTGAGCCATGCAGATCTTTTGGGAAAGAGCATCCCGGGAGAGGCCATGGTAAGGGAAAAACTTCAGATGGGAGCTTCCTTTTTGTGACTCCAGTTTGCCTCCATCACTATGAACTTTGACACATCATTTAAACACTTTGAGCCTTTGCTTTCTCCACTGGAAAGTAGAGATAACAGTATTTGACCTTTCCACCTACTGGGTTGGGACCAAGTATAGCAATCTTTGAAGGCTGACAGGCTAGGCCAAGAGGTTATAGCACATGGAAGGCAGCAAATGGCATAAGCAAGTGCTTCAGAGCAAGAAAGTCTCTAAAGCTTATTGAGAGCTAGATAACAGATATCTGTGCTAATCATAAAAATTTAAAAATGTTCTCAAATTAATTAATGGATAACACCATGAAATAGTCTACCTTTGACCCACTTAAATATCTAACTAATGTCTAGTTGTTCCCGATCATTTTACTGTGTGTGTAATGAGCCCTGGTTTTCTTCATAGTTCTGTGGCTGGGTTATGGATCTGACCACCAGGTTAATGTCTCAGAAAGCGTTATGCTGCTGAAGTCTTCATATTTCTTACAGTTCATCAACACATCATTCTTCCTAGCTTGCTAGTCTTTGGGCGATCCTGGCCAAAGACCCTAAGCTTTGGATGTTGGTTTGGAGAAAACATCTTGGTTCCTTTTAAAGATATATCTCCTTCTCCTCCAGCCCTTGCTCTGAATTGATCCTTAAATTTTGATGCAGAAGTGTCATCTGAGAGGATCATTAAAATTGTAGGTCTCTGGGTCCCAATTCTTGAGCTTTTGATTTCACAGGTATATGATGACACTAGAGAAATCTACATTTTATTAAGCTCTAAGGAACACTGCCTAAAATAGCATCTGTAAAATTATGGGATAGGATTTTGCTAGAGTCCTTTCCATCTCTGGGCTTCTGGAAATCCAAGAGTTTTCAAATGTCCTTTTATCATGGACTCGCAGCTGACACTACAGATAACCTGGTTCACCCTGTTCTGCAGTTTACTTTACCATCTCTGTTTTTCCCACCTTCTTTCATTCCAGTTTCCTTTGATTTGCCTCCCTTTCCTCTTTCTGTATTCTACAGGAGTAAATTAAAGGGTTATAAGAATGTATAATATATATAGCCTTATAAGAAGTACTGTTTATTATTTTACCAACCTAAAGCTAGTCCTATAGTGAAATCATCTAGAGTTAAAATTCTCTCCTACTTTTGTAGCCTACAGATACTGCAGTTCACAACGATGCTCCTGGATCACCTATTCTTTTTTCTGTGATACTGGAACTGGTTATCACTATGCCTTATTTCCTTCCATCTCTTAAATTGTGATGAGTCATAGACTTTTACTTCTTTGCAGATGTAGAAAACGAATAAATTGCAAAGCCTTCTCAGTGATTGTGTTGGGTCTGCAACTTAGCACTGTTGACCTTGGGGTTTGTATCTTTTTCTGGAAAACGTAACGGCTCTTCTGGCAACACAATTTTCCATTTTCTATCTCAGAAATACTATAGAGCACTATTCTCTGTGTAGGTGTAGTTGTCGGTATTACAAACATGCCTTCCCTTCTAATGATCTTCTCCCATCTGCCTCTAACACATCATGAGAGGACCTTCTAGGTGGTTTATTTTTATAGGAACTTGGGCTTCACATTTGTTGGAATCTGAATGGGAAGAAGACTGGAGAGAGTGGCTTATACATGTCATATCTATTACCTTGAAGGAATCACCTTCTCTATTGTGATTTTATTATGTTTATCGTAATTATACTTCTACAACTTCACAAGGCATTTAGACATGTTACCAGCCTCTTGCATGAGCTCAATATTGCTTTCTGTGATTTTTATGTCCCTGTTTTAAAAAACGTATGACATCAGAGTGACCACAAATTAACAGGAAAGCCAAAAGTTCTGAGAGAGGGACTGAAGGCTGGGGTGGAGAGGGAGTGCTTCCTTTTCTGGCTTCTTCTGTCAGTACAGCTCCCTACCCCTCACTCAAATGTTCCAGACTATTTACTTGTCATCTGAAGTCAGTCGGCATTCTGCCTATGCCTGCATGGGCTTTGTTCAGCCCTGATGCACCAGGCACAGGGGGAAAGGCAACAATAATATCAAAAAAGGCCGAGTGGGAGGATAGATCTGAGCACTTAGGAAGAGGAATGTTCCTATAAAACAGGGACTCTTGGCAGTAGAGCCAGTGAAAAATGATACCAATTACATAAAGCAAAATGCCACCCATCAAGCAGAACATTTTAATTCTCCCTATTCCAGGCTATTTATGACTTTTTGTCCAAGATTCAATACATATCTGTAAAAATAAATGGAATCAAACTCATCTGTTAGGTAGAATGGGGCCTGTGCTAGAGGGGAAAAAAAAGGCAAGAAAACATTACCAGCATGTTATTGGAGAATTCCAGGGGCTGGGCACAGAAGAACTTCAAATATAATTTTGCCTCTCATGTTTTTTCCTGTTTAGGTTAGTTGTATGAAAAAGAGAGAGGTAACCAATTTTATGGAGACATTTAAAATATTTAAATTAATTTTACTTTCTTTGAGAAGTTTCTATTTTGATTCAATACTTATACTATCCCGCCCAAAAACAATGAATGAACCAACAAACCAACAAACCAGCGAACCAACCAACGAAGCAACAGACCAGCCAACCAACCAACCAACCCACCAACCCAGCTCTCTGTTTTCCAGGGCAACTTTTCTTTACAGTTCTGCCGGAGATGGTCCAGGACTCACAGCTGGTTTCCTGAAAGGCTGCCACAAGATGGCGACAACGTCACAGTGGAGAATGGCCAATTGCTTCTGCTGGACACTAACACAAGCATCCTCAACTTACTGCACATTAAAGGTGTGTGAAGTTTGTAGGTTGGTAATATTATTCTATATGATTATATCACTTGTAGGGGGGATGGAGGAGGGAAACTTTCTGGATAAGTTCCAGAACTTAGTTGACAATTTATCCTCAGACCAAACTGAAATTTTACTATGTAAAGGAAGAAGTGGTCAGAGGGTTCAAAGTGAAAGGCCTTTCTTTGGACTCATTATAAGCACAGAGCTTGATTAGTTTAATTTTTCAAAAACAAGAAGGTTAACAGTGTTCTCAAAGAATATGCTTCTTTATTCAAGCACTTTTTAGTCATGCTTATCCAGGACAGCCCCCACAATATAGCAAAATGCCCTGAAATTGGTTAACGTTGCTGCCTTTGAAATACCCTGCCAAGAAAGCCATGTCTTCCTGCTTTTACCCTGTTGTGGTTTTGACTTCTTGGTCCCATGGAAAGTCATATAAATAGGCTTTCTTATTGCAAAACCGGCTATATAGCTCTAGGGTTTATGAAGTTGGAAGAGGCTGAGATTTCGAATTTCAACCCTACTACCACATCTTCAAATGGCTAAGTCAGTTATTTCACCTCTTTGTGCATTTCTTTCCTTATCTGCTAAATGAGAATAAAAATCATGGCCTACTTTAGTGGCTGGAAATAAGGAATAGTTATCAAAATGCCTCTGTTCATTGGCAAATGAAAATTACATGGGAGATATGATTAGTTATGGATCTCTATGAAACTCTGCACTAAAACACTGTTCTTTACTATAAATATATTTAACACACAAACATTCATCCTTATTAAGATAAGAATATAGCTACATGAGGGGAAAAATAAAATATTTTAAAGAGGATAAACTAATGGAATTTTAATACCTGTCTCTTTTAGACCGAATCAGGATTTAGGCATTTTGTCATTCTCTATTCTGGAAGCTGTTTTTTTTCTCTTCTATAGCAAGGAGAAGTTTTCAGTCAAATCAGTTAATTAGTGCCCTTTAGGGGATAAAATGGTCTGTCAGCTTGGGCTCTTGCCCTGTCTTTGTGTGTGTGTGTTTGTGTGTGTGTGTGTGTGTGTGTGTAGCTAGTGGCTATGGGAATGCCACTATAGACAGTCATCAACTACCTAAGGACCAGCAATGACAAAGGAAAATTACAGACCTAAAGCCTCATTTCAGAGAAAAGATACTCTTGGCAGGCCTTTAACCAGGGCTTTCTCCATATGAATCAAATTCTGCAGGAGTATGGGCTCCCCTTCAGGCATTCAAAGGTCTTGGCCTTATATTGCTACTACCATTTGGGAGAAGTTTCCCAGCTGAAAGTCTTGGATTACTAAATCTCTGGATGTACTGTTACTTCCAGGTAAATCATGAATAGTGTTGACAGCACCAGAGGCTGAAAACAGAGAAGAGGCATCAGAAGGAGAGAAAAGTGTAGGAGAAAGGCAGGATAAGTATAACATTCATTTGACTTCTCACTCTTAAGGATTTAAATATCTGAGCAATCCCAATACTTGCCCCAACCTCCAATAGTGGTTTTTCTTAGCATTTCTGGTTTAGGTAATATTTCACTCTCATATTATTTAGATAAGTGAGTTAGGTTTGGAAAGGCAAACCCTCATCCTGTGGAGAGGGAGAGTAAGTCATCTGAAGGGTCTCTTCTTTCTCTTGGGGAGGAGGAGTAGGTAGGATGTAAGGCTAAGTAGTAGATTCCAGTTTCTGCACGAATAAGATACAGGAGTTGTTGGCAAAAGACAGAGCTACCTAGAGTGAAACGCTGAGGTTTTTATCATAGAGATATAGGTCATAACTTCTAGAAAGAATGAGAACAGGGCAAGGACACAGATCAAATTTTGTTCAACAGATAATTTGTGAATGCTTATTGAGTGGCCTAGGATTCCTGTGTGAAATACAAGAAAAAATGAAGAATAATACTGGCAGTAACATGTAATATTACCAAAGAAAAATAATTAGAAAGTAAATGTAAAAGACTAAAACTTCTGGTTCTAAAATAAGTGATGCTGGCAGTGAGGCCGAATGTATACTGGGGTAATCTTGGTGTCAGTTGTGTAAGATTAGAGTTGGAGAGCGGAGAGGAGGTGAAGGGCAGATCATTTGTGTCTGAGACATATTGCGATCACATAGATATTAACATATACACAAATCAAAGTTTGAGGAAATTCTCCATCTCACTTACTGGAATTGTATACATCCAGTGGCTCAGACCAAAAACCATGGAGGCATCCATGACTTCTTTCTTTCACCTCCTATGACCACCCCATCAGTGAACCCCGTCGGCTGGATCTTCAACATGTGTCCCATGTAGCAACACTTCATTGGTACTAACCTAGTCTTAACCACCACATTTTTGGCCTAGACCATCTTAAATTGCCTCTTATTTTGTTCCCATATTTCAGATTCCTTGTTTTCATTAGTAGTAAAACCCTAATTTCATTGGTGGCAACAAAGTACTCAGCTGAAATGCTCTGTTTCCTGAACACTTTTGTAGCTAGACATAGCCATGTGGCTAAGGGCTTACCATGAGATAGAAGAAGTACCCTGCAGAACATCTGAGAAATTTCCAAAAGTAGAGATGACCCAGTAGGAACTACACCCTATTTTCCCTTCCTTCTTTCTCTTTCCTACTTGCTGGTATATAAATGTAATAGCAACATTTTCGGCCACTATTTTGGACCATGATGCTACTTGTTAGTTAGAATGGAAAAGCGGAAGAATAGGACAAACCCAGGACCCTGATGACTCTGGAGTTGCCATGATAAGGCATTCAACCACCCACCTCTGAAATAACTTTTTGTGACAGGAAAATAAGGCTTCATGGGTTTAAGTAATGGATATTTGGCTTTTATGCTATATGGTAAAGTAAACCCCCAGCAGTTTATGGTCCATTTCCTTTAAAAATTTAAGTCAAATCTCTCCTCAAAACCTCCAGTGGAATCTCAACTCACTGGGAATCAAATCACTGGTCCTTACTATTATTTAACCTCTGATCCCCTTGTTGACCTTGTCTTTCTCATTCACTCTGCTCTAGCTCTTCTATGAATATACCTGCCTCAGGACCTTTGCCTGTAATGTCTATGGCCTGGAATGCTCTTCTTCCACATTCATGTGGCTGGCTCACCTATTTCATTTGCTCTTTGAGAAAATATCAACTAATCTGGGAGGACTTGCTGGCCATCATTTCTAAAATTACAGCCACCCCCCAGGACTCTTTATCCTTTGATGTTGCTTTACTTTTCTTCATAGTACTTATCATCACATGGTATATTATCAATTTACTTGCTTGTTTATAGTCTGTCTCCTCTACTAGAATAAGCTCAAAAAAGACAAAGGATTTCATCAATTTATTTACTGTTGTCTCTTCAGGGTCTAGAACAGTGCCTGATGCATGACGAAGGCTCAAAAATTTTATGTTGATTGTAGAAAGAATGGACAAGTAAATGGTCCTGGGTGAAATTTAAGAAGTGTATATTTTAAACCCTTGCTCTCTTAAATACCACTTTTCCCAGCTAATTTACTTTCACTGTCCTTAGTTGTTCTCACTGATTACACACACACACACACACACACACACGTATGTATAAGTACACACATATACACTTACATATTCACATATACATATTTACACACGCAAAATATGTACATACACACATATGTCTATATATATTTGCATATTATGATGAATTGTTAGGAATATAAAATCTGTTGGTAAGTTATATTTCTGTTTCTAAAAGGCATATGACCAAAGTCTTCACTGGTGAAGAACTACAACTTTCAAATATCTGATCAATGTAACATAGCTGTAAACCTCTTTTAATGTCTTCCCTTGGTCTATAATATGTGTGAAAGTACTTGAAAGATAATAAAGAGCTCTTCAAATATAAGATTGAATAATCACAATCATCATCAACAACAACAACAGTAACTCACCCTCCAAATATTAGTTACTATCTTTTTCATATACATTCACAGTGTCAGAAAAATAGCTGAGTGAAATTTTCTTTACTTTTTCTGATACCATCTGCAGGCTTAGATAAAGCCTGAGAAATTTCAAGCCAAAAATAATTTCTTCAAAAGATTTTAACCGACAAAATATGAAGTATTATAATGGAAGTACTTTCTCAGCCATTTCTATATTACAAAGAATACATTCTACATGAAGTATATATATTTTGAAAGGATTACTGCTAAGTAACAGTGAAACTAGATCACCTAAGAACTACATTTGGAAATACTTTATGAAGGTATTACATCCTTTATATTATTTTTCCATTCATGGAAGCCAGCATCCTGATATGTAGAAAACTGGGCTCGTACAACAGGAAAACCAACACTTTATGGACCCTCAAGAGTCTTGAACTCTCTGTGCCTTACTCATATTTTCATCTATAAAATAGAATTGACATTTTTTTCTTACACATATTACTTATATAGTAGAAGGCAGGGTCATAAATTTTTGGGGGGCAATTGAGAAGTGGCCCCAATGTTTTGTGTCATTATTTATGATGCTATATGTACTGACTCCCAACTTAAAAAGTAGCAGATTCTTTTGTGACTGTGATAAGAGCTTCAGCTGCATTTATTATTTTATTTTAATTAGAAAAAGATCCAGAACTTTTGTCTACTTACTATCTCTACTTCTTCCCTCCTTCCTGCCCTCCCTCCCTTTTTTAAAAAAAAAATATTTTTTAGGGGCACCGTTAAACACAAAAGAGAATTAACCCAATCAATTAATACTAATGAGCTGGGATGGAAATAGGCATATTGCCTTGATTTAGTTAATTATATTTTCATTCTTTTATGTTAAGATGCCCAATGGCCATAGGCATTGCTGAATTAAAATTTATTATTTTTATTCCAAGTAATTATGATGAGCCATAATCACAAAGAAGGAACGTTACCCTCTTGTCAGAGCATTCTGCATCCCGGGCAAGGATCTTGGGTTGTGGTCTGTAGTTGGGGAAACATTCATATTTCCTGAATGAAGCAATGAATCTCTTTCTGATCTGGTCATCAAGCAGCTTGATGTGAAGTAGTGTAACGATAATGATTAATGAAAGGGTCAATTAGGGGAGAATGAACTCTCTCCTTGGTGTTGAGCTGTTAGGTGTAGGTACTCCTATCACACACACACAACACAAAAGAAGGTAACTGTGAAGTGATTGATATGCTAATTTGTTTGACTATAGTAATTACTGCATTATATATAATACATATTTATCCACACACATACACACATGAAAACATCCTGTTGTTTGCCTTAAATATATACAATAAAAAAGGAAGACAGTTTGTAGTTTCTTACTACTCACAATGCCAGTGCTTGTGTCTGAGCAGAAACTTGTTTCCAGTCTCTGTTGCTGCTTAATAGTGCACTGGTTTCCTTTAATGTGATTTTCTATTTTTTGGTCTACTGGCTTATACTAAAGCAGTTAAATGCTTGGCAGTATTTCTAGCCACAAAGAACTGAGCCTGAATCTGGGCTCCACTACTTCCCAGCTCTGTGACCTTGGGCAAGTTGCAGACCTTCTGTAAGTCTCAGGTTTTTCCTCATTAAGGTGATACCTGGTTATAATGACAATAATAGTAACAATGAGAGCTAGCATTTATCATTGTTGCATGGCAATATCACAATGTATTGCCTGTCTCGTATGGATGTTTTCAGTATTAAATGAGGGGATATTTGTAAAGCCATTAGCACACAGCCTGGTCCAGAGTAAGAACTCAATTAATGCTAGTTTTTGTTACTTTTGGACTGTCAGAGATAACAGGAGATATGGCTGAATATCAGGCTTAAGTTACAATTTTATTTACAGATAGTGGCTGCTTCTATATACAAAGCAAACTGGATTACTGAAAGAATTAGCTGGGTAATAAAGACCTTGGATTGCTTTTGCTTCTGTTATCTTCAGAATGCATATTGAAGTGTTTTTCCTTCTATTGCGAGGGAGGGACGGATGGAGAAGTGGATCCATTTGCTTGCCGGCATTCTCCTTGTTACTTTGACTTCACAGAAACATGTTTTTCTGGTGTAGCTTGGAACATGATCTCATTTTCTCTCAACTGTTTTTTAGTTCACAGTTTTGAGGACATTCAGATCTTTTTAAGTCCATTACATCTGGGGTTTCTATGTCATGGAAATGCATATTCTTGGTTTATTGAAATGAAGCATCTTCTTCTGACTCACTGTCAGGTTCATTGTAGAATTCCTTCATCCTTGACAAGCATTTGAGGATTTCAGAGTGAGGTATTAAATGATGAACCTATCACAGCCTTTTTTTTTTTTAATCCCAGGGATTGTATACTTGGTTGCTTCTAGTTAGCACTAAGCCAGCCTCAGATTCAGTAGATGCATGCTTCAGATAATGCTTTCCAATGCAGTTATCTAGAAATGTTACAACACAGAACTTTCCTGAGATGTTGCTTGTGATCTCTTTGTGCATCAGGCCTGTGTGAGTCACTTGGCATTTTACCCTCTGCCTATAGTTTCAAGACTTCATAGCTACCAGTTAGGATAAAACAAAATCTGAAGGAAGGCAGTAATTTTGATAAAAATATGATATTCAACAATAATTTGTTTTTTTTCTCTAACTGTAGAATATCTTGGTCAACAGGAGAGGGTTTTGTGGGCTGGAAACATTGTTGCAAATTGGTAAATTCAAAATAATTTATCTGCAAGTTGGCTGTAAAAGAAGATGGACTGAATTGCCCTCTTTTGTAGTCAAAACGTAGCTACCCTTCAAGCCAGAAGATAGGATGCTTATGTGCAGACAATACAACAAGGTTGATTCATTGCAGTTTGGTCAGCAAACTGGAGCCTGACTTCAAATTTGAGTCAGTCACAGACTCTTTTATGGTTTTGGGTAAGGCTCTGGTCCTCAAATCAATGCACAAAATGGAAATAATGGTGATTCCCTTCCCTGTGTAGGGAGAAAATGTCTTGTATAAACCTCTACTGGATGTTAATGTTGTTTGTGTGTGTGCAACTCTGTGGAGGAAGAGCAGTATAGGAATGAGTAAATTTTCTTCCTATATTTGGCAGGCATGGTACCCTAAGGGGCTGGTCTGTGCCATTATCCAGAAGGGAGGCCTGATGAAGAAGTTAGCATCAGAACTAGCCCGAGTTTTTTTGAAGTTCACTCTTAACTCTTGGGTGTCTTCATGTGCTGGGCTTTTCTTGGTGACAAGTAGGTGTTACTTATTTCATGGGAGGGGAACTTTGCTGATATTCAAAGCTAAGTGTATCACAGGTAGAATTTTTAATTGGTTAAAAACTTGAATTATTTTTATATTAATTATTTACAAATAGAATATCAAGGTGTATTTTTTCTTCCCTCTACCATTTTGGAGGCTTATAAAGGTCTAGGCTGTAAGCTGAAGAAAGGAGGGGCCAGCTCTGTTTTTGCTCACCTTTGTGTTGCCAGCACCATTTTATCTCCAGGCACGAAACAGGTACTCAAATAATGGCTGAATGAATAAGCTAATAAATGAGTTTCAGACCTGAAGAGGCAGATTCATGTTTGTTGAGAATTTCTCTATAATCAGAGTCCTTCCTGGTACCCTCAAATGTTAGTGGATTAGTCCAGACAGTGACCAATTTTATTTACTATTTGTGTATCAGGAGATCAGAGACAAAGGCTTTTTAATGTGGGGGACACTTGGCTCTGAGACCCCTTATTTTTCCAATCAGACAATGACTTACATTATTTACCTCCAGAGAACAGTCCCAGACACACTTGATTAGCCTTAAATGAAAGATAAGCCATTGCTATGAGAAAGGACATGCTTTCAATAGATGGGCAGACAGACAGATAGATAGATATTAAACAATTTACAGTTTTATGTCTTGACAACTTGGATATTGTAACATGAAA
Source organism: Homo sapiens (assembly GCF_000001405.40). Taxonomy (NCBI): domain Eukaryota; kingdom Metazoa; phylum Chordata; class Mammalia; order Primates; family Hominidae; genus Homo; species Homo sapiens. The sequence continues at coordinate 51,952,005 of NC_000006.12, read as the reverse complement.
AATGCTACTGAAAGGGACCAGTCCCTTCCTAGCAGAGAAGCTATAATATTTTCAGTAATGAAAGATAAATGTTTCAAGCTTCCTTACTTAAAACCTTTCATTGGCTTTCCATTAGCCTGTAAGTTCAAGTCCAAACTTAATATGGCTTATAGGGTCATGCAGGACTTGGTCTGTCTTTACCTCTCCATCTCATTTGTTCATTAATGATCCCTATATCCTATTCATCCTGGACTGGAAGTGGAGCTAGAAATCTGAAGTACTTTTGTATTTGGGATTCTTGTGTAGATAAAAATATGTTGGGGACTGAGCATTTCATTATTATAGTTTCTATACAATATTCCTGGGGTCAGGTAAAGGTAGGAAGTACTGTATTCTCATTTTTAAAATTAATAAATACTATAAGAAAAGTATTGTTTGCTTTTATTTCCAATACTATTATGCTATACCAAATCATTTTTATAATATTCAGAGAATAATTATATTTGGAACCTTTTGAAAAAACAAGTTGCTTAGAGAGGTGTATCAAATTGCAGGCTGGTCAAAAATGAGATTGGGTCAGTGCTAACTGAACTTTGATAAAGAGAAAGAGGAAGATTATCTGAATGAACTTAGTAGCTAGGGGGATTTTTACATGCTTGGTACAGACCTCGGGAAAAAGACGATTTTTTTTTTGTCTTTTCTATTTCTCCTTAGAAATAGCTTTCTTCTTGAGATTTTAAGTGACTTTTTAGAAAGCCATGGAACAGCTGAAGGCCTTGAGCACTTAAATGCTAGAAGCTTTGTTGATAAAATAAGTCATGGTTTTCTAGATGTAGAAAGGAAATCAAAGTTTAGTTAGGTAGTAATTGATAACAGTAGCTATAATAACAAAGGCATTTACTTATATCTTAGTGTTTGAGTTCCTTTAAATATTTCTGTGTAGTTTGCCTTCCACAGATATGTTTACACTCTGTAATTAGTACAGAGTTAATACAGTTATAAGGTTACCTTAATGAGTTTCATATTTTGTAGAAAAAGTAAAGAGCTGAGTCACAGTCTTTATATTCTCTTATAGTCATCTCTAAAGTGGGACAATTCACTAAAACCAACACATTTCCATTCACCCGGAGGAGCAATTCAACTTCACCGTGACCTTCAGAAACTGGAGACTCTATTTTACATTTTTATTTCGGTACCTAGCAGAGGAGCTGGAAACTAGTGGTAAATGTTGGTTGAGTGACTAAGGGAATTATTCTATAATTCCAGGCTTGTATTTTCTCAGCCTGTTTCAGATGATGCCAAACATCACCAGCCTACGGACACCTAGAACAATCACTTAATTTACTGATAGTAGTGATTCTCAAAGTGTAGCCCCCAGTCAGCAGCACTGGCATCACCTGGTAACTTATACAAACTGTAAATTTGGGAGCTCTACAGTAAACCTACTCTGGGAATGAGGCCCAGTAGTCTGTGTTTTAAGACATCCAAGTGATTCTGATGCAGGTTCAAGTTTGAGAACTACTAGCCTAAAACAATAAAAGGAGCCCTATGGAATTGTGAGGACCAGAAGCCAATTAGCCTGGCCCAACTACTCATTTCCCAAAGGCTATGAGACCTTTAGCAAAGAACAGTGGAAACTTGGCTGGCCACATTGAATGGGCTTATCTTGAGCACAGCATTTTTAGTTGGATGCACAGGTCCCTACCCCGCCAGGGAAATCTGAGTTGATGAAAATGGTTTCTCCCAACTGCTATTGTTTGCAGCTCTGAGTCAGTGATTTTATTTCATATATATATATATATATATTTTTTTTTTTCTCTATATTGCCCATTTGACTGCAGTACCAGGCTAATTAAGGAATTAGTATGTGGCATCCATTCTGGGGAGGTGTCTGATTCTTGTCCTGCATCCTGTGAACATTTTTGCAAACACTTTCTAGTTCATATTTTCTTTTTTTAATCAGGCAGAGACATTACAATTAAAATACCGTTAAAGTGATTCTGGCAAGTATTGCAATAAGCATGTTTTTTAATTAAAGGAAGAACAGGGAGATGCATAAGCAGTATCAGCTAAAGGGGAAAATTTCTTCTGATATCTATTTTAATTGAAATTTTGAAAAATGGGAAAAACAGCAGCAGCAGCAGCCTCTGCTTCTGTGTGTGTGTGGCTCCATCCCAGGTTGCTAGGTTTAGGTATTCTGTGCTTGATTAATTAGTAGCCAGCCAGAGAGTCCATTCCCTTTGCCCCCAATCCTTAAAGCCTGATTTATGCCTCACATCCCCCATGAATATGTGAGGGCTCAGGCATCTATTTCCTGAGCTGCTAGTGGATAGGATTATGGAGCGTGGACTAAGCTCTTGGGGGCTCTCGTTTGCCAGCCAAATTGATTTTCCGCCTCTCTGGCTGGGGACAAGCCCACCTCGAAGGCTTCCCAGGCTCTGCTCCAGTGGATCAGGCACAAGTCTAATCCGGATCTTGCCAACAAAGGAAGCTGTGTCCATCCGTGTCACAATGCAGGTTTCTTTGGGCTGTGGGTGCCTTCTCTAAATGCTCCTCTTTCCTCCTCTTCCTCACCTTCTCCTGGCTCCTGCTCCCAGAGCAGCACAGTGCAGTAAGGTACAGGGATATACTCCAACTCTGCCCAGATCACTCAGCCAGCTCTCCTTACCCAGGCAGAGCAGGATTTGTCCATCTTGAATGGATGATTCCTTTTCTCCAGGGAAAGGGAATTCCACAGGCTTCCTCGACTATCCATTTGACTATTTAATAATTGAAAGGTAAGAATATATAGGCTGCTAAATTTTTTAAGAAAAAATGGTGAATTGGGGGTTAATCAATGTAGGCAAGTAAATTAGTTTACATCTAAAAATTTAGATAGTTCAAGCTTTGAGTAAATGAATTATCTAGCTTGGTGATACAGATTAATCTAATGAATTGGGGTTCTCAGATCCCTCCCTGGTCTTGCCTCCATTTACCTCTCATTTTTCCTCTGTTTAAAAATAGAATCACTCTCCCTGGGTTTATTTTATCACCTGACATTCACATCCTAACTCTGTACATGCTGGCTGTGCACCTTTTCTCTCTTGATCTTCCTAAAAATGGCATTAAGGGTTTGACACACTCATCTACCTCTTTAACAGTTCTTAAGGCTCTTCGTTGAGCCTATGTCTACAACCTTATGATCCTTCTAACTCACCTAATTCTTTGATCTGCTCTCAAGAATCTTGTTTCTTATTCTAGCCTTTAAATGTTGATGGTTGACAGTTGTTTCCCTACCTTTACCCACCTTACCTTTCTTCTGTTCTTACTCTACATGTCCTCCCTGGGAGACCTCATTTACTTTGATAATTTCAACTCCTCGTTATTCAACAAGTATTGAGTGATCACTTAACACGTTCCCCATGTTCCAGGCACAGGGACTATGGCTGTGAACAAAACAGGCCAAAATCTTGCTCTCATGGTGTTTACTTCTAGAAGGAAAACAGTCAATAAACAAAATAAGAAAATTATAGTTTTTGTTAAATTTGCTTAGTACCATGGAGAAAAATGCAGCAGGAGAGGTGAATAGGGAATACACATTGGAGGTGGTAGTTGGGGATATTGGCACACAGCGATAGCAAATGTTGTGAGGCAAGGGAGCAAAAAGGAGTATTGGAACAAGGGGGAGAGCAGAGGCAGATGGGGCCAGAGAGAACCAACGCTGTAAGGTTTGATAGGCTTTGACTCTAAATATGATGGGAGCCATTGAAGAATTTTGGCAGAGAGGTAACACGATATGGTTCACATGAAAAGAAGGAATGACAACACTGAGTGTTGTTTTGAGAATTAACCCTGAGGTAGAGGATAAGGGCAGAAACAGGGAGCTAAGTTAAGATGCTGTTACAATAATCCATGGGTGAGATGAGAGTGACTTGGACCCCAGAAGTAGATGTGGAGGTGGTAAGTGGTTGGGTTATAGGGGACGTTTTGAAGGTGGAATGCATACAATTTCCTGAAGTATTGATTATGGAGTGAGAGACAGTGAAAGTTAACTCTGTGATTTTCAGACTTAGCAATTGCAAGGATGAAGTTACCATTCATGGAATGGGAAGGACTGAGGGAAGATCTGTGGGGCAAGACAAGGAAAGGAGTTCATGGATACTCATAGTTAAGAAACTATGAGACATCCAAGTAGAGATGTTGAGTAGGCAGTTGGGTATGTGAATCTTGAGCTGAGGGCACAAGCTTGGAGATATAAATTTGAGAGTCATTGACAATTAGCGTGCGATGGTGTTTAAAACCTTAAGACAAGATGGGACAACTGGCATGGTCTACAGAGACTGATAAGAAACGTGTTTAGAGGGCTGAGGCTTGGGACCCACCAAGTGTCAGTGGTTGGGATGATCAGGAGGAATCAGGCAGAAGAGGCTGAGAAGAGGATGCCTAAGAAGTAAGAGGAAAACCAGCTGGGTTTGTACCCAACCTACTTAATTAGAAAAGTCCCATGTGCTCACTGTCATTGAGTCAATAGGGAGCTTTCTTAGTATTTGCTAAAAATGAAGACATGAAATTAGATACCAGGTGAAGGAAAGACAAAGGTTCTAAATAGAAGAGTTTATTCTTCTGTTCTTTTATGAGTTACTAGCACTTTTGCATTTTATGAGGTTTTCTTTAGCGATTCAATACAATGTATAGAATATAGCACATGATGAAAATTTGATAGAAGTATAGAAACATTGGATTTTTTAAATAGAGATGAGAAAATGAAAGAAAGAAAAACAAAGAGGCTGGGCAAGTGAGGAGAGGGAGTTTTAGGAAAGAAGTGACCAAGTTGTCAAATGCTGCTGGTCACTCGGGAAGGGTGAGGACTGAGCATTGAGCCTGAGATTCACCAATGTGGTTGCCATCTGTGGCCTTGAGAGGAGCAGTTTTGCAGGTTCATCAGGTAAAGGCCTGACCAGGGAGGGTTCAAAAGACAGTCATGAAAAAGAGTTGAAGATAGTAGGTATAGCCACTCTTTTGAAGACTAGTATTGTATGGTATAATATTTATACTTAAATTTTTTCTGTAAGGGGGAAAATAGAATTGTGTATTTGTTTTCTTAAAAAAAACAACAAATTATTTTGTGGTTATTATAGAGGATGACTAATTGTTGGGTTAGCCAAAAGCAGATTTTGATGTACTTTGCAAACATTAGCTAGCTGCTAAAAGTCTCTTTTACTTCCCTTTAAAAGAAACAAAAGAGATGTTTAATGGAAAGAGGTGATTACATATAAAAAGTTGTGTTCATTTATTTATTTTAGAGGGAAGTAACAATAATGATGGTTGATTGATTTTTATAAAATTACCCAAGGTTACTTGTGGGACATAGTCAGCTTTCATGAAAGTCATAACAAGCAATTTAAGGGTCACAGCCAAAGGCTGATTTCAGCCCTGCTCTTTATTTCAGCATTTAGAAATGGGGTCAAGCTCTATAAAGTATGGAATAAAGTCCTCCCACAGCCCTCCCATACTCAAGTAACTATCCTTTAAAGCAGCCCACTGTATATTTATTTTAAACTAATAAAGTGTGAGGATGAAAATCTTGGTGCCTTGGCATAAAGATAGATTAAGTATAAACTTTATCTTCTTTCACATAAAGAAGGTTTCATTTGTTTATCTAATTATTTCAGGCAAAAATAGCTGAATTCCTCATCAAACTTTCTTCTAAATGTACCTAGATTTTCTTATATTTGCCACTAATAAAGCGGGGTGGGGATGCTTTTTAGCAGGAGTTAATGATGTTCATATTAATTAATTAGTCCTGTTTATGACACTCCTGACAACGCAGATAATTCATTTTCTTTGGGATGAGTTTTTCTCCCTTCATTAGCATCATTATTAGTTCCTGTCAGTAAATGATGTTTCAAAATTTCTACCAATTTGTTTCAGTGTATTTAACATTTTGCTTCATGGTAAAAGGGACAAAGCCCATGTTTATATATTTACCCACTAATCCTTGTAATCTGTTTCAAATCCTTTTTGGAAAAAGACAAGGTATATCTTCATTAACAAAATTAAAATAAATCATGTATAAACAAGCCATAGGCAAACTTTCTTAGGTTCACACATGTTTTTCCTTAAATGTAACTATGAGAACAACCCTAGTGAATTGAGAGCTACTGGGGAAGGTTTGTGCAAATGGATAGGATCTGAGCCTTTTGGTTGGGTAGTCCTGGGTTCTAGTTTGGTTCTGTGTATTCTGGGCTGGAATAGGTATGAATGCCTCTTAGCCACATTCTGCTCTGTGAAATAAAGAATGTGATCTTGATCTCACAGACTGGTTTTGAAGGTCATTTTAGACAATATATCTACAGATTTTGGTACATGGTAGGTGCTGAATAAATGTTAGCTTTCTTGTTTTCCCTGTAGTCTTATATGAATTCCTGACTATGCATCTCATATCTTGCTTAAGAAAAAATTCAGTGATTACTGCAGCACAGGCAGTGTCAGGAAAACATGAGCCTTGTGCCTCCATTAGTGTCCCATGCACATCTGACTGCATTCATAAAGATGTAGACGTCAAGTGTTCTAGAGTTGAAAGGAACTCATAATTCCACCTTCCACTTTGCGGATGAAACCACAGACCATTAATAGGCACTGAGTAGGAGAGATTTGGGACCTGAGTAATCTGAGGCCCAGCAATTGTATGGGACTTACTGAGGCTCATTCAGAGGTCAATAGCAGACTCAGGACAGGAACCTTGATTTTGTTCCCTGCCTTTACCACTTGCTCATCAAGGTCAGTTTAGATTTCCTGACTATTTACAATGCGGCAGTCCTGTCATACAAATCCATGTTCTACCAGTTGAATATAATTATTTAGGATGTTAATGACATGTGGCTGTGAGGGAAAAATTTTAGTTAACATAAAATTTGATCTGTAGCCCAGGTCATATTTCTTCCTTCTTGCTCACACTGGGACTCATGATTATTACTGCATTTCTATGTAATGACAATGAAAGGAAAAAAGTCAAAATTGTTAGGGAATCCTTTGGAAGTCTGGTAAGCAGTGTGGTACTGCTCTGGCATGGAGCCTGTAGACTGACCTTGCTGCTTTACCCTAGAGTATGAAATATTATATATGACAAAATATTTCAAAAGGACCAGTAACAGAGAGATGTTGGATGCAGATGGTCTAGCAGTGCTCAAGTGGTAGGGCACTTGTAGAAATTGAGCAGGTTGTAGATATAATCACCCGGTGGGTTCTTCCTGCCAGTTGCACAGACAAAATCAATTCGTCAAGACCATGGCGTTGCAGTAAAGAAAGCATTTAACTGATGCAAGGCCCTCCACACCATTTGGGGGATGGGGTTATTACCCAAATCAATCTCCCTGGAGGCTCAGAGGTTAGGGGTTTTCAAGGGTAGTTTGTTGGGCAGGGAACTAGGGTATGGGGAATATTGATTTGTTGGGGATGAAATCATAGGGGTATGGAAAACAGTCCTTGTGTACTGAGTCTGTCTTTAGGTAAGGGCCACAGCACTGGTTGAGTCTTGGGTCATGAATCTGAGTGAAGTCAGCTGGTGGTCAGAAATACAAAAGCCTAAAAAAAAATCTCAAAAGACCAATCTTAGTGTTTTTCACTCGCATCCATGCGAAGAGACCACCAAACAGGCTTTGTGTGAGCAACAAGGCTGTTTATTTCACCTGGGTGCAGGTGGGCTGAGTCCGAAAAGAGAGTCAGTGAAGGGAGATGGGGCGGGGCCGTTTTATAAGATTTGGGGAGGTAAAGGAAAAAGGGGGGTTGTTCTCTGGCGTGTAGGAGTGGGGGTCACAAAGTGCTCAGTGGGGGAGCTTTTTGAGCCAGGATGAGCCAGGAGAAGGAATTTCACAAGGTAATGTCATCAGTTAGGCAAGGACTGGCCATTTCACTTCTTTTGTGGTGGAATGTCATCAGTTAAGGCAGGAACAGGCCATTTAAATATCACTTCTTTTGTGATTCTTCAGTTACTTCAGGCCATCTGGATGTATACGTGCAGGTCACAGGGGATATGATGGCTTAGCTTGGGCTCAGAGGCCTGACATTCCTGTCTTCTTATATTAATAAGAAAAATAAAACATAACAGTATTGAAGTGTTGGGATGGTGAAAATTTTTGGGGGTGGTATGGAGAGATAATGGGCGATGTTTCTCAGGGCTGCTTCGAGCGGGATTAGGGGCGGCATGGAAACCTACAGTGGGAGAGATTAAGCTGAAGGAAGGTTTTGTGGTAAGGGGTGATATTGTGGGGTTGTTAGAAGAAATATTTGTCATATAGAATGATTGGTGATGGCCTGGATATGGTTTTGTATGAATTGAAAAAAGAATGGAATAAGACAAGGAGAAAAGCAGGTATTAAAGGATTAAGAATTGGGAGGATCCAGGACATCTAACTAGAGAGTGCTTAAGGAGGTTCAGCATAGCCCTGCCAGCAAAGATTATTTATTTACTTTAAGAGGGAGTTAAGAATGGTGGTTTGGGGATAGCACCAGGAGATATCAGCTGTGATGGCTTGGAGAAACAGTGTAAACCGGCAGTGTAAACAAGAGCAGGGCATTTATGAGTAGTTGAGAACGGTGAATAGGAGTATGACTAGACAGAAGATAGTAGGGATGATGAGTTTTTTTTTTTTTTGGTGGAAGGGATGCAGTCCAAGTTGGTCTGGTGTCTGGAATGAGACTGGGGCCTAATAAAAAGGAGCGTCTTATACAGGAGCTCAAATGGGCTGTACCTTGTAGCATTCCGAGTTCAGGCCTGAATTCTGAGAAGGGCAAGTGGTAAAAGTATTGTCCAGTCCTTTTTAAGTTGGTGGCTGAGCTTGGTGAGGTGTGTTTTTAAAAGACTATTAGTTCACTGAATACGAAGAGCCTGAGAAACTGCTTGGGTGATTTGACTAATAAAGGCCAGTCCATTATAAGACTGTATAGAGGTGGGAAGCCCAAACTGAGGAATTATGTCTGACAGAAGGGAAGAAATGACCGTGGTGGCCTTCTTAGACCCTGTGGGAAAGGCCTCTACCTATCCAGTGAAAGTGTCTACCTAGACCAAGAGGTATTTTAGTTTCCTGACTTGGGGCATGTTGAGTAAAGCCAATTTGCCAGTCCTGGGCAGGGGCAAATCCCCGAGCTTGATGTGTAGGGAGGGGAGGGGGCCTGAATAATCCCTGAGGAGTAGTAGAATAGCAGATGGAACACTGAGAAGTTATTTCCTTGAGGATGGATTTCCACGATGGAAAGTAAATGAGAGGTTCTAAGAGGCGGGCTAGTGGCTTGTACTATAGCATAGCCTGCCTTTGCTGGTGTGTGGTAATTAGGCTTGGTGGAACTGCCATCAATAAACCAAGTGTGATCAGGGTGAGGAACAGGAAAGAAGGAAATATGGAGAAATGGGGGTGAATGTCAGGTGGATCAGAGAGATAAGTCATGGGGGTCAGGTGTGGTATCAGGAATAATGTGGGAGGCCGGATTGAAGTCCGGGCCAGGAACAGTGGTAATTGCGGGAGACTCAACAAAAAGTGAGTACAGCTGAAGGAGCCAGGGAGCAGAAAGTATATGTGTCAGGTGTGAGGAAGAAAATAGGTTTTGGAAGTTATGAGAACTATAGAGAGTGAGTTAAGCATAGTTTATGGTTTTAAGGGCCTCTAAAAGTATTAGGGCGGCAGCGGCTGCTGCACGCAGACTTGAGGGCTAGGCAAAACTGTAAGGTCAAGTTGTTTGGATAAAAAGGCTACAGGGCACAGTCCCAGTTCTTGGGTAAGAATTCTGACTGCACAGCCCTGCACTTCAGCTGTGGGTAATGAAAAGGGTTGGGATGAGTCAGGGAGAGCTAAGGTTGGGGCAGTCTCTAAAGCTGTCTTCAAGGAATGGAAAGAGGAGTGGGGAAAGGATTTAGGATCTATGGGGTCAGCTAGGTTTCCTTTTGTGAGCTTATATAATGGCTTTGTTAGGATGGCAAAACTAGGTGTCTAAAGTCGAAAGTATCCAACCATGCCTAGGAAGGAAAGGAGTTGTTTTGTAGAAGGTGGTGGGGTTTGAGAGATCAGTAGGACACGATCGGCAGGGAAAACACGTTTTATGAGAATTACGCCATGATAGGTAACAGATGAGGAAGAAATTTGGGCTTGACTGAAGTAATGGGGGCTGTCTGTGAAGGCTTGCGGCAGTACAGCCCAGGTAATTTGCTGAGCCTGATGGGTGTCAGGGTCAGTCCAAGTGAAAGCGAAGAGAGGCTGGGATGAAGGGTGCAAAGGAATAGTAAAGAAAGCATGTTTGAGATCCAGAACAGAATAATGGGTTGTGGAGGGAGGTATTGAGGATAGGAGAGTATATGGGTTTGGCACCACGGGGTGGATAGGCAAAACAATTTGGTTGATAAGGCACAGATCCTGAACTAACCTGTAAGCCTTGTCTGGTTTTAGGACAGGTAAAATGGTGGAATTGTAAAGAGAGTTTATAGGCTTTAAAAGGCCATGCTGGGCTGGGTGCGGTGGCTCACGCCTGTAATCCCAGCACTTTGGGAGGCCGAGGCGGGTGGATCATGAGGTCAGGAGATCGAGACCATCCTGGCTAACAAGGTGAAACCCCGTCTCTACTAAAAATACAAAAAATTAGCCGGGCGCGGTGGCGGGCGCCTGTAGTCCCAGCTACTCGGGAGGCTGAGGCAGGAGAATGGCGTGAACCCGGGAAGCGGAGCTTGCAGTGAGCCGAGATTGCGCCACTGCAGTCCGCAGTCCGGCCTGGGCGACAGAGCGAGACTCCGTCTCAAAAAAAAAAAAAAAAAAAAAAAAAAAAAAGGCCATGCTGTAACAGGTGAGTGATAACAGGCTTTAATCCTTTTAAAGCGTGCTGTGGGATGGGATATTGGCATTGAGTGGGGTAAGGGTGATTAGGTTTTAATGGGATGGTAAAGGGTGCATGATCAGTCGCCAAGGAGGGAGTAGAGGTGTCTTATATTTGTGGGTTAAGGTGGGGGGGGATACAAGAGGAGGATGCGAAGGAGGCTTTGAACTGGGGTAAAGGGCAGCAGTGAGGTGTGGCTGTAATCTAGGAACAGTGAGGGAAGCAGATAATTCAATTAAAATGTCTCGGCCTAATAAGGGAACTGGGCAGGTGGGGATAACTAAAAAGGAGTGCATAAAAGAATGTTGTCTAAGATGGCACCAGAGTTGGGGAGTTTTAAGAGGTTTAGAAGCCTGGCCGTCAATACCCACAACAGTTATGGAGGCAAGGGAAACAGGTCCTTGAAAAGAAGGTAATGTGGAGTGGGTAGCCTCCGTATTGACTAAGAAGGGGACGGACTTACCTTCCACTGTGAGAGTTACCCAGAGCGTCTGCGATGGTCCTGTAGGCTTCCGAGGCAATCGGGCAGTATCAGTCTTCAGCTGCTTATCCAAGAAGATCTGGGAAGGAGTCAGTCAGAGAGCCTTGGGCCAGAGTTCCAGGGGCTCTGGAAGTGGCTTCCAGGTGAGTTGAACAGTCCGATTTTCAGTGGGGTCCCACACAGATGGGGCATGGCTTAGGAGGAATCCCGGGCTGTGGGCATTCCTTGGCCCAGTGGCCAGATTTCCAGCACTTGTAGTAAGCTCCTGGGGGAGGAGGTTCTGGAGGAACCCCTGACAGCTGCGGTTCAGGCATTTGGAGTTCTTGTGTGCTGGAGATATGGCTGGGGTTTGTCTCACAGTGGAGGCAAGGAATTGCAACTCAGAAATACATTGCTACTTGGCTGCCTCTACTCTATTATAGTACACCTTGAAGGCAAGGTTAATTAAGTCCTGTTGTGGGGTTTGAGGGCCGGAATTTAATTTTTGTAGTTTTATTTAATGTCAGGAGCGGATTGGGTAATAAAATGTATATTGAGAATAAGACGGCCTTTTGACCTTTTAGGGTCTAGGGCTGTAAAGCATCTCAGGGTTGCTGCTGAACGAACCATGAACTGGGCTGGGTTTTTCATATTTGATGAAAAAGAGCCTAAATGCTAACTGATTTTGGGAGAGGTCAGATAAAGAAAAAGGAGCATTAACCTTGACTATGCCTTTAGCTCCAGCCACCTTTTTAAGAGGAAATTGCTGGGCAGGTGGGGGAGGGATAGTCGAGGAATTAAACTGTAAGCCAGACCTGGTGTGATGAGGGAGGTGATAAAAGGATTATAGGGTGGGGGAGCAGAGGCTGAGGAAGAATTGGGACCTGGCTGGGCCTGGCAAGGAGCAGCCTGGGGAGGAGGGGAGAAGTCAGATGGGTCTGTAGAAAAGGAAGATTAGAAAGACTCAGTGATGCTTGGGGTTGGGACTGAGAGAACAGGAGGGAGGGAAAGAAGGAGGATTTGGGATGAGTCGCATTGGGAACAGAGACTAGGGAGGAAACAATGTGTAAAAGAATGTCTGGACGTCAGGCATCTCAGACGGTTTGTCTATTTTACGATAAGAATTATCTAGATCTTGTAGGATGGAAAAATCGAAAATGCTGTTTTCTGGCTATTTGGAACCACTGTCAAGTTTGTAATGGGGTCAAGTGGCATTGCAGAAGAAAATAAGGCATTTAGGTTTAGGTCAGGTGTGAGTTGAAGAGGTTTTAAGTTCTTGAGAACACAGGATAAGGGAGAAGGAGGAATGGAGGGTGGAAGGCTGCCCATAGTGAAGGAGGCGAGCCAAGAGAAAAGAGAGAGTAGAGACACGGAGAGAAGGGGTCAGCGGGTTCTTGCCCCCTAGAAAAGCGGAGAAGGGGTAGAGACACGGAGAGAAGGGGTCTGGGCGTTCTTGCCCCCCAGAAAAGCGGTACTTGCCACTAAGGGTGAAGGAGAAGGGGTTGGGGGGGTTCTTGCCCCCCAGAAAAGTGGAGAAGGGGTAGAGACATGGAGAGAAGGGGTCAGGGGGGTCCTTGCCCCCCAGAAAAGCAGTACTTGCTGCTAAGGGTGAAGGACCAAGGCAGGCATCCCCACGTGGTCAGACACCTCTGAAATGTGGGTGAATAATCAGGCAGACATCCCCGCATGATTAAACACCAAGGGAAGACTGTCTTCCTGAGTCCGTGACTGGCGCCAGAGTTTTGGGTCCATGGATAAAACGCATCTTCTGCATCACCAGAAAAGGAAAGGAACTGAAATTAAGAGAAGAGAGAGATTGAAGTGTGGCACCAAGATTGAAAGGAGAAAGAGGTTGAGGGATAGTGAGAGAGGTTGGAGAAGAGAGTAAAAAGAGGCTGCTTACCGGATTTAAAATTGGTGAGATGTTCCTTGGTCTGAGGACCAGAAGTCATAGGTGGATCTTTCTCACGGAACAAAGAGCAGGAGGACAGGGGATTGATCTCCCAAGGGAGGTTCCCTGATCTGAGTCATGGCAGCAAAATTTCACTTGCGTCTGTGTGAAGAGACCACCAAACAGGTTTTGTATGAGCAACAAGGCTGTTTATTTCACCTGGGTGCAGGTGGGCTGAGTCCGAAAAGAGAGTCAGTGAAGGGAGATAGTAGTGGGGCCATCTTATAAGATTTGGGGAGGTAAAGGAAAAAGGGGGGTTGTTCTCTGGCGGGCAGGAGTGGGGGGTCACAGCGTGCTCAGTGGGGGAGCTTTTTGAGCCAGGATGAGCCAGGAGAAGGAATTTCACCAGGTAATGTCATCAGTTAGGCAAGGACCAGCCATTTTCACTTCTTTTGTGGTGGAATGTCATCAGTTAAGGCAGGAACAGGCCATTTAAATATCACTTCTTTTGTGATTCTTCAGTTACTTCAGGCCATCTGGATGTATACGTGCAGGTCACAGGGGATATGATGGCTTAGCTTGGGCTCAGAGGCCTGACAGTTTCTAAAATAGTGATGTTATCTATTGGAGTATTTGGAAGAGTTGCAAATCTTGTGACCTCTTGAACAATGGCTAGTAATCATTTAAATATGCTAAACATCTTAGAATTTTGGCACCTCTTATAATCCTAGCCTTGTGGCCTTTCATTAGTTTTACAAAGGTAGTTTAATTTTGGGAAGGGCTATTATCATCCTTGTTTAAGGTTAGACTATAAACTAAATTCCTCCCATAGTTAGCTTGGCTTACACCTAGGAATGAGCAAAGCCAGCCAGCCTGTGAGGCTAGGAACAAGATGGAGTAAGCCATGTTAGATTTTTCTCACTGTCAGAATCTTTGCAAGGATGGTTTCACAGCAATAATGGAGGAAGCGAAGATGGTGAGTGTGATGATAGCCACAGAGACCATTGCATTAAGGGTTGAATAGGTGTCAGACTCCAGACCAGGGATCTATAAGAACTATTTCAATAAATCTCACCTTAATCTTCTGAGGGTGAAATTCTTACCATGCCCATTTTACAGATGGAGAAACTGGATACCTATGCGGGGTGTGTCATTCTAAATTGTGACTGAAAGAAAAGGTCCTTGAAGGGGTCTGGTCCAAGTATACATCCCGTGACTATTACTGATGGCATATGGCTTGGGCTTTAGAATTGAAGAAAAGAGTCTTGAGGAAAGGAGCTGAGGAAAGCTGAAGAGAAGTTAGGGAAGAAGTGGCCTCCATATTTGACTATTGAGTCAAACATTTATTGATCACTGTCTCTGCACTAAGACGGAGGTAAACAATTAAATGAAAAGAGTCAAACTCTGTAAAATACTTGAAGAGATTAATTCTGAGCCAAATTTCAGTGACCATGGCCTGGGGCACAGTCTTAAGAGGTCGTAAGTACATGTGCCCAAGATGGTCAGGCTACAGCTTGGTTTTATATGTTTTAGGGAGAGGTAAGACATCAATCAATACATATAAGATGTACATTGGTTTGGTCTGGAAAGGTTAGACAAGTAGGAGTGGGGGCTTCCAGGTCATAGATGGATTCAAAGATTTTCTGACTGGCAATTGGTTGAAAGAGTTAACTTATTAACTTATCTAAAGACCTGGAATCAACAGAAGGGAGTGTCTGGGTTAAGATAAGTGGTTGTGGAGTCCAAGGTTCTTATTATGCAGATGAAGCCTCCAGGTAGCAGGCTTCAGAGAGAATAGACTGTAAATGTTTCTTAGCAGATCTAAAAAGGTTCCAGACTCTTAGTTAGCACTCTCCTAGCTCAGGGTAAAGATCCAGAAAAGGAAGGGAATTTTCTACAGAATGTAGATTTTCCCCACAAGAGACAGCTTTGCAGGGCCGTTTAATATATTTTGGGGTAAAATACTTCAGTTTCTTTCAGGGCCGGCTATCTGTCATGTGGTGCTGTACTAGAGTCAGGTTGGAATTTGGTGTCTTATTGCTACAGAGTCTATTTTGTCAGTCTTAATGTCTCTGTTTTAATGTTAATGCTGGTTACTTATTTCTGAATTCCAAAGGGAGGAGGGTATAATGAGGCATCTCTGACACTCCCCGTCATGGCCTGAACTAGTTTTACAGTTTAACTTTGTAACGCCCTTGCCTAAGAGGAGGGGTCAATTCAGTTGGTTTGGGGGACTTAAAATTTTATTTTTGGTTTACATGATAATGACTAAAGTCATTTTTGCCTTTTTCCTCTCTCCCTCTCATTTCTCCAGTGCATGTTTAACTACTTCCAGCTGTGATTTCTGGAAAGCAACAAAAACTCAACTCAATAACTTGGCACTCTGGATTTATGACTACATTAGCAGATGAAGAGTCTTTGCCCTCCACTACATCTCACCAAGACTCTTCTTATTATAGTAGAATCTGCCTTTTGAGGCATTTCTGATACTTTGCTATCTCTATATCCTTTGCCCCCCTTTGCTCATTGAGACACTATGTAGGCTTATAAATTAAGTGTAAGAACAACATCCTTTCTGAGAAAATGGGAGAGTGTGTGTGTGTTTGTATATAAGGAAATAGAGGCACTTAAATCAGAATCTCCAAAAAGATATGTCCATTCATTCATTCACTCAACCATTAATTGTGTGTTGAGTGCCAACTACCTACCAGCCACTTTTCTAGACACCAATAATTTAGAAGTGAACAAAACAGATAATTCCCCTCAGGAAGCATGTATTCTGGTGGGGAGAGGGCAGAAAATAAACCTGTAAATATATAATATGCCTGATATCAAGTATTACAAAGAAAAAGGCATTTAGGCAAGGGGCTAGGGTGTGCTATTTTATATAGACTGGAGAGGGAAGGCCTTGGTGAGAAGTTAACATTTGAATAGTAACAAGGGAGAGTGAGCCATGGGAATATCAGAACATTCCGATAATTCCAATAACATTTTAGATATTTCCGATATTTTTGATAATTCTTATTCATGATATTCACGGGAATATCAAAAGAACCTTCCAGAGGGAAGAGCTTATGCCCTGAGGCCTGTTTGAGAACTAACAGGCAGGCCAATATGTTTGTAGCATATGTGTGAACAGGTGAGCTTTAGAAAATGATATTAGAGAGGTATTGGAGGTTGGGTAGCAAATCATGAGGGACCTTTTGTAGCCCAATGTAAGGACTTTGACTTCTATTCTGAGTGAGATGGGAAACTATTGTTGGATTTAGAAAAGAGGACCTCTGGTGTGTCTGATATAAAGATACAATTCTGACTACTTTGTTACAGGATGGAAGGGTCTAGTCTGGTATTTTTGTAAACCACTTGCAGGAGAAAGATGGACTAAATAGCTTATTGAAGTTAAAGTGTTTATTCATATGGGATGCTTTAATTATTTTGACATTATTGAGAAAATTCTACGTAAAATATAAACATTCTAAAGCCTTTTAAAGAAAGATATTATAAAAATGAAAATATCTTTTTAATTTTTAAATTATTTAATCTCACAATGCAAAATAATTCTATTATAAACGAATATTCTTGTGTTACTGAAAATTTGGACATCAGAGCAAAATGGTATATGTATCAGTTAAGGTTATCTGGTTGCCAATAAGAGAACCCAACTTTTCTTTTAAAAATGGAATGTATTGGGAAGGTATTGGGTAACCTACTAATCAGTGGAAAGCAGTCTGAAAAATCAGGGACAGAAATACGTAGGAATCAAAGCATTTGATGCAAGTGGCGGGTGGTGGGGCAGGCAGGGAGATGGGCAGGTGGGCATCTCAGAAGCAGGTGTTCTTCCCAGGCTCCTTAGAATGCCACCACTGGAACTGAGATCTAAATATTTCCTACCTCTTTTCCCTTTTGCTCCATATTTCTCTTAAAGCCCGAGTATGTGACTCTGGCCATGGTAGGATAAGATGTCTTGCTTGACAGTTCCACTCAGCTCTAGTCAATGGGGCAGAGCAATACCTCAAGGAAATTAGGGTCTGTTAACAAAAGAAAGTATAATGGATGCTGGTCAGCTAAAATGCTACAAATGCCACAGTGTTAGCCCTAGTTACATTTCCTTTTACTATAATTCTTACAATTTTGGCACATCTTCTTCTAGCCCTATTTCTTGTATATGTCCCAGTTTTTTTTTTTCTTAATTTTATCTATTGTTAAATGGTAAAGTTAGTGGTCTTCTCATACATTATTTAACCATTCCTAAATTGCTGGACATTTAGATTATTGTCATGAAAATGTAATAAAGCAGCAGAGAATAGTAATAGCTAACCTAAACTGGCTAAATAATAGTGCTTCCACTCCTGAATGTCTGGTCTACCCTACTGTGCTTCTACAAGAGAGAGCATGATAAAATAAGTCTACATTCCAGCAGAAGTATTTAAATGAAGGGGATTTCATCAGGCATTGAAACTGACAAAACGGTAAGCCTTATCCTCCCAGGGACTGACAATTTTCCCTTTGTCCATTAGGGGGCAAGCTGATTTTCATGGCCCCAGGACCCATCGAGCTCAGGGCACACGCCATCCTTGTTTCTGATGGTGGAGAGCTCCGGATTGGATCCGAAGACAAGCCCTTCCAAGGCAGAGCTCAGATCACACTCTACGGGAGTTCCTACTCAACTCCCTTCTTTCCCTATGGAGTCAAGTTCCTGGCTGTGAGGAATGGAACTCTTTCTCTGCACGGTGAGTGAGGCAATTGATCAGAGGAAATGAAGTAGAGCTGTGTCTAGCAGTGGAAACTGATAAAACTGTTTAAAAGTCCTTGACTATAGTTGCTGAGCCAACCAGGTCAGTTAGAGCATGGCACTATTTCCTTAAATAACAAGTAAAACTGTTACGATTCATGTGGCAGAGTACACTACCGTTCCCAATTGTTTGCTCCTCTTTCTGTAAGAGGATTGTGTATACTTCCACCCACTGTTAGGTGACTTTCAGTGCCTCCTTGTGGGTGGACCATACTTCCCGGCCCCTTTGCAAGAGCAGACTTAGCCTTATACTCGCTTTGGTCAGTGGAATGTGAGCAGAACTGGGGGACTGCATGGCCAAGTGAAGGTTTTAAGACCTGTTACGATGCTTTAGCCATTTCGTTTTCTTCCTGCCACTTGAGAATAGCCTGTCCCAGATAGAGGCAGTTCCTTCTGCTTAGAACCTGAACGAAGACGACATGGGGCAGTGCTGCAGCTGACCTACTGCTCTCATGTATGTGAGTGAGAAATAAGCCTTTGTCATAAGCCACTGAAATTTGCATTTGTAATTGCAGCATAGCCTAGTGAAAACTGACTGATACAATTACTTAGCATGTACTGATGTCTCTCAACATGCAGTAGCCTGGTATCCCAAATCAAATACAGACAACCTCATTTAGTTGTTGAACCTCTTCCTGTCTCCCCAAACCCTCTACCCCATGAGCAGGGTTTAATTACAGTTCTACTTAGAATCCTCTTACAGATAGGTGGGGTGTTTAAGGATTCCCAGGAGAAAATAGATTAGGCTACAGTGTGTTCTACTCCAACTTTATTTGCTTTCTGATCATCTAATTCCACTTTGCAAAATGGACATTTTTTTTCCCTCTTGAGAGTCAGGAAATTACCAGGTGTGCCAGGATAATCCTTAGTATCAACTGTAAAATATCAGTATAAAATAATGAGTAAGCATATTTCAGTGGGTGTTTATATGCTTTTGGTTGCATAGCATGAGCCAAAGGCAGATAAAAAATGTGGGCTCCAGATAGTGACTCAATCTCCAGAAATCATAATGTCAGTTACACAATGATATTTCTATATTGGCATCACAAAATAATCCACTTGTCATAGGATAATTGCTCTAGATGAGGGCATGGAGCTGTGCTGAGGAATCTGCCATTTTTCTTTATCCAGACTCTGTCTCATACCGACCACAGGCCCCAATCATTGTCTATCAAAAAACATGCTTGTGTCTCTTTTGGCTTACTATGAAAGGAAGCAAGATCTTTTCCTCAAGCATTTAAGTGTTGACTGTGGGCTACCCAGTGTGCTAGACACTGGGGATCAAATTTTGTGAGGTTAAAAATACCCCATAACTCACTGGATAGAAATTCAAAATGCTTGCTATGTTGATTCTATGATCAACTTCCAAGGGGACCTTTTTACCTCCTATCTTCATCAGCAAGCAACTACATTGATTTTGTAGCCCAGGATCTATTCCCACGTCAGCCATGGTTTTCAAATGTTTGCTCTAGCTCAATGGCCTCTTAAGCCACTAACCCAATATGTTGCTTTTTACCAGTAAAAAAGTGCATCTGGGGAATAAGTTGGTGTATATTTGTGGTTCAGCCAGCCCATAGATCGTCCAGAGGACCCCAGGCTTAGGAGGAATCCTCAGATTTGAGAGCCACTGTCCTGTATGATGCAGATAGCACAGCTCTTCCTGAAAATAGGAATTCAAATGAGGAAAAATGAAAACTCTCCTAATTATTTTCTTCTGCCTCTTTCATTCCAAGCTCATCTAATTATCATGCTCTATTGTGAAGAATCAAAGAAAGAACTCATAAATATACCTTTTGTGCCTGTATTTTAAATGTACGTTGTGCATGTAAGCCTTTGTGGTTAAGCAAATGTCAAGAAAATCCCTAGTCCCATTGCTTACAGTCAATATGGGGCAATTCAAGCAAAGTATATGCCTCTAATATGGTTTGAAAATTCTGAAAGTTCAGAAAAAATGTTGCTACTTCAGCCATCTGATGTTACTGGATATTGAGAATGAGACCTCCTCTCCCTCTGCTTTCCTCATTTCCATCTCCTCCTTCCTCTTTCTCCTCTCTCCCTCTCCTTTATTCTCCTTCTCCCTCCTCTCTCTCCATGCTTCCTCCCTTCCTCTTCTCCCTCTTTCTTCTTTATTCTCCTTCTCCCTCCTCTCTCTCTCTCCCCTTTTTCCTCCCTTCCTCTCCTCCCTCCCTCTCCTTTATTCTCCTTCTCCCTCCTCTCTCTCTCTCCCCCTTTTCCTATATTCCCAGATTAGGCCATTTTCAAAACTGGTTAAACATTCCCCAAAGCATTTAGGACAGAGAATTGACTAGGATCTCACCTGAATCACAGAGCTTGCCCATTGAACACAGGCAAAGATCAAGCCATTTCCTCTCTGATGTGATGCTGCAGCATCTCATGCATTTGAAACAAATATTATGTAGAAAAGAGCTCAGCCATTTGGGTGACAGGGATTCCTTTCCTGATGTATCTGTCAGAGAATCGCAGCCCCACGTGCAGCTCATCAATTCTCTCCTGTCACTTCTCCCTCACCACCTGAGGTCTCAGACAGATTTCCCCTCCAGCGTGGTGGTATATCATGGCTAAAGTCATTTCATAATTTCACTGGCCTTTTGCCGGGGCCAGAGGTGGGTCTGGTGACACTGGGGCTTTAGGAAAAAGCTAATTTTCTTTCACCATCAAGTATGCAAAATAGTGAGCAACTTGATTCACTGTTTTGCACCCAGGAAGTCCCTAATGACCCAGCATTCACTCAGTTTCCCAGGATAACATAATGAGGAGATTCACCAACTTTGGCGCACAGAAGAGCCTTTTGGGAGAGGTTTTTGTAAATCTAGATTTCTGGGCCTGGAAATGTACATGTGATGTGACTCAGGTGGCCTATTGACTATACTCAGAGAAACACTGGTTCAAGTGGTTAATCAAATTGGAATCAGAAATGGGCCCAGTTCTGCCACAGATCAGCTATGACCTTCAACAGATCTCTAAAAAATCAGAAAAACACAGTTCCCACTTCATAAACTTATTGCTCATGAAGTGTTCCAGAGTGTTGGGCACACAAAACACATATTAATTTTCTTGTCTATCTCTTTTCATCAGAGTAACAGAAGGGTTTTAACCTTGGAGATCATGTGGTAACAACATTCCCAGGCATCTTCTCTTCTCTTCCCACCACCCAGTCAACACCTTTAGATTTTAATCTCTCTTGGTGCAGCTGCTTCCCAGCTGTGGATAACCACCATTCCTGGGCGTGGTTACAAAAGGCTTCTTAGAAACTATTTGCATGGGTCCCAGTATAGTCTGAAGCAGGGCACTGCCCAGCGAATGAGGCCCTTGGCAGACATTTGGTTCCTAATATTCAGCAGCAATGCTGAATGGATTCTAATTTAACTCCAGCTCAGGTCATGTAGAATCACACAAATGGTCTGCATGTCAGTCCGATCACTTTCCCACCTTCTCCTTCCATCTCATTCTTTATTATTGCTCTTTGAAACCCTTCTGCTCCAGCTGATTTTTACCTTGGATTAAAATCGCTAAGCAAACAGGCTTTGGTGTTCAGCTGTCACAAGGCAAGATGGAGTTGAAAGCACGTTACATGTATTTCTTTGAATGTAGGAAAAGTCCCACACCCTTATACACTCACATATACACACAGCTGCACATATACACCCACACACAGCACCATCTTTTCTGTTTCTGTTTGAGAGTAGATGAGGACAGGTTCTGAGTTGCTGGTGGAGTTCAGATTGTTTAGTAACTTCTGTCAGCTGCTCACTTTGATGCGTTAATATGACTAAAGGGTCTCAGGATTCCTCCTGAGTGGCAGTCTGGGGTTTGGGTAGCTGTAGTCAATAAGGAAATTTCACTCTTGCCTTTTGCTTTCATCACTCTGTCTGCCAATCCAGGTTCACCACTCCAAACTGAGTGCCAATCACTTGTCACTTTTCAAGTGGGTTGCTGTCAGCCTGGGCAACTTAAATTTTTGACAACGTAATTACGGCTCTTGCTTCCACAGTGGGAATCTGAGCAGGATGGTGGAGCTTTTATTGATTGTTCAGCAGGGAAATTTATCAATGTCTCTCACTTCATTTCCAGTTTCTCCCTGAGAAATTTGGCTGACAGTTTCTTAGGAGAAAAACAGTCTCATGGCCTTGGCTGGACTTCTGTCTTTGTCCTTTTCAAGAAATTACAAGATATAGGCATTAAATATACATGGAAATTCCTGAGAAAAAGCAGTATGTGGGGCATGATTGAAGAAAGCACGAGTGCAATTGCAAGGAACATAAGAATTTGGTAGGAATAAATAAAAGCAGTGGTCTAAATAAGCAAGCTTAGATATGGTTTGTTTTCCTTCTGAAAATGCCAAGTGTCTGCATGTAAATTCCATGGTTGCTATGAGTACTGTGTAATATGCACTATTTTCATAGTTGCTAGAGTATCAGGCTGTCTTTAAGCATGGTATAAAGTGTGTGGAACAGGCACATGTGTGGGAGTGTGTTTCCGGTCAGTGGTTTTCACATTGTGCTCCACAAAATCCAAATGTTTCCTGGAGGGGATTTAGGGGTTCCCTAAACAATGAATATTGGAGGTCAAGTAATAAAGGTTTAAATTGCTCAAGTAATTGATTTATTGCTTTTATCTGTTATATATTTGTGTTCAAAGTAACAGTTTGTTAGAAGAAAGAGTTCCACTGTTAAAACTGTGATTAAAAAACTCTACTAGGTCATTCTTTTAGCTGTGGTGTATGGATCCTTTTGAGGTGTCCAGGGCCTCTCTGCATGATTCCTGTTTCCCCAAGACTGATTTAGCTCTGGGACATTTTCTATAAAGTCTGTTCTTTGATGTAGGGTGAAACTTTCTAGAGCCCATTTTCATGTCATAACAGTTCCTCTTATCCAACAATATATTTTTAAATCTCCACTCTCTCGTCACCTGATTAATAGTCTCCAATGCTGTCTCCTCTTGCCCCTTTCCTTACCTATTTCTTCTAGACCAAGACTCCTCCCTTTTCTTCTGTCTCTCGTTCCCTTGAGCTAGATACAAACCAGAGCTATGACATGGCATTTTTATATGTAGCTTTATTACTCTGAAATTGTTTGGTTTTAGGGGACAGAAGCCCACTGGAAACAAACTTAGAACCAAGGATTTATGAATTCTTGTAATCAAAACGCAGGATGGAGAGAAAGACAATGGCCTTAGACGTGACTGTCTTCAAGGGTCCGAATGTCCACAGGACTCACCCCTCAGTCCCTTACCCTGGCTGTCTCTGCATGTATTGACTTCACTCTCTCCTACTCCTTATTGCTGCCTTCTCTATGGTTATTGGGACTTCCTGATTTCATGTGGACTTTGATTTTCTACTACCAAAGAAAGGAACACTGTATTCTTTTCAAAAAATAACCAGGGGAGGCCTCCCAAAGTCCGCTAGAGTTACTTAGCAGACTAAGGACTATACATGGTGCCCAGGGGGAAAGTGCACTCTGACTGTCCAAGCTCAAGCCACATTTTCACTTCTGCTTTCCCCTTGCATTTATCACCACAAAATATTACCTGTGATTTCATGGGAAACTTGAGCTGATGTGGTGTGTAAATTTGCCACAGGCCTGAGCAAATGCAACCGACACAATTTTAGGGATGTTTGGTAGATGCAAACCTTTCAGACAGAAGTCTGACTCAGAATAGATTTTATTTTTCTTTAGTCACTACCTTCGTCTGTATTCTGATGGATCCTTTTTCTTGTCCTTTAAAAACACCTTGGTTACCAATAGCTTTCCAGTTGATTTCAGATATTGAAAATGCCAGTCCTGATTAATCTAGTTTAAAAACTCAGTCTCCTATTCATTTAATGTTACCTTCCTCACCCACAAAGCTTCAACTTGAGGCACTTGGGATGGTAGGGTCTGCTCCCTCACTCTTCCTCTAATCCTTCTTATTTCATATTGTCAGTATGGGGCAGGTGGAAGAGGTAAGGTGAGAGGTTTAACAAGCTTAATACTTAACGGTGCACCTATATCCTCTGTTGGGTGTTGCTCTCTCTCTGAATAATAATTGCTGACTATTGAGTCTCCCTCCTAAGATGCCTGCATGAAATCACTGGAGTCTTGTAGGAGGCTTTTCCACTGCACAGTTTCTCAATGTGGAAGCCCCACTTGGGTTTTCAATCCGTTAGCATCCACCTTGGGGGTTGGTCTTGGTGGAGTACTAGAAAGTTGGTTCAAGCCAAGCTATCTTCCCTACAATTCAGCTATCCAGAGGAAACTTACAAATCCACATGAAAGATGTTTCACTTATCACCCCTTTCTCTGCTCTGCTCTTTCTCTAATTGTTTCCCCTGCTTAGATAAGCATGAGCAGCTGAGCAAATAGGCTGCATATGCAGACATTCCACCTGGGAAAAGAAGCCAGTCTCCCCTTCTTACAGGTCACTCTGTGATTGATACTTATGCAGCCCTCTTTCTTTGCTTAATAAGAGAGAAGTAGTTTCACACCTCGCTCTATAGGAAGGGGAGGAAAGGCCAGGGTTAGCTCACCCAGGCTGATGGCTCATCCCCATCTCTCAGGATTTCTTTGAATCTCCTTGTTTTTGGTCATTCATAAATGATGGAGTGGACTCTGCTCCAGGGATGGCAAAAGTGGCAGAGTTAGATTAGCTTTCTTTAATAAGCCCCAAGGAGATGTTTTCTCCCTGTCTGTGGCTTCCCTATAATGTGGGGTGCTTATCATCTCCTGATCCTATGCATGTGTCCTCCTGGTAGGTTCTAGAGGAGCAGAAGTCCCACCCAACAACCTGCTATGTATGTAAAAAGGGTGCCCTAGAGGGATGTGGGGTTGAAGGGGAGAGCCACTGTCATTTTGCGGTTGTTATTTGGCTTTGTTTTGTTGGTTTTTATTTAGGACTGGGAAGGAAGGAGGATTAAATAGAGGGGAAGAATGGAGAAAGGAGGATGAGGAAAATTAAAAAAGTATTTATTCCTTTTTCTACTCTTAAATTTAAATGAGCTTTAATTCAGTGTTGGGGTTCTGGTCAGCTGGCATGTTGTGGCAGATCGTAATTACACAGTTGAGTTAACATCAGCAAGCATGGTCCTGGCATACTTGGAACCCTAGCGTGGTAGGACAGCCAGTGACTGATGAGTGTTTCTCTCTTTTGAGCAGATGGAGACTGACCCTTGGCTCTATGTCCTCTAAAATATAACCAACACCACCAACAAAAAATAAGGTTTTTTTTCTGTTCTGTCTAACAATACTTCAAAAAAGTCTAAACACTGTATAACCATTCTATTTACAGTGGCAGATATGTGTCTGCTAAAATCTCATTGATCTGGACAAGAGTAACCTTGGAACAATCTTTAAGAAAGGGTTCCTTAAATTAATAGTATAAACCACACTTTAGGGGACTTGTTTAAACACATTTAAGTGAACATGCTGTTTTTAAGGTCTTTTAATTTCAGGTGTTTGCATGTAAATGTATACTGCTAATTAGAAATGAGTTCTAGCTATTCAATAATCCAAGTACAGCAGGAACCCCACTTAGAAACACATTGTAAGGTACTTCAAGTTTCTATATATACTTGAAAGTGTCGGCATTAGTCAGGTCTTTTTTTGGTTTCAAGTGACAGAAAACCCAATTCGAACAAAAAATAAGAGCACTTATTGCCTCATATAACTGAAAATAAAAAACTTGAGGCGAAAAGAAAAAACTTGAGGCACAGCTGAGTCCAGGTGCTCCAATGAAGTCATTAAGATTTTGTTTCTCTGCGACTCTTGGTTCTGCTTTCCCCTCAGCTGGCTTCATTTTCAGTCAAACTCTGCCCTCATGGAGGCAGAAATGGCAGTCCTGTGACTCCAGATGAAAGGGAATGCCTCTTTCCCAATGGCTGTTTAACTTCTGAGCAAATTTCAACATTTCCCCATCACCGTTTGACATTGCTCCTTCGGTTTTCTTCTCCTTAGCTTTCAACATTATTTAATGTATTATGTAAGGTTTACTTTTCACATTTTTTTGTATTTATTTTATTACCTCTCCCAGAAGAATATATACATCATGAGGGCAAGCACTTTACTTTTTTTTTTTTTTTAATCTGCATTGCCTAGAACAGTGCCTGGACTCATAATATGCTTTAAAAAATATTTGCTTGAATAAGTGAATGAAAAACTTGAGCAAAAGCCTCAGGATTAACTTTCGCCCCATTTGAGTCATAAGCCATTTGAGAGAGAGAGAGAGATAAAAAGAGAGAGAGAGATAAAAAGAGAGAGAGGAAGGGAGAGAGAAGGAGGGAGAGAAAAAGAGAAGCAGATAGAGAGTCCAAGTCCAAAGGCGTAAGAACCAGGAAGACCAATGGTGTAAGTTCCAGTCAGAAGGCCAGCAAGCTGGATATCCAAGAAGAACCTATGCTTCAGTCTAAGTTTGAAGACCAGATAAGACCAATGTCTCAGTTCAAGTTACTTCATACTCAGCCTTTTTGTTCTATTCAGGCCTTCAGCTGATTGGATAAGGCTCATCTACATTAAGGAAGGCAATCTTCTTTACTTAGTCTACTGATTCAGATGTTAATTACGTTAGAAATACCTACACACACACACACACACACACACATACACACACACACACACGAAGAACAATTTACATTTAGCTAAAGTTGTGGGTACCCCATAGCCCAGTCAAGTTGATGCGCAAAATTAACCATCACAGTCACCAAAGCAAACCTCATAACTGACTCTGTATCGTATTTTAGACACACGAGGATTTCAAGCCTCTCATCTTGACACAAAGCTTCTCAAAGGAAAGTAACTAGCTCCAAGGTTCATCTCTTCCTTTCAAACTTTCTGTAGTTTCCATTTTCCTGCTAGGTTGTGAGGATCTTTGCTGGCGTTCTGCATCTTCTCTAGATGAGCTTGACTTTGCTCCGTCATAGAGTACTCACTCACTCATCTTCCTCTGAGTAAGTATGAGGAGCCTGGGCTCTTGAAGTGGACTGCGTGGTCCAAATCCCATCTCTACCGTGAACTAGCTAGTGGACCTTAAAAAACTCCCCAGTGTTTCAGTTCCCACATCTATAAAACGGACATTATTTTAAGACATTTCTCATGATATTTGTTATGTGGTTTAAATGAAACAAAACATGTAATGTACTTACCACAATGGCAGATGTTGAGCAAGTACTCAATAAATGTCAGTTATTATCATTGTTATTATTTGTTTACACTTTTGATTTGGTGAAGTTGTCCCATTATTAGTCTAAAGATGGGATGGTGTTTACCGTTTTCCAATAATCTCTCAGCTAGAAACCTGGTTGTCATTCTTGATACCTCCTTTATCATTCCTCTTATCATGTCCATCACTAAGTCTTGTTGATTTTAATTCTTAGATAACTTGTGAGCCCATATCCTTCTCTCTATCTCCATTACTGTCACCTTAGTTTATGGTACCTTCAACTTATGCCTGGATTATTGTGTAAGCTTTTAAACTTACTTTCTAGTTGCCACTTCTGTTCTTTCCAATTCATTCTTTGCCCTGGAGCCAAGTTGATCTTTTAAAAACACAAATCTGTTTATATTGTGCTGCTGCTCAAAACTCTTCAGTGGCTTTCCGTTGTTTCTAAGGTAAAGTCCGAAATTTATAGCATGGCTATTAGGTGCTATTTAGCTTCCTGCTAACACCTTCTGTCCTGTTTTTCAACTCTCCCCCTTGGCCACCCTCATGCTTCAGTAGTAGTCTTCTTTTAGGTTACTAAATGGTTAATGTGGTGTAGATTTTCATTTTTTACATTTTTGAGTACCACAAGAAACTCAACTTTGTTAAGTAAATGGAAAGCTACATAGGCAGAAGCTTGTGATTTTTCCTTCAAAGAGAATTCTTCCATATGCATCATCAAAGCAATACTATTAATAGTATTGCTTTCAGCCTGGTCATGGAAAAAGAGTATCATTGAATTGGGTATTATATTTGGTATTTGTCAAAATTGGATTTTACCTAGATCCTGGCACTTTATAATTTTCAAAGCTGCTTCCCATTCTTTACTCTCATTTAACTCTCACAACCACCCTGTGAAGCCTGAAAGACTGGGATCGTTACTTTCATTTTAGAGATGATGAAACTGGGGCCTGCAAGGGGATGTAACTAAAACTCATTCCATTTTCTTCATTGGACTTAAGACACACATGGCCTCGCTTCTATTTTGTGTACACATAGCTGGTATTTACTTGTGGCAGAAAGGCAGAATATACTTCTTTCTGAAACAGTCTCCTCAATTTTAACTTTTTCAGCTTATTTTGAGATCCCAATTGGGGCTTTCTGGCTTATAGCTCTCTTTGTAAAATTCTTGATAGAGGTACAAAGAACCGGTTTCTTTCACACGTTATTTATCTTTTAGTACTTCTATGGAGTTTTCCAATCTTTGTGATGGCAAATCTACAAATATTTTCTCTTATGGTTTCTGCCTTTGATTTTATGTTTATCAACTCTTTTCTGTACAAAGACTATATAAAAATTTACCTACTTGTTTTTTGGTACTTTTATTGTTTTTTTTTTTTCTTTTTTTTCACATTTGTGTCTGTCTTTAACTAGGGTCAGCAAACTATGAGCCATGGACCAAATCTGGTCCATTCCTTGCTTTTATACACAAAATTTTATTGAGGCACAGCCACACCCATTTGTGTAGGTATTATCTATGGCTGCTTTGCACTATAAGGGCAAAGTTCAGTCATTATGACAGAGACCACGTGGTCTGCAAACCCCAAACTCTTTATTATCTCCCTGTTCTTTTTACAGAAAAAGTTACCAGGCCCTTATTTTAATCAGTCTAGAATTGATTCTGATATAGTTTGTCAGTTATCTATTTTTTTTCAAATGAATAGCCAATTTTCACAGCACTATTTATTCAACCATAGGCTAAAAAATGACACCCATGTATGTCCATGTCCTAATCCTTGGAACCCATGAACGTTACCTTAAAAATTTGGCAAAACGGGGTTGGGTTCCAAGATGGCTGAATAGGAACAACTCCAGTCTATAGCTCCCAGCATGAGCAACGCAGAAGATGGGTGATTTCTGCATTTCCAACTGAGGTACTGGGTTCATCTCAATGGGACTTGTTGGACAGTGGATGCAGCCCATGGAGTGTGAGCCGAAGCAGGGTGGGGCATTGCCTCACCAGGGAAGTGCAGGGGGTTGTGGAATTCCCTTTCCTAGCCAAGGGAAGCCATGACAGATGGTACCTGGAAAATCGGGACACTCCCACCCTAGTGCTGCACTTTTCCAATGGTCTTAGAAAATGGCACACCAGGAGATTATATCCCGTGCCTGGCTCGGAGGGTCCCATGCCCATGGATCCTTGCTCACTGCTAGCACAGCTGTCTGAGATCAAACGCAAGGAGGCAGCGAGGCTTGGGGAGGGGCATCCGCCATTGCTGAGGCTTGAGTAGGTAAACAAAGTGGCCAGGAAACTCGAACTGAGTGGAGCCCACCGCAGCTCAGCTAGGCCTGCCTGCCTCTGTAGACTCTACCTCTCGGGGCAGGGCATAGCTGAACAAAAGGCAGCAGAAACTTCTGCAGACTTAAATGTCCCTGTCTGACAGCTTTGAAGAGAGTAGTGGTTCTCCCAGCACAGAGTTTGAAATCTGAGAATGGACAGACTCAAGTGGGTCCCTGACCCTGAGTAGCCTAAATGGGAGACACCTCCCAGTAGGGGCTGGCTGACACCTCATACAGCTGGGTGCCCCTCTGAGATGAAGCTTCCAGAAGAAGGATCAGGCAGCAACATTTGCTGTTCTGCAATATTTGCTGTTCTTCAGCCTCTGCTGGTGATACCCAGGCAAACAGGGTCTGGAGTGGACCTCCAGCAAACTCCAATAGACCTGCAGCTGAGGGTCCTGACTGATAGAAGGAAAACTAACAGAAAGGAACAGCATCAACATCAACAAAAAAGACATCCACACCAAAACCCCATCTGTTGGTCACCATCATCAAAGACCAAAGGTAGATAAAACCACAAAGATGGGGAGAAACCAGAGCAGAAAAGCTGAAAATTCTAAAAATCAGAGTGCCTCTTCTCCTCCAAAAGATCGCAGCTCCTTGCCAGCAATAGAACAAAGCTGGATGGAGAATGACTTTGATGAGTTGACAGAAGTAGGCTTCAGAAGATCGGTAATAACAAACCTCTCCAAGCTAAAGGAGGATGTTCGAATCCCTCACAAAGAAGCTACAAACCTTGAAAAAAGATTAGATGAATGGCTAACTAGAATAAACAGCATAGAGAAGACCTTAGATGACCTGATGGAGCTGAAAACCATGGCATGAGAACTATGTGATGCATGCACAAGCTTCAGTAGCCGATTTAATCAAGTGGAAGAAAGGGTATCAGTGATTGAAGATGAAACGAATGATATGAAGTGAGAAGAGAAGTTTAGAGAAAAAAGAGTTAAAAGAAATGAACAAAGCCTCCAAGAAATATGGGACTATGTGAAAAGACCAAATCTACGTCTGATTGGTGTACCTGAAAGTGACGGGGAGAAGGGAACCAAGTTGGAAAACACTCTTCAGGATATTATCCAGGAGAATTTCCCCAACCTAGCAAGGCAGGCCAACATTCAAATTCAGGAAATACAGAGAATGCCACAAAGATACTCCTTGAGAAGAGCAACCCCAAGACACATAATTGTCAGATTCACCAAAGTTGAAATGAAGGAAAAAATGTTAAGGGCAGCCAGAGAGAAAGGTCTGGTTACCCACAAAGGGAAGCCCATCAGACTAACAACAGATCTTTATAGCACTAAATTATAATTTATCGCACTAATTGCCCACAAGAGAAAGCAGGAAAGACCTAAAATCGATACTCTAACATCACAATTAAAAGAACTAGAGAAGCAACAGCAAACACATTCAAAAGCTAGCAGAAGGCAAGAAATCACTAAGATCAGAGGAAAACTGAAGGAGATAGAGACACAAAAAACCCTTCAAAAAATCAATGAATCCAGGAGCTGGTTTTTTGAAAAGATTAACAAAATTGATAGACCACTAGCAAGACTAATAGAGAAGAAAAGAGAGAAGAATCAAATAGACACAATAAAAAATGATAAAGGGGATACCACCACCTATCCCACAGAAATATAAACAACCATCAGAGAATACTATAAACACCTCTACACAAATAAAATGGAAAATATAGAAGAAATGGATAAATTCCTGGACACATACACCCTCCCAAGACTAAACCAGGAAGAAGTTGAATCCCTGAATAGACCAATAACAGGATCTGAAATTGAGGCAATAATTAATAGCTTACCAACCAAAAAAAGTCCAGGACCAGACGGATTCACAGCCGAATTCTACCAGAGGTACAAAGAGCAGCTGATACCATTCCTTCTGAAACTATTCCAATCAATAGAAAAAGAGGGAATCCTCCCTAACTCATTTTATCCAGCATCATTCTGATACCAAAGCCTGGCAGAGACACAACCAAAAAAGAGAATTTTAGACCAATATCCCTGATAAACATTGATGCAAAAATCCTCAATAAAATACTGGCAAACCAAATCCAGCAGCACATCAAAAAGCTTATCCACCAAGATCAAGTGGGCTTCATACCTGGGATGCAAGGCTGGTTCAATATACGCAAATCAATAAATGTAATCCAGCATATAAACCGAACCAAAGACAAAAACCACATGATTATCTCAATAGATGCAGAAAAGGCCTTCGACAAAATTCAACAGCCCTTCATCTAAAAACTCTGAATAAACTAGGTATTGACGGGATGTATGTCAAACTCATAAGAGCTATCTATGACAAACCCACAGCCAATATCATACTGAATGGGCAGAAACCAGAAGCATTCCCTTTGAAAACTGGCACAAGACAGGGATGCCCTCTCTCACCACGCCTATTCAACATAGTGTTGGAAGTTCTGGCCTGGGCCATCAGGCAGGATAAAGAAATAAAGGGTATTCAATTAGGAAAAGAGGAAGTCAAATTGTCCCTGTTTGCAAATTACATGATTGTATATTTAGAAAACCCAATCCTCTCAGCCCAGAATCTCCTTAAGCTGATAAGCAACTTCAGCAAAATCTCAGGATACAAAATCAGTGTGCAAAATCACAAGCATTCTTATACACCAATAACAGACAAAGAACCAAATCATGAGTGAACTCCCATTCACAATTGCTTCAAAGAGAATAAAATACCTAGGAATCCAACTTACAAGGGATGTGAAGGACCTCTTCAAGGAGAACTACAAACCCCACTGCTCAAGGAAATCAAAGAGGACACAAACAAATGGAAGAACATTCCATGCTCATGGATAGGAAGAATCAATATCGTGAAAATGGCCATACTGCCCAAGGTAAGTTATAGATTCAATGCCATCCCCATCAAGCTACCAAGGACTTTCTTCACAGAATTGGAAAAAACTTCTTTAAAGTTCACGTGGAACCAAAAAAGAGCCTGCATTTCCAAGACAATCCTAAGCCAAAAGAACAAAGCTGGAGGCATCATGCTACCTGACTTCAAACGATATTACAAGGCAACAGTAACCAAAACAGCATGGTACTTGTACCAAAACAGAGATATAGACCAATGGAACAGAACAGAGCCCTCAGAAATAATACCACACATCTACAACCATCTGATCTTTGACAAACCTGACAGAAACAAGCAATGGGGAAAGGATTCCCTATTTAATAAATGGTGCTGGGAAAACTGGCTAGCCATATGTAGAAAGCTGAAATTGGATCCCTTCCTTACACCTTATACAAAAATTAATTCAAGTTTGATTAAAGTCTTAAATGTTAGACCTAAAACCATAAAAACCCTAGAAAAAAACCTAGGCAATACCATTCAGGACGTAGGCATGGGCAAGGACTTCATGACTAAAACATCAAAAGCAATGGCAACAGAAGCCAAAATTGACAAATGGGATCTAATTAAACTAAAGAGCTTCTGTATAGCAAAAGAAACTATCATGAGAGTGAACAGGCAACCTACAGAATGGGAGAAAATATTTGCAATCTATCCATCTGACAAAGGGCTAATTTCCAGAGTCTACAAGGAACTTAGACAAATTTACAAGAAAAAACAACCCCATCAAAAAGTGGGCGAAGGATATGAATAGACACTTCTCAAAGGAAGATATTTATGCGATCAACAAACATATGAATAAAAGCTCATCATTACTGGTCAATATACCATCTCACACCAGTGAGAATGGTGATCATTAAAAAGTCAGGAAATAACAGATGCTGGAGTGGATGTGTAGAAATAGAAACACTTTTACACTGGAAGATAGTGTGGTGATTCCTCAAGGATCAGGAACCAGAAATACCATTTGACCCAGCAATCCCATTACTGGGTATATACCCAAAGGATTATAAATCATTCAACCATAAAGACACATGCACACGTATGTTTATTGAATCACTGTTCACAATAGCAAAGACTTGGAACCAACCCAAATGCCCATCAATGATAGACTGGATAAAGAAAATGCGGCACATCTATACTGTGGAATACTATGCAGCCATAAAAAAGGATGAGTTCATGTCCTTTGCAGGGACATGGATGAAGCTGGAAACCATCATTCTCAGCAAACTAACACAAGACAGAAAATCAAACACATGTTCTCACTCATAAGCAGGAGTTGAACAATGACAACACATGGACACAGGGAGGGCAACATCACACACCAGGGCCTGTTAGTGGGTGGGGGGCAAGGGGAAAGAGAGCATTAGGAGAAATACCTAATGTAGATGATGGGTTGATGGGTGCAGCAAACCACCATGGCACGTGTATACCTATGTAACAAACCTGCACGTTCTGCGCATGTATCCCAGAACTTAAAAATAAATATATAAAAATAAATAATGAATATATATATGTATATATTTGTTTTTATAACTATTTCAAATACAACTTAAGGTCTTTAAAACAGGTCAACAAAGTCCTGCATTATTTTGCCCAGTCCTCTTCATTTGCTCCAAAGGTCTGATATCTAGTTCATAGAGTAACACATCAGGCTCTCAGTTTCCCTACTGGCTGGCTCTTGTTTGTCTTAGGATTTGACTCATTTTCCCCAACATACAGTAAGTCCATTTTCTCACTAAGGATTTTCTTCTCTTAGTTTGATATGTGTACTATGGGCTTAAAACAGTTTCACAACAGTATCATTTCTTAGATTTCATCCCAAATATTCATTTAGTGGTTTCCAAATAATTTTTAGGATAAACTCTAAGTGCTATGGGAGGGCCTGTGAGTCATTTTTGGATGGGTCCTGCTCACCTCTTCAGAATGAAG
This sequence comes from Homo sapiens, assembly GCF_000001405.40. Lineage (NCBI taxonomy): Eukaryota > Metazoa > Chordata > Mammalia > Primates > Hominidae > Homo > Homo sapiens. The sequence goes on along the minus strand of NC_000006.12, from coordinate 51,917,766 downwards.
GGACAGTCACTAGGTGCCTATACCTTCTGTATACCTGTACTCTGGCCATGCCACATATGTAGCAGTTATTCGAATGTCCCCCACCATCTTACACATCATTGTCGTTGCCTAGGGTACGCTTCCCATTTTGTCATCTGGCACACTTTGGTTTGTCCTTCAAGACCCAGCTCAGTTATCACCTCTTCTGGGAAGCATTCCTGGAAAGGACCACTCCCTTGGTGTGATTGCAGTGCTCCATGTCTGTACACCCCTGAGTGTCACTGCACCTTGCACAGTGCACTTCTGATTTTTGTCTATTTCTTGTACTGATCATGGGCCCTGGAGGAAAGGGACTCTGTTCTTTGTGTTTGTCTTCCTAGTGCGTGACAAATGTTCATCCACATACAAGACAGCATCTAATGTTTTGCTATGGATAATGGTGATGTTGCATCCAGAAATAAGGGGGAAATAATTTGTATATATTTGAGGACAATATTTCTAGTTTTTTTTGTAAGTTCCTTTATTCTGATGCAAACATTATTTTAATAAATTATCCTTTTCTTTCTCCTTTCTCTCTCTCTCTCTCTCTCTCCCCCCCACCTCTCCCTCTCTCCCTCTCTCCCTCCCCCACCCTAAATGATTTTGAAAGGCCTTGGCAGTTATTCTTAGAATAAAGATTTAAGTCCTACAAAGTAAGCAAACAGAGGACAATTAGTGATTTTAGTGTGTTAACCCACAAGGATTATTTTATTTTTCTCCATGCCCATTTAGTAAGAATGGTGCTCTGAGACTGTGTAATTATGGATGAATGACATTGAAATGCTTGAACAATAATTTGTAGGAAATACAATTATGAGTAGAAGTCATTAGTGGGAGTAAATGAGTAGTTTGTTGGTTAACAGGTCAACATGGAAAGCCCAAAGTGATTAAACATAGTATTAAATTACAAGTTAAAAGCATAGTCCTTTTTCATTTAGCATATTCATAAATTATTGAGCTTTTTATGCGTAGTTTTATGTGTTTTTGATTTGTGGTACAGAAAGGAAGGGAGCTACCCAACCTGGGTTTCAATAGTTCTATGAACAGAAATGACTCAGATGTAAAATGTGTGCAATGCCTTCTTCATCAGAGAAGTCAGTTGGTCCACCTTGTATGACATTTAAATAACATTTATGAAGTAATGAGTATAATTTTTTGAACATCAAAGCTAATTGGGTACAGTTAATTTACAGCTATTTCCAGAGGCTACAAATTCCATTTACTTGTCTAGTTCTCTGGTCTTAGATTCAGAAGAACTAGTTTCAGAACTTTGTGCTGATATCTATTACCATATAATCTTGTCCTTGAAGAATCATAGTTTCCTATCTGTACAATCTGTTAAAATAAATAACAAAAATAAAAAACCAAAGATTTCTTACTTGACAATGAAACTAGTTTGCATAGGTTGGGGTTATTCTAAGTTTTCAATAAATGTTTGTATTTTTTTCTGCTTTTTGCATATTGAATATTATATACTCACTTGGGTATATATCTGATGGGAGTTTACAAGTGATTGCCCAGAAGGCAATACTTAAAATAGGTCATTTAAACCACTATGAATTGAATGTTAATTATGCGTCCAGTGCTGTGTTAGGAATTGTGCCATATATAAAGGAGACATGAGGCAGTGGCACAGCAGTCATGGTGCCACCTGTAAGGTGGAGAGAAAAGACACATGCACTTTAGTAATTTCAGGATGATTTAGTGCTGAGATACATGGGACTGACTATTGTTTATGTAATTGAAGTCTCCCCAGGCTTCCCTGAGCCTGCTCAGCCTGTGGATATTTCAATAGTGATAAAAATTTTACTGTCTGAGGCCCCCAACTCTCACAAAACCTTCTCCCCTTTTTAGCAGTTCTGCTTGCTTGTTCTACGTGTTCTCACAATGTGTTTTCTGTGAGTTCATCTGTCTGCCTTAGTCACCATGAGGCATCTTTCATGTTCTTTTCCTCCTACTTTGGCTTCTTGGTCATTGTTCTCCATTTAGGAAGGTAGTAGGGGCTGCCTCATCCCTGCATCTACTGCTGGTACCTGCCATGAGAGTACTGAACACATGGGTTTGAGGGTGTGGGCTTTCATTTAAAACCCCAAGATGTGGGAGTGTACTGTGTCCCATGATGAAATGTGGCAACTGTCTCTGCATGCCACTCAGAGTCCCATCTGATCAACTGGACACCAAGACATTGGGGTGCTTGTTTCTCTGTCTCATTTGTGATTTTATGCATTCAGGATGTATTTATGGAACACTTACATGCTAGACACTGTGAAAGGCATTGATATTGTGACGGTGAATGAACATAGGTATGGTTTTTGCTGTTATGTTTAGTGGGGGAGACAAATTCTAAGTACAGAAATAGAGGCCAAATTGCAGTTGTGTTAAGTGTGAGAAAGGAGACAGCCATGGTGATATGACAGATTATATACAGGGTTTGCCTACTCAGCAAGTCTTGGAGCCTTCTCTCAGGATTAAGTTCTAAAGAATGCAGCAGAGTGAGTTGGTGAGAGAATCTCAGGTGGAGCAGCATCAGGTGACAAAGCCATCTGGAGGGTTCCTCCAAATTATTCCCTCAGGTTCAGTCATAGGTCCTTGTGGTCAAGAGAGAGGGCCTATATCTGAGATTGACCCCATATCTTCTCTGTCATCTTCTTTTCTCTCATCTGTTTCTTTGTGCAAACTTCCTCCCCCACACAAAGCAGCTCAAATAAATGGCCCACAAGCTACCCAGACATACTTGGGAATGCCTAAATCCCAGATGTACACACAGATTTTGCTGAAGGAACGATGTCACTGATCACTACAAGGTTTGTAGGAGGAAGTGAAGATGAAGTATGTTCTGAAATTCACTGAAAAGATTGGGCTTGAGTTGTGCTTTAAAAGGATAGATGAAGAGAAAGAAGCAAGGACATGAGCGGAAAGGACGAAATTGACAAAAGATTAGAGGCAGGACGATCCGGTTAAATGAGAAGAGGTAAAGAGACTGGGCTTCTTGGAACAGAATTTATTAAGAAATCAGAGACCATAAAGTAGGGTCACATTATGGAGAGTCTTTGAAGTCAAGCAGCAAATTTGAGACTTTGTTACTGAGTATTGCAGGAAAATACTGCAGGTTAATGGACAAAGAAGGGATGTAATTGAAATAACTTAGCACAAAATTTGTTTAAAAAAAGAACATAAGGAGGAATACTTAAAGGAATAAAAGCTGTTTGCAAGAGGGTCTAGCTCAGATAATTATTACAATAATTTCAAGATGGTAGTAGCTCATCTAAATGTCAATATCTACTATGTAGCTAGAAATATGAGGCCAACACTCATTAAACATCCAGGCTTGATGTTTTAACCATACACATAGAGGTGTTATTTTTGCAATGGGAGTGCATAAGTTATAAGCTAGTTTTACTGCTTTCTAGAGGCTCTGTCAATATTTACAAAGATGTAACTTTTTTGTTAATAGTTTAAAAATGTACTTCAAAGATTATCTGTGAATTTTTTCATCCATTCAGAGTTGACCATTATTTATAGGAGTAACTAGTTGAGCTAGACCTTTGTGGTCTTTACTCTTGGTTCTGCCATGCGTAGCTTGCATGTTGATAGTCACATAGCAGGTATTTGTTGCATATTAATTGAGAATTGTGAATACTGATCACAGAGTCTGACGGCATTTTGTCTTGGATAAACATTTTTCTGTGCTTAGTAGAGATTTTTCTATGTAGGCATTCAAGAATGGGTTATAAAAATTCACATATATATGCATATACATATAAATAAATTTTATTTCATTTTATTGTTTCCAAGGGTTAAGATATACAAACAAGAAATAAAGTTAAAATTATTTTCTTTTGGGATGATTTATGTCTTAATTTTCACCTGCCTTATAATTAGAAATTTTGAACTCTGTACATTTTTTTAAGACAAAATTATTGCCCAAGTAAACTTCAGAAATTACAATATTAACCCAGAGACCTTTCTAAACCTAGAACATTATTGGTACAAGTGCTTATGCACAGAGAGACAAATAAATAAAGAGGAAAGTTTAAAATAATTTGAAAATGATTTATTGTCGGCCACCTCTGTAGTTAGAGATTCAAGTATTATTACTTTACTTTAGTACAACAAGGGAGGACAGTAACTTGCTGCGGGCTAAAGGTAAATTATCATCCATTGCAAAAGAGGAAGGAAATGTACTACAGAAAGAGGAAGGAGTAGGGAGTAAGCCATGTGTTTTCTGAAGTATTCAGATAATGCCTTGAAAAAATCTGTGCCTTGACCCTTGCTGGAAAAGACCAGAATAAACTGTGAGACAGATGACCTTCTTGAATCTTTGATAATTAGAGATTAGCATGCTGGTATGGGGATGGTCAGGCGGGTATGCTGGAGTGTAATACAAACAAAGTTTATCTTGAACCACAAGTTCCCCTTCTTCAACTGCATTTAGCAGTCCTATGTTAGATAGGTCTAGTTTTTAGAGTTTGAAGGGATCATTTAATACACCAAGACTTATGACAACTCTAAGAGATAATTTTTGTTTTCCCCTCTATTTTTGTTATTTGTGAAGTCTTCATATTGGAAATTAGTTATGGAGGTCTACATCAGAAAGTCTAATAACCACTTGTTTTTTCTTGGAATAAAAAAGAGGTGGTAAAATTTCATCCTCAAACAGTGTGACACAGAAAAGGAAGAGAAAGGACTAACATACCCTTAGGGTCTATTATGTGGTAAGATCCAAGCTAGATGTTTCATAGATACTATTTCATTGAATCCTTCCAAAACCCTATGATGGAAGACCCTGCTACTTCTGTTTTTAACTGAGGAAACTGAAGCCCATTCATCAAGTTTATTACCCTAAAGAATAGGGTTAGAATATGAAAAGATCGTGATTCAAATATAAGTGTAATCTGACCACAATTCTTGTGCTTTTTACACGTTGCTATTCTCTAGTCTGGCTTACTTTTATTGACTTCTTTTTATAGATAAAAAGAAAACCAAGGTCAAACAAAATAAAACAAAACTAATATAAAAAAATTAGTGCTTACCTATCCTGAAGCTTGCTTTTCCAGGTCTTATTTTATGGGATTCTTTGGCTAAATAACATCACATTTATTAATGATTAAATTAATCACGTTTTGATTAATGATTAAATTATCTGGACAACTTTTCCTCGGGCTGCTTTAGGTTCACTACCAGAAGTAATTGTCACCTGTCTTAGAGCAACTGCCCATGCCCTAGACACAGTGCTGGCTTTAGAAGATGCTGTGGACTGGAACCCTGGGGATGAAGTTGTCATCATCAGTGGAACAGGTGTTAAAGGTGCCAAACCGATGGAAGAGATTGTCACTGTGGAAACTGTGCAGGATACAGACCTCTATCTTAAGTCACCTTTGAGGTACTGAGTGTCAGCTTGGCTAAGTTGACATGGAAGAAGATGAGATCTTAACTGTATTGGGGTCTGGACATTTGTATTGGGGTCTTTCAATGATATATTTCTTCTGCTTAAATAATGGTAGACATTTTGACAAGAAAATTAAAAAGCATGAAATGTTTTGAAGATTTAGACTTTGTAAGTTAGTTTGTCTTGTCTCTAGAACTTCTGTCTTACACAAATGTTTGGGGCAATGATCAGCATAGTTTCTAATTTTCATGTACTTGTGTCTATAGTTCACTATTTGGTATTGAGTTTCTAAAGAAACATGAATAGATCCCCAAAGGAAGAATTATGTTAATCTAGTGGCTTATTATTCCTAGTAAGATTTGGAGTGATGTCCTCAGTTCTATCATCCTCTTTTTTTCTCCAGATATTCTCACAACTTTACAGAGAATTGGGTGGCTGGAGAGCACCATATTTTAAAGGCCACTGTGGCTCTGCTCAGCAGGAGTATTACCATACAAGGAAATCTCACTAATGAGAGGGAGAAGCTGCTTGTTTCATGCCAGGAGGCCAATGCTCCAGAAGGTAGAAGAGTGTTTTGTTGGAAAGTCTAATGAGCAAAAAAGAATATTCTTACTGTCTGATGATAGATGGCATTGCTGTGGTTGACCTCTTTTAAAATAGAATAAGCCCTTAAACTTTGGATGCCCATACTTTTCTGTAGTTTTCAGAATGCTCTTGATTGTCATTTCATCCTCCTCTCTGCCCCACTGCCCAACAACCTTGTGAAAAAGATAACAAAAGACAAAAGAAATAAAATATTATTTCTCTGGGGAAAATATTTCTATTAAAGAACTAAATCTGAAGAGTTGAATTACATTTCTGGGTTCAATGTTAAAATTCCAGGCCACTTCTAAGATTCTCAGGAAAGCCATATGCCAGAGTTCTGGGCTCAGGCAGCACATTCTTACTGATTAGACTTGTAGGGCTCCCCCATCCCCATTTTGGGATTTGTTTTCTGAGTGAACTACCACATACTTTAGGTAAGTGGTGGAAAAATTCAATTTATCTTCTAGTAGAATAGCAGGCACTGAATCACATTGATGTGCCTATTAAGCATCTATTTCAGGGATGGTTAGTTTAGTAGGTCATGTTTTGGTTTCCCAGGCTGTAGATTATGAGGCTTTCACATGTTGTGAAGACATCATTTGTCAACTTTGGTCCAGGATGGCGTGGGTGTCAAGGATGACTTCCAGGCATGAGCTCTGGATGGATGATGAGGCTATTTGCTGGGATGGGAAGAGGAGCAGGTTTTGGGGTGGGAGAGTGGCAATCGTGAGTTTAATTTTGTATATGTCATAACTGAGATGCCAGCAGGCCAGCCAACTGTGTAGAGATGTCTGGTAATGTGTGGAGCCTGGAAGAAAGGTCAAAGGGAGCTGGAGTTAAAGATTTGAGTTGTGTCTAAATATAGGTGCATGTGAGTAAAATGTTGCCATGTGGTTGGGTGTGGGGAGTTGTTAGAAGTAGAGAGGCAGTTTGGCCTCACCTCCCTCCCTACAAATCATCTACTCACAAATGTGTCATTCTAAAAAGAATGTTTGGATAACAGTGGGTTCACTTCCATCAACTGCCCAACTTTATCAATTCTGCAGAATTGGGATCTACATTCTATTCAAACTTCCTTGGTATTCTGAGATCATATTTTGCCAAATATTGCATTTGATCATGCTGCCAGTGAGATCATGCTTCTAGGTTTAAGCCATTATAAATCTGTTAGCCCCAAATGGAAAACATCCTTGATTGCATCACAAATCGTAAATACAACTACAATATTCTCAAAATAAGTCATTTCTTTTCTGTGTGGGGCTGGAGTGTGGAACAAGGTAGCTGAATTTAATAACACAAGGCCTGTCCATTTGAAAATCTTATGGATCAGTGGCACAAATAATCAAATTGTGATAAGGCATACAAATATAAATATCTCTTCATTCACCTCTTCTCTGGGTAATAGCAAATGATTGGATTCTGAAATTTACTGTGATATGATACAGTGTTTTATATTATTGGTGCTTCTTTGGATCATTAACATGAAAAATCTTTATTATCCATTGGAGAGATGATTTATTCTCCAGATTAGTTTGTACCACCAAATGCCATGTATCAACAGAAGGTGCCCTGGATCCTGAGGTCACAACATTTTGGTAGCAATAGTAGTTGTGTGTGTTAGGTCCAGGTGGTTTGCTGCCCTCCCTGGCATTCATAGTTGTGTGTGTTAGTTCAGGTGGTTGCTGTCCTCACTGGCATTTGTAGTTGTGTGTGTTAGGCTCAGGTTGCTGCTGTCCTCATTAGTGGCACAGCTGGGGAAGTAGGTGTTGGTGCAGGAGCTGCTCAGTTGCTTCTCTGGAGTCCTTTGACATTTCTGTGGTAGCGTTATTGCTAAGTCCCCAAACCATAAAACAGCACAGTAATGGGGAAACCTCATTGGACAGCTTAAGATTAAAAAGTGCTGTTATTATATTCAGTGCTAACATGTCTTTCCTACAATTATCAACCACAAGAAGGTCATTTTATTGCACATTTCCTCCAGAGGATCTTTTAGATTGAAATAAGCATCTATTTAGGTTGGGTTTGTGGGTTATAGTCTGACTCTTTGTGACAGTAATTAAGGTGATTGATTTGGGAGTTTCTTGAAAAAATAGAATGAAGGCAACATCATGTCCTGTTTATCAGATCTTTTAATTAATAATATACAGAGGAGAATCAAAGAAAAGGGGAAATAAGATTATTAAATGAAATAAACAGTAATGGTTTTTCCTCGGTGCTGACAGTACCTTTCAAACTGGGAGATTTGTCTGGAAGCATGTTCTACATGCTTTAGGTTCTCTGGACTTTATTTTGCATTTCAGGTAATCTGCAGCACTGTTTGTATTCCATGAGTGAGAAGATGCTAGGATCCAGGGATATGGGAGCCAGAGTGATCGTTCAGTCCTTCCCAGAAGAGCCCAGCCAGGTCCAGTTGAAGGGAGTGCAGTTTCAAGTCTTGGGGCAAGCCTTCCATAAGCATCTGAGCTCACTCACTCTGGTGGGAGCTATGAGAGGTAAGGGGGTCCGGACCTAGGACTTTCTCATGTTTCTTTCTCCCATGTTTAAGGCACTACATGCATGGTGGAATGATAGATGATATGTGGGATTTGAGGGATTTAGAGATGGATAATTGTTATATTCTAGGTCTATGGTTCCCAAACTTCAGTATGCCTAAACAAATCACTTGTGGAGCTTATTAAAATTCAGAGTTATAGACCTTACCCCAACAAATTCTGGTCTAAGGTAGGCTTAGGAATGTGTATTTTAAATACAAACCTTTTGATTCTGGAACAGGCAGTCCAAGGAGTCCAGTTTGAGAACTATCACTATAATACAGCACACAAGAGTGAACCACACAATCCTGTGTTTTGAATTCTGTCTCTACCACTTACTAGCTTTGTGACTACAGGTGAATTGGCATTACATTATCAACACTGTGGGAGTCCAGGCACTTCTATGTAAAGTTGTCCTAAATCAGAGGAATCTTTTGCCTGGGGAAATGAGGGGGAATGGGCTGAAACCCAGGTGCTTTTTCTGGAAATGAGGAGCAGTTACATGTGCAGATCTTGGCCAGACATGAAGATATAAGAAGGGAGCAGGAAACATCAAATTCAGGTGAGAACAACTAGGTGAAAAACAAGATCAGAATCAGAAAAACAGAATATGACCAAATGCACTGATAAAAGTTCTAAAATAAAAGTTGAATGTAGGAACATCCAGGGCAAAAACTCATTACCAAAAGCTGACATGCAGAGAATCACAGAATGGGGGTGCAGATGCCAAGTCAGGAGGACAGCAGCTCCATTTCTGAGTAATCCTCCCCATTCATCAGCACTTTCAACACCCACACATTCAAGCTTTGCCTTCTTTAAAGAGGCTGTGCCCCAGGGGTTCAGAGGTTGATGCCTGACAAAGGACATCAGGGCATACTTTGTGGTTCAGGTGGCTTTTGAGAGATGCTAGGATTCTAACAGGTAATTGCAGAGTAATCCTTCAGGTCATTGAGGGCAGGATTCTGAACTGCCAGAAGCAACATTTTCCTTCATTTCAAATTATCTGCATGCTAAGGACGTCTATTTCTTCTAATTTTTCCAATCTTTTTAAATTTATTTGAGTCATTTCAGAGGATGGCTCCGCATATGGCCTCTCCGCTAGTGCTTCGGATTGATTAGTATCTTTATTTCCTTCTCTCTGGTTCTTTGGTCAGCTGTATATAGTACTGCAGAATATTTGACATGCGGCCAATTCAGTAAAAAAGAGGGTAGCTGTCACAAATAAGTTATCAATTGAACATAATCAAAGCCCTTCCTTGATCAAATTTTACCTAACCTATCTCTCCCACCTCTGTTTCAATCAGAGTAGCTGCACACTCATCTATTTTTATAGATATTTTATATTTTAGGTTTTATTTGAAAAAGAGTTCAGTGCTTAAAAAATAAAAGTTTGAAAATTACTGCATTAATACATTTATTACCTTTAAATCCCTGTTAAAATGCAGAGGCTAGAAACTTTTGGAATGCTCATTAAGGAATCTTTTATTGTTTAACACCCTGAAGCCCCTCATGTCCTACGCAGCTAATTACTCCCAGCTACCAGAGTTAGAAAGCATTGGGATATTTGAACAGTACTTTTTAAAAAATTTAATTTAATTTTAAGTTCTAGGGTACATGTGCAGGATGTGCAGGTTTGTTACATAGGTAAATGTTGCACAGTACTTTTTAAAGGTTCACTAATCCCAGTATTCCGCCCATAAGAGCTACACAAACACATAAGTACTTACTGGTTTTTCACATGGTCAGGCCTATGCTGTTTGGGTGATATGGTGAAGATTCTGTGCACTATGGGCAGTGTTTGCTACAGAAGTAGATATGGATGGGTTAATTTATTGGGGTGGATCCTTGATGAGCAATGTGAGGGCACCTAGTAGTAGGAGAGCTGAGATTGAGGGGAATGTGGAGATCCAGTGTTGATAGTGATGTTAAAGTTTAGAATTTTTTGGATAGTCCCAACTGTAAAAGTCAAATTATTCTGTAAACTAAAGTAACTTTTCTAATATCCCAGCACTTGGCATCTGTATCTTTCTCACTACCTAGTAATAATACAAAGCTCCCTTTTTAGGATTTATAGTTTAATTATTCAAATAATGGATTTTTATTATTTTAATGTCAGTTTCCTCCATCAGAATGCAAATACATGAATGCAGAGGTTACTTAGTTTCATTCATCTTTATGTTTCCAGCACAATGCAATGCACAATTCCTGAAACATATAGTTGATACTCAGTAATTGTGTATTCATTGACTCATCTAGGCCTCGTAACCAGATCTGGGGATCATAGAATATGCCTATGGAACCAGTGTAATGATTTTCCTAATTGTCAATTTTTTAGCGTAGTAGAGGATAGCTTCCTCTTTAGTTGTATAAACCTATCCAGTTCAAATGTGAGAGTCATGATCCTCAGGCCAACCTTTGACCTTGCTTACAGTTAGGAATGAGTCTCTGGCTATCTTGGGCCAAGAATATTATTGCCTGATAAATTATAAATATTAATTCACTGCTCCAGGTTTCAAAGATCAAGGCTGGCCCATAAGCAGTGCTCTTCACGTTATCCTTAACTTCTCATCTGCTGTATTATGATGAAAGCTGATACTAAAGATGATAGCCAGTTGGAAATCTTGACAGCCATGAGTTCTTTTATTGTTTAGACATACTTTGTCTTTCTCAGATTGTTTTTTTTTTTCTAACACTTGATTGTTGAATTTCACCCTTTTTATTATTGAGGCCCATTGGTTTGAGTTACTCATTCTCTTGATTCGATTGCTGCTTCTAACTTCTTATCTCCTGAGTTTCATTATTGTGTGGGAGAATGTCTTTAGCTACAGTGTAGGTTGCTCTAAATATGGTCAACAGAATCTCAGGAGCCATATCTAATTTTTACTTTACTCTTTCCTATTCAGAGTCTTTCATACAGGGCTGCACAGTGAGGAACTCCTTCAGTAGAGGCCTCAGCATGTGCGGGACCTTGGGCCTGAAGGTGGACAGTAATGTATTCTACAATATTTTAGGTCATGCGCTGCTAGTTGGTAAGTAAAACAAGCTTGTTGAATTTCTGCATTCTTGTGTAGGACACAGTTTTTCACAATGAATTCTCCCCAAATTTCTAATTCCTAATTTATAAAAATATTGGCTTTATGATCACTAGAAATGGGCTACAGTAAAACATTCTAAATTTAAATGTAGTCATCACTGATTGGCTTACTAAACTTTACCTATAGGATACTGATCTTTTAAAGGTTAGTTCAGGTTAATAAGTGTATAATGGGAAGTTTTAAAGTTTACTACCAGTAATTTTCACAATAATTCTAAGTCACATGCATATGTCTTTGTATAGTCTTACAGACTGTCAAACTTGGATGTTGGCCAAGGATTTAAAAATCTGGAATTCTCTTCTTAATAGAATTCAAGCTCCTGTGGCTTGCTGAAGAAGCCCATGTTTCAGAATCTTCAACTGATCAACTCTATCTACTTCTGTTTCCTAAAGTTCATTCCCCTTGCAAAACTCAGAATTATCCTTAAAAATCTCAGATTGCATCATATCACTTCTCTCCTTTGAGATTCTTATTGCTTTTAAAATAGAATCCCAAACTTTTCACCAGACTTAAAAGATCCCTTCAGTGATTTTGTCTCTGTTAACTTCTGTAAACTTGTCTTGTTTTTTTTCTCTTTCTCCATACTCTAGTGACATTAAAATATTTTATTTTAGTTCCTTCAAAAGACCACACTTTTTCCTTCCTCAGGGTCTTTGCACAAGCTCTCTGGCTCTGTTCATGCCACTTACTCTTCTCTTGCAACATTCTCTCTCCCAGACAAGTCCTTCTGTTTAAGCTCTTTAAGCGCCAATCAGTACTTCTTGATTTAAAATTATATACCACATTTCTGGTCATCTGATTAATGTCTTTATACCACCGGATTTCTTGAGGACATTGTCTCCTGAACACTTAGCATATTAACTAGTGCATTGTAGATCTATTAGTTGAAAGAAATGAATGAATTAAGAAACAAAGGGTCTCCAGTTTTATCAGAATAAAAAAGCAAATCAGAGGTTTTCACTGAAAGTGAGAATATAACTGTATTTGTTAAATACCGTTTGATATTTAATTCTATAGTATCATCAGTGGGAAAAATACATGTTTCATTTAAGAACAATCTGTTGAGATAAAAGCTATAAAAGTTCTATCCTGAGATGGAAACTGTCTAGTGAGAAAATGTGAATCAGATACATTTGCTTTAAAACATACTCTAGCTCTAAAAGACAAAAACTAAGGGTAACTGAGGTGATCAGGTGCAGAAAAATCTTTTGATTAGAAAAGGACAGCCACAGGGAAGTCAACTAACAGATGTAGGATTGACTTTGTTTGTTCCTATGTTTGTCCGTGCAAGGGAAAAGGTGAAACATCAAGGAGAAATTGAGAAAGGTATCCTAACAGTATTACCTTAGCAGAAAACAATTATGTGGAATAGATATTAACTATGCAAGGAAGAAAACCTGTAGGCAGAATTTAGCCTTTAGTGCTTGAATGTTGTGAATTATAAGATTTTGACATCTATTGTATTACAAGTGAGGGAATTAAAATTTTTGTTTATTGATGTGTGGTGGGTAAAGCACTCAATCTCACACATAACAAGTATGCAAACCCAGACCCATGAAATGGCATGAGGAAGCCTAGATACTTAAAGACTTTGTAATGAAGGGTTCTTTGGGGCAGCTCTTTATTGATAGCCCTTAAGTGACTAATTTCTCTATTAGCATGGCCCATGCTTGCTCTTCTATTCCAACCTCAGTGGTTTGGGTGAGAAGGTCCTAGATGTTGTCCATCCTGTTCCTACAGGACATTTCAGATCTTCCAAGGGAAGGTGAGGGCATGCAGATAGCAGGTGGCCAGTTTGAACAGCTAGGAATGGGGTTGGTGTTGACACAGGATATGTGGCACTTAACAGTGGAGATAGTCACTTAGACTCCTCCTCAAAAGTAAAACAGATCTATTTTTCTGTTCTTTTTATTTAAAATGAACTTCTGATTCCTGATACTCTAGAACTGAAGAGTACATAAGATCTGTATCTCTTTCCCTGATTTACAGATAAAAACACAAAAACAAAATCAAAACAACCCACACCCAAAGAAGTAGTGTTGCAGCATCTCTTGTTTTCCTAAGTGACATAAAATATACTCAAGTAATGGGGTCTTTTGTTCTCAGGGACATGCACGGAGATGAGATATATCTCCTGGGAGGCAATTCATGGAAGGAAAGATGGTAAATATGTAAATTGATTTTAAATCTATTACAGTGTATTTAAAATTGTCATATATTTTATAGACAAGCCTGATGGCAAAATGTTAGGTCTCTTAAGTTTATTGTGCATACTAAATATTTTCTAAATATATATATATATATATATATATATATGAAATGCATTATGTGAACTCTGATGTGTATTAGTAGAATCAAGGGTGTTGAGTTGAGTACATTTTAATTATGTTTGTGGATCCCCTGGATTTGTTGAAACATTAGACTGGTCAGGACATGGAAATATAATAAGAAACAACGTGATCATCCAGGTTTCTGGTGCCGAGGGACTCTCCAATCCTGAAATGTTGACACCATCTGGCATCTATATCTGCAGTCCCACCAATGTTATAGAGGTAAGATGTTCAGCTCTACCAGGAAGACCAGAACTGAGAGGGCATAAAGTTCTTTCTCAATCAGGGGTGTCCAACCTTTTGGCTTCCCTGGGCCACATTGGAAGAATAATTGCCATTGGAAGAATTGGGTCACACATAAAATGCACTAACGCTAATGACAGCTGATGAGCTGAAAAAAAATTGTAAAACAAATCTCATAATGTGTTAAGAAAGTTGATGAATTTGTGTTTGGCCACATTCAAAGCCATCTTGGGCTGCATACGACCTGTGGGCTGCCAGTTGGACAAGCTTGCTCCAAAAGTTCTTTAAGGTGGCAGCGTTAGTGGTGGTGTGGTATGAAATGTTTACTTGCTGCATATTAGTATCAAGAAAATAATTTATAATTTTGCATTAAACAAGTACTTTAGGATAAATGTAAGCATTCCTCTCAGGATTTCTGGAAACACTTTTTTGAAGCAATAGGTAATGGAGCAAAACAAAGTAGATATTGATCGTTTCCTGGTCATCTAGGTAATGCAAACTAAAATATCTCCCTGAACTACCAACTCTGGGTGCTGATTTTTGTCTCACTTGATTCCAATACCAATTTCTTTTTAAACCTTCACTATCTTACTATGTTAATGTGGCCATATTTTGTCCTTTAAGAGTGTTCAAAACTGAGACATGAGGTGTATAAGGTCATGTCAGATTCCAGGAGGATGAAGTCCACTTCAATAACCTTGATTTTTAAAATCCCATTATTTAGTACAACTTAACATTGGTTTCCCTTGGCACATTTCTGTTTAAACATTTAAGAAATTAATTTTTGAGGGGACAATGTAGCTGTAGACCTGAGTGAACAAGTGCATCAGAGTAGTGGCAAGCCATTTCATTTCCCCTTTTCTAATTATTTTATCCCATGGATCTTCTATCAAAGGAGTTAAGGGCCTCACTGTTTCAGGAAACTCCTCTCAGCATCCACTATGTCATTATGCTGAGTTTCTAAGGAACTCAGAGGATGAGCTTCTTTCTCACTGATCATCTGTTTTTAATTACCTTCAGCTGAATAAACCCTAGTAAAAGTAGTGGTTATCTCTTCTTCCTTAGATTCTTAATTATGTTTGTTCCAAGCACAGCACTCACACACCATTTTAGGTGCCTAATGGGAGTGGCTAATATGCCAGTAAGCAAAGGAAGCAGAACTACACGGACTGTAGGAACCCAGATCCCAGATCCAGGACAGCTGGAGCTGCATTTAACTTGTTGGTCACTACAGGCCAAAAATCCTAATGATAATTAGGATTTTTTTGTTGTTATTTTAAACTTTTAATTTTAAAATAATTTCAGACTTACAAGAAGCTGCGTAAATAAAAGAGTTCCTATGTGCCCTTTCTATGTCTGTAAGCTTTTGGGCTTAAGAAACCATGTTTTTGTGTACTTTTCTGGGTAGCATAATGTTGACTACATCAAATGCCTGGAGGAAAGTAAACCCTCAGGGTTGCCCAGCTCACCCTGCTGTGTGAAGCTGGAATGTCCTTGTCTCACTGGGTAGTATGTGGTCTGCTGGACGGAGTGCTGGCCACTGGCTGACAAGAAGAAGGGTTGAGCTGGCTGCAGGTGCAGAGAACCAGAGGGTAATCTGAAAAGCTGTGGGTGGTGTGAGCCTTTGCAAAATGACCTGTAGAATAATACCCAGTCAGCAATGGAAAAATTGAGTCTGCAACTAGCTGCTTGCTCTCCCTCCAACGCTTTCCATTTCCCTTCATTTACTTTCTTACTCTTGTATCTGCTTTACAAAATTAGAAAAAAAATACAATGCATATGTTTTGAGAATGGAGTTTTAGGTTAAACTGGTAATGTAGATTCATTAGGTATATTCCTGACATATTTATCCTTGGTGACCTTAAAGTTCTTTTTTTTTTTTTTTAAGTTTTTTTTTCTTTTATTATTATACTTTAAGTTTTAGGGTACATGAGCACATTGTGCATGTTAGTTACATATGTATACATGTGCCATGCTGGTGCGCTGTACCCACTAACTTGTCATCTAGCACTAGGTATATCTCCCAGTGCTATTCCTCCCCACTCCCCCCACCCCACAACAGTCCCCAGAGTGTGATGTTCCCCTTCCTGTGTCCATGTGATCTCATTGTTCAATTCCCACCTTTGAGTGAGAATATGCGGTGTTTGGTTTTTTGTTCTTGCGATAGTTTACTGAGAATGATGATTTCCAATTTCATCCATGTCCCTACAAAGGACATGAACTCATCATTTTTTATGGCTGCATAGTATTCCACGGTATATATGTGCCACGTTTTCTTGATGCAGTCTATCATTGTTGGACATTTGGGTTGGTTCCAAGTCTTTGCTATTGTGACTAATGCCGCAATAAACATACGTGTGCATGTGTCTTTATAGCAGCATGATTTATAGTCCTTTGGGTTTATATACCCAGTAATGGGATGGCTGGGTCAAATGGTATTTCTAGTTCTAGATCCCTGAGGAATCACCACACTGATTTCCACAATGGTTGAACTAGTTTACAGTCCCACCAACAGTGTAAAAGTGTTCCTATTTCTCCACATCCTCTCCAGCACCTGTTGTTTCCTGACTTTTTAATGATTGCCATTCTAACTGGTGTGAGATGGTATCTCATTGTGGTTTTGATTTGCATTTCTCTGATGGCCAGTGATGATGAGCATTTTTTTATGTGTTTTTTGGCTCCATAAATGTCTTCTTTTGAGAAGTGTCTGTTCATGTCCTTCACCCACTTTTTGATGGGGTTGTTTTTTTCTTGTAAATTTGTTTGAGTTCATTGTAGATTCTGGATATTAGCCCTTTGTCAGATGAGTAGGTTGTGAAAATTTTCTCCCATTTTGTAGGTTGCCTGTTCACTCTGATGGTAGTTTCTTTTGCTGTGCAGAAGCTCTTTAGTTTAATTAGATCCCATTTGTCAATTTTGGCTTTTGTTGCCATTGCTTTTGATGTTTTAGACATGAAGTCCTTGCCCATGCCTATGTCCTGAATGGTAATGCCTAGGTTTTCTTCTAGGGTTTTTATGGTTTTAGGTCTATCATTTAAGTCTTTAATCCATCTTGAATTGATTTTTGAATAAGGTGTAAGGAAGTGATCCAGTTTCAGCTTTCTACATATGGCTAGCCAATTTTCCCAGCACCATTTATTAAATAGGGAATCCTTTCCCCATTGCTTGTTTTTCTCAGGTTTGTCAAAGATCAGATAGTTGTAGATATGCAGCGTTATTTCTGAGGGCTCTGTTCTGTTCCATTGATCTACATCTCTGTTTTGGTACCAGTACCATGCTGTTTTGGTTACTGTAGCCTTGTAGTATAGTTTGAAGTCAGGTAGGGTGATGCCTCCAGCTTTGTTCTTTTGGCTTAGGATTGACTTGGCGATGCGGGCTCTTTTTTTGGTTCCATATGAACTTTAAAGTAGTTTTTTTTCCAATTCTGTGAAGAAAGTCCTTGGTAGCTTGATGGGGATGGCACTGAATCTGTAAATTACCTTGGGCAGTATGGCCATTTTCACGATATTGATTCTTCCTACCCATGAGCATGGAATGTTCTTCCATTTGTTTGTATCCTCTTTGATTTCCTTGAGCAGTGGTTTGTAGTTCTCCTTGAAGAGGTCCTTCACATCCCTTGTAAGTTGGATTCCTAGGTATTTTATTCTCTTTGAAGCAATTGTGAATGGGAGTTCACTCATGATTTGGCACTCTGTTTGTCTGTTGTTGGTGTATAAGAATGCTTGTGATTTTTGTACATTGATATTGTATCCTGAGACTTTGCTGAAGTTGCTTATCAGGTTATGGAGATTTTGGGCTGAGACAATGGGGCTTTCCAGATATACAATCATGTCTTCTGTAAACAGGGACAATTTGACTTCGTCTTTTCCTAATTGAATACCCTTTATTTCCTTCTCCTGCCTAATTGCCCTGGCCAGAACTTCCAACACTATGTTGAATAGGAGTGGTGAGAGAGGGCATCCCTGTCTTGTGCCAGTTTTCAAAGGGAATGCTTCCAGTTTTTGCCCATTCAGTATGATATTGGCTGTGGGTTTGTCATAGATAGCTCTTATTATTTTGAAATACATCCCATCAATACCTAATTTATTGAGAGTTTTTAGCATGAAGGGTTGTTGAATTTTGTCAAAGGCCTTTTCTGCATCTATTGAGATAATTCTGTGGTTTTTGTCTTTGGCTCTGTTTATATGCTGGATTACATTTATTGATTTGCGTATATTGAACCAGCCTTGCATCCCAGGGATGAAGCCCACTTGATCATGGTGGATAAGCTTTTTGATGTGCTGCTGGATTCGTTTTGCCAGTATTTTATTGAGGATTTTTGCATCAATGTTCATCAAGGATATTGGTGTAAAGTTCTCTTTTTTGGTTGTGTCTCTGCCCGGCTTAGGTATCAGAATGATGCTGGCCTCATAAATTGAGTTAGGGAGGATTCCCTCTTTTTCTATGGATTGGAATAGTTTCAGAAGGAATGGTACCAGTTCCTCCTTGTACCTCTGGTAGAATTCGGCTGTGAATCTGCCTGGTCCTGGACTCTTTTTGGTTGGTAAGCTATTGATTATTGCCACAATTTCAGATCCTGTTATTGGTCTATTCAGAGATTCAACTTCTTCCTGGTTTAGTCTCTGGAGAGTGTATGTGTTCAGGAATTTATCCATTTCTTCTAAATTTTCTAGTTTATTTGCGTAGAGGTGTTTGTGGTATTCTCTGATGGTAGTTTGTATTTCTGTGGGATCGGTGGTGATATCCCCTTTATCATTTTTTATTGCGTCTATTTGATTCTTCTCTCTTTTTTTTCTTTATTAGTCTTGCTAGCAGTCTATCTATTTTGTTGATCCTTTCAAAAAACCAGCTCCTGGATTCATTAATTTTTTGAAGGGTTTTTTGTGTCTCCATTTCCTTCAGTTCTGCTCTGATTTTAGTTATTTCTTGCCTTCTGCTAGCTTTTGAATGTGTTTGCTCTTGCTTTTCTAGTTCTTTTAATTGTGATGTTAGGGTGTCAATTTTGGATCTTTCCTGCTTTCTCCTGTGGGCATTTAGTGCTATAAATTTCCCTCTACACACTGCTTTGAATGTGTCCCAGAGATTCTGGTATGTTGTGTCTTTGTTCTCGTTGGTTTCAAAGAACATCTTTATTTCTGCCTTCATTTCATTATGTACCCAGTAGTCATTCAGGAGCAGGTTGTTCAGTTTCCATGTAGTTGAGTGGTTTTGAGTGAGATTCTTAATCCTGAGTTCTAGTTTGATTGCACTGTGGTCTGAGAGATAGTTTGTTATAATTTCTGTTCTTTTACATTTGCTGAGGAGAGCTTTACTTCCAAGTATGTGGTCAATTTTGGAATAGGTGTGGTGTGGTGCTGAAAAAAATGTATATTCTGTTGATTTGAGGTGGAGAGTTCTGTAGATGTCTATTAGGTTCGCTTGGTGCAGAGCTGAATTCAATTCCTGGGTATCCTTGTTGACTTTCTGTCTCGTTGATCTGTCTAATGTTGACAGTGGGGTGTTAAAGTCTCCCATTATTAATGTGTGGGAGTCTAAGTCTCTTTGTAGGTCACTCAGGACTTGCTTTATGAATCTGGGTGCTCCTGTATTGGGTGCATATATATTTAGGATAGTTAACTCTTCTTGTTGAATTGATCCGTTTACCATTATGTAATGGTCTTCTTTGTCTCTTTTGATCTTTGTTGGTTTAAAGTCTGTTTTATCAGAGACTAGGATTGCAACCCCTGCCTTTTTTTGTTTTCCATTTGCTTGGTAGATCTTCCTCCATCCTTTTATTTTGAGCCTATGTGTGTCTCTGCACATGAGATGGGTTTCCTGAATACAGCACACTGATGGGTCTTGACTCTTTATCCAATTTGCCAGTCTGTGTCTTTTAATTGGAGCATTTAGTCCATTTACATTTAAAGTTAATATTGTTATGTGTGAATTTGATCCTGTCATTATGATGTTAGCTGGTGATTTTGCTCGTTAGTTGATGCAGTTTCTTCCTAGTCTCAATGGTCTTTACATTTTGGCATGATTTTGCAGTGGCTGGTACCGGTTGTTCCATTCCATGTTTAGTGCTTCCTTCAGGAGCTCTTTTAGGGCAGGCCTGGTGGTGACAAAATCTCTCAGCATTTGCTTGTCTGTAAAGGATTTTATTTCTCCTTCACTTATGAGGCTTCGTTTGGCTGGATATGAAATTCTGGGTTGAAAATTCTTTTCTTTAAGAATGTTGAATATTGGCCCCCACACTCTTCTGGCTTGTAGGGTTTCTGCCAAGAGATCCGCTGTTAGTCTGATGGGCTTCCCTTTGAGGGTAACCCGACCTTTCTCTCTGGCTGCCCTTAACATTTTTCCCTTCATTTCAACTTTGGTGAATCTGACAATTATGTGTCTTGGAGTTGCTCTTCTCGATGAATATCTTTGTGGCGTTCTCTCTATTTCCTGAATCTGAACGTTGGCCTGCCTTGCTAGATTGGGGAAGTTCTCCTGGATAATATCCTGCAGAGTGTTTTCCAACTTGGTTCCATTCTCCCCATCACTTTCAGGTACACCAATCAGACGTAGATTTGGTCTTTTCACATAGTCCCATATTTCTTGGAGGCTTTGCTCATTTCTTTTTATTCTTTTTTCTCTAAACTTCCCTTCTCGCTTCATTTCATTCACTTCATCTTCCATCGCTGATACCCTTTCTTCCAGTTGATCGCATGGCTCCTGAGGCTTCTGCATTCTTCACGTAGTTCTCGAGCCTTGGTTTTCAGCTCCATCAGCTCCTTTAAGCACTTCTCTGTATTGGTTATTCTAGTTATACATTCTTCTAAATTTTTTTCAAAGTTTTCAACTTCTTTGCCTTTGGTTTGAATGTCCTCCCGTAGCTTGGAGTAATTTGATCGTCTGAAGCCTTCTTCTCTCAGCTCGTCAAAGTCATTCTCCGTCCAGCTTTGTTCCGTTGCTGGTGAGGAACTGCGTTCCTTTGGAGGAGGAGAGGTGCTCTGCTTTTTAGAGTTTCCAGTTTTTCTGTTCTGTTTTTTCCCCATCTTTGTGGTTTTATCTACTTTTGGTCTTTGATGATGGTGATGTACAGATGGGTTTTTGGTGTGGATGTCCTTTCTGTTTGTTAGTTTTCCTTTTAACAGACAGGACCCTCAGCTGCAGGTCTGTTGGAGTACCCTGCCGTGTGAGGTGTCAGTGTGCCCCTGTTGGGGGGTGCCTCCCAGTTAGGCTGCTCGGGGGTCAGGGGTCAGGGACCCACTTGAGGAGGCAGTCTGCCCGTTCTCAGATCTCCAGCTGCGTGCTGGGAGAACCACTGCTCTCTTCAAAGCTGTCAGACAGGGACATTTAAGTCTGCAGAGGTTACTGTTGTCTGTTTGTCTGTGCCCTGCCCCCAGAGGTGGAGCCTACAGAGGCAGGCAGGCCTCCTTGAGCTGTGGTGGGCTCCACCCAGTTCGAGCTTCCGGGCTGCTTTGTTTACCTAAGCGAGCCTGGGCAATGGTGGGCGCCCCTCCTCCAGCCTGGCTACCGACTTGCAGTTTGATCTCAGACTGCTGTGCTAGCAATCAGCGAGACTCCGTGGGCATAGGACCCTCCGAGCCAGGTGCGGGATATAATCTTGTGGTGTGCCGTTTTTTAAGCCCGTCGGAAAAGCGCAGTATTCGGGTGGGAGTGACCCGATTTTCCAGGTGCCGTCCATCACCCCTTTGTTTGACTAGGAAAGGGAACTCCCTGACCCCTTGAGCTTCCCGAGTGAGGCAATGCCTCACCCTGCTTCGGCTTGTGCACGGTGGGCGCACCCACTGACCTGCGCCCACTGTCTGGCACTCCCTAGTGAGATGAACCCGGTACCTCAGATGGAAATGCAGAAATCGCCTGTCTTCTGTGTCGCTCACACTGGGAGCTGTAGACCGGAGCTGTTCCTATTCGGCCATCTTGGCTCCTCCGGTGACCTTAAAGTTCTAATTCTATTTTCATTAGCCTTTAGACACTAGCACAATTTCTAAAACATGGTAGTTGCTCAAAAAAAAATGTATTTAATATAACGAATGAAGGTATAAACCTATAACCAAATTATGTGGGGGAAGAAAAAGGAAAGTAAAGAACAAGTTCCAAAGTTCTAAAATCATTTTGATGACTGAAAAATAAGTTTAGTCAGTGGAAGCATTTAGATTCTGTTGGGCTATCAGCATTAAATCTTGCAAAGTCTAGTCCAGTTTTTCAGTTGTGCCATTGGCTTTCTGTTATTCAGTCTTTTTTTGCATTCTATTGTCTGTGATGTGCCATTACTTAAAGACATAGGTGGTAACTGGGTATACGTGAAAAAAACCTGTGTTCCCTAGGCGAGTCTCAAACTCTTGGTCTCAAGTGATCTCCCCACTTTGGCTTCCCAAAGGATTGGAATTACAGGTGTGAGCCACCATTCTTGGCTGAGTTAGTGTTAATTGTGTCCTGTATGGATGATATACAGAGTACTTTGAAGAACATATTTTAGAAATATACCTTTATTCCAAAGGGATAATAAGGAGGCTTCCACAATAACAAGGTGTGTGTGTATGTATGTGCATGTATTTGTGTGTATGTGTATAATATGTGGAACAGAAAGAGATGTGATAGAAAATTGTGATTAATTAGGATTTTTCTTTGTTGTTATTTTAAACTTTTAATTTTAAAATAATTTCAGACTTACGAGAAGCTGCATAAATAAGAGAATTCCTATGTGCTCTTCATCTAGCTCCCTCCAATGATAACATAACGATAACCATAGTCATGGAGCTGTACCAAGGCCAGGACATTGACATTGGTATGATAGTATTAATTAAACAAATGTATTTATTTAGACTTGAAGAAGATGGCCTAATCTTCATGTTTGGGCAACCAACTCTGAAAGCCTAAACTCTCTCTCCTCACATACCTGAGTCTGACCTTGAAATCTCTGACCTGGAAGGTAGGTAGGCAGGGGAAATGATTCTTAAGTCTGTGCAATGGTTTGTGGTTTTATATTATTCTCAAATTGCCCTGATGCAGAGCTGGGACCAAACTCTCAGCCACAACATAAGGAATTCAGCTGGGCTTGCAGTCAGTCACCTTGCTAGTTCACTTACATTCAACCTGGCATGATGCAAGTAAATTTCAAATATGATATTCTTTTTTAGTTTTGATGTTCACAGGTGGTCTGCTTCTCTCCCTGCCCAGCCTGCAGCTGAGGTGAGTCCAGGGCAGTTTCACTGAGAAGCAAAACCTGAGCTTTGTACCTTCTTGCCAGTGAGGACCCATGGGTGATAAGTGCTTGAGTCTCCAGGGGCCTGTGGCATTCCCTGGTACATTTCTTAAATAGGCGTTTGCCATGCTTTCCAAAAGCAAGTTGGTGGTGGTTCTTTTGTGTATCACCTGTAGCTTCTTAGAGCGCTTCACCCTCAGGCTGTCTTCCCTCAGCAGCTCCAGCTCCGGAGTCTAGGACTTCTTTGACAGGAGCTCCTTGTTATCTGTCAAGAGGCTGCATCTTTCCAGAAGACATAACCTGTGTGAATCTGTTCTCATTCTCTCTGGTTGGGAAGTCTTTGCTCTCAAACAGCAAGGGACTGTTCACTTCCAGAGCTCAGAGTCTCCCATGTTTATGTAGGTGTTGGAAATTTCCTATAACCAGACCCCTGTTTAGGATAGTCCGTGGAAAAACTCTGAAGAAGAGCCCTTTGGAGACATGCATTTAATTTGAGGAGAATTTGTTCTGGTTTGTGAATCAATTTTGTAAGGAATTCTGTTTAAAGGCCCAACCTCAGTTCTCAAGCTTTCCCCACTCAATAGGTAATGCATATTTAAGAGCTGCCTGAAGGGTTAACTCACTTTTTTTCTAGTGACTATAGATGTACACCTCAAGGAGCTGGCTTACTTGGGCAGTTAATTTCTCTCTGGAATTTCTCTTGCTTGAATGTCCATAATACATTGACTTCCGCAAATAATTGATTTCCACACAAAATTCCCTGCTTGCCTTAAACCTTCCCCGCAAGCTGCCAGCTGCCTGCATAAATATGTGGTTTTTCCTCATGAATCATTTGTAGCATACACAATTGGAGTTGAGAGTAAGAAGGGCCAGGAAGGAATGCGATCTGACTGTTAAAGTGCTTCTTTTGTAAGAAAAGTGAGTCTTATCAGCTAACAGAGGACCAAAGTTGCAGTCTCCTGCCCACCTATAAATGCGCTTGGAAAGTGTTTATATGTGATCACCCAGATGTGCCATAAATGCTAATGGCACTAGGGCAGATGATTCAACAAACCCATTTATTCAGGGAAACACGTGCTTTCTGAGCATCTGTGCTGGCAAAGGTGATGAATAAGGATGCAGTCCTTGGAATATATTTTTTAAATTTAAGAATCTTTTCTTTCCTCATAAAATCTTGGTAATGAAATAGCATTTCCTTGGTAATGAAATAGAGCTGTGTGGACAAGTGAGATGATCACTTTTAGCTTCCAGTCCACATTTCTCATTGTATACTTGCAGACAAGGTGGGTGTTTAAGAAGCCCCCTTCTCTGGCCCTCGGTTCTTATGTACCGCTGACCTTTCCCAAGGCTCGTGGATATAGAGAGACACACCTAGAGAAGGTGGAGTTTCACTTCCCTGGGGAAAGTTTGTGTTGTGTAATCGTGACTGAGAACAACAGCTGTGGTATTTCTTTGTATATTTACAAGGGCTGAAGAGATACACTGGGCACTTATATTTGCCAACTAATAGACAGTGATTCTTCTTGAGGCCAAGAAGCAGGAGTGCATACTCTGTTTTCTAGCACAAGAGAAAAATTGAGATAGCTGATTTAATGCTAATAAATGTTTTTTTAATGGGAATGCCTGATGCCTCATCTAATGGTTTTAAATGATATCAATAGTTTCCTAGTAAAGACTATTAAAGCATTCTTATTGTAATTAACCATGTTTTCATATTTAGGCTTGTCTTTCCATCAAAATTTGGAGATGGGATACTGGAAAATGAGTGTGGGTTATTTTGCTAATATGTGACTCTAGTGTAGACTATAGACCAAGGTTTCTCAACTACGTCAATATTGACATTTTGGGCTGGGTAATTCCTTGTTGTCGAGCCTATCCTCTGTATAACAGCATCCCTGGTATCTATGCACTGAATACCAGTAGCCCTCTTCTCTCTTCTTCATCCTCCAAGTTGTTACAATAAAAAATGTATCCAGAGGCTGTTAAATGTTCCGTAGGGAACAAAGTCATCCCTGATTGACAACCACCACTCTAGACTAGGCCACCCTAAGACCATTGAAGTCTTAGAAATGGACCTGATTCTTTGAAGTCGTGTTGGCATCTTTGATAGTGATTCATCTTAATATTCAGTGATATCCAAAAGTCACTTTTGGTGAGCACCCTGTGGTAGGTGAGACATGTGATTAGAATTCTAAGTGCTTTTAGGAAATTGGAGAATTGCTCAGACTCCAAAATAATGAAGTGCAGGAGTGACTCGGCCAATTAGTCCACAAAGGAACAAAACATCCTGTAACCGAATGAAAAATGAGGAAGAAATGGCTGTCTATTTACAAATACCCAGGGTAAGAACCTTTGGGACCCACAGTGAATTGAAGCTAAAGCTAAATAAACAGCCCGGGGCAATTGTGTCAGTATGTGCTGGCCTCCCTGACCAGGTCCTGGCTGCTGCCTGCTGGTCAGGCTTCTAGTTTCAGGGGGAACTCTGGCCCTGACTCACACTTCCCCCAAAACTGAAGGCCTCCAGGGGTTGAGGCATTGGTTCTTTCTGTCACACAAGGCAGGGAATTGGGCGTTATTGGGTTAAGAGCAATCTTTTTCAGTTTTCTCCCCCATACTGTCTTTGCTTGGCTGAATGTGTGTGTGTGTGTGTGTGTGTGTGTGTGTGTGTGTTCCTTGTGGAACATGTGGTACATTCAGGAAGGAATAGGGTCTTTAAGTTCTTCTCCTGTTGGGGGTGCCGCTATATTATCACTGCCAGTGGATCAGCCATGTTCAGAGAGTTACCCTTAATAATACCTAAAGTTGGCTGGGCACGGTGCCTCATGCCTATAATCCCAGCACTTTGGGAGGCCAAGGTGGGCGGATCACCTGAGGTCGGGAGTTTGAGACCAGCTTGACCAACATGGAGAAACCCCATTTCTACTAAAAATACAAAATTAGCCAGGCATGGTGGTGCATGCCTGTAATCCCAGCTACTCAGGAGGCTAAGGCAGGAGAATCGCTTGAATCCGGGAGGTGGAGGTTGCGGTGAGCCGAGATCGTGCCATTGCACTCCAGCCTGGGCAACAAGAGTGAAACTCCATCTCAAAAAAGAAAACAAACAAACAAACAAAAAAACAAAACCCCAAAACCTGAAGTTTTCCTTTCATTTGGAAATTAAAGTCAATAAAAATATTAGTCTAGAATGACTGAAGCCATAGGATGAAATGAGTTTACTTAGTCTAAGGATAAAGAAATGGAGAATAGCTACAAGTAAAAGGGTATGGAGTCCTCACTCTCAATCCATCCTTACTGAGAATGTAGTAAAACTCCCTGAGCTGTGTGAAAGGCTAGTGCAAGACCCTGTCCTTGGATGGGTCAGAACTTCCTCATTAAATTCTAACCCTTGTCTGCATTCAGTCCATAGCCCTACTGTCTGCACTGATAGTAGATGACAACTGCAGATAATCTCAGTCTTTTCATCTGTCATTGCTCAAAATTCCTGTGTCAGAAGCCAGTCCTCATCAACATGTCTCAGCCTTAATAACACTTGATCTCCATAATGCTGAAATTCCAGAACCCTCATCCTCCTTAAATGTACTCTTCAAAATGTCATGTCTTCTTCCTACTCTTGAGAAATGTCCCACACCCCTACCCATGTATCTCTCTGTGCACGCTAAGCTGTGCATGCTTTTTTCCCCATGTGGTGAGAATGAGAAGGATTTTACATTCTCTGGATTTGGGGTGTGAAAAGAGCAACTCCTTAGTTAAATCTGGCCTGCAAGATGCTCTCCAGATTTGGAGAAATCAAACACTACCTCCGGTGCCTTAAGGATTAATTCACTTTTTTTTTTTTTCTGGTGACTATAGATGCACACCTCTAGGAGCTGGCTTACTTGGACAGTTAATTTCTCTCTGGAATTTCCCTTGCGTGAATGTCCATGATACATTGACTTCTGCAAAGGATGTTGTTCAATATGTTGTCTCCACTACTGGGGAGGCCACAGCAAATGCCTGTTCTGTCCGTGACCGGGTGACAAGACTTTTCTTTGTACTCTCTTGTTTATGTTTCTTCACTTGCACCCTATTATTGGGCATCCTGCCTTTGGGTCCTACCTTCATTTCTCTACTCTAGTCTCTAACTTTTCCAGACTTGGACTTGGATGGAGCTGGCTCTGACAACTATTTGCTCTGTGACTTTGGGAAAGTTACTCAACATCTCTGAGCTTCAGTTTCTTTGCTATGAAACTGTAATAATAATACAAAACTCATAAAACTATTGTAAAAATAAATGAGACTCTAAAATCCAGTACCTGGACTGTAGTGCCTTCTCTGTAGATTTTCACTATGAGTGTTATTATTCTACTCATCATTACTTAAAAAAAAAATACTTCTAAGGGAAAAAAAAAATCCACCATAAATATAACTTGCACTGAGCTGGGCAGCATTTTTGCTGGGTACCTGGCAATGGATTCTCCCCCTGATTTCTAGGTCTCTATCCTCCTTCAGTTTTCAGCAGTGGCTTCCATTTGCAGTGGGTTCCCAAAGCAACTCATGGCAAAAAACTTCACCAGGAAGTGGTTTTTCTAGTGTCTCTCTCCTCTTTGAATGTCTCCTAGGAACGTTAGTAACCCTTAGCGTTACTCTCTCAATCACCTGTAGAGAAGTAGTTCTCAAAATGGGGTCAAAATATCACCTGCAGCAGACCTATCAGAGCACCTTGTGATGGCCAAGAGTAAAGAATACTGTCCCTCATCCCTTCCTCATCACCCCCCTAATAAATCAAAATATCTAAAAACCTTTGGCTAATATACCCCCAGGTAAAGCCTGCCAGATAAAATACAGCATATTTGGTCAAATTTAAATTTCAGATAGTGTTTGCGACACACTTATACTAAAATATTTTATTTTTTATCTGAAATTTAAATTTCACTGGGCATTCTGTGTTTTTATTTGCTAAATATGACAACTCTACCAGGTTGCACACGAAAGTTTAAGAAACTGTTCCAAGGGGATGCTCACAGCGTAGTCCCCACTGAGCCCTGCATAGAGGGCTGCACTGAAGTATTGTTTTTTAAAGAAAGGCATTTAATGTCTTGTTGAGTGGCACAGTGTCATGGTCCTTATGACTCCCCATTCTCTTTACTGTGACCCTAATGCCAGTGTTCAGGATGAGCTCTCCAAGCCCCATAGTTTGTGTTCCCGGGATTGAGTGACTTCCAAGGAGGATACTCCAGACATTCCTTGTCTCGCACCAGCCAGGCCATGGAAAACCCCCAGGTGATCAGGATTGAATCATGTGGGAGCCTTGGAGACTCCCTTCATCTATGTAGCACAGGGCTTACACCTGAGCAGCCTATTCCTTAACTTCTGTTCTCCAGGTAGACATGGGCATCTTGACTTTGGACAACCACTCAGACTGAGAGAGGTCAGATGCACGTGGGCACATAGGAAGTAGTCTCATAGCTTGATCGATTGGCCCTTTGTTCCTCCCACTAATAGCATCACTGCAGTGCAGCAGCCTGATAGGGCCCCGATTTTTCTCAGAGTTCTTTCTCCCTGATGATAAAGAGAAGGCTTGGGATCCTTAAGATGTGAGCGTGTGACACTGAGAGAACTCAGATGTGATTCAGGAAAGCAGAAATAGAAACTTTCATAGAATAGCCAACATGTTATTTACTTTGTTGCCTGTAGTTGAGGTTGCAAATTCAAATACTGCAGAGACTAGGCAGGGATCATAAATGAGTGAACCAGGAAGGGTGAGGACTGTGGAAAAATCATCCACAGTCCAAGAAGGAAGGCCCTTCTTATCTTCACCTGACCTGTGGCTACTTCACAGGAATTTGGGCTCAGAAAAGCTGAAAGTCTGAATTTTTTATTAAATCTCTTGGTTTGAACATGTTGGAACCAAAAAAATATGAACATTGGGTAGGCCAAAAAAAAATACATCTGTGTACAGTCTTAAACCTTTAGGAAGTCAGTTTTTTAATTTGTCTTAAGTCTATGTTACATAGGGATGAACATATTGTAGGTACTTCATTGAATTTATAAAGATAACCTCATTGTGTTCAGTTTGATCAGAATTAGATCCCCAAACTCATATGGTCCAAGAGAGAGAAGTCAGATTTTATATGAACACATAAAATACATGAAATTATTTAGATAGTAAGACCTATAAAGAAATATCAAGGCGACTTAATAGTCTATTCAGGACAAGAGCACTTTGAAGAGATTTGAGTTGTAGTTGTACTCAGTCACCCTGTCTTGGTACTAAGTCATGACTGGTCCAATCATGTGGCCTTCAGCCAATAGACAAATCGTTGAGTTGTTCAAAGAGCCAGAGAGAACACATTGTGTAGGCTTGACTTCAAGGTACACCTTTGCC
Organism: Homo sapiens; assembly: GCF_000001405.40. Lineage (NCBI taxonomy): Eukaryota > Metazoa > Chordata > Mammalia > Primates > Hominidae > Homo > Homo sapiens. The sequence goes on along the minus strand of NC_000006.12, from coordinate 51,888,018 downwards.
TTGGAGAGCTACCATATACTGTTGCATTCACCAAAGAGGAGAATTTTAGATGTCATGAGTAAACTCACTGTGGAAGCTTAGAAAGAGGCTTGAGCATGAGATACCAGTTATTAAGATGGGCAAATTGCAGTCTAGTTGAGCTGGCTGGAGGAAGAAGAATGACAATATTTTTATTAGTTCATTCTCGCATTGCTATAAAGAAATACCTGAGGCTGGGTAACTTATAAAGAAAAGAGGTTTAATTGGCTCATGGTTCTGCAGGCTATACAGGAAACATGGAAGCATCAATTTCTGGGGAGGTCTCAGGTCTCAGGGAGCCTTTACTCACGGCAGAAGGCAAAGCAGGAGCAGGCAACTTACATGGCAGGAACAGAGGCAAGACAAGGTGGGAGCCACAAGGTGCTGTACACTTTTAAACTACCAGATCTCATGAGAACTCACTTACTATGGTGAGGACAGTACTAAGGGGGGACAGTGCTAAACCATTCACGAGAAACTGACCCCGTGATCCAGTCACCTCCCACCAGGCCCTACCTCCAATACTGGGGATTACAATTCAACCTGAGATATGGGCAGGGGGACAAATCCAAACCATATCACTATTTTTGTTCCCAAAAGGAAAAAAAAAGAATAAATGAGTCTATAATAGAGTTTTAATGTACTTTGGCAGAAAGTGAATATAAAATTGGGATGAGTACAAACAAGAGTCTTTCTTTCCAGCAACCTTATCATACATGGGGTAACTATTTTTTAACTCTTCTTAATTTCTGTAGGGGAACAGAGTGTGTGGTGCTGGCTATGGCTACTTTTTCCATCTCATGACCAACCAAACATCACAAGCTCCGCTTCTTTCCTTCACTCAGAACATTGCACATTCTTGTACCAGGTAACTTTGGGGAAATTCATCTATGTTTTGGCTGTCTTATGATTTCACATTTTACTGTAGAATGCTCACAATGAGAGCACTTTGGGCATTTGTTGGAGATTGGGTGATGTTCCTGTGCATTTTCTGAAACTGCTTTTTTGAGGTATAATTGACATACAAAAAGCTGTCCATATTTAATGTATGCAACTTGATGAGTTTGGAGATAAGTATACACCCCTGCAACCATCATCACCATCTGTGTCACAAACATATCTATCACCTCTAAAAGTTTTCCTCCAGAGCCTCTTTATTTGAATTATTATTATTACTGTAAGAACGTTTGACACAAAATCTGACCTCTTAGCAAATTTTTAAGTATAGAATATAGTATTGTTAATTTTGCTGTATTCTATACTTTGGCATTTTGCCATACTGTATATCTCTAGGACTTATTCATTTTGCATAGCTGAAACTTTGTACCCTTTGACTAATACTTCCCATTTTCCCCTCCTTCCAGCCCCTGCCAACCACCATTCTACTCTCTGCTTCTATAAGTTTGAATATTTTAGATTTCTCATTTAAATGATATGATGTACTATTGCCCTTCTGTGTCTGGCTTACCTCACCCAGCACAGTGTCCCCCAGGTTTATCTGTATTGTCACAAATGGCAGGATTTCCTTCTCTTTAAAGGCTGAATAATATTCCATTGCAAATATACACCACATTTTCCCCAGCCATTAACCTATTGATGGACATCTTGGCTGCCTCTATGTCTTGGCTTTTGTATATAATTGTGTTAGCATTATTTTCTAGATCATAACAGTTCGATGGTAAAGAGAAGAGAGTCACATGAAAAGGCAGAAGGACAGAATGTACCTTTTGTGGCCAGAGATAATTCAATAGAGAGAGCAATTAAACTTCCAAATATGCAGAGCCCCTGGGAGGCTGCTAGGCTTGGGCTCTGGAGTAATCTGCATTTTGTTGGGATTCGGGAGCAGGTCACAGAGGGTAAAAGTGGGAGGGCTGAGGGGTAGGCAAGAACAGTTAGGGGGAGGGTCACAGATTCCATCTACCTTCATTCTCCCTAATACATTACTTTTACTTTGTATTTTTCAACAAGAAAAAGTAGAAAGTTAGAAACATAAAAATTGGCTTAATTTCATTCTGTTTCACTTTTTAGGTATGGTCTCTTTGTATACCCTAAATTTCAGCCACCTTGGGATAATGTCACTGGCACCACTCTGTTCCAGAGCTTCACAGTTTGGGAAAGTGCAGGTGGTGCCCAGGTAAGCTTTTTTGTTGTTGTTGTTATTGTTGTTGTTTTTAAAATTAAAACTGTCACTTGTTTTCTCACAGCAATTCATTATGCATATCTACTTAAATGGGATTGACTTGCCCTTGAGGGGAGCATTGCTGTGCTGTCACAATTTTAAAGCACCAATGGATCATAGGTGCTTGTAGAATAGTTGTTAAACAAATTCCTAGTCACTAATCCAGGGTTAGGTCATTTTCTCCATTGGGTGTTTTTGGCAACCCTAGAAGAGAACAACAGAATCATAAAGATTTATAATCAGGGGAGATCACAGAGGTTCCCTATTCCTTCTTTCCATCTCTACTTAGAGATAGAAATTAAGGCTAAGAACGGGAAGGGACTTGTCAAAGATCACACAATTGGTTAGTAGTACAACCAAGTGCAGAATTTAGACTCCAAATGTTGTGCATTTGATGTCCCGATATCCTGAATAATACATGCCCCAGTCTTAAGAAAAAGCACTGTTCGTCATTGATACACAAACATTCTAGCTCAAGATACCACTCTTACTTTAGAAGAAATAAGCTAAATTTTCTTCTATTTTTTTCTTAAAGGAAAAGAAAAGGTTCATGTTCAATCATTTACTCTTCATTATCCCAATGATTTTCTTATAAGGAAGCTTTGCATGCTCACTGCTAACAGCAACATGTAAAAATTATTCAGGGTCACTATTTGATGCAATACAGACAAAATTACATACACTTTGTCTCTGCCTAGAAATCTGGAACATAAGATATATAGGTGAAGAACTATGTTTGTAGAGCCTTCAGGAAATAGAATACAAACATATAATAATGTCACAATAAGAAAGTCAAACATTTGTTTCATATATCCCATAAAAGAAAGATAACTGTGGATGAAGAAAGCCCAAAAATATACAATTAGGACAGCTAACAGGTGGAGTCCGAAATGTATTTAGTATTTTGTTCTCATTTAATTTTATAAAATGCTTCCCATGAGCACTATAAATATACCCTATAGGGGTAACAAATCTAGTGGAAACATTTGTTGAGTGCCCTCTTATGCAGAGAAGTGATTTATACCTGCAGGGGCTTAAACTCTGTCTCCCTGCTCTTGAGTAGCCTGGTTCTAGAGGAAATAATCTAGTAAAATGAAAATATTAAAAGATGCTAATAAAGCCATTTTTTGAAATTCTGCAATCAGAAATGCTAAACCTATGAAGGAAAAAAATACAGAACTACAACTTGAACTCTTGTGCACTCAAATTTGATTAATCAAAAAGTTTAAATAATAAAAATATTCTTGGAATTGCACTTTTATAGTGAAGAATAAGGGGAAAATTAAGTAACATAATAGCAGCAAATTTAAAACGTAAACTTCCCTCGAACTATACCAAAAAAGAAGAATGAAGTAAGAGGATTTATCCTTCCCTATTTTAAAACTTGCTACAAAGCAACAATAATCAAGACAGTGTGGTATATGGGCACAAAGATAGATATATATGTCAATGAAATAGAAGTGAGAGTCTGGAGATAAACCCATATATCTATAAACAAATGATTTTTGACAAAGGATGCCAAGACCATTCAATGTGGGAAATATAGTCTTTTCAACAAATGGTGCTTGTATAACTAGATGGTCACACACAAAAGAATTAAGTTGTATCCTACCTTAATTTATGCTACTTACAAAAATTAACTTCAAATGAGTCATTATGTATTAATAATAAATAAAATTAGCAAAAAATTGGTCAAAGACGTAAACATAAGCACAACTCTGTCTCCCAGACCAGTGGTGTCTTAGTCCCTTTTGTGCTGCTATAACAGAATAATAAAATTTGGGAAAATTATAATAAACAGAAATTTATTAGCTCATGATTCTGGAGGCTTGGAAGTCCAAGATTGAGAGGCCAGCATCTTCTGAGGACCTTCTTGCTGCATCAGTCTATAGCAGAAGGGCAAAGAAGTCAAAGAAGGAGCAAGTGATAGAACTCACAGCCCCAAGTTTTTTTTGTAATCAGCACTAATCCATTCATAACCTACACACCTCCTAACACTGTTATATCAGGGATTAAGCTTCCAAAACATGCTTTTTCGGGGACAGGCTTAAACCATAGCAAGTAGTAGACTTACAACTCTACCAAGCTAATTTTGTTATTATATGACCCCTGTTTGGGTTATCATAAACATATATGTACATAACTTATGTTGAAATTACAAACAGTGACTCTGTAGTCATGCTGAGCTGCTTATTTCATATTTGCAATCTTCTGACAGTATGAGTTAATATATAATACATTGAAGAAAATGTTAAGCACTAGAGTTCTTGGATGCAATGTTTTTCTCTGTTACCTTTGTGTGATTTGGCCACTCCAAGTTTATTTTAGATATGTGGAGAATTCATATTGATCTTTTTAATGTATTGGTTATTATGAGGAGAAATGAAAAGTACAAAGGGGTGTTACCAAAGGAGACTCATTAGTGCTGACCTCACAGCAACTTGAGGATGCCTATACTGACATTGATGGACAAAAGGTGCTTTAATACAATATAGCATGCTTCTTTCTACTTAATCAATAATTTTAAAAGCTACAGGAAGTCCGCAAGAAAAACCAAGCCTCAGACCTTTGCTGTAACATGCTGTATTTTATAGATTTTTAGAAGTAGCAATCTTCGCCTGAAAAACTTCAAAGTTTATTCATGCAGAGATTTTGGAATTGACGTCTTGGAAAGTGATGCAAATACTTCAGTTACTGACAGCTTATTACTTGGTCATTTTGCCCACAAGGTAAGTGCCTTAGTGTGGTTGTTTTAGGCTGTCAATCACAACAAAATTACATGTGCTGGGCCCCCTGATGATCCAGGATATGCAATTTTAATAGCATTCTTTAGTGAATCTCATATTTAATTAGTAAAAGTTAAAAGACCTTTTTATTTGTAATAGTGGTGATATTGATAATAGAACTCATATATACACAGTGCTTTAGTGTTATGAGTACAGATAAATCACAGAAGTCATAAGTAGCTGACAGAATTTTATTTGGTTGCAATTTAGAATTATTACTCATAGTAAGAGGTCAAATCATGAAATAGAAATTTGCCTAGTTCGTTATTTTGTATGTGATTCACTAATATGTGCCTAAGTATGGATTTCCACATGATAAAAATCAGACTCTAGATGACTTCTCAGGGTACAAGGATGCAGATGGGGCAAAGAGTACTCCCGGGTGGGAAGCACTAGTTCCTAAGTGGGGGTTCCTGGCTGCCATTGGTCTCTTAGGCTTCAGGTCTATAATGGATCCCCTATGTTCTTGTTTTTATTAGAACTACATTCATACTAGTCATCACATCATTATGGAAATCATAGATTTATTGGGAGCCAAGGAAGAATATTCTCTTCAGTTTGTTCCTGAGTGCTTAGTTCAATTGAAATTTAAATGATAAGTTTTGATTCTTATACTTCCATTGAAGATTATTTATTTCACAGCTATAGATAAAAATGTGAAGATTTTAAAAGTCATTTTCTTATTGAGCTACATTTTCCTGGATTTAACTCTCAACTTTTCTTAGTAAAATCTCCTTTGAACTATACTTTTCAGGAGATAAATAAGTGCCAGTTTTTTTTTCCCTCTAAAAGGATTACCACCTTGAGAGATGATTCTTCCTTTCAGACTGTGTAGTTTTCAAGAGAGGATGGTACCCAGATTTAGATTCTGTGATGCTGTGGTACATCAGAGGTCCTTAACTTTTCCAGAAATAACCTTAGAGTAGATGTTAAAAACAAAATTCCCAGCAAACTGAGTAACTGTCTTGGTAAATTAATGTTGCAGTATCTTAATTGATGTTAAATAGACATCATAATTAATGGGAAAGTGACAAAAATTAAGATGTAAATTATGACAAAAGGGTGGCTATCATGAGATAATCAAAAATAATCACACCCTTGGGGTGTAATTCACTAGGAATGTAGTACAGCTGAGGGCCTTTCAGTCTCTTAAGTAAGTGCAGGACAAGAGTCCCCTGGTGGAAAATGTTAAACAGTTTTGTTCTAGGGGATGTCTAGATGCTGGTTAGTTATCCAAATCATAAAACCACATAATTAAAGAGCCAACTATTACCTAAGAGATGATCTGGTTAACTTCTTGAACTTAGGGGAAAATGGAGGCTTGGAAACTTGAATGGCAGTTTAAGGTTCATGCCTAGTATTGTGGAGCTAGGACCACCCTGATATCCTCCCACTCCTGGTCAAATATTCTTCAATTGCACATGGAAAATGGCTTTGGCAAAGGACATTTATTAGTGTTCATACCAATGTTCCCTGAAGTGTTTTTCATGAAAAGCTAGCCCTTAGATAGTGTCTGGAAAGAGAAGATTATTTGGTTATAATTATATTTATACTGTGCTGTTTACCGTACCCTCTATTTCCCAAAATCTCCAACAAATCCAGAGATGTAATGTACAACATAAGCATTAGAGATAATAAAATTGTATTGTGTCAGGGAATTTTGTTAAATAAGTGGATTTTGGCTGCTCTTGTCACAGAAAAGTAACTGTGAGATAATAGATATGTTGATTTGCTTCACTATAACCTATGTGTACCCTGTAATATGTTGTAAATCTCAAATATACAGAATAAAATTCATTGAAAAAATACACTAAAGGCTCTGAGAAATTCTAGCATTAAAGTGAACAAGCAAAAAAAAATCTATTAATCTTTACTTAGCACAGTATTTTTCAGATTTATTTGGGAACCACTATGTTGCCAGGTGTCAGTTGTTCCAAAAAAAGAAAAAAAAAAAAAAAAAGAAAGAAAAAGAGGGTTCCTGACCTCTGTGGTTATGGGACTCTGATTTTAGCCTCTGTCTTTTGTGCCTGCCATTCCTTTAGGAATTAACACTTTCTTTTTTTTTTTTTTGAGACGGAGTCTCGCTCTGTCGCCCAGGCTGGAGTGCAGTGGCGCGATCTTGGCTCACTGCAAGCTCCGCCTCCCGGGTTCACGCCATTCTCCTGCCTCAGCCTCCTGAGTAGCTGGGACCACAGGCACCTGCCACCACGCCTGGCTAATTTTTTGTGTTTTTTTTTTTTTTTTTTTTTTTTTTTTAATTTTTTTTTTTATTATACTCTAAGTTTTAGGGTACATGTGCACATTGTGCAGGTTAGTTACATATGTATACATGTGCCATGCTGGTGCGCTGCACCCACTAACGTGTCATCTAGCATTAGGTATATCTCCCAATGCTATCCCTCCCCCCTCCCCCGACCCCACCACAGTCCCCAGAGTGTGATATTCCCCTTCCTGTGTCCATGTGATCTCATTGTTCAATTCCCACCTATGAGTGAGAATATGCGGTGTTTGGTTTTTTGTTCTTGCGATAGTTTACTGAGAATGATGGTTTCCAATTTCATCCATGTCCCTACAAAGGACATGAACTCATCATTTTTTATGGCTGCATAGTATTCCATGGTGTATATGTGCCACATTTGCTTAATCCAGTCTATCATTGTTGGACATTTGGGTTGGTTCCAAGTCTTTGCTATTGTGAATAGTGCCGCAATAAACATACGTGTGCATGTGTCTTTATAGCAGCATGATTTATAGTCCTTTGGGTATATACCCAGTAATGGGATGGCTGGGTCAAATGGTATTTCTAGTTCTAGATCCCTGAGGAATCGCCACACTGACTTCCACAATGGTTGAACTAGTTTACAGTCCCACCAACAGTGTAAAAGTGTTCCTATTTCTCCACATCCTCTCCAGCACCTGTTGTTTCCTGACTTTTTAATGATTGCCATTCTAACTGGTGTGAGATGATATCTCATAGTGGTTTTGATTTGCATTTCTCTGATGGCCAGTGATGATGAGCATTTCTTCATGTGTTTTTTGGCTGCATAAATGTCTTCTTTTGAGAAGTGTCTGTTCATGTCCTTCGCCCACTTTTTGATGGGGTTGTTTGTTTTTTTCTTGTAAATTTGTTTGAGTTCATTGTAGATTCTGGATATTAGACCTTTGTCAGATGAGTAGGTTGCGAAAATTTTCTCCCATGTTGTAGGTTGCCTGTTCACTCTGATGGTAGTTTCTTTTGCTGTGCAGAAGCTCTTGAGTTTAATTAGATCCCATTTGTCAATTTTGGCTTTTGTTGCCATTGCTTTTGGTGTTTTGGACATGAAGTCCTTGCCCACGCCTATGTCCTGAATGGTAATGCCTAGGTTTTCTTCTAGGGTTTTTATGGTTTTAGGTCTAACGTTTAAATCTTTAATCCATCTTGAATTGATTTTTGTATAAGGTGTAAGGAAGGGATCCAGTTTCAGCCTTCTACATATGGCTAGCCAGTTTTCCCAGCACCATTTATTAAATAGGGAATCCTTTCCCCATTGCTTGTTTTTCTCAGGTTTGTCAAAGATCAGATAGTTGTAGATATGCGGCATTATTTCTGAGGGCTCTGTTCTGTTCCATTGATCTATATCTCTGTTTTGGTACCAGTACCATGCTGTTTTGGTTACTGTAGCCTTGTAGTATAGTTTGAAGTCAGGTAGTGTGATGCCTCCAGCTTTGTTCTTTTGGCTTAGGATTGACTTGGCGATGCGGGCTCTTTTTTGGTTCCATATGAACTTTAAAGTAGTTTTTTCCAATTCTGTGAAGAAAGTCATTGGTAGCTTGAAGGGGATGGCATTGAATCTGTAAATTACCTTGGGCAGTATGGCCATTTTCACGATATTGATTCTTCCTACCCATGAGCATGGAATGTTCTTCCATTTGTTTGTGTCCTCTTTTATTTCGTTGAGCAGTGGTTTGTAGTTCTCCTTGAAGAGGTCCTTCACATCCCTTGTAAGTTGGATTCCTAGGTATTTTATTCTCTTTGAAGCAATTGTGAATGGGAGTTCACTCATGAGTTGGCTCTCTGTTTGTCTGTTTTTGGTGTATAAGAATGCTTGTGATTTTTGTACATTGATTTTGTATCCTGAGACTTTGCTGAAGTTGCTTATCAGCTTAAGGAGATTTTGGGCTGAGACGATGGGGTTTTCTAGATAAACAATCATGTCATCTGCAAACAGGGACAATTTGACTTCCTCTTTTCCTAATTGAATACCCTTTATTTCCTTCTCCTGCCTGATTGCCCTGGCCAGAACTTCCAACACTATGTTGAATAGGAGCGGTGAGAGAGGGCATCCCTGTCTTGTGCCAGTTTTCAAAGGGAATGCTTCCAGTTTTTGCCCATTCAGTATGATATTGGCTGTGGGTTTGTCATAGATAGCTCTTATTATTTTGAAATACGTCCCATCAATACCTAATTTATTGAGTTTTTAGCATGAAGGGTTGTTGAATTTTGTCAAAGGCTTTTTCTGCGTCTATTGAGATAATCATGTGGTTTTTGTCTTTGGCTATGTTTATATGCTGGATTACATTTATTGATTTGCGTATATTGAACCAGCCTTGCATCCCAGGGATGAAGCCCACTTGATCATGGTGGATAAGCTTTTTGATGTGCTGCTGGATTCGGTTTGCCAGTATTTTATTGAGGATTTTTGCATCAATGTTCATCAAGGATATTGGTCTAAAATTCTCTTTTTTTGTTGTGTCTCTGCCCGGCTTTGGTATCAGAATGATGCTGGCCTCATAAAATGAGTTAGGGAGGATTCCCTCTTTTTCTATTGATTGGAATAGTTTCAGAAGGAATGGTACCAGCTCCTCCTTGTACCTCTGGTAGAATTCGGCTGTGAATCCATCTGGTCCTGGACTCTTTTTGGTTGGTAAACTATTGATTATTGCCACAATTTCAGAGCCTGTTATTGGTCTATTCAGAGATTCAACTTCTTCCTGGTTTAGTCTTGGGAGAGTGTATGTGTCGAGGAATGTATCCATTTCTTCTAGATTTTCTAGTTTATTTGCGTAGAGGTGTTTGTAGTATTCTCTGATGGTAGTTTGTATTTCTGTGGGATCGGTGGTGATATCCCCTTTATCATTTTTTATTGTGTCTATTTGATTCTTCTCTCTTTTTTTCTTTATTAGTCTTGCTAGCGGTCTATCAATTTTGTTGATCCTTTCAAAAAACCAGCTCCTGGATTCATTGATTTTTTGAAGGGTTTTTTGTGTCTCTATTTCCTTCAGTTCTGCTCTGATTTTCGTTATTTCTTGCCTTCTGCTAGCTTTTGAATGTGTTTGCTCTTGCTTTTCTAGTTCTTTTAATTGTGATGTTAGGGTGTCAATTTTGGATCTTTCCTGCTTTCTCTTGTAGGCATTTAGTGCTATAAATTTCCCTCTACACACTGCTTTGAATGCGTCCCAGAGATTCTGGTATGTGGTGTCTTTGTTCTTGTTGGTTTCAAAGAACATCTTTATTTCTGCCTTCATTTCGTTATGTACCCAGTAGTCATTCAGGAGCAGGTTGTTCAGTTTCCATGGAGTTGAGCGGCTTTGAGTGAGATTCTTAATCCTGAGTTCTAGTTTGATTGCACTGTGGTCTGAGAGATAGTTTGTTATAATTTCTGTTCTTTTACATTTGCTGAGGAGAGCTTTACTTCCAACTATGTGGTCAATTTTGGAATAGGTGTGGTGTGGTGCTGAAAAAAATGTATACTCTGTTGATTTGGGGTGGAGAGTTCTGTTGATGTCTATTAGGTCTGCTTGGTGCAGAGCTGAGTTCAATTCCTGGGTATCCTTGTTGACTTTCTGTCTCGTTGATCTGTCTAATGTTGACAGTGGGGTGTTAAAGTCTCCCATTATTAATGTGTGGGAGTCTAAGTCTCTTTGTAGGTCACTCAGGACTTGCTTTATGAATCTGGGTGCTCCTGTATTGGGTGCATAAATATTTAGGATAGTTAGCTCCTCTTGTTGAATTGATCCCTTCACCATTATGTAATGGCCTTCTTTGTCTCTTTTGATCTTTGTTGGTTTAAAGTCTGTTTTATCAGAGACTAGGATTGCAACCCCTGCCTTTTTTTGTTTTCCATTGGCTTGGTAGATCTTCCTCCATCCTTTTATTTTGAGCCTATGTGTGTCTCTGCACGTGAGATGGGTTTCCTGAATACAGCACACTGATGGGTCTTGACTCTTTATCCAACTTGCCAGTCTGTGTCTTTTAATTGCAGAATTTAGTCCATTTATATTTAAAGTTAATATTGTTATGTGTGAATTTGATCCTGTCATTATGATGTTAGCTGGTGATTTTGCTCATTAGTTGATGCAGTTTCCTCCTAGTCTCGATGGTCTTTACATTTTGGCATGATTTTGCAGCGGCTGGTACCGGTTGTTCCTTTCCATGTTTAGCGCTTCCTTCAGGAGCTCTTTTAGGGCAGGCCTGGTGGTGACAAAATCTCTCAGCATTTGCTTGTCTATAAAGTATTTTATTTCTCCTTCACTTATGAAGCTTAGTTTGGCTGGATATGAAATTCTGGGTTGAAAATTCTTTTCTTTAAGAATGTTGAATATTGGCCCCCACTCTCTTCTGGCTTGTAGGGTTTCTGCCAAGAGATCCGCTGTTAGTCTGATGGGCTTTCCTTTGAGGGTAACCCGACCTTTCTCTCTGGCTGCCCTTAACATTTTTTCCTTCATTTCAACTTTGGTGAATCTGACAATTATGTGTCTTGGAGTTGCTCTTCTCGAGGAGTATCTTTGTGGCGTTCTCTGTATTTCCTGAATCTGAACGTTGGCCTGCCTTGCTAGATTGGGGAAGTTCTCCTGGATAATATCCTGCAGAGTGTTTTCCAACTTGGTTCCATTCTCCACATCACTTTCAGGTACACCAATCAGACGTAGATTTGGTCTTTTCACATAGTCCCATATTTCTTGGAGGCTTTGCTCATTTCTTTTTATTCTTTTTTCTCTAAACTTCCCTTCTCGCTTCATTTCATTCATTTCATCTTCCATTGCTGATACCCTTTCTTCCAGTTGATCGCATCGGCTCCTGAGGCTTCTGCATTCTTCACGTAGTTCTCGAGCCTTGGTTTTCAGCTCCATCAGCTCCTTTAAGCACTTCTCTGTATTGGTTATTCTAGTTATACATTCTTCTAAATTTTTTTCAAAGTTTTCAACTTCTTTGCCTTTGGTTTGAATGTCCTCCCGTAGCTCAGAGTAATTTGATCGTCTGAAGCCTTCTTCTCTCAGCTCGTCAAAATCATTCTCCATCCAGCTTTGTTCTGTTGCTGGTGAGGAACTGCGTTCCTTTGGAGGAGGAGAGGCGCTCTGCGTTTTAGAGTTTCCAGTTTTTCTGTTCTGTTTTTTCCCCATCTTTGTGGTTTTATCTACTTTTGGTCTTTGATGATGGTGATGTACAGATGGGTTTTCGGTGTAGATGTCCTTTCTGGTTGTTAGTTTTCCTTCTAACAGACAGGACCCTCAGCTGCAGGTCTGTTGGAATACCCTGCTGTGTGAGGTGTCAGTGTGCCCCTGCTGGGGGGTGCCTCCCAGTTAGGCTGCTCGGGGGTCAGGGGTCAGGGACCCACTTGAGGAGGCAGTCTGCCCGTTCTCAGATCTCCAGCTGCGTGCTGGGAGAACCACTGCTCTCTTCAAAGCTGTCAGACAGGGACACTTAAGTCTGCAGAGGTTACTGCTGTCTTTTTGTTTGTCTGTGCCCTGCCCCCAGAGGTGGAGCCTACAGAGGCAGGCAGGCCTCCTTGAGCTGTGGTGGGCTCCACCCAGTTCGAGCTTCCCAGCTGCTTTGTTTACCTAAGCAAGCCTGGGCAATGGCGGGCGCCCCTCCCACAGCCTCGTTGCCGCCTTGCCGTTTGATCTCAGACTGCTGTGCTAGCAATCAGCGAGATTCCGTGGGCGTAGGACCCTCTGAGCCAGGTGTGGGATATAGTCTCGTGGTGCGCCGTTTCTTAAGCCGGTCTGAAAAGCGCAATATTTGGGTGGGAGTGACCCGATTTTCCAGGTGCGTCCGTCACCCCTTTCTTTGACTCGGAAAGGGAACTCCCTGACCCCTTGCGCTTCCCAGGTGAGGCAATGCCTCGCCCTGCTTCGGCTCGCGCACGGTGCGCACACACACTGGCCTGCGCCCACTGTCTGGCACTCCCTAGTGAGATGAACCCGGTACCTCAGATGGAAATGCAGAAATCACCCGTCTTCTGCGTCGCTCACGCTGGGAGCTGTAGACCGGAGCTCATTTTTTGTGTTTTTAGTACAGACGGAGTTTCAACATGTTAGCCAGGATGGTCTCAATCTCCTGACCTCGTGATCCGCCCGCCTTGGCCTCCCATAGTGCTGGGATTACAGGCGTGAGCCACTGCGCCTGGCCAGGAATTAAGACTTTTAAAGAATTTGGCCTGTCCATTGTTAGACTTTCCACTCATATATAATTGGTGGCATACAATTATCTGTGAGTCACATCCTAAAATAAACATTACTTTCTGGAAGAACTTTTTATCATCAGAAGGAATTTTTTTCCTTTAAGCATACCTGTACGTGTGTTGGTACTCTCACAGCCAATGTTACCTTTGTATTGAGATGAATAGAATAATTTTCAGTACGAATGACTTAAATATACAAGAAAGACATGTGCTATATAGCATGACGATATATCCTAGTTTGGGTGCGTAGTTTGTTTATACCTATTGTCCCAGCATTCTGTCTAATTAACATACCCTTTCACACTAAAAAAAATGTCTAATTTTAATTTAAATTACGGTCACCCTACTTATCGAAGTATCTGTAGGATGGCTGTCTTCGTTGTTATTGTAATTAATTTGAGCAGATGATGCTACTTTAAAAAATACCGTATTCAGACAGATGCTGATGGAGTTGCTTCATTCTTCCTCCTATTTCTCTAGGGGTGATTTCCCATTTTCACTTGTGGATTTGTCTTCTTCAATTTAGACCTTTCATCTTTTTGTTTCCCTAAATTCTGTTGTAGGGCCCCTTTTCTTCTCAATATACTAGCTCTCCCTGGGAGAAATCTCATTTTCTCTAGTGGTTTCAATTACCTTCCACATGCTGATGTCTCCCATATATTTGCATTTATTTCTACCATCTTATTTTGCACTTTCAATTTGCAATCCGTTTTTGGTTTCTGTTTTTTTCTTCTTTTCTATTTTGATTTGTCTTGTGTTGCATATTTTTATATTTACTCATTTGAAAGTTATCCATTCTGTTATGATTATTTTAGCTATTGGCCTTAAGTTTTTAATGTGCCTGCTTGTCTTAACAAAGTCTAAATTACATCAGCACTGTTAAACTTTACATAAGTAATGCAAGGACATTAAACTCCTTTAGCTTCTTTCCTTACCCTCTCATCTTCTATGTTACCTTTCTCTAGTATTTGTCCTACTTTTTAAGGTAAATGTTTCATGGAAATATAACATTTATGGAGAAATGTGCACAAATCATAGGGGAATAGCTCAGTGGATTTTTACAAAGCAAACCAACCATGTATATGTATACAACTAAGAACAAGAAATAGAACATTGCCAGAGCAAGATCCTGTCTCTAAAAAATAAAAACTAATAATAAATAAATGAACATTATCAGCTCCTCTAAAGCCTCTTCTTGTCCCCCCATTCAACCCCACTCCGCACGCCCTAGCCAAAGGGCAAGCATTATTCAGCCTTCTATCGATATAGATTAATTTCTCCTGTTTTTTAAGTTGGTCTAAATGGAATCATAAAGCATGTAACTTATTGTACCTGGTTGTTTTCATCATTTGTAAGTTTGGTTATTTACAAATAATAATGCTATAAGCATTATTCTATATGCCTTCTGGTCTTCATGTGCATGCATTTCTGTTGAATATAAGCCAAGTTGTAAAATTGCTGGATCATCGTGTAACTTTAGTGGATAATGCCAAGCAACAATCCAGAGTTTATGCTTACACCAGCAATGTATAAGAAGGGTTTCAAAGCTCCATCTTAGAATCTCCCTTGAACATTATCCTGGAGATTTCCTTCATGTCTGTCTAGTATTGGAACTCTTGTTTCTGATTCGTACATCTTCTTCTTTTCTGGCTTAATTCCTCATTTTGTTTGAACATACCCTAAGGTAACTTTCTGAAAAAAAAAAAAAAAAAAAAAAAAGGAAACGATGGAAGGTGAAAGTTCTGAGCTATATATGGAGACCCCTTTATTAGTAGATTGTTGGTTACAGGATACCAGGTTGAAGTTCATTTTGCATTGAAATTTTGAAGGCAATATTCCATCATCTTGTAGCTCCTTCTGGTCTTGAGGCTGAATAGTTTTAAGATACTCAGATTCAGTGGCTCACACCTGTAATCCCAGCAGTTTGGGAGGCCGAGGTGTGCAGATCACCTGAGGTCAGGGGTTGGAGACCTGCCTGGCCAACATGGCAAAACCCTGTCTCTACTAAAAGTACAAAAATTAGCCAGATGTGGTGGCAAGCACCTGTAGTCCCAGCTACTCGGGAGGCTGAAGTAGGAGAATCACTTCAACCCAGGAAGCAGAGGTTGCAGTGAGCCGAGATCATGCCACTGCACTGCAGACTGTGCAACAGAGTGAGATTCTGTCTCAAAAAAAAAAACCAAAAAACAAAAACTCAGATTCCAGGATTTTTGTACGTAACTTATTTTTTTTCTCTCTGAAAGCTCTTAGGAACTTGTCCTTGTCCCTGGTGTTTTGCAATTTCAATATGATGCACTTTGCTGTGGCTCTTTTTCTAAACATTGTGCTAGATACTGAGTGGGACTTTTCAGTCTGGAAAATTATATCCTTTCCTTCTGCACAGTATTCTTCAATTATTTCTTTGATAATTCTTTCCCCTATGTTTTCCTCTTTTCCTTAAAGCTATGATTATTTAAATATTGGGCCTCCTGGAATGTTTTTCTCATCTTAATGTTCTTACTGATTTTCCATCTCTTTGTCTTTTTGTTCTACTTTCTATGATATTGAATTCCTTTTTTCTACTCTCCTATTTCCTTTTTTTTCTAAAAATAATATTTTAGGCTTCTATTTGTTTCATGGATATAATATACTTATTTCTCCAAGGCCATTAATTATAGTTTTTGTTTTCTTCTGATTTCTAGACTAGCTTTGTGTCCACTGAGTTTCTTTTCTGCTATTTGTTTATTGTTTCATCATTTTTCATGTTGGGAGTGATTGCAAAAATTCTGGTAATCCTCAAATGTAAGACTATTTTTAACAATGGAACAGTGAGGCACTAGCAGCTTGATTGGATAGTGTTTGTCAAAGAGATTTTGTGGAAAATCATGAAAACACTTATTGTTTCTTTCTTTTCAGACTTTTTGTTAAAGTTTTTAAAATATATTAATATACAGCAAAACTGACTTTTTGATGTACAGTTCTATGAGCTTTAACACATGTACACATTTGTGTAACAACCACCACGACAATCAAGACACAGAACAGTTGCATCCACCCCAGTTCCTTGCTCCATCTTTGTAGCCACAGCCTCCTCTTGCTTTAAACCACTGGCAATCACTAATATATTCTCTGTCACTATAGTTTTGCCTTTTCAACAGTCATATAAATGGAGTCATATAGTATGTAACCTTTTGGGACTGGCTTCCTTCACTCCTGAATGCCATTGGGATTCATCTAACTTGTTGCACATATCAATATTACATTCCTTATTATCGACGAATAGTATTCCATTAGATAGATGTAATGCAGTTTGTTAATCCATTCATTTATTGAGGTGCACTTGACTTGTTTCCATATTTGGTGATTATAAATGGAACTGTTATGAACATTTGTCTCAGGTTTTTATATAAATGTAAGTTTTCATTTCTCCAAGGTAAATACCTAGGAGTTGAATTGCTAGGTCATATGATAAGGGCATATTTAACTTTATAAGAAACTGCCAAAGTTTTCCACAGTGGCTGTCTCATTTTGCATTCCACTAGAAACAGGAGAGTTTTAATACTTTCTCATCCTCATCAGCACTTACTATTGTCACTGTATTTTTATTTATTCATTCAATAGGTGCATAGTATATTTTAGTGTGATCTTAATTTGCATTTCCCTAGTGAATAATGATGTTGAACATTTTTTTTTTCTGTGCTTATTTGCTATCTGTATATTTTCTTTTCTGGGTTATCTTTTGAAGGTTTTTTTTTCCTGATTTTTGAATTGCGTTGTCTATTTTCTTGCTGTTGAAACCTAAGAGTTCTTTCTATATTCTGGATATAGGTCCTTTGTCATATGTGTGATTGGCAAATATTTTCTCTTAGTCAATAGCTCGCTTTTTTATCTTTGTTTTTATTCATGCATTATGAATTGTATTTCATGTGTCCAGTTTTCTTATTTTGCTTTCATCTTTTTTTCTTTTAAATCACAGGGAAGTCTGTGTATGTCATCTGGGATTAAAACTCCTAAAAGATGGGAACTGATGGTGTCTAACACAACCTTTGTTAATTTTGATCTCATCAACTGTGTGGCCATTAGAACCTGTTCAGACTGTTCCCAAGGACAAGGTAATTATTTGAATAGACAGAACAGATGATAAATAAGGCCCATATTCAAGTCAGTATTATAAATAGTGGCAAATACTTTGTGAATCATTATCTCTTTCAGTTATAAGATTGCATCAGTAGAAACTGTTGCTTAAATCTCCTAAAAGACATCCTGGAGGTTCTCCCAGTACAGCTTCTGCAGCTCCCTGTCCTGCTCCTATTATGGTGCCTATCACATTCTATCATTATGGTCCTATGTCTCTGCTGGACTCTGACCTTCATAAAGGCAGAGATCATGTATTTCTTGCTCAGAGTTTTAATTATTAGTAGCTAGCACAGAGCCAGATGCCTAGTAGGCAGTTTATTGATTAAATGAAAGAATGGAGTTAGATGGGTAGATACCTGGTATAAACTAACATGCATACAGCCTTTCCTGAAGGAGCCAAAGTTCAGGTACTTAATGTTTTCAACAGTCCAGGGCTTGATGTATGCACAAAGGGAAACATAGGAGTTCTTGCTCACTTTTTAACCACATCTCAGAGGTGGTAAGAAATAACTTGGAGGACTCATGGGCCAAGGTGAAAGAGGTAGAGAGTAATCTAGTTGATTTGATCATCGTAAACAGCCAAACCAAGTAATTTAAGTAAATATGCTCTTGTGGTTTGAATCACCAATTTAGATAATTGTTTGTTTTTTTAATTAAATGAATAATCAACAAGTCTCCACTTTACTTTTTTTTCCTATGTAGGCAGAATGAAAGATTGTTTTTATTTGGGTGGCATCTGAGTTTAGGATTGTAGAAATAATAATAGAAATAAAAATGCCTCATAACAAGTGCTTGCAATCGCAATTCCTCAATTCTTTAATATCTTGACTATTTCATATCATTCATGAGACAGTGAAAAAAAATCACACTACTCCTATGAACTCTAATCCCTTTTCACTGAATAGTATTGGCTAACCCCTCTTTTCATTTGCTTAAATACCATCTATTTCAGGCTCTGCTTAAGGACCTAGGGGGTACAAATATAAAAAACACATAGTTTCTGTCCTCCAGGAACTCTTGATCTAGGCACTAAAATAAATGTCCAAGCCTATTATTGTAAGAGAGCATGATGAACGCAGTAATAGAGGACTCAACAAAGTCAGTGAAGGGGCCGAGGAAGGGGGTCAGGCAAGAGCTCATAGAGGTTATTCTTGAGTAGGGTTTAGGAAGGTGAATAGAAGTTTGCAAGAAGGTATATGCAAGGAAGAATTTCTAGGAACAGTATACACACAAAAAATAGAATCCAAGAAGTAAGTTGTGCTTGGGAAATCACAAAGAAGTCCAGTATGACTGAAATGTAGAGCTGCAGGTGGTTTGTGGTATCAAATGAAATACAGAAGTTGCAAGAGGTGCAATTGTGTAGCCTTTCATGTATGAATCAATTCACTGCATGTACTCTATTGGGCTGCAGAATGAAAACATTAGAGCCTCTATTTGTATCTTTTTCATTTTATTTTCTTTTTTTTATATTTTATAATGTACATAATATATTATGGTATGGTAGTATGTGTACTGGGAGATGTGTACTTAGTTTTCTTCCTTTAATGACATGGGTGTGTGAATTAGAAGATCACTGCCATACTTTCCTTTTAGGCAATTGGACTGATAGTACCAATGAGTCACATGGCAGTGGTGTTGGGGAAAGACTGCCAAGAAGTGTGGCCCTACAGCTAATACTTAGAAAGTGTATTACTAATACTATTTGCCCAAGTGATTAATTGAGTTTGCTTTTGAAAGTAAATGTTTAAATAAACCTTATAGTAAGAGGTATTGGAGGGGTTAGACTCACCACAGAGGAATGAAAGCTGAAAGATTGGAAGACTAAACCATAGCATCTTTGGTGCTTAGTAATTAATAAATTAATGTTTTCTGCTTCTATTTCCCACTAGACCAGAGTTTCTTACCCTTGGCACTATTGGCATTTTGGGTGAGATAATTCTTTGTTGTGGGGATTGTCCTGTGCATTGTAGGATATTTAGCAGCATCTCTGGTTTCTACCTACTAGCTGCCAGTAGCACTGCCAGCTCCCCAATTGTGACAGCCAAAAATGATTGAAAATAGTGCCATGTCTCTTGGAAGGTAAAATCAACCATGATAGAAAAATCACTGCCCTACAATGTGGACTATAGACTGCATGAAGGTAGGGCCAATGCTGCAGTTATACCTCTTAGTATCTCTAGCACACCAGAGCTTGGTAGACAGTAAACACTCACTGTAAAACACCCACAGAAAACACTTTTTTTCTTGCATGAATAGGTGAATTGTAAAACTAGATAAATATGCAATTTAAATCCTAAGACCATCACTCCAGTGAATTTAGTTGCTATTTGTGCCATTGTGTAATAATCTTTCTGTTTTCCAATTTATAGGTGGATTTACTGTGAAGACCAGCCAGTTGAAGTTTACAAACTCTTCAAACTTAGTGGCATTTCCATTTCCTCATGCAGCAATTTTGGAAGACTTGGATGGGTCTCTGTCTGGGAAAAACAGAAGTCACATTCTTGCTTCTATGGAAACCCTTTCAGCTTCTTGTTTGGTCAATTCAAGCTTTGGTCGGGTTGTCCATGGCAGTGCCTGTGGAGGAGGTGTTCTTTTTCATCGTATGTCTATTGGTTTGTAAGTGGAATTAACTATACTTTTTAGCTTGCCGATGGGCATGCATCTGTTATTCTGGCTGTCGAGGCTTATAGAAGGGAAATTGTTTTCTAGATTATTTGAAGTATTTAGCTCTAAAGAAGTGAAATGGGAATAATTTTGACAGCTGCTGAATCATGAGTGTATGGTAGTTTTAAGCTGACTCAAATGGCAGCTAACTAGCAATATCTTTGGACCAGATCTCATAGCTTGTGACCTCTCATTGACATTTTGGGCTAATAACTTCTTCTTAGAAAGACTTACAGCCAACAGAGAGTTTGAAATATATTTAAATTAAAAGTATTATTAAAAAATTCTAAAAATGTCCATTCTCATTTATATACATGTACTCTTCCCAAGCTCTTTTTAAGTGTTCAATATGCTCCAGGGAAGCAATTGCTGATGCCTCCTATTACTTGCAAGGTTGCTTCACTCCAGTTCATTTTCCTTGTTAATTTCATGAACTATTGGATTCCTACAATACATTTCCTATTAATATTGGAGCAAGGACTCCTTGGTTATGCTACTCAAACTACCATTAAGTCAGCAGCGGGGCTGTTTATAATGCATAATAGGATTGCTCCTGCCCTCTTTAATTTCCAGGTAATGATTGCTGAATGTCTAGGGTTCTGTCTTTTACTTATTCCAAATGCATTGTATATATTTAGCCACACTTATTTTCTTCCTTTGTCTTAAGTGTCCTAACTCCATGAGTATTAAGTCAAGTAATTCAGTCAGACCTCATTGGCCTCTTACTTGAACAAGTAAACTTCAGGGAGTGAGAATCATTGTGGTTAGGATTGCACTAACTCTGTATTTTGAATGCATGTGGAATCAGTGCTTTGGCATTCTGTTTTAGAAGCCTTAGCGATGCACTGGTAGCACTGAATAGTCTGGAAATTTTTCATTTTTGCTTTCTAGACATTCATTATTCTACCTGACGTTAATGAGCCCAATTCCAGTGAGTAAAATAATAATATGTAGGGATATATTTTTATTTCTAATCATTTTGATTGTGCAGAGCATGACTTTTTCTTCATTCTCAGGGATGCAGCCTGATTTTTATTATTTTAGTGTTTTTACCAAGGATGTTTTAAATGAGTGTTTTGAGAGTTATAAAAATTAGTGATTTATTTCTTACATGCATTTTATCAAATGAGGAAAATAGATTTGTGTACTTAAAAGGAACATTATATGCTTCTATAATATTTATTTCTGCGTGTTCCTGATAGTCCTTTATCATGCTTTACTTTGAGATCTACTGGTAGGCTGTCTCTTGGAGAGGCACTTGTCAATGTGATGTTAGAAGGCTCTGTAGTGCCTGAAACTTGTTTGAGCATTTGCTCTTTGAGATCTTTGGGACAGGATATTAAGGTACTTGCCTTGGCAGGTCATGATCCCACCACTTGGGGACTGACAAGGTCAAGAAAAATGTAATACTGATACTGTGTTCTAAGTAGATTCAAAAGGGTCTAGCAGGATGAAAAACTTATCCTGGTTTTCCTGGATTTTTTTCTTGTTTTAAAAAGGCAAATTCCATGTTCTGGAAACTTCCTCAGTCATCTAGGCTGATTGGTCACTCTACTCCTTAGATTCTATTTAAAATTTTCAGGTTGACTCACAGGTCTATGGACAAATACTCAACTGACCCTAATTAGTCACCTGGAAGTCTCAGCGTGCTTCCAGTTATAAATCTCTTGGCCCTGATGTGCTCACCTCTAGGAGAGGCAACTGAATTAGATGATCTCTAAGGTCTTGCTGCTCAAAATGTTGTCCATGGACCAGCAGCAGCAGCAGCACCAGGGATTTTTTTTAGAAATGCAGACTCTCAGACTGGGCCCCAGATGTCCTGAATTACAATGCCCAGGTGATTGGTATTAAAGTCTGAGAGGCACTCCTCTAAGGTCCTTCTAATTTTATCTTTCTATGATTCTATCCCTAGCTATTTGTGCTCAGTGGCTTGATCTTTGTCCCAAAGCATTATAACCTCATTAGGAACATGTCAGAGCTAATGAGCAATTTGAATTCAGCATAGATGCAAACTTTGCTGCATTTCATGGAGAAAGGATTAATTTGTTGTGCTATTTGCCCTGGGGCAAGCACCCTAAGAGTTGATTTACAAAGCTCTCACAGTTATGATCTTTTGGGGTTGCATGTTGATGGAGATCTAATATGGCATAAGCACCCTGCTGTCTTCACTTTCAACCCTTAACTCCCTCCCTCAGTAAGAGGTCCAGAGAGGGCAGGGAGTGAGGCTTTACATAGCTGCATAAACAAGACATCCTCTTCCTGTTCTGCTAAGAACCAAGCTCTTGGAGTGTGAGTTCTTCCTTGGTAGGCCCCCTCTCTGGTCCATTTTCACTATAAGTTATTTGTTTGACATTGGCAACCTTCTGTTCCTGTCCCTCACTGCCTTAAATCTGACGGTGCTTACCTTTGTGGCACTTCCTACTTTATTGGTTCCTATGACTCAAAGCCAGCAGTTGGGATGACAGAAGTATTTAAATATTTGAAGTTGGCCACACTATTTAATATTTGGGTGAAGAAAAAACTGCCACTCTACAAGGCAGAGTCTAGTTTATGTTTTGTTAAAATGACAGCATGCTTGATCTGCGTGAGTGCTGCTTATATTGTTTTCTCTCTCATCAGCTCTGAAAACATGCTTTCTGTAGAAGCCGCAGGTATTCTGGATAGCGTTCCTTTCCCAGCTTCTGTTTCTACCAGCTTCCCCCTATGAACCTCAGTGTTCCTGGTGAGACAGGGGTAGTGTTAGTTCTGCCAATGTAAGTCAGGACCTCATATCAGAAACACATGCCAGTGACAGTTTTTCTCCAGGGTCCCATAATTATAAAATGTCCCACATAGTTCTTGGATTTATCTATCCCAAACTTTAGGTAAACATTTTTTTTTTCTGTATAGAAATAATTACACGAAACAAGTACAATATTATCAGTAGGATTTTGTGTGCTCTTTTTAGATCTCCCTAGTCCAAATTGTGATGTGCCGTAAGAGTGAATTACCCACCATATAGATAAGACTTAATATGAAAAAAAGAATGTAAAATATCTCAATAATTTGTTTATATTGATCATGTTGAAATAATATTTTGGATAGATTGGGCTAAATATATTACTAAAATTAATTTAACTTGTTTATTTTGAGCTTTTTAGTGTGGCTACTCTAAAACTCAACTTGCCAAAATGGGATTTATGATTTTTTTCTGTAGACCTGTTTCTCTCTGGGTGCTCAGAATCCCACTGAGGCAAATGCTGGTCTAAACCTGAAACATGGAGTCATCCTTGACTCATCTTTGTACCTTATTTCCCACACTAATCACCTATCAGCTCAATTTTCCTCCTTAATAAATCCCTTTTGAGTCTTTCTACTACTCTCCTTCCCCAAATCCTTCTCCAGTCTGGGCTACCATTACTTTTCACCTGTAGAACCACAACAGCCACTTAGCTTGCCATTTTTCGGTGTTTCAATCTCTGAACTTTCTAAATGCAGATCTGATCTTGCCATCCATTCCCTTGCGTGAAACTTTTAAAGAATTCTCAGTGCTTTCCAAGGAAAGTCTGACATTCCTAATGTGTCATGGAGCTTCCGTGTCCTGCTGTCTGCTTTGGGTTCCAGCATTATCTCTCAGCACTCTGCTCTACCTTTCCTGCATTCTGTCCCTTAGCCACATTCAACTTATTTGTGCTCTTCAATTCATAATGTTCAGCTTCCATGAACTCAGCATAGAGGTCGTTTTCTCTGCTAGGCTTCCCTGAGCATGCTGCGCAGGTTTTGATATCTCTGTTGTGTGCTAGCTCTTTATACTTGCTCTAATCAGTACTTATAGCACCTGCATAGCTTTCTAAATTGTCCGTCTGTCCTTATAAATGGCAAGGAGGGCAAATAGGGATTTTCTTTGTATTATGATGCCCCAAACTCTGTTTAACACATAGCAACTCAACAAAATTGGTGTTGAGTAAAAAAATATAAATAAAAAATAGTGGACTGCCCCCAGATCTTCCTTTAGTGTCCTTATTGTCTATTTCTCTCCTAGGACATGTTCATGAGGAGTCCACAGCATTCGGCTTTTCTTCAGAAGACCCAGGAGTAAAATGCTATCTCCAGTCTTCTAAAATTCCTAGGAATATCTAGTATTTAAGAATCTTCTTTCATAATCTTCTCTGGGCTTTTACTTTCCTGGGGCAATCATTTGACTGGAGGATTTATTCTAATTGCTGATTCCTTCTCTATCCAACCCCTCTCTACCCCCATTCAATCATCAGTTTGCCTTTATTTGTAATTGTTTTCTTGTCCTGGTGGAATAGGTACATAAAACTGTGATAGAGAGGATGTAAGCTCAACCCTTATAATTATTTTCTCGAAAATTTTTGTCATTGTTGTTTACAGCAATGTATAACTTCTTCACTTGTCGTAGACTCATTGAGATATCAACAGATCAGACCTTGATTCTGTCTTCGAATTTTTGACTGTATTGAGTGTGAGGGAGATTAGAAGAGCTTGCAAGATTTTGTAGGTTGGCTGACCAGTCCTTCTGAGTTTTTACAGGACGTACATAAAATAGTCAAGACATATATACAGTACATGTTTGAAATTATTTTTCAGACTGAAGAATAGAGAAGTAATTAACAATCCTTTGTGGGTACAAGTCATATCCCCTCTACTTCCTAGGTATATTTCTTTGCACAAGTTACTTTACCGCTTTTTGTTTCAGTTCTTTCATCACTAAAATGGGTATAATGGTATTTATCCCTCAGGGTCATTGCTTGACATGTAGTAGGTACTCTTTAAAGAATATCTATTTTACATTTGTGATTTACAAAACAACGCATAGGCATAATACTAATTGAATAGGTTACTGCAGAATTTTTTGTTTCTGAGAAACAAATGCCTGGCAAGGGAATTAGGTAATGTAACTTAATCCAATTCCTGAAAAATAGGGAATAATTTGTAATAATCATATGACGTTGTACTGACCCAGCAAAACCTCCCAGGTGGTTGTAGAACCTCAGGTCATTCAGGGCGTTGACTTTGATTCATCGTGCCCCAGTACCTTCTGTTTCTTCCTTCCCACCTCTCCTGGAAAATAAAAGGTTAGTGTTCTTGTTGATCACCTTGATTCTTAGATCTTGCTTAATATCCTCTCCTGTAGTGCTTGCGTTCAGTTTTTACCTATGTAACCACTCTTAAGGTGTCAGTGTTCAAAGTACGAGTCACCCCCTGCCTCTGTGAATGCAAAAATAAAGAAGAGTTCAAATGGAAATTTTGGCCTACCTTTTCCTCTAATAATCGCTTGACTTTCCTTCCTAGGGATAAATAGGCATGGCATCACTAATGGTATCTTTTCAGTCCTTAAAAAACAACCCTGTGAGACAAGAAAATTCAAAGATGTATTATCTTTTCTTGGCAGCAAAGGTTACAGAATTAAAGTAGAAAAAGATCTAAAAATCACAATGGACCCCAAACTGAGGAATATCATCAACAATATTACATGGTTATTAAGTTTTATGAATAATAAAAGGTTGCAGTGGTATGCTGGTAAATGTTTAACAACTAGCTCTCCAGAATAAAAAGCTCTGGTTTATTTCATTTGCCTAATTCTATAGTGAAAATACTCTCACATGCCTTATTTTAAGCTTCCAACCTAAAAGCACTGAACATATAGTTGGGAAGAAGGGTCAATGATGGGCTTCTGCCAGCCAGTGTCAGTCATCCCCATCACAGCTCTGGTATGCATATATATGGGAGGACAAGCTTCTTAGTCTAACTTCCTACCTGCTGGATAAAATATTTTTCAATATCCCTGACAAGCAGTTGTCCACCTGTCTACCTTCTGGTTGCATAGCTTCAATAACAGTGTTCTCGTGTTCTCAAATAGCCATTCCAATTGGACTCAGCAGATCAAAAGTAGAGATGCAATGGTATATGGTCACCTAAAGTAGGATAATGGACATCTATTGCTTTTCTTCATATATTAAGATAGAATGGGCAAAAAGTATTGTCCTAATATAACAGCAGATAACTATGTTGCAAAAACTGTAGATACTTCCTTAGAGGAGAAATATTTAAGTGTTTCTGAATCCATAAGGCTGTGGATGGAAAAACTTAATGATACAATGATAATGAAATATTACGGAATGGTGGCAGGTGTTAGCAGATAGAATAGTGGTGCTGTGACAAGGATTGTTATGAGCATGGTGTATTTTTAAAGGATGCTCATGCAAAACCATGCCACAGAAATTTGTTGGCTGTGCCCACAGTTTTGATTTTTCTTCCCCTTTGTGCAGTAAAAGATGAGAGTGACATCAACAAGCACAAATACTCAGAAGATGTTTGCAACACAATTTGAGGTTAGGTATTGTGGTGTGTCTGGCTTAGGAGATGGATAATTACAGAGGATTTATTTCACAACTGTTCCAAATCAAGAGCATTTAGAGCTCTGTGCAATGCTTGTCTTTAATACACAGATATGGACCCTCAGGAAAAGTAAGCTAATGGTAAACAAAAACCAGGGAGTTAATATCTGCTCTCATTGGTATTATTGATTGCCTAACAAATCCTTTGTGGGATTCAACAGTTCTTTACAGTACATGGGCACTAAGTTACATAACTCTTTAAGTAACTAGTATGGTAAATTGGTACTTTGACCAGGAAGTTTTACCAAGTGATAGTGTTATATTTCTAATGGAACATTTCCCTGAATTAAAAACAGGTTTGGGCCAGGCATGGTGGCTCACGCCTGTAATCTCAGCACTTTGGGAGGCTGAGGCGGGTGGATCACCTGAGGTCAGGAGTTCGAGACCAGCCTGGCCAACATGGTGAAACCCCATCTGTACTAAAAATATAAAAAATTAGCTGGGTGTGGTGGTGGGTGCCTGTAATCCCAGCTACTCAGGAGTCTGAGGCAGGAGAATTGCTTGAACCTGAGAGGCAGAGGTTGCAGTGAGCCGAGATCATGCCACTGTGCTCCAGCCTGGGCAACAAGAGTGAAACTCCATCTCAAATAATAATAATAATAAAATAAAAAATAAAATAAAAAAGAACAAACATTAAGACAGCCCACAGAAAAGAAAAACAACATGTAAGGCTTATAGCCCTTTTGTCTTTTTGATCATAGACAGGAGGAGCTGTTGCTGATGCAGAGGTAAGGGTTAACATTTAAAATGGACTGGTTGCCTCCTGATTTCTTGCACATAAAGCCATGAGAAGTTCAGGGAGAGACTTCTTCCCCTAGTAATGAAGCTCTCTACTGCTAATGGCCCATGCAGACTCCCTTGGCTCCTCCAAATTAGAAATACTTTTGTGCTCCTTTGCTTCATTAACAGTAAAGAGTGGGAGATTGGTGGCTATTTAGGGCATGGGGAAATTGGTGGCTATTTAGGGCAAGTGAAAATTGTAGTAATTATTGTTGGTAAGTTCTCTTCATGGTGTTTTTTGGACTCTTGATGTTCTTTTGGTGCTTTTCAGAAGACCCCTCCATGGTCAATTCTGGCATTTGGCCTAGGAGGACAGGAGATGACCTGACTGAATTTTTGGCCCCTGGTGATGGTCAGTACAAGCCATCTTGCCTGATGGGAGATGGGTCTTTTGCTTTTTGAGTTGCTTTTCAGAGTGGAAAGCATATCTGAATGCTTACCATATGACCCTCTCTCCTATCAGCTGTGATAAAAGTGTAGTATATATGATAACCTCCTTCTCTACCTGTATTGCACTACAGAAAGCTGGTGCTGCACATGAGTGCCTATGAAATTGCATCCCTAATAAACCTTGGTTGAGATGGGTGAGGGGAGCTTGATAGACTCAAGGCTCTGAGAGAATGAGCAGTGCATGAAGGAGAAATAAGAAAGTAATTTAGGATCACAGTGTGCTATGGTATGTCTCTGGTTGGCCAAGGAGTTTGCATCAGATTATTGGATTCTGACTAGAAGGAGAAGAACCTCAAAAGGAAGGTGCAATGTTTCCAAAGACAAATAGAACCAAATTATTGCTAGCATTTAGCAGTTTGACACTATTTGAAGAGGGACCACATTTGTATGGGCCTTCAGAAACTGGGGAGATTATCTGAAAAATGCTTCCTTCAATAATTGAAATTGTAATCTACAGAAACTGAGTCAGGGGAAATAACATCCTAAAAATTGGTCTGTAAATGTGGTGTTAATTGAAATTTGACGAGCAATTAAGTCCAGTTAAGGTGACCAGGGGAATTCTTGGGACCACATTGCTGGAATTAAAAAATATTTCTGGAAATATCTACCCAATTGATTATACTATCACATATTGAGGTAATTTTTTTTTTTTTTTTTTGGGACGGAATCTCGCTCTGTTGCCCAGGCTGGAGTGCAGTGGCGCGATTTCTGCTCACTACAGGCTCTGCCTCCCAGGTTCACGCCATTCTCCTGCCTCAGCCTCCCGAGTAGCTGGGACTACAGGCGCATGCTGCCACGCCCAGCTAATTTTTTGTATTTTTAGTACAGACGGGGTTTCACCGTGTTAGCCAGGATGGTCTCGATCTCCTGATCTCATGATCCACCCGCCTCGGCGTCCCAAAGTGCTGGGATTACAGGCATAAGCCACCGCTCCCGGCCGAGGTAATTTTTTTTAATGATCAACGTGGTATGCATGAGAAGATAGGTGAGGCAGGAGGAATTAAATGTGAACAGATGGATGCTTTTGAACAGAGATCTTCTTTTGGTTTGTAGTTAAAACTATTTTTAAAAAGTGGTTTAATTGACAGCACTTGACTAGGATTGCAGAAATATGAGTTTTCAAGGAAATCATAGCATTTTCCTAGACCAGAGACCATTATTAGTGCACATTGCTTGTGTGTGCCTAGGAGAGGTTTTCTGACCACTGACTATGTTTGTCCTCTTGGCAAATATCCTACTGATATGGGGTTGATTGTATCAAGCTCTAATAACTTAGGATCACCCAACTGCTGATTTCTTTTGAAAATAAGTTTGCAGGAAATCTCTTGACCCTCATGTGATTTTTCTAGGTAGACTTCCAAGTTGGGGAGAAATGTTACTGCATAACCAGCTGGAGTGTTCTGATGCATATAACACTTGTTTATTCAGTCAGAAAATATTTGTTAAACTCCCACTATATGAAAGGCACTTTTATTTCTTATGGTCAATCATTAACTAAAAATTCTGATTTATCAATTAGTCTCTCTTGGATTTAGGTCTTGTGATTTAAATAAATCACAAGATTTATTTAAATAAATCCAAGCCCATATGTCTCAGTAAAAACTGGAAGGATATACTTTTGGAACCTGAAACACTTATAATCATTCCCTGTACTTGAGGAAATTTAGATATTTCTAGTGTGTTTTATTTACTGACCACAGTACCTACTGTAGCCAATTTTGACATTTCTTAGTTCGAACTTACCTCTTATCATGTTTGTTTTACACTTATGTCCCCAAAGCTTATTTTTATTTGCTAAATATAGTTGGGCCAAATTGTTCCTGGAAAATATCCTGGGATTATGGGACTCATGGTTTCCATCAGGGGAAGAGAGAGCCATGATGACTGAGCGCAAATGGCTAGAAATTCTAAGAAGGGAAATTTAACATTCTAAAGCTTTTCTAAAGATTACAATTTAAAACTAAATCCCATATATGGAATGTTTTCTATTCGAAGATGTAAACACCCCATAACTGAAAGAAGGGGAGGGATGAAATATGGTGGGAATTCCTGCACTGAATTGGAAATTAGAACAGATGATCTTTGTGTTCATTCTGATTCTAAGAATATAGGTTGAGAATTGTCCATTAGTTCCAATTTAAATCCTGAAGGGGTGGGTGGGGAAGGGTGGACAACAAACCTAAGTATCTAAAACCCAAAGAAAGGAAGACATTTTCCCCTCCTCACAAGATTTCTAAAGGTTCAGTTAATGCTGCATAGGGAAATCTGAAAAAAGAATAGTTCTTTCATTCCCAAATGCCCTGAGCATTTTTCATCCCTTTCATTTCATTAGTTCA
Source organism: Homo sapiens (assembly GCF_000001405.40). Lineage (NCBI taxonomy): Eukaryota > Metazoa > Chordata > Mammalia > Primates > Hominidae > Homo > Homo sapiens. Next base: position 51,857,847 of record NC_000006.12, on the reverse strand, counting down.
TGGATGAAACAAATACATTTAATCTTGCAAGAAATATGTGTCAAGTGCTACATTGCCAGGGTCAATGATCTGTACCATGGAAGGGTTTTTGGTATGTTTTTAAATGACCGAATATCCTGAATAAACCTCTAGGCATTCAAATAAGTAGTGCAGAATGGTAAATCTGGCATATTTGAGGTTCTTAAATGAGACCTAAGTAGATGTTATTGGCCTTGGTGAGTGCTTTATGTAGATTATCTTTATGTTTCATAGTACCTATATGAGATCTATTCTATTGTTGCCTCCATTTTAAAAAGAAATGAATCTAAAGGTTAAATAGGTGCTGAAATTTGCCCAGGTTTACACACCTACTGAGTGCCAATCTAGATTTCAGTTGTTACCCATTTGTTCCAGTGCCCAAGTGTGCAACACTTAAAAAAGTTCCTTTTTGAATTATTCCACGGGCTTATAAATTGGCTTTAGATATACTCATGCCCCATCTCACTGTGAAAACCCAATGTCCTCTTTTGACTCATTTCCCTTACTTTGAGAATTTAATTATCTGCCTGCGGCAAAATGCCACAGTTAAAGATTCTCATGAAAACTAAACCAAAGGAGGAAGAACAGTCATAATGTGTATTGATTTTTTTTTTTTTTGGATTTTGCTTTATTTCTTTAGGTCCACTTTCACTCTCTTTTAGGGGTCTAATCATTGGCTAAATCTACTTATGCTTTAATGAAGTCTTAAAAATCATTTTCTGGGATGGCTGTATAGAATAAGTTGGGTAACTGGATTCACAAATTTCGAGTTCTACTTTGTGATACTCACATATTGCTTTTGCTCTACCCTGCCTCAGTCTCCTCATTTGGTAAAATGCAGTTCTTCTGAACGTTTTTATACGTTCTATATATAGAACTTTATATACATTAGAAAATGTCACTGGCTGCTTTTGGAAGATCTCATCTATGCATTGTTCATTCATATAACAAACATGATTTGGGTGCCACTGTGTGCTGGGCCCTGTGCCAGGGCAGAGGATACCAATAAGAAAGGGGAAAACACCTCTAACTTAGGGATCTTATAATCTATGTTTTTAAAAAGGCAAAGCCAAGAACACATAGGTACTGTAATAGCAGTGAGTACTAGGCATTACACAAGACTGCAGGAGAGGAGCAGGTTACCTCATCATTCTAGAGAAGGATGCTGAAGCCACTCCTGCTGGGCATTTTGAGCAGGACTTCTGAGAGTCTCAGCACCTAGGCATGTCAGGTCCCAGGCCTCTGTCAATTGTTCCTCATGTGAATATCCAATTACCAATAATAATGTTTTTTGCTGTTGATAAATCTGGTCCAAGGCAAAATTCTGGCCATAGACATTTCTTTGTTAAAATCATAGTATATAGTCTTGGTTCATACAAAATCATTAATGTGACATTTATTAGTGGTGGAGGTTGCAGTGAGCTGAGACTGCGCATTGCACTCCAGCATGGGCAACAAGAGCGAAACTCCGTCTCAAGGAGAAAAACAAAAAACAAACAAAATAAAAAACCTGAGAGTCACCACCTCCAGTTCACCAGGACATTGTAATTTGCAAATGATCCAATGGCAACTTCCCACTGGGTTGTTTTCACTCACACAGTGACTGCTAAAACCTCCCTAGACATACAACTAAAGAGGGCCTAAGACATATGTGGAGAGAATGGAAAGATGATTGCAATTGATGAAAGAGGAATGTATTGGATTCAGAATGAGCAAATAATCTCTCAACCCATTTTTTTTCCTTTTAAAATCACCTTAGAGCGAATACTCCTGAAGTTTCTTATGATTTAACCATGACTGACAGCAGAAATAAAACAACCACTGTCAATTATGTACGTGATACATTGTCTAACCCTCGTGGCTGGATGGCTCTGCTCTTGGACCAAGAGACCTACTCATTGCAATCTGAGAACCTTTGGATCAACAGATCTCTGCAGGTAACCCAAGGAATCCATTAGTTGGTATGCTGCATTCTCATTTGTTCTTATCTTTCTTTGTTTGAGATAATGGGTTGAAAGAGGAGCAGGTTATCTCGTTATTGAAAGTCTTGGCATATTCTGATGCAGATAAAGAAAACTTCAATAGTATTTTGGCCAGATGAATATAAGCTAAATATGAGATTTGGTTGCTTTTTAAACTTGAAAATTTTAGAATCTATTTATGTGTTATTGTGAATGCAGAATGGTTACGCCTGAAAATTTAAATTTATTAATACAATGAGAAACAACCTCTACACATCTTATAGCATTGCATTTCTTTAAAACTTATTGGTCAATAGCCAATTTACCCTAGAGAGAAGTGTTTGTAGCCAGAGAAAATGCCTTACCAAAGCATTTATACATTGCATACTGCCACCTTGTGGTCAAAGATTAACTTGCCAATCGAAGTCTGTATGAGTCCCCAGGCTGGATTGGGTTAAGGGAGACAAATAAGAGCAGTGAAGATAGAAATGGCCGTGTGGCAAGATGGCTTACTAGAAACAGAGACGTTCGGAGGCTACCATCGAAAAAACAAAACAAAAACATAATAAGCATGTGAAGCCTTCATCGGCAACCAAGGTATCCAGGTTCTCTTATCAAAATTGACTAGAAGGCTGGCGTGACCCACGGAGAGAAGGAAGAGCAGTGTGGTGCGGTGGCCCACCTGAGAGCCACACGGGGAAAAGGAACTCCGTTCCCCACAGCCAAGGGAGGCGGTGAGTGAGCCGCTACCCAGCCGGGGAAACTGCTTTTTCCACGGAATTGTGCAACCCATGGGTCGGAAGATCCCACTCGCGAACCCACACCACCACCCGGGCCTAGAGCCCTAAGCAGATTCTTACAGCCTCTCAGCTGGAATCTGCTTAAGCCTACCAAACTCCCGCGGGGAGGGGCGACCAGCACTGGCTGCAGCTGCCTGCTGTCTAAGCCATTTGAGCTCCCAGTTTGGAGCTCAGGAGAGGCAGCAGCCAGCACTGGGACTTGCAACTGCCTAACATGCTAAGCTCTGTGGATGGGGGAAAGGCAGCACCCATTTCTATAGCTCTAGGCTGCGTTTTTTCCCTGTTGGAGCCAGGGAGGCTGGATGGCTTTGTCCCAAGACTTGTCCCCACAGCCCAACATACCAGCTGTGGCTGTCTGCAGCCAGAGTGCCTCTTTGGGCCTAACTCTGACCCATCCTTCCTCAGTGGGCAGGCAGGGCTTCCCCGCAGGATCTCCAATAACTCCAGCCAGAGGCTCCGGGACAGAATTCATATCTCCCTGGGTCTGAGCCCCAGGGGGAGTGGGTAGCTGCAGTCTCCGTGGACCAGCAGACTTGGCCTGTCCTCCTGATAGTTCTGAGGAATCCCGGCAGCCCAGACGAGTGGGTTTCCCCCCAGTGAAACACACCCTCTCCACCAAGGGACAAAGTGCTTTGTTGAACGGGTCCTGCTCCTCATGCCACCAAACTGGGTGAGATCCTCCAACAGAGGTTGTCAGACACCCTATACAGGAGCGATCCTACTGGCATCAGGTTGGTGCCCCTCGAGGTCAGAGGTCCCAGAAGGAACAGACACCCATCTTTGCTGCACTCCTGTCTCCTTGAGTGACATCTCCAGGCATGGGAGCAAATCAGATGAATAGGGCCTGAAGTGAACCCCCAGCAAACTGCAGCAGCCCAACAGAAGAGGGACCCGAAAGAAAAACAAACAAGCAGAAAGCGACAACAACAGCATCAACAACAACAAAAACAACAAAAAGGCCCCCACAAAAATCCTATCCAAGGGTCAACAGCCTCAAAGACCAAAACTAGACAAGCTCAAAAGGATGAAAAAGAATCAACGAGAAAATGCTGAAAACCAAAAAGGCCAGAGTGCCTCTTCTCCTCCAAATGATCACAACATTTCTCCATCAAGGGCACAGAACTGGATGGAGGATCAAATGGATGAATTGAGAGACGTAGGCTTCAGAAGATGGGTAATAAAAAACTACAATGAGTGAAAGGAGCATGCTCTAACCTAATGCAAAGAGGCTAAGAACCTTGATAAAAAGTTAGAGGAATTGCTAACTAGAATATCCAGTTTAGAGAGGAATATAAACGACCTGATGGAGCCAAAAAACACAGCATGAGAATTTTGTGAAGCACACACAAGTATCAACAGCCGAATTGACCAAGTAAAAGAAAGGATATCAGAGTTTGAAGACCACCTCACTGAAATAAGACATGCACACAAGAAAAAAGAATGTAAAGGAATGAACAAGGTCTCCAAGAAATATGGGATTTCATAAAAAGACTGAACCTATGATTGATTGGAGTACCAGAAGGAGACAGGGAGAATGGAAAAAAGCTGGAAAACACACTTCAGGATATTATTCAGGAGAAGTTCCCCAACCTAGCAAGACAGGCCAACATGCAAATTCAGGAAATGCAGAGAACACCATTAAGACACTCTATGAGAAGACCAACCCCAACTCCATGAGAAGACCAACATATAATTATCAGATTGTCCAAGGTCAAAATGAAGGAAAAACTGTTAAAGGCAGCCAGAGATAAAGGCCAGGTCACCTACAAAGGGAAGCCCATCAGACTAACAGCAGACTTCTCAGGAGAAACTCTATAAGCCAGTGGAGATTGGAAGCCAATATTCAACATTCTTAAAGAAAAGAATTTTCAACCCAGAATTTCATATCCAGCCAAACTAAGTTTCATAAGCAAAAGAAAAATAAAATCTTTTCCAGATAAGCAAATCCTGAGGGATTTCGTTACCACCAGACCTGCCCTGCAAGAGCTGAAAGAAGCACTAAATATGGAAAGGAAAAACCGGTACCAGCCACTATAAAAACACACCAAAATATAAAGACCAATGACACTACAAAGAAACTGCATTGACTAGTGTGCAAAATAACTAAATTATATCAAGATGACAGGATCAAATTCACACATAACAATACTAACCTTAAATGTAAATGGGCTAAATGCCCCAATTAAAAGACACAGATTGGCAAATTGGATAAGGAGTCAGGCACCCATCAGTGTGCTGTATTCAGGAGACCCATCTTATGTGCAAAGACACACACAGGCTCAAAATAAAGGGATGGAGGAAAACTTACCAAGCAAATGGAAAGAAAAAAAAAAAAACAGGGTTTGCAATCCTAGTCTCTGATAAAACAAACTTTAAACCAACAATGATCAAAAAAGACAAAGAAGGGTATTACATAATGGTAAAGGGAACAATGCAACAAGAAAAGAAACGCTAACTATCTAAATATACATGCCCCCAATACAGGAGCACCCAGATTGATAAAACAAGTTCTTAGAGACCTACAAAGAGACTTAGACTCCCACACAATAATAGTGGGAGACTTTAATACCCCACTGTCAGTATTAGACAGATCAATGAGACAGAAAATTAACAAGGATATGCAGGACTTGAACTCAGCTCTGGATCGAGTGGACCTAGTAGACGTCTGCAGAACTCTCTATCCCAAATCAACAGAATATACATTCTTCTCAGAGCCACATGGCACTTAATCTAAAATCGACCACATAATTGGAAGTAAAACACTCCTCAGCAAATGCAAAATAACTGAAATAATAACAAACAGTCTCTCAGACCACAGTACAATCAAATTATAACTCAGGATTAAGAAACTCACTCAAAACCACAAAATTTCATGGAAATTGAACAATCTGCTCCTGAATGACTCCTGGGTAAATAATGAAATTAAGACAGAAAGAAGTTCTTTGAAACCAATCAGAACAAAGAGAAAATGTATCAGAATCTCTGGGACACAGCTAAAGTAGTGTTAAGAGGGAAATTTATAGCACTAAATGCCCACATCAGAAAGCTAGAAAGATCTCAAATCGATACCCTAACATCACAATTAAAAGAGCTAGAGAGTCAAGAGCAAACAAATCCAAAAGCCAGCAGAAGACAAGAAATAACTAAGATCGGAGAAGAATTGAAGGAGTTATAGACACAAAAAACCCTCCAAAAAAATCAACGAATCCAGGAGCTGGTTTTTTGAAAAAATTAACAAAATAGATAGACCGCTAGCTAGATTAACAAAGAAGAGAAAAGAGTCAAATAGAAACAATAAAAAATGATAAAAGGGATATCACCACTGACCCCACAGAAATACAAACTACCATCAGAGAATACTATAAACATGTCTATGCAAATAAACTAGAAAATCTAGGAGAAATGGATAAATTCCTGGATGCATACACCCTACCAAGACTAATCCAGGAAGAAGCTGAATCCCTAAATAGACCAATAACAAGCCTTGAAATTGAGGCAGTAATTAATAGCCTAATTAATAGCCTACAACCAAAAAAAGCCCAGGACTAGATGGATTCACAGCTGAATTCTACCAGAGGTACAAAGAGGAACTGGTACCATTCCTTCTGAAACTATTCCAAACAATTGAAAAGGAGGGACTCCTCCTTAACTCATTTTATGAAGCCAGCATCATTCTGATACCAAAACTGGGAAGAGACACAATGAAAAAAGAAAATTTCAGGCCAATATCCCTGATGAACATCAATGTGAAAATCCTCAATAAAATACTGGCAAACCAAATCCAGCAACACATCAAAAAACTTATCCACCATTATCAAGTCGGCTTCATCCCTGGGATGCAAGGCTGGTTCAACATACACAAATCAATAAACATAATCCGTCACATAAACAGAACCAAAGACAAAAACCACTTGATTTTTTTCAATAGATGCAGAAAGGGCCTTTGATAAAATTCAACATCCCTTCATGTTAAAAGCTCTCAGTAAGCTAGGTATTGATGGAACATATCTCAAAATAATAACAGCTATTTATGACCAACCCACAACAAATGTCATATTGAATGGGCCAAAGCTAGAAGCATTCCCTTTGAAAACCAGCACAAGACAAGGATGCCCTGTCTCACCAGTCTTATTCAACATAGTATTGGAAGTTCTGGCCGGGTAATCAGGCAAGAGAAAGAAATAAAGGGCATTGAAATAGGAAGAGAGGAAGTCAAGTTGTCTCTCTTTGCAGATGACATGATTTTATACTTAGAAAACCCCATCATCTCAGTCAAAAAATTTCTTGAACTGATAAGCAACTTCAGCTTCAAAGTCTCAGGATACAAAATGAATGTTCAAAAATCACAAGCATTCCTTTACACCAACAATAGGCAAGCAGAGAGCCAAATCATGAATGAACTCCTATTCACAATTGCTACAAAGAGAATAAAATACCTACGTATACAGCTAACAAGCAGTGCGAAGGACCTCTTCAAGGAGAACTACAAACCACTGCTCAAGGAAATAAGAGAGGACACAAACAAATGGAAAGACATTCCACGCTCATGGATAGGAAGAATCAATGTCGTGAAAATGGCTATACTGCCCAAAGTAATTTATAGATTCAATGCTATTCCCATCAAACTACCACTGACATTCTTCACAGAATTAGAAAAAAACATTTTAAATTTCACATGGAATCGAAGAAGACCCTGTATAGCCAAGACAATCCTAAGCAAAAGAACAAAGCTGGAGGCATCACACTACCTGACTTCAAAGTATACTGCAAGTCTACAGTAACCAAAACAGCATGGTACTGGTACCAAAACAGACATATAGACCGATGGAGCAGAACAGAGACTTCAGAAATAACACCACACATTTACAACCATCAGATCGTTGACAAACCTCATAAAAACAAGCAATGGGGAAAGGATCTCTTATTCAGTAAATGGTGCTGGGAAAACTGGGTAGCCATATGCAGAAAACTGAAACTGAACCTCTTCCTTACACGTTATACAAAAATTAACTCAAGATGGATTAAAGACTTACATGAAAAACTCAAAACCATAAAAACCCTAGAAGAAAACCTAGGCAATACCATCCAGGACATAGGCATAGGCAAAGACTTCATGACGAAAATGCCAAAAGCAATTGCAACAAAAGCAAAAATTGACAAATGGGATCTAATTAAACTAAAGAGCTTCTGCACAGCAAAAGAAACTATCATCAGAGTGAACAAGCAACCTACAGAATGGGAGAATATTTCTGCAATCTACCCATCTGACAGAAGTCTAATATCCAGAATTTACAAGGAACTTAAACATATTTACAAGAAAAAGACAAACAACCCCATCAAAAAGTGGGCAAAGGATATGAACAGACATTTCTCAAAAGAAGACATTTACGCGGCCAACAAACATGAAAAAAAGCTCAACATCATTGATCATCAGAGAAATGCACATCAAAACCGCTATGAGATACCATCTCATGCCAGTCAGAATGGCAATTATTAAAAAGTCAGGAAACAATGAAAGCTGGTGAGGCTGTGGAGAAACAGGAACGCTTTTACACTGTTGGTGGGAATGTAAATTAGTTCAACCATTGTGGAAGACAGTATGGCAATTCCTCAAGGACCTAGAACCAGAAATACCATTTGACCCAGCAATCCCATTGCAGGGTATGTACCCAAAGGATTATAAATTATTCTACTGTAAAGACACATGCACATGTATGTTTATTGCCACACTATTTACAATAGCAAAGACATGGAAAATGCCCATCAATGATAGACTGGATAAAGAAAATGTGGTACATACACATCATGGAATACTATGCAGCCATAAAAAGGAATGAGATCATGTCCTTTTCAGGGACATGGATGAAGCTAGAAGCCATCATCGTTAGCAAACTAACACAGGAATAGAAAACCAAACACTGCATGTTCTCACTCATAAGTGGGAGTTGAACATTGAGAACACATGGACATGGAGAGGGGAACAACACTCACCAGGGCCTGTTTGGGGGTAGGAGGTGAGGGGAGGGAACTTAGAGGATGGGTCAATAGGTGCAGCAAACCACCATGGCACACGTATACCTGTGTAACAAACCTGCACGTTCTGCACCTGTATCCTGTTTTTTTTTTTTTCAGAAGAAATAAAAAAAAAAACTAAAAAAAAAAAAATGGCCATGAGGAAAGTGGGTACATTTTTCCATATTTTTAAACAGCAATCCAGTGGAATTCCCTAAGCTTATTTTCATACTTTTAACACATATATTTCTTCCTATCTTATCATACACATTCTTGCTAACAGTCCTGAGAGCCTATCTTAGGGAGACAGAAGCCCTGCCATGGTCATGAGGAATTCAGAACAGAATCACTTTTGATCTTCTCTCCATGGCTTTCAGAAAGGATGTACGCCTCTCTTTTCTTGCCTTGAGATTCCCGTGAGAGCACTCTGGAGAATTTTCATGCAGTGAAAACAGTAGGGTGTGCCTCTGGAGGTGGATACCCTAGGTTTATGTCCTGACACTGCACTCTTCTGCTTTGTGATATGGGGCAAGCTACTGAACCTCTGCCTGCCTCAGTTTCCTCAATGTAAAAATGGGACAGTAAGAGTAACAATGACAGGGGTGCCTTTCGAGGACTGAATAGTGCTGATTGCATAGTAAATGCTCCCACAATGTTAGCTATTACTGTGATAAATGGATGACATGCCTATCATTGCCTGTCGCTTCAAGTCGTGGGAAAAGCTGGAAAGGAATTCTAGACCTGGCCTTGTCTCTTCTAGCTGTTTGACCTGAGACGTGTCAATTCATATGTCTGGGCCTTGGCTTTCTCCTCTGGTAATTGAGATTGTTAAACGAGATGAACCTTATGGCATCTTTCAGTCTTCATAGTCTGATTTTGTAGCTCTAGTTATGAATTTTTTATGAAGTAGATTTAAGTATTCCCATTTCCCACAAGAAAAGTACAATCTGGGTCTAAATTGTATGATTTCTAAACTACTCCATCTGCGTTCTCTGTAGTTGTTTTGGCAGGGTGGTGTGGTGGAGTAGGTGGAATGATGGGGTTCCTTACTAAATGAGCACTATTGTGTTTTTCTTTCACTTCAAGTACTCAGCAACCTTTGACAACTTTGCTCCTGGTAATTACCTACTGCTGGTGCACACAGATTTGCCGCCTTACCCTGACATCCTCCTAAGATGTGGGAGTCGAGTGGGTCTGTCTTTTCCATTTCTTCCATCACCAGGTCAGAACCAAGGCTGTGACTGGTTCTTCAATAGCCAGCTGAGGCAACTCACCTATCTGGGTAAGTATCCAATTGGATGAATGTTTTGAGAGCACATAGTCAGAAATCACCAATCACCCTTCAATTCCAGACATTTGTGCTGTGAAGTGCTGAGGAACTGAAAGGGACAGCTGTGTGTTATGGTTGAGTGAATGTTCCCTGAAGTCTGATTGCCTGGGTTTAAATCCCAGCTCCAACACTCACCAGCTAGCATACACAGAGCCTCTCTAAGGCTCAGCCTCCTCCTCTATAGAGAAGTATGACCATAGGGCCTACCTCAAAGGATAGGAAATTAAATAAAGAATAACATGTAAAACTCTTGAGCAGAAGGCCTAGCCCACAAAAAATGCTTACTAGACATTGGTAGTTAGTACTAATAATATCTTTAATTCATCTTAGGGCAGTGTCATATTTGTTTGTAGTGGAACAACTGCACATGTAAAGATGGATGGCTGTGCTTTAGTCTAGGAGTTTGAGACCAGCCAGGGCAGCAAAGTGAGACCCCATCTCTCCAAAAAAAAAAAAAAAAAAAAAATGCTGGGCATGGTGGCATGTGCCTGTGGTCCCAGCTACTTGGAAGGCTAAGGTGGGAGGATCAGTTGAGGCCAGGAGTTTGATATCAGCCTAGACAACAGAGTGAGACCTAATCTCTACAAAAAATTAAATAAATTAGCTGGGTGTGGTGGCGCATGCCTGTAGTCTCAGTTACTTGGGAGGCTGAGGTGGGAGGATAGCTTGAGCCCAGGAAGTTGAGCCTGCAGTGAGCCATGAGCATGCCACTGCACTTCAACCTGGGCAAGAGATTGAGACCCCATCTCAAAAATAAAAAAAAGAAAGAGAAAAAAATGGATGGCTGATTATGACCATTGGTATGAGGAACAGTAGAGAGTCCAAGGTAGAGAGTACCAATGCAGAGAGAGGCTGAATTAAGACGGAAGTTTATGTAGAAGGTGAGAAGGAAAACTTCTGATGAGAATCTGAGGTCAGGAAGATGAGTAGCATGGAGGGCTGATATGAGCACTAGGGGTGGGCTGTGTCTGTTTTACGTCAAGATTAACATGAGGTTGAAGTAATCAGGAACCCTACTGTGACTGCAGAGTCACAGAGGCCAAAGGTTTTTCCTTATCTTCTTACTGTGCATGTTTCTCAGGATACCAGTGTGTCAGGACCATCCACTTCTTTTGATTTCCTGGAGTTTATTTCATATTCCTTTTCTATACCATGTCAGCATTGGTCTCTCTGAGCACCATGGTACCTGCTTGTTCCAATCGCAGCTCACTGTGAGGCCACTTCTTACAGTAAAAAGGAGAATCTGGCTAAATAGGTCTCAAGAGTGACAATTTTGTTATAAATTGCTCTTAGTAGATCCTGGTCAAATCCAGGGGATCTTATTAGCATAACAAGTTCTAGCCCCTGCCACAAGCCCAAGGTGGCCATGGATTTAGAGGGCGAGGCAATGGTCCTGAGTCCACCCTTTGCCTCTTTCACTTGTGCCTAACCATAAGTCCAGTGAGTCGGACCTACAGGCTAGCCCCAGAACTGTTAAATTTTAATAGCATCAGAGAGAGAGTCTGGTGCTCCCTTGGTCTTTTTTTATGTCTTTGCCAAAAGGATTGTCGTATATTTTATTTGCACTGAATTATACCATTCAAATTTTATTTCTGATTTGATCCATTCATAAATGTAACCTAAAACTATAAAAACTTGAGACGGACAGAGATTCCTGAGATTGTTTTACCACTTCAGCCGAATACAGCCATAAATAAGAGTAAATAGTTACCATTAACTTTATGGCTATTCACTTGATATGTATTCTGGAACAAAATTTTAATCTGAATTGCTCTCTTTCCATTACTTAGCCTGCTTCTGAAGAGGCTGTCTTGTCCATAGGTCATATTCTGTTCATGAACTGCAAAATAATCTGAATACTCAAATAAACTAAACGTAATAAAAACCATTTATGGTACAAAGAAAAAAAATTAAATCATGCAGCTATAGATTTTCTTCCCTTATGATAGCATTATTAATTGAATTAATAGCAAGTTATACTATTATATATACACATATGGTATAAATGCACATCTGTGTAAGTAGCTGTGTGAATGTGCATGTGTGCTTATATGTAGAGGTACATCTGTATCTGTGCATATGTATGATATAAATGAATGTCTTAGTATAAAACACTTCTATTAGGTAGATAGCCTTTATTAATTTTTAAAAATTATTTGTATTGGAATACCCTAGTATCTCCTCCTTTGAATATGAGTTGGAAAAGGAATAAGAAGTCACAGAGGATTTGTTGAATGTTTAACAAACTTGGAGACTCTTGCTTCTTGAAGGGATTCCCCGTAGGATCTTTTATGGTCATTGGTGCCTCCTTTATCCTCTGAGTGTATGGAGTGGATAGCTGGCTAGAGCCACTTCTGTTCTCATTTCTGGGCTGTCACAGTGATGGTATGAGGACTCAGCAGGAACTGAGGCTCACCCTGCTCCTCCATGGCAGTGCGCCATGTAGCTATACTGGGTTGTGTAAATTTAGCTGTAATTTTGGATATCATCTGTGTAAAGTTTATAAGATCTTTAGCAAGGTGGTGATTAGGCTTCCACGTTTTCCATATACCTGACTGCATTTCCCAATGCCATAATGGTAGTTGCTGTTGTTGGTACCCGAGCAAGAGCCCAAGAAGTAGAGTTCCAGTTCTGTGCCATGCATTTTATATATTGATTAGATTGTAACTTTCACTTAACTGTTTTTTTCAGACCACTTGACTTTATAGGACCATGACTGGGATAATTTACATAAAATACATTTAATCTATGCAGATGGTGTAAGTCAAGACCACATAGTCTATGTGGACATATTCCTGGGATGAAAAACATGGGAAATGTGTGTATACAGAAATTTATTTTATTGTAGGGAAGCTGCTTGATCTCTATCATGGCCACGGAATTCCATATTAGATTTTTTTGGGGGTGTGGCTCCTTTTCTTGGCTGGCATTTCCTTCAGAGTGCTGCTTCACTGACAACTGGCTGAATTTTCATTCACTGGTTGACCACTTCTAAGTGGGCCATCTTTTGTATTGTTTTACCACTTCCCCCAGGATAGGAAGTTTTAGAAAAATCACAATTATCTTCATTTCCTCTGTTTGGCTGCTGCATGTGTGATTTAAGATACCTGACTCATCTTCAACCCAGCTGAGTGGAAAAAACCTGAACCCAGGCATTCTAGCTCCTGGCTGTGGCTCTCTCCACTAGAGTGTGCTGCCCACTAAATAATTGTGGATCACTGACCAGAAAGGATGGCGGGGGTGCTAGGCAGGGTTGTGGGAGAACCCTTCTCAAGGATTCCCAGTGACAAAGAAAAAAATCATACGCATACAATATGTTTTGACCCTTGCATTTTTCTTTTCTACCAAGGCAAGTTTTGCCTTTGCTCAGCAAACATCTTCACGGAGTGCAGTTTTTTTGGAAAGCTCATGGCCAGTGCTTGGGGCTTAGGGTTTTAATCAGTGGCTGGCTGGTTATTTTACCTGGGGCATTGCATTATAATTGCTCCATGCCTCAGTGGCTTTGTTTACACAGCAAGGTTAAGAAAATACTTACTTGTCTCTTGGAATTGTGGCACAAAACATCCAAATATATTCAAGTGTGGTTAATGTGCCATGTTATTTCACCAACGTTTTCCTGATAGACTATTTCTCTAGAAGTTTTCTTTCTTTTTAGAAGATTAACAATACCATGTGTCATGAGCTCAGTGTATATGTTATAACCTTTCTGAAAGGGTCTCCCTCTATTTTCTTTTACTAGATTTTTGTGAGATAAATGGGATTCACCATAATATGACATATATGATATATTGTTCCCGTGATTGAAATGTGATGCCACTTAAGCAATTGTTAGCCACAGAATAAGATAACCTCACTCATTTAAAAAGATCTGTTAGGGAGATTGGTTCATGTTGCCTTTCTAAAGCTGCTGAGAATTTTGCCCAAGGAGCTACTTATGAAACAGACCACAAGTGAAGAACCTTGTGTGCACTATTGTTTGTGTTAGGATGCTGCAGGAGCAATATTTGATGTGATAAACAATTATGAATACGATGAACTATTATCGTGTATCCCAACTGTAGCTTCTATGCCGTGCTTGGGAATGGGTATGACTGTAGAACAAGTGTTCTTTTATATTTGCAAAGTTGGGAGAAAAATCCAGCAAGCCCATTTTTCCCTTCATGCGATTTGATGCCCTGACTGCTCATGTCTTTGCCTTACAGAGCCAGTTTCCCACTGCCTCTTTCCCTGCTGTTTTTTTCCAAGGATGTTTCAGTTCATGGTGAACTATTTTTATTTTTTAGTTACATTAACGCTATGAAATAATTAGTCAGCTAATTAATCTGGTTTACAAGCTTTGTAGGATTCTTCAGCTGTCAGTCAGGCCCAGGCCTGAGGCCTACATCGAGTCTCAGCTCTCTTGCCCATGTGATTCCTGTTGCCATGGCTACTGGCTACATCTGCTGACACCCCACTCTCTATTTATTGCTTAATTAAGAATTTCACGCTCAGCCTTTATCTGCCTCTAAGAACAAGCGCACACTGTTAAGAAATTCCAAATTTAGGCCCAGGCACAAGGAAAGCCTTTCTTATGGGCTTGGCTGTATGGAGCCTCTCTAACGATCCTCTCGGCATCCCAGCCGCCACCCTTCAATCAAAAATCATTAAATGGGGCAGAGATAATGAGCATGTAGCATATCAAAAGAAGGATGTTTGCTTGGTCCAAAGGAGGAAAAGCTGCTTGGCCCCACGCTCAGCTCCACTTCAAAGGGAGATGAGACCTCTCAACACTGGGGCCTGATAATGCCTCATTTGTTCTTGGCTTGACTTATGCAAAAGGTCTGGTATGTCAGAGTCCAGTCTCACAGACGTGGGTTTCCCCCACCTCTTGCCTCCACCTCCACCAGCCCCCTCCCTGGCCTTCTGCACACTCCTGTGTCAGCACTTAGGCAGCTGGGTCCCCCAAAGCATCAGAGGGAGCGTATAATCACTGACTTTCCACTCACAATGGCCACTTGTAGGGGGGTGGCCAGGAGGAGGTCTTCATCACAATAGGAACACAATTATTGCAGCTGCTAGGGAGGGCTATGCTTCTTCCTGTAGAAATAGAATAGGACTTGCCCAAAACAGGAGGAGAAGATTGGAGGGAGGCGGGGGGAGGTTGAGAAGGGTGGAGAAAACAATCTTGAGTTGATTATTCATAATCTGACTCTTGGAAGCCCGATGCAGAGTCAGTGGGGTTCCAGCAGCTGCTCGCACACAGCCTTCTTCTAATAATTGTACATTCTGTCAGGGGTCAACTTACTTTTGACCCTGTCCTTTTATATTGGTAAAAGGCTCTTTAGGGCAAACTGTTGGGTTGTGGCAGGGTGCATTAAACACAGCCCCTTCCCCTAGCTTGATCCCCCTCCCGACCAGCAGCCGGTGATAAATTCATATCAGATGCTGTGCCATTCACAGTTGCCCTCCCGAGTTCACACAGCCCCCACTCATGGAGCAGAGATGCAGCCGAGCTGGGACATTGTGTGAGGCGGCAGCTGAGAAGGTCTGCCTGTAAGGCTGAGGCTCCTGCTGCACCACCACCTTCTGATCTGACTGAGAAAAAAAGGACATGTCTAGCCAGGCTGGCCAACACTTGTGTCCAAATGTCCGCCTCACCACGAATAAAGGGCAAGAGGGCTGTGCATGGAAAGGCAGATGGACTTTATTGTGTGTGCCAAGTTGCCTAGAAGAACTCAGGTCTGTCTCATCACAAAGATGGGTCAGAAAAGATGCTGTTAATTTGGGAGAGCCTAAAAAATCAGGAGTGCTTTCCTGGGTTGGAGCCTAGGCTCCTGATCCTGTCTACCACTGCCCAGGTTTCCTTTCCTCAATGCAACAAGGGCCCTGGAGCCAAGCAGGCTGCTTGCATAAATCTTCTCTTCTTCAGCTGGCCTAGAAGACTGCCTGCAAATCCTGGAAAATAATTCCTTTAGGATCTAAGGAGGAGAGTGGCGTCAGCTGGCTCCTGTGACCTCTTGGGGAAGATTTTGTAGGCAGAGCGGAATCAGAATCTTTTTGCAACTCTGCAGCCATTCCCATGCTGAGCCCCTCTAAGGCAATCCACAGCATTCTAGTTAATAAATTAATTTACATTCTTATGAAAAACTCATTCCCAAAGATCCCCAAGGATTTTTACCAGTATGTAGAGAATTGACTTCAGGGAACTGCACTAACCTTTATGGCAAAAATATAGATAACAGAACAGAGGCTGGGGATGTGAAAAGGGATTTTGCCTCTTGGTTGGAAACAACTCCAAAAGGAAAAGGCAGGAAGAGAAGGAGAAAAGGAAGGAAAGGAGAGGAGAGGAGAGAAGAGGAGAGGAGGAGAAAGGAAAGGGAAGGAAACTTAGAATCAAATACATCTTTTAGGAATCACTCAGGTTAAGGAGTTAATGCTCCGCAATGCTGAGTTGCTAGCCTTAATTCACACAGGTCATAGGTGGTGCAACCAGTATTCAAATAGCTTTTCTGACTCTAGGTTCAGTGCTTTTTCTAGTATACCATCTTTTCTTTTTTTAAATCTGAGCTTATATACCTAACCTTTTAAACCAACTCTTCTTCTTTCAATTTATAAGAAAAAACAATACTTAGTTAACACTGTGCTTCCTGAACTTTAGATATTTTAGTACCATTTTCATAATTGTGTCATATCCTTATACCTCTTGTCTGATTATTTACTTAATATTTTTCTTAAATCAATTTCTACACTGTCTTATTTTTAAAACCTAACTTTTCTTAATAATATCCATGAAATCATGGGTTTAATGGGTTAGTTGTTTTTTTCTAAAATACTTTACAATGTATAGATACTAAAATGAAACTTTTTATGCCTCTAAAGTAACCATTGTGCATTTAACATCTTGGGAATATGATTTGGTCTGTAAGGGTTTGGTATAATTGATAAAAAGTACGAATTGTGAAGTAAGGATCTTTTCCATCTGGGTCTCGCTCTTTACTTGGTAAGAACACCTGCTCCTGAGAACAAACAATATTTTAAGAGTGTAGTATGAGAAAATTTGTTTAGTTCCTTACATTTGTGTTTTTTTGCCTCCTGTGTAAACAGCTGAAATGCTTATTCCCAGGACCCTCCTGAGAGATTCAGGCTGTGTAGGTCTGTGGCAGGGTCTGGGAAATCACAAATACCTCCACAGAAGTATGAAAAACATTGCTCTGAGTCAGAATAACAATTGTTATTCTTCTCTGAGTTAATTAAGAAGGTTTAATTGAGCTAACTTTCAGGATTGTGGCTAATGCAGATATATGTGTTGGTGTCTTGATCAAGTTCTTTTCCTTTTGTCCCCCCCAAAATTCACTGTTTCATAAGTGAATGATACAGGGATAATAGAAGACTCAAAGGTAATCACAGGATTTTCATATACTATTTCTGTGAACGCCTTTAAAGGATCATGTTTTATGAGGGCCAAGATGCCTTCCGTGGCTGCCTCTGAGGCTGGAATCAGACAGGAGTGTGGTCCTGTAAATCAAGCTTTAGCTGCCAAGGACTAACTGACAAGCAAGCCTTCTCTGTGGCTAAGCCAAAGAGGTCAGCTTCTGAGGAATGAGGTCAAATTCACTGAGCAGGACAGGAGGAATAGAAGGAGTGTACAGATTTGTGAGTCAGGACAGGGAAAAGATGTGGAGGCAACAGAGGAGGTAACAGAGAGGTTGTGGAGGTAAGAGGTAAAAATGCAGAGAGAGCCAACAGCCAGCACAAGAAGACAGAGCTGGGGCTTGGGTCCAGGGCAGGCAGAGACGGAAAGAGAAGTCATGAGTCAGGGTGGGACTGCATGACATTTGCAGACACTGATTGCAGTTGCTGTTTTATGTTCTTTCACTGTTTAGTCAGTGGCTGACACACTAGATAAATGTGGCCTGAGTGAGAGGTCCTAATATGTGCATAAACTAAAACGACAAAGTGAGAATGAGAATATGAATGAAAGAGTGAAATAGGGAAGGAGTCTATAACCTACTAAGATTCCATGTGTTTTTTATTTTTAAATAAATGGGTGCTTATTTCTCCCTCTAAAATTTCAAGAGAGAATTAGACCTGGTTAGGGAGAGAATTAATTAATTTTTCTGTTTCCTAGAGCCTTAAGTGAGGATAGAGTTCTTCAGACACAACACATTAACCTGGTAGGACCTCGTATCACATCTACTTTAGTAACTCTCTTTTCTCTTACCAGGAGCCATTTTCTTAGCACATTTCCTCTTCACCCTAGATGTCTGTGTTTATAGCAAGTTTAGATCACATAGCACTCGTCAGAAAAAGTTGGCAATAATTGGCCCAAAGACTTTTTTTTTGTCTTTTTGAGCATCAGATCTTCTTACAATCTGGGAAGGATCAACTACAATGGGGCTCCATTTATAAACACGGAAGATTAACCATTCTCATATTACAAATACAAAATCAGAAATCATAAGCACTGAGAAAACATATGTACAATATCACAGCTTGTGTAAGGCTTTTAAACTCTTCCCAAGTCAATACCTTCATTCTCAAATGATTTTCATCCCTCTTTGTATTTATTCAAATTGGAAATGACACTTCACATTTACAGTTCTTTGTAGAGTCAACACACTTAACAAACTTTAGCAGATCTGGTTAAGTTGCTTACAACTCTGTAATACTACAGCTCATCATGATTAGATACAGCTGTAAAAAGAGTAGAAAGTAAAAGCATGTTTCTTGAACCTTGTTGACTGGCACCTGGAATCATGAACATGCCATAATGACAGTATTGATAATAGTTAACATTTATTGTTCATGATGTGCCAGGCACTGTGCTAAGCATGTTCCATGGACTATTCTATCTTTTCTTTCTAATAGCCATATGAGATAGATAGTATGATTATTCCCACTTTTAGATGAAATGAATAAGGTTTAGAAATGGCAAATAACTTGTCAGTGGCCCATGTCTAGGAACCAGAAGAGCCAGGATTCAGATTCAGGCTGTTGGGCTCCAGCACCCACATTCTTCCCACCATTCACTATTGTCATGACCATGACCAGGAAATGGTGTTTGGGAAGAGATAGCCCTCTGTCTCATACTCATCTGCCCCCAGATGCATGTAGATGGTGGTATAGGAAATCAGACTTCTAATTTTTCCTGCTTTTGTTAACTTTTCTGTATCTGTTCTGATCCTGAAACTACTTCTCTTCACTGACTGGCATTCACACACTCAACGTTAATGAAGTGAGCAACAGATTTTCAATATATTTTTTAGTTTTGCAATGTCTGTTTTGGTAGGGAGTTCTCCTGGAGGTAGGGACCATTTGTGCGTGTGTAGAGGTTTAAGAAAATCATTCACCACTCAGTCCAGAAGCCATTGGTGCAGTGTAGTGGAAAGAGCTACAGATACAAGATTAAACCTAGGATTTCTAAATTGGCCCATGAAAATGAAGTATCTACATTTCTAGCAATATCTGGTCTCATAAGGTGCATGAGAAAAATCTCTCTCTCAAAAATTTGAAGACAAAGCTAATTATTGATGAAATCTTAAATTATCAGTTGGTGCTTAATAAATATTTATTAAATTGAGAACAAGTTTGGGATGAATATCACAGGATGGATTTAGAAGTACTTTAGAACTTTAGAGAATGCACAAATCAACGTGAACAGAAGTGGATGAGTTAGACCTTATTTTAAAAAAAGGAAATGACACCTTGACTGGTGGCTTTATTATTAGTATTAAGTTAGAAAGATGCATGAAATAAGCAACAGGGTGAAGGAACAATTTAAGCAAAGTCTTGGAAGTGGTGATAAAGGTAGAACATGTCAAGAGCATGTTGTCATTGTACCAGGTCTCAACATGTGGCAGTGTAAGGAGAAAGACACAAACTCATGCTTTACATCCTTAGAAAAATTTTAAAAAGAGAAAATGACCAAAATAAGATTAGAGAAATTGAAGAGGTCTCATCATGGATCTCTTTGGGGATCATTTTCTTTGTAATATTCTGAGGCTTATATTTTATTTTTATTTTTCATTTTTTAGTTTTTTCAAGACAGAGTCTTGCTCTGTCACCCAGGCTGGAGTGCAGTGGCGTGATCTTGGCTCACTGCAACCTCCACACTGCAGGGTTCAAGCAATTCTCCTGCCTCAGCTTCCCTAGTAGCTGGGATTATAGGAGTGCACCAGTACGCATGGCTAGTTTTTGTGTTTTTAGTAGAGATGGGTTTTACCATGTTGGCCAGGCTGGTCTTGAACTCCTGACCTCAAGTGATCCACCCACCTCAGCCTCCCAAAGTGCTGGGATTACAGGCATGAGCCACAGCGCCTGGCTGCTTATGTTTTATATTTAGAAAGAATGATCCTGTGTTTATTTCATCTGATGGAGGAAAGGGTTTAGGGTTCCAGGAAAACAAAAGTGGAGAATGTGAATTTGGCCGAGTCCCCAAGGCTGCAGCCTTCAGCAACAAGGGGTGCTCCAGTGGTGGAAGGTGTGGCTCATGTGACAAACAATAAGGCAGAAAGGTAATTAACCAATAAGAGACAAGGTGTGACTGAAAAATGGAGTTTGTGCACCTGATTACTAATTAATCAGGCGTGAGAGCACCTTGTAGATGCATTCACTATTTAATTATAGCAGCCTCTCTTGGCAAAGGAGCATATGTTCCCAGCTTAATCTACTGGTTTATCCTGACATCAAATTGTCATTATCAGAAAGAATCAGGCCTTTTGATTATTTCCACTAATTTATTGAACGCTTAAAATTAATGAACCCCAGGCCTTTTAAATGTGCTCAGTTGGCTTGGATGATAGGAGGAGGATAGGGGGTGGGGAAAAGGCTTCATTAAAAGGACAATTTGTTTGGATAAAGGTAACCAAATACATTTCATGGATGATCTGAACTCTATTGGTGAAAAACACATGAATTCTAAAAGCTGAGCCTACAAAATGATGAAGAGAAAATAGGATATGAGGTATATGCCCTGCTGGACACCATTGGCTTCCTTAGAACATATGGCTAAAGGTTTCGTTTCTGTTTTTGTTTCTCCTAATTATTTATGTGCCAGTTCTCCTGGAGACCTCATTGCAATTACATTTAATCAAATGAAAGCAATCAAAATCAAATGTTGGAAATCAATTGTTAGATTAACTAACAAGGATTTCATTTTTCTGTTTTGAAAATTTAGGCAACTAGAATTTAGCATAAATTCTTCTTTTCTCACGTGTGACTGTCTTTAATATTAAGATGATCTTTGTATCACATGCAAGTTGTGGCTTTTGGTATTTAGTTTCAGGTGAAGGCCAAGTTCAAGTCATTCTCCGGGTGAAGGAAGGTATGCCCCCAACTATTTCAGGTGAGTATTAACACACGAAGTAGAAGTGTCTAGTATGGCAGAATGTCCTCCAGTAGTTCTACAAATTCCACCTTGTCATACTGTTAATAAACAGGCAGGTATCAGTCCTAAAGCTTATATGTCTGATAACTCTCTATTGTGTTGCCCTGTAACTAAAATATGTATCTGCATGTCAAAAAAGGATATAAAGGTGGATTTATTTTTCAAAGCAATGAAAGTAAGAATTGAAACATGTAAATAAGCACATTTCATAAATTATGGACCATATGTGCACATAGGACTCCAGATCTGCAGATGGGCTATTAGGCCCCCTCCAAATGGAAAGAAAAATTCAGGGTATCTCTAAACTTTAATTGTTCCTGGTAATTTCAGGAAATCAGGGTAAACAAACCCTCCTCAAAAGTCAGATGGTTCTATGAAATCTTTCTAACTCAAAAAGCCAAATTCTCAAAAACTAAATGTCTCCTAAGCACCTTCTGATGTATTTCATTGTTTGTTTTTGTTTATTCTGAGTCAATTTAACTATACATTTGCAAGAGGAATAAATCTTTTCAAACGCAGAGATTTCTTTTAATTTTCAGTGGCATTTTTGTGCTATGTCAGAGCAGAGCCCATGCTAATCAGAAAATGATCTAATTCCTCTGTTTAAATTAATAGGTAAATGAGGTAAGAGGACTGGACTAAAACTATAAATGATAATCCTGAAGGTTACTACTCCATGCTTATTGGACTATGAAGAATGTGATTCAAGATTGTTTTCAGAATGTTTTCTGAGCTGCCACCACACTTTGTTTTTTATGTTCCTTGTCCTTCATCTCTCTTTGCCTTTAGGTGGTTCAAAATGCCTTGTTTATTGAGTGCCTTTTATGCAAGGTGTGGGGGATACCATGATGAGCAAGATGGAATGAACTTTGACTTTATGGGGTCTTATGATCTCTTGGGGATGTCAGTCAAACTACTAAGTAATCAATTAATACAGTTGTTTAAAAATTACTGTTATAAGGAAAAGGATAGTTTTCTCTTCTTTGAAAGTTTCTATGTTCAAATTCTCCAAGGAGAGATTTGATTTGCTGTGTCAGTGCCTATTCTGTAGAGGACACACCTGTTGGGGAAGCTCTCATGCCAGGCCCCCTTCTGTGGATACTGGACCATCTATGAATGGCCATTCTTGGTTCAACCATCTGTAGTCAGGGTGGCATGTCACTCAGCATGTAGTATGATGATTTCTGTACTAAGGATTCTCTGGAAGGAACATTCAGAGCTTTTTAGAAGGGGTCAGTTTAACTGGAGATGCTTGCATTACAACTGTCAATTACAACTGCTGAGAAATAGAAAGCCCATACTTCATAGAGTTGTGGGTTTTAACAAAGGTGGAGACCTTGCAGGCTATCCTATCCAGTTGCCTCATTTTACAAATGGGGATGTGAAGCCCAGATATTAAACTTAGTCATATCAGTAGTCAGTCATATGAGCCTAGATAGGAACTCAGATGTCTCAACTCAGCCCAGTGTTCCTTGTGCTATACAATGTAGCCTCTAATGTGTTTAAATTGCCTTATTGAGCATAGATTAATTTATGAGTTATATTAAAATCTAGCCAGTTTTCCTACCTCATATAGTTGGGAACAGAAAACTATTTCAAAACACAAAGAGTTACAGATTTAGTACAATATCCTTCATCAGGAGGAAATTTTAAATAACATACTTTCAAGACATTGCCTGATTCTCATGTATGTAGTATCTGTGCTAGTGCCAAAATTTAAATATGGTAATGTATTTTGTTTAATGAGTAGCTCTACGTAAAACAGTAAAATTATTGCAATATCGTTTTTGCCAAAACTAAGAATGAATGAATGAATGAGTTAACACATCTATCTGTGTTAACTCATTCATTCCATTGTTTGAATGGGTCAATCCAATGTTTGAATGAGTTAACCATCTATCTATGTGTTAACCGATATGAGTATGTAATATGTACCCGTACTAAGTGCACATATTGTCCATGGTCATATAAGAACATCCAGATCATCGGGTATTCTTTTCCTAAATTTTCCCACAGACCTAAGTTTTTGTCGCTTTCTTTGATCTCTGAGAATCAGGCAGCCCTAGTCTTGTTCAAAGTTAACTCATCCCTTCCTGCATCTTCCACACTTTCCCCCATCAGCGAACAACTCATTGTCTCGTGTAGTTAACCTTTCTTTCCTTACTGGCTTCTTCTGTTCAGTGCCTCCCATTTAAAAACAAAACAAATTTGTGGATACTGAATTTTCCTTTAGCAGACAGCTGTCCTGCAAACTTCTCAAAAGCCTAGCCTCCTCTTCATGCAGAGCCATGAAAACCTGGGTTGATGAAGAGCAAAGGTGTGGAGGCCAACATTTGGCTCATGTATTAGACTTGAGACTACCTAAAATCTTAAGTGCTTGTTGAGGGACAAATTTGTACAGGGAAGCAAGGAGAGGCCTCATCAGGAGTGTTGGTCCAGACCAAAATTCATGGGCTCCAGTTTTGAAACTAGTCTAATTTATCTAAAGCTTCAGAAGACAGATCAAAGGCTGTGGTTCTCAACTCTTAAGACTGTCCATTCCTCAGTGAGCTTTTTGGATGGTCTGACCCAACATCTTTCCTTCCTTACCTCCAGTGCATTCCTCAATCCACTGTAATATGGTTTCTGTCTCAACCACTCAACTGGGACCACTGTCATCTGGATCACCCATGCCTTGATTGCTAAGTTTAACAGTGACTTCTAATTCTCTCTCTTACCAGAACTCTACTATTAACAAGGTCACTTGTGCTCTCTGGAGATGCTGTATTACTTAGGATTCCAAGACCTTCCTCTCTTCTGATTCTCCCAGTAGATCTCTGACTGCTGCTTCTTTAACTCTTGTAGGCTTCTTTTTCTCTCCACAAATTTGATTGTCAATAATAGTCATATAGAACCCTGATATTAGTTGTATAGAAATCTGATAACTCTGACAGGAGACTGAAACATGTTTTCTTATCCCTTAGTGTTCTTATCTTAAGCAGGATGGTATAGAATAATTAAATTTGTACATAATAACATTCCTTCATTAGAATAGCTACCTTAAGGCCTAATTTGTCCAACTAAAGACTGTGTCAGCCCTCTTATAAGCAAGAGTAAAGGTGAAAAAAGTACAGAATGTTTGTTTCCATCATCTGTGATATAAAATTGGAGTAACTAAAGATTCCTGAAGCTTGGCGTGAGGTTTTAGAGAACAATCATTGCTTGTTTGAAATATCACTGGAAATGAGGCATCAGAGACATTTTATCTGGACTTTGTGGGGCAAGCTAGGGGTCACCCTGACAAATACCCCTTACTCTACCCCCAGCTGAGTATTTTGGGTCTAATGTTGGGAAGCAGGCAACATTGGGAAAAAACTTAGAAAGGTATTACAGTATTGGAGTTTATGAAATATTTATAAAGCCTCTTACTGAGTGATGCTTATTCCAAGACATTGCCTTATTCCCAAGGTGTGTGGTATATTTTGTACTAATTAAGTTGCCTATGGTTTTTGCTTGACCACAATCTATATACTTTTAGGTTATCCTGGGTCTCTAATTAAACCATGACTACTGAGGAATTGGGTCTGGTAGAAAAAATAACTAAGTGTTCCTCATGTTTCTGATATCAGGTATTTTCCCTTGTCACCTTGAAATCCTCTGGAGCTATTACAACCACCCTCAGAGTTTCAAATACAGCTTCTAGGCCGATGATGCCAAATTCATCTCTGGGCTCAGAGCTCTTCCCATCTTTCCAATTCATATTTTTCCACTGCTTGCTGTATAGCTCCATCTGGAGACCACAGAGATACCCTGAATGCCCTATGGCACAAACTATTCATCCACTTCTGTCTTAATGTGCTGGAAGTCTCTGGACCCTCCACCTTTATTATCTTTCATACTCTGGCCTCTGTTTATTTTACCAACCTTGTCACTTACCTCTCTTCTAGCTCTGTGGTTCAGCAACACCAAATTTCTTATCATTCCTCCACTTGACTTCCCAATTTTTGCCTCGGCTCATGCTCATCCTTCTGTCTGCAGTGCAACCCTCTTGTCATACACTCATCACAACCTCCCCTTTACCTGAATAACTTCTAAGGCTTTAAAATGCAGCTGAGTTACTACTTCCCTCGGGAAGCTTCTCCTGGCAAAATCTTGCTTCCTTTCGTGATCAGGTACCATTAAAAAGAACTCCCCTCAGTGCCTGTGTAGAGTTTTTATCCTCCTAATACTGATATAACACTATCAGCTCCTTGGAGGCAAGGGTGACATGTTATTTCTTTTTGTATCCCTACTTTTTAAGGGCAGTTCTAATAGAGAAGGTGCTCACTATTTATGTTGTAAAATTAGCAAATCATGGACATGATTCCCTCCCTCCCCTCAAAAGAGGAGGCCTTTTCATTCTACCCTTTTGAGACAATCTCTCTTCCCTTCTAACTCTGTACCAGTAATCACATCCCAGGAAAGAACAAGTAGATATGGTTCAGCATGGTGTTGTGCGTGATGTGCTATTGGACAGTCCCCATTGGAAATTATTAGATTTACATTTCAATTATGCGATGAGATACTAGCAGAATGGTTGAAAAGAAAATGCCGTTTGACGATCAAAGGCAGAATCAATAGAAACTGGTTGGAAGGTATGATCTGTCTGTAAGTTACCACCCTGAGAAGTTTTTAGATTATTACCCCGCCTTTAATGTGTAGGGAGAGCTGTGGGAAGAACATCACCTTTGACTCAGTCATTCCATTGAGGAATGTATTTGAAGAAGATAATCAGGGTTATTGAGAAATTTGCATAGAGACAGTTAACACTGCATTATTTACAATTTAACAGAGAATAGAAAGAGTCTCAATGTCAGACATTAGGAATTAATTATGGATTTTTAAAATATGATATGTAGCCACTAAAATTATGTTTACAAGGCATTTAAATAATATTATAAAATGCATAGGAAAATAGGCTAAGCTAAGCAAAAGTAGAACTGGGTGTAAAAAATAAGAACAGGATTTGATATAATCTCAATTATGTAAAAATTCTGAGAAATTCTGGAAGGAAACAGAAATAAAAGGTAGTTATTGCAAGGTAGTGAGATTATGGGCAATTATTACCTTTCTTATTTGCATTTTTTAAATATTTCATGATAAGCATGCCATATTTATTATAAGGCAAAACAGATGTATAATAACAAAAGTGGGATTTTTTTCAGAAGTGAAGGTAATCTAAGGATTGAATAATTACTTGCTTTTTAACTGATAAATATTTGTACAGAAACTTATAAAATATTGATAGGCAGCTTCTTTGGGAGGTGAAAATACCACTAGCATCCTAAAATAAGGATAGAATTTGGAAGTTATCACAATGGATTAGATTTTCAAAATTTTTTTTTATTTTCTAGCTTCTACCTCTGCCCCTGAATCAGCTTTAAAATGGTCCCTCCCTGAAACATGGCAAGGTGTTGAAGAAGGCTGGGGAGGATACAACAATACCATTCCAGGCCCTGGGGATGACGTTCTCATTTTACCCAGTGAGTAAAACTACCCAAGAGATGAATCACAGACAGGCTGAACCCAGCCAGATCTGATTATGTTTCATTTATATTGTACAACACAGTAAAGAGTTTGGAAATAAGTAGGCACTTATGTTGTTTCATTCTTCCTCTTTTTGGGGGGGTTAATGTAGGAGAACAATTTCATAGACCAGTGAAATCCCCCCAAAATTAACCTAGCATATCTTCATTAAAAGTGGAATAAGTAATTGTCATGCTGAAAGGAGTTAAAATAATCCACTAACTGGTTAATTTTCTTCATGTGTCAGAGAATGGATTTACAGGTTCTAGTATCCTTAAGTTTGAAAGACACAGAGGGTATGGAAGACAACAATTTATTAATGCATTCTGATGGTTTGCCTTTGGGAATTTTGAAATACAGGACTGAGGAAAAATGACAAGCTCTTCGGTTGCTATGAGTTTTGAAAATTGCCGAGAAGTAGGTTAATAAAATAGAAAAATACCTATCTATGTATCTATTCATCTGTTTGTCTAGACCTATCTTCCAGTATACACGTTATAAAAAAGATGATTCCTTAGATATACAGAAACACACAGCCATACTTATAAAATCTTCTTATTTAAAGGAGAGTTTTCAAAAGTTCCAGAATATCTCCCTAGCCTGAGAAGAAAATGTTTTTCATAGGACAATTATATTTTCCCCCAAAGACCTAATTACATTTATGGTTTAATTTGAACCTCTTAAGATAATAGTGAATAAAAGAAGATCCATAATGGAAGAACATTTAACCATCTGTGAAGTAATAATAATGATAATGTCAAACATTTACTGAGAACTAACAATGTGCCGGGAACTGTTTTCCATGTACCAACTAATTTAATCCTCACAATAACCTTATGAAATAAGTAATATTATTATCCCCACTTTTACAGACAGAGAAACAGAGGCCCAGGACAATTAAGTCACTTGTTCAGGGTCCCACGGTTTGCAATTTGCAGAGTCAAAATTTGAACCCAAGCAGTCTTTCTTCCAGTCCTCATCTTGAACCAATAACGCACATTCCCTTTCTAAAATGACTACGAGTAAAATAAAGGAGGGTCACTGTATTGTTTGCTTTATTTGTGTGGCAGAATGAAGGAAGAATGAAAGAAGATATACTGGCCACCTTCTTATCATTGGTGGTGTGTTTGTGTAACTGTGCCCAGAGACACGAGGGACAGGTGTGAGTGGGCTGACCAGTACAAACGTCAATTATTATTATCATCCCACTTCCCAGTAAACCACCTCTCTTTGATGGAGGATGTAACTTTTTGAATAAACAAGCTCGTGAGTCATTCCTATATGAAAAGGAAAAATCTGTTCTGTCTCAGCCATCTCTTTGATGAATCTAGCCAGCGGATTCACCCTGGGCTATGGTTTTTCCCACTAAGCAAGCTGCTTCCCCCACCCCATGCAGGAAGCAAGAGAAGCTTTTGAAGGTTGCCAAGCTTTTAGTATCCTTTGGGGTTTTTATGCCGAGCAAGGAGCAATCTTGGCCATTTTGCTTGGCACTGCAGTTGACTGTGTCCACTGTGTGTCCTGGGTCCCGGGATCCCTGGCTTTCTCCACTATTCTTCATTCCTTTGTCTATGGTCAGCTCATAAGATCATAGGATGGGCCTGAATTCTCCGTGAAGCTGCTCTTAAATAGCACAAATCAATGCTGGGTGGGGGAAAGGAGGTGGGGCACAGGCATTGGATGTAGAAAGGACTTTCCAGTTGGCCTTTCAGTGTTATTGTGATAATCAGAAAAGTTAAGAATTTTAAAACATACACAGTTATTTTTCATTATTTCTAGCCTTCACATGAAAAGACAGGTGAGTGAAAAACAGGTGTGTAATATATAAAAAATAAAATCCTTGCTCATTGTCCCTCTCCTGTTGTCTAATAACCCCTCTTCTATCTCCAAAAAATGATCTGTGATTGATGAGCGATTGAATTCATTGTGCCATTTGGATTGGGGTCTTATGCAGGAGCTGCTTGGCCTTACTCTTCCCTTCTGATTTTTGACAGGCTGATATTTTGACCTCTGATGGGTCTCTGGATTGAATCTACCTTTGTTTTCTGCTTGTGGTTTTGTCTCTCTCTGAACTCTCCACCTTTTCCTGGCTCCCCTTGTTTCTTTCATTCCTAGCCTTCTTTAAATCAAATAAATTTGTCCACCTGACTCTGGCGCAAAGTAGACGTTCAGTAAGCATCATTTGGATGAAGTGCATGAACTCATTGCTCCCATCCATAATTCAATAGCAGAAATAAATCTTTGTGTTTGACAGCATTGACACATACCACTATAGGATTTTACAGTCTGTGGAAAAAAATGTCTTCTCCTTTGAATAGATTCCTAAGAATTATGAAATGATTTTTACGATGATAGTAATGATGGTGATAGTAGCAACTATAACTTGAGTGCTTGGTGTGTGACATGCACCATACTAAGTATTTTACAAGGATTTTTTTTTCATATAATTCTCACTACCACTCTATAAGTGGATTCTGTTATTATCCCTGTTTTTACAGATGAAAAATCTGGGATGCAGAGAGGGTAACTTGCTCAAGTTTTACCCAGCCAGTAAGTAAAGAAGCTTTGCAGGAAATCAGAGAATTTAAATCAAGAGTTCTAACTCTTCATTGTATCTTTCTTTTTTCAAAAAAACTTACCATCAATACCTGCTCTGATATCTCCAAATTAGACTATATATTATACTGAATTTATGCCCCTCCACATTCTTCTCTTACCATCCGCATTCTTAACTTGAAATAAAACAAAAATAAAATAAAAAACTATTATTTGTTGAGTATCTCCTGTATGTCAGATACACTGCTTGAGGTATTTAATCTTATCACACATGCTTGGAAAAACTGGAGATACTTCCCAAAGAGGTATGCAATGCAATGAACCATTGCATTAGAACCATTCTAATGCAATGAACCATTAGTAAAAGCATTTGCTTTGCATCTGGTAGCAGATGTAGTTGTAATTCAAATGAACACCCCTTTCCAGTTCAGTTTAGCAAATATTTACCAAACATTCACTCTGTTCAAGGCACAGTTCCAAGCGCTCATGATCTGGGAACCCAAAGTCAAGTTCCATACAACTGTGACCAGCCAGGGATTTTGCTGGGTTAATAAAACACATAATGCACAATAATACAACAAATAGCCATAATAAATACTGAATGTGTTTAGAATCATAGTGTCTCTAGGGTAAAGGTGGCTTCATGGAAGAAGAGGCATTTGAAGTGAATTTTGAAAGATGAGGTAAGAATTAGAGGGGCAGTTATGAGACACAAGGGTATATTGGGGATCCTTCAGGATATAGGATGAGCTGTCGACTAGGATAAACCTGGGGTTCACATTTGGCTTCTGACATTTACAACGGTGTGACATTGGACAAGCTGTAAACCTTTCTGACCTTTATTTATAACATTAGGGCTATAATTAATATAATGTTAAGAAAGATGAAATGAGATAACATCAGTGCACATGACCAACGCATAGAGTTTTGGCGGTAATGGAATTACAGATGAAAGCTGTGATTTGTAATGTATCAGGTGCTCTTTTCCTTCATTTTTCCATCTGGCTGCCCCTCTTGGCCTCTGGTATTAGCAACACTTTGTATTTGCTTTCCAATGGCTTATTATTTAATTTTCACAACATCCTTGGGAGCTAAATAGGTAATAACTATTATTACAGTAAAAACCCATTTTTACATAATACGATTTTAATGGAACTGCTGATTTTACAAAATGAAAGTGACTGGTAAAAAAGATTTAAGTGATACTTTTGAACCTCTAATATAATTTTATGGTGTTTTGTGTATTTTAATTCATTAATAAAGGAAACGTGTAGAACATTCCCATCATTATTCAAATAGAATAGCATAATTTTTCAATAAAATTCTTAGGGTAAATTGCCTATTTCCATTTTCTGGGAAATCAATTTTATGGAATGACCTCAGACCCATCCTATTCCATAAAAATAGGACTTTACTGTACTAATAAAAGACATCACTATCTTAAGTATGGTACCATTTTCCTTCAAGGCGTTCTATCTTTATGGACATTGGATTTTGAAAGAACTGTAAATTCTTCTCTGTGGTATTATATGGAGTAAGCTGAGGTAATCATTAAGAATTTGCTCTTGTAGTTTAAGTTCGTGATAACTTTGCTTCAACAAGTAAGTGTATCTGACTGTCTTTGCTTTCTAAATATTGGAAAAATTGGCCTGAATGCATTCTCAACTTCTTAAGTAGTAGGAACAAGTTCTGCCTTACTACGCAAATCTCAAACCTTCATAAAGAATAGCTGGTCAAATGGCAAAAGATCCCTCTAGCTTCTGCTCTATGCCTTGTTCTAAACTGACCAGAGTGGATTTGTGTAAGATGCCTCCAGTGCTTTCTCAGGATTCTGTTTTGAAGGGTGCAAATATGATATCATGTAGCCTCCAGCATCTTTGTGTGTTTATGTGTGTGGTAGAATTCACTGTTACATTTTGTATATTACTTTGAACTGTCCTTATTTGAAGACATGAATGGGAGAGTACTGTTTTTCTTTTATAATAGCTCTTCTGTTTGTTCTGATTTTTAATATTCAGTACCTTAAATGCCAGAGAAGCTTATCAAAGTCGTGTGATGTTCAAAGATGGCAATATGTAATGCACCTCCTTGTTAAATTGCAAAAGATCATAATAGGTTGGTGATATGAAGCAAGATGATCATAAATCAGAAAGTAATTTTTGAGGGGAGGAATTCTATGAAATCTTGTGATTATAAAACTATTGACTTCATTCACCTTTTTCTTATCTGAGATTATATGTAATTCAGTATTTCATACTGAATTATAGCAGAGATGTAGGTCTACAACACCAATTAGAAACCAAACAAATATTGGTGATGTTTCTATAGCTTGTGTAGTTCTCAAATTTTGGTCTTGTACCTTTTGGATGGGACATAAAAGCAGTAAAGCCCACCACCCCACTTATTCTGGATTAGCAAGTGGGAAGGGAAGAAATTTGGGCTTCAGCTACTGGGGTCCTTTTTGTAATGTGTGGCATCAGAATGGTGACAAGTGGAGTGGGTGTTCTGAAACTGTATCATTACCTGGCAAACCACCCAGAAACCTAACAGCATAAAACACACATTTTATTTTGCTTACAATTTTATGGGGAAAGGCGAGGCCGAGGTGTTCTAATTTGGGTTCTTCCATGCATTATAGTTAGATAGTGGCTGGACTGTGGTCATTGAAAGGCTCACCTTGGCTGCCTTTAGATGCCTTTAAGATGGGTCATTCATATGGCTGGGCCTTGATGCTGGTTATTGGCTGGGAGCTTAGGATAATCAACTAAGAGGCCTCAGTTCCTCTCCTCATGGGTTTATTATGGGGCTGCTTGGGCTTCCTCACAGCATGATGGCTGGATTCCAAGAAAGAATAGCCTAAGAAAGGTGTTCCAAAAGTAAGTGGTCCAAGAGACCTGTGTGGAAGCCACATGCCTTCTAAGCTGGCTCTGGCAAGCTCAGAATATCATGGCCATCAACTTCTTGGTCAAGCAAGGTCCTGAGGTCAGCCTAGATTTAGGAGAGAAGAATTAGGTTCCACCTCTCAATAGGAGGAATAGCTAAGAATTTGCAGCTGTCTTTAATCTACCTCTGTGTATGTGTTTATGTGTGTAAGCATATATGCATGTATGTAATTAAAAGCAGATGTACCTGACTTAATTCAAAAAGTGCTTTAGAGCCTGCTAAATTTGTGCTGTCTTCCCTGTCTGGACAGACTTTATTTAGACTCTGTTGGCTTGCATGAATAAGAAATTACAGAACACCAGGAGACAGACTATTCAAAGGGTTTTAGTTTCTTTATTTTATTTTATTTTTACCTATAATGCTTAGTGTTAATTACACCACCTCTTCTCTGCCTGAAAGTGGTATTTGTCAACTCTCCAAACATAATTGGGCCCCCAATTTGGAATTGCTCACTTTGCAGTGGGAATGGACGGTAGTTGTTGAACTGCAACTTGTGGTCAAATCTTTACATGTGTGACCAGAGCCTCTTCTTAGAAGAGAGGGATATGGTGGGATGAGGAAAGACATGAAGGAAACATATTTCGAGCATTTTCTTTCAGGGTAGACATTAAAGATCCAGGGAGACAACAGTTGAACTTTCCTTTGACCTTCTTTAGAAAGTGAATGGAAAAGCTGTTCTTTAAGCTACTTTTGACCTAAAAACTTTAATCAACATTATTTTCCAATAAAAATAAATAAAAAGAAAACCTGAAGTCAAAGATGAAAGGATCTTTGGAAACTGTCTATTTCTCCTTCCTTTTAGGCAATTTCTTAGAGAGAATCATAGACCTTAGTGAACCTTGCTTTAAGGATGTCAAAGTCGTGTCCTCACCACTGGAAGGAAGAATTTCAGACTCCACAGAGCAGGTGTTCTCACCAACATCCCCAAGCAGTTTATCTTTGAAATGATGAATGTAAATAAACTTTTCATATATCAAATCATTTAAAAATATACTATAGAAACTTACAATTTAAAGCAGTCTAAGTATAAAGTGCTTTGCTATATGGAGTCCCTTGATGAACTGATTACCTAGTAATTTATTTGTTTTCTTTTGAGGTGGATTTACTTATAAATATTAATATATATG
The DNA here is from genome assembly GCF_000001405.40 of Homo sapiens. Lineage (NCBI taxonomy): Eukaryota > Metazoa > Chordata > Mammalia > Primates > Hominidae > Homo > Homo sapiens. The sequence goes on along the minus strand of NC_000006.12, from coordinate 51,824,194 downwards.
TAAATTATAGACACATAGAATTGTTGATTTGGCAGGAAATGTAGTGGCTTTCTAATCCAACTAATAATAATCTAAATAATAATGTGTTTTATAAATTGTAAAATGCTATGACATATGTTAAGATTATTGCCCAAACTTATATGATGTTTTATACCAAAGCTGAGTGAAATTTTAGTCCCCATGCTTCAACCCAGTGTTTTAAGTTGACCCCTAAAATTTATTAAAGGGACTACTATTGATTTATTTGTTTTGTTCCTAAAATAGGATTGAATTTTGAGACAAAACACTTTGAGGCTAGGGAGTTCCTTCTAGTTGCAATGACCACGATTCAAACGGATGCTCCCAAATGAGTAGCAGCAGTCCCCTAAACTTTCTAACCAAGATCTGTGACACAGTGCTTTTGCCAGGGTGGACAATTAGGAGTGGGAATTAAAAAGAATTTTTCCCTCAACTATATATGCTTTTCTTCATAAAAATGAAATTTCGATTAAAATAGCAGTGCATTTTTCCCTGTGACAGAATAAACATAAAAATATAAATATATTGAAATAGGTTGAGATTCTTTTTCCAATCTTAATTTGTCCATGTCTGCTTGAATCAGTCATGGCATTTGTTTCTGGCTAATTAGAACTCACTTAGGGTCTACTCTTGGGATCCAAAGTCAGGTAGGCCTTGACACTCTTTATGGCTTGCTAACTTGCTGGAACTAATTCGAGTTTTACTCTAATAGAGGACTTTTACAAACCTTTTCTTGTTTTCACTCACCTGAGAAACACACTCATTGTCATGGTCCATTAGCATTAGCATCATGGATCATAGTAATTTTCTAGGAGGGGCACACGTCCCCAGGATGTAAAGATCATGGGGTGGCGGTAATTGGCAAGCATGAAGTATATAAGAGACTCGGGTTTTATTTTGGTATGTGCTCCCATCTAGAGAATAACTACTTTTATGATTTCAAATACTCCACCTCAGTCTCCCAGAGGTGTGACCGTATTGGGCACCTTCTGTTGTAGCCTGAGAGGATTCTAGCAGGTATTCCTGTAAAACACCTATGATGCTTTCCTTTAGTTGCAATAGGTATAATTTTTTTTTTTTTTTGCTACTATAGCAACTTCTTTCTCTTACTTAACCTGTACAAACTTTCAGCAGCAGTTTACAACTATTTCTTAAAGAAACTATGCATTACTTTCCCCAGGATTTCAAGTATACTTTGACCTTAACAATACAAATTACAAGCTATATAGTAGCAGTAAATGCAATGATGGCTGCTATGGAAAAATATAATAAGTACCATAAACTTGATGGGAAAGCAGAATTGATAGGGTTAACAATTTATCGATTGTAAAAAAATAAAGAAAAATGAGCTGAGAAGATGACCAGAACTTTTGCACACAGGTGAATGCCTAGGGGTACCATCAATAGAAATAGAGGATGCATGTAAAGGAGTAGGTTTAGCAGGGAGGATAATAAATTCCATTATAGTCATATACTCAGGTTCATGTGCAGATGCCTAGATGGTAACGGGAAATGTGGACCAGAAGATTGAAAGGAAGGCCAATTGAGAATCTGGATTGCAATTTGGTAATTCTCAGAAGAATTGACTAAGGAAGCCTTGAGTATTGAATGGGGGTTAGGACTCATATGAGAGCTATTGCAGAGAGATATAAGGATTGGGTAGAAGTCAGCATCTTAGGGCAATGCTAATTTAAGTTTCAGGAAGAGATATCATAGAACGAGTAGTCATGAAATTAGAACCAGGACAGCAGAAGGCAAGGCAGGAAAGGAGCAATACCACGATGATGGAGGTGGTTAACAGTAAATTTTCCAAGGAGGACAAGGAGGATGGTAATTTGGAAATTGCTTGAGAATAAACTATATCCTCTGTGCAGGCTCCCACTAATTAAATGCAAAATCTAATGTAACATCTCTTGCTTGTTTTATAGTTTCACACATCTGGATTGTATCGGTGTCTTCAAGGATACCCATATCTTTGTTAAAATTAAAAACCATTACTGCCCATGAGCAGACTTTTAAGGTGGCAGCCAGGTTGTGTCCCTGGTCACTTTCTGGTTACAGTACTGCCCGGTGTTCTAAATTAATAGGCTCAGGTAATAGGCTCAGTCCCACCAAACTGGTTAATGTGTATAGCTCAATCAGCTTGATTTGGAAAATAGAATAGGTTATGTCATTTAAGGAATTACTGTCAGCCAGGTGGAGTGGCTCACGCCTGTAATCCCAGCACTTTGGGAGTCCGAGGCAGGCGGATCACTTGAGGTCAGGAGTTTGAGACCAGCCTGGCCAACATGGTGAAACCCTGTCTCTACTAAAAATACAAAAATTAGCCTGGTGTGGTGGTGTGCGCCTGTAATCCCAGCTACTTGGGAGGCTGAGGCATGAGAATCACTTGAACCCAGGAGGTGGAGCGCTTCAGCCTGGGTGACAGAGCGAGACTCCGTCTCAAAAAACAAACAAACAAACAAACAAAAAATGAAATCACTGAATCCCTGTCATTTCCTAAAAGTAGAGTATTACAAAAACACAACACAATACAAAATATATTTTGTTTTAAAATTTAGGAGATTATGTATAACTCTTAGAATGAGTTCAATCCTGGAGGTAAGAATTGAAGTCCATGTTATTTAAAACAGGCAACATTACTCTATCAGAGCTAATTGGTTAATTCCTTTCAGTTCTGGAATACCGACAGTGGCATCCATAGGTTTTAATATTTATTTGGAGACATAAATATCAGGAACTAATGTCTTTAAAATCATTGGTAAAGAGAATGACCTGCTACCCTGGTTTATCCAGGACTGAGGGTGTTTCCTGGGACATAGGACTTTCAGTGATAAAACCTGGGAAGTCTGAGGCAAACCAGAATGATTGGGTCACCCTACTAAGAAATCACCATTAAAGTTTGTGCCAACCCCATATTCTATGATTTGCACTGCAACAAGTTTGCTGAGGGTTAATAAAAATTTCCCCTGATTAAAATGCATAAACATATTTTACCTAGTTTTATTGCCCTAAGAACTTTGTCTCATGGAATTAATATTCTTTGAGGAGTGTTACCAAGGCCTTTCTTACAAAAGAAGGGAAACTGAGTGATTGCATATGTATTTTACCCCCCTGGTTGGGGTTGGGAAGTACAAGCCAAGCAAGGAGCAGCTGCCCGTGGGAGTTTTTAATGCAGAGCAGGGCTTTTTTCACGTGTTCTCATTGAATTACTTTTTTTCTCTTTATGGTCTGTTTTCCATGCAGATATTTTTGGAATGTAAAATTAAATAATTCATGATTTCCCAATCATTGGTTTAGGTACAGTTGCCATTTCTTGAGTTGATTATACTCCCTTGAGGGAGCTTTTGGAGTTTCCTCATGTACAGAGGTTTAGAGATAAGAACTTTGCTGAAGTGACAAGGTCTTTGTAGGTACAGGCAGGCCAGCAGGGGCAGGAATGGCATAGTTGGCTCATTGCTGACCCTTAGGTTACCACACTATTAAGCAGCTCAAGGGTTCTTAACATTTTATATGTCCCAGATCCCTTTGGCAGTCTGGTAAAGCCTAGACCCATTCTCTAAATAATTTTTTTGATACATAAAATAAAGTAGGATTATAAAAGAAATCAGTTATATTGTTATGGTTATCAAAATATTAAAATAAAATGTGATATAATATGCTCCTCTGTTAGAAGGTTGAGTAACAGTACCTAGCACTGGTTCTAATAGGTATCGTAGTTTCAATGTCATTATTGCAGAAATTCTCCAAAAAGGGCTACCATAAATTTTGTTCCTTCCTATAAATGCTTGCTGCTCCTTCTATAGGGACATAGAGCTTCCTGCCCTCCCCTGGAATCTGTGCTGGCCTTTGTGACTAGATGGACTGACAGACTGTATTAATAGAATAATGTTCTTGGATTTTGAAGGCTAGGTCACAAGAACCCTTGCATTAGAAGATCCTTTTGCCTAGAAGTCTCATTTGCCATTGGGGTGTTTCCTTTTGGAACACATACCTTAGGCTATGGGAATCTAAATCATATGGAAAGGTCATTTTTGTGCACTGCTTGGCAGCCCCAGATGGAGATAAGCTGTAGCCAAGAGCCAATCTCAGCTTCCAGCTATGTAAGTGATCTATCTTGGATATCCAGACCAGTTGAACCCAGTAATGGGTCTTGGTGAGAATTCTGATATTTTCTTTATCTGCAAGTACGTTAAAAATCTCCTATTTTATTTTTAGGTCAATGTTACTCAGGATTTCTTATGTTTACTAAATAATGATACTTAGAAGGGACATTCTAACGTTCAGTTCATTAAGAGTATATACATAGGCACTGGTGGAGCTAATGGTCCAAATGCCATCCAAGAGAGCTAAAAGAGATTAAAACCCCTCGCAAAGCCAAAATTGATTTACATGTATTCCATCACTGCTGTTTGCATAATGTGTGATATGAAAACAGAGTTCAGAAATCATGCATTTATTCAGCAACTATTTACTGGGTGCATAACTTATTATGTGCCACTTTGCCTCATGTTGGAGATAAAATGATGAGCAAAATAGTTCTGAGACCCACCTGGAACATACTGCCTAGCTGGGGAGATAGAAATGTAATTGCATGTAGTTAAAAATGAATACGACTAACAAATGTGCTATAGGAAACATTCAGAGAGTAATGAAAGCATATACTGTAAGACCTGGACCTGGACTGGCATAGAAGTAAATTCAATTACAATTCATATTTGAAGGCTAAAAGCAACAATTTAGATATTAGCTATTACTGGTAAGAAATTTACCCAGGATTTCTCAAAGTGTTTCCTCTGAAACTAGCTCCCTGTAAGCATCACATGGAAAAAAAAGTAAGTCAAACAAATTTGAAAAATTTTGGACTAAGCACAGATAAATACTTTTTTTTGTTTCTGGTCTTTTCAAATCCTTTTATATGACAATATGGGTTGTATAACTTTCGGAGGGGGATATAGTACCAGCTGTTCTCCAGCATGTTTGATCGTGTAACACTTTTATTCACAGAGCAGCTTATCATGCTGAGGATTCAGGGAAACATTTTGAGTACAAAGAGTTCTCACACCTAATTTAACACTCACGACCATTCTGGGAGTTTTGTTGTCCAGGTATTAAGAATTAGGGGTTTGGGTATCCAGGTATTAGGAAGATTAAGTCTTCTGTGAATAAAAAAACCCTGAAAATTATTATTTTTATTAAAAATTGTTATTATGGTACGAGGTTGATAGATATGTCAGTTTACATCTCTCTTACATAAAAATCTGTTCCATGGTGTCAGGGACTTGGACCCCTTCTACCTTTTTGTCCTCCAGTGTTTTTTCTATTTCCAAAGTCACTCGGTGGTCCATCAATGTGCTGGAGCACCAGCCATTGCAGCCGCATTCCAGGCAGCAGAAAGGAGAAAGGATTCTTCTTTTATTTCTCACATGACACTTCTGTTTACATCTTAATAGTGTAAACTTAGCCACGTGGCCACTTCTACCTGGAAAGGAAGCTGGGAAATGTAGTCTTTTGGCTAGGTGACAAACTATTCAGCTAAAAATTGGAGTTCTTATTACTAAGGGAGGATAAAATAAATACTGGGAAGCAGCTAATGGCCTCGGCCACATTTTTTGTTTTCACATTTTACAGTTGAGGGAAATGATCGCAAGAGGGCATGCCCAAGAAAGAGCTCAGAGATAACAGAGACAGTAGAGTCAAATCTAGGCCTCTGGATTCCCTGAGTCTGTCTAGTTCATTACACTGTTCCTATTTAAACATGTGGGAGGAAATAAAACAGAGCCTTTAAAAAGCTGTGTTATTAAGGGTCATGGTGATATACACAGATGACACCGTTGCAAAATATATTTTATGGAAAAAGTATGAATATATGTTTCTCAGAGCATTTGCCCAGATTTGGAAATTAGTGGTATTTGATTAACAAACAATTGCAAGCAGTAAGTGACTGCCTTTTGTTTTGGCTGCATTATCCAGGCCAGGATTCTGTTTGTTGGGCTGCTGTGCACTCCGGGGCCCGCTCTGTGTCTAATGGCTTGTCCTTGCTTTTCTTCATTTGTAACATCGGCAATGCTCTGAAAGCCCTGGATCTCGTTTGAAACCATCTGTTTGCCTCTTTATTTACATGATAACGTAACCTGATTGCAATTTAGTGTCTGGATAAAAAACATTGCTCTTACCTAGATGGTGCTGGGTTTTTGTCAGGCTTAATGACAACCCATCTGACTGCATTTTTCAGGCAGCAGTAGTGTGTGGAGAGATGGTGTCTGTATAGCCCACGCACGGAGGTGGTGAATGTTCTGCACTCTGCCCAGGCTGTCTGGGCTGTGGTCAGCAAGGGGTGCAAATGGCAGGCACTTCTCTGCTGTCTTCCAGAATGTTATTGGCACCAATGGGGCCTTCTCATCTTTGTGCTTCCTGTGTCCAGGGAAGCTCCAGAAGAGTAGAAGTTCTTTGTTTATTTGTTAGAGGAGTGAGCGAGTGAGTGAATGAATGGATGGAGGCATGGTGGATTGAATAGAGTGCTGATTAAATCCCAGCCGCTCTCATTCATTCATAATCGGTGAACGTGTGTTGGATCAGCAGGAATGATTGCTGTTGGCATAGTGAGGCTGAATGCCTTGGGGTGTTTGCTCTGGGGACACGGCTGTAGTCCTGAATCAAAACTCTGAAACTGACACACCAGTCCCCTTCCCTCTCCCCTCAGTATATCATAGGGCAGGAAGTAGTGTGTGGCAGCTCCTTCTTCTTGAGAAATCTAGGGGGATGGGTGTCTACAGCAGAGTTTCCTCCCATAGGTTGAGGTATTGATAATTCCAATCTTCACCACAATAGCATTTTTTTTTCTTACTAAATCCTGCGGAAAAGAGAAGTGGGCAAGATCCTATGATGACACACATTTTGTGAATAGGGTTTACATTTAGCAAGATCACCTGTAGTAAGGAAATAGAGGCACATACCTTATGTAGAGTGGTTCCCAAATTGCTGACTTCTAAATGCTCCTAGAGAAAAATGGGAAAAAAAACCCCTCAAAAAACAAGTCTGTCCCTAAGATCCCAGAGTTCTGGTAATATGGGAAAGAACTTCTGGGGCCAAGGCTATCCTGGAAGCCCCATGACTCTCTCTTGCTCCTCGGATAAAACGTCCTGTATCTATCCCTGCCTTCACCCCAGGTTGCTTTTCATGTACTACAAAGAGGGTCAAGAGCTTGGTTCATAATTTATGTTTTCCTTCACCCTCACATTGACCCCAGGGAGTGGAGGGAAGGGTATTTTCAAAGAAAAACCTTAAGACAAATTAAATTTAACAGAGTTTAATTGAGCAAAGAACCGTTTGCAAATTGGGCAGCCTCCTGAGCCACAGTAGGCTCAAAGAGGCTCTCGTGCAGCCATGTGGCAGAGGATTTATGGACAGAAAAAGGAAAGTGATATACAGAAAATAGGAATGAGGTACAGAAATGGCCAGATTGGTTACAGCTTAGCATTTGCCTTTTTTGCACACAGTTTGATCAGTTGGTCGCCTTTGACTGGCTGAAACTCTGTGATTGGCACAAGAGTAGGTTACAGTCTGTTTACATATCTAGTTAGGTTACAATTAACTATATGCAGAGAAGCCTTTAAGCCAGACTTAAAATATGTAAGGAGGCAGCTTCAGGCTAAACTTCATTTAACAGGTGTCTTCTCCCATCCAGCTCTATTGCCTCAGCTTCTTATTGGCTACAAAGCCCACCACAGGTGTGTTACCTCACCACTCTCCTTATCTCTTTTCCTCTTCCTTTAGTTGATTTGGTTTAATGAAAGGTGTACAGACATCTACATGCAATTGCACAGAGCACAGAGGCATGGGGGTGTAGATCTGTCTTAGCTGTCTAAGTAAGTAGGGGGCTTCCAACATAGGTTTGAATGATGACTTACTGAAGAACAAATAGAAAATGTCAAAACCTTTATTTTTCCTTATTTTTATTCTATTCCTTGAAAATTTTCTTTTTCTATGTTTTACTATGTAGATAATATTTATTACATTAGTATTGCACTACATATGTGTAATTAGCAATTTATTAATACATTTATGAGAAAGTAAATCATATTGGGAATATATGGTTAAAATTTTACCCTTCCAGAAAAGGAATATTTGGCACTTACTTGAGTTTTAATATCATATTACTGTTTATTTACTATGGCAAGCATCCTTTTTTAAAGACATATTAGTAAAATATGTGCTATATATGCTATACATGATCATATATGTATATGGTTTCACAAAAGATTTAACAACCAAGTGGCAAAATATAAAGTGAGAAATTTTACTTCAGGAACCAGAGCTAAGGCTGACTATGAATCTGAAATAATCTTGTTTTTTTCTTATTTAGTTGGAAATAAGTTAACCTTTACAGAAACCTGAGAAACCCAATTTTCAAAATCAGCAGGCTTTAATTTTTCTGAGGCCTTGGTCTTGGATATCGATGTTGCATGATACTTGGGGGCTTCCTGAAGCTTTCAGAGTCGATTTCAAACGTATTTGTTTGGACTGCAGAGCCCTTTGTGATCTGGCCTCATCGTCTGCTGTTCTCCTGCATGCATTGTTGTCCAGTTCTACTTATCTACTCATTCTTCTTGGATGGAATCGACTATTTCTTTTCCAGTTATTTTTACTTGCTCTTCTTACTACCTGTAACTTTTTCCACTTCTCCTTTCTTTCCCTTTCTCTCCCTCCCCACCCTAAACCTCTCTTTCAGCTTATTTATTTTTGTCCTTTAACACTCAACTTGGTGGCACCTCTTCTAGAAAGTGTCCCCGAATCCTCATTTGATTTAATTCTCCTTCCGCTGGGTTCCTACAACACCTTGGATATATTTCTGTCATATACCCTTATTCTGTAAATATTACTTACTTTTATGTCACCTCGAGAACAGAGGTTATGTCTTATTTGACTTTTTATATCTCTAATGCAAAGCAGAGGATTTGGCTTATAGCCACAACAAATGCTAGAGTAAATAAATGAAAGAGTGAGATGCAGTCACTGACTAGTCAGTCCCTACTAAAGTATTTCCAGGACTTTTGGAAACTTAAGGGGGAGATGTCACTGTGTCACTGTCATACTGAGAATCTTGGCAAACAAAGGGTGGATGGAGGGTGGCCGTTCCCTGAGAACCTTAGCAACTGACAAAGAGGTGCTGATTTTCTCTGGAAGACCTGGTGGTCTGCTGCAGAACTCAATCTGGGAATCATTCTACATTAGCATTTATTTATTTAGAATCCCTGGGCCAGAAATGTACTCTCTGTGAGATGTGCTTCCCTGCAGGTAAGAAGATGCAAGGAGGGGGTGGGTTCGTTCCTTTTCTTGATGAAGTTCTCTGAACTCTAGTATTCCCAGTAGGCACCTCTCATTTCCTGTCTCCCCTGGTGAGCCGGTGGCCTTTCATTCAAGCTCCTCCACACAGCTTGCCTCCTCCCTCCTCCCACACCTTCCACCTGAGCAGTTGACAGGCCTCCTGTGGCTCAGCACCTGAGGAGCTGATGGGCCTGGTGTGGCTTGCCAATCAGGAGTTTAGAGCTCTCTGGGGATTTACTGCCTTCCAAGCCTGCAGGCCTCCTGTGGCTCAGCATCAAGGTGCCTGACACACCTCCTGTGGTTTTAGCTAGTGAGCAGCTTGTGGATCTTCTGTTTGCTGTGAAATGGTTTCAGAGGTTACCTTTTCTCATTTGTATAGTGTGGATGCACCTGTTTTTGTTTGTTTTCTTTTTTGGTGAAACTATAAAAGAAAGAGTGTAAATGAGTAAACATTGGTGCAGGCTTAGAGCTATGACATTGGCTACTGTGAGGAAGCCCAAGTTTTGCTGTTTGCAGTGCTAGGCCTAAATCCCAGTATGGTAAGGAAATTATCTGTGACTGAGAGAATCGTAGAGTAACTCTTCTTGGCTCCTAGTGTATGTACCTGGTATTTAATGATATCTTGCAAGTCTGAATGAATTAAAAATGTTTCTAACACTTCTAAAATTAACTTATTCATCTGAAAGCCACTGAAGGAAGGCTTTAAGGCACAGCAAGCTGGCCCCTAGTTCAAGTGGAACAGGAAGGAAATGGTTAAAGGATTTTTAAACTGCTAAAGGGGGCTTTTACATTTTTCTGGGAAAGCAGCAGTTTGCATGGAAATCACAGCTTTTATACATTAAGTATGGTTATGAGTCTTTCCCTCAAAGCTGTGTGAGAAATGTGGACTTTTTTTTTCCCTCCAAAGGAAATGGAGAATCAGGACCAAAGACTCATGTAGCTTTATGCCTAGGTTTTTCAGGTAACAAAGAGAAGGGGAAGGCTGGTTTGTTCTTAGAAAATATAGTATTTTATTAATAACATAGTTTTTGCCACCCCATGCTTAGTACAAGCCTCACCCAGAGAGGAAAACTTTAACCACAATTCTTATAAGCTCTACTATTCCGATATCTTTTCTTTTCCTATCCTATTTCTACAATCTCCCATCACAGTCAAGCCCAAATCATATTGCGTTAATAAGGACCATACCAGAATTTTAGTTCCAAGCACTGCACTTACTTTTTCAAGATCCCAGGTTACTTGAATAATAGTGGTCAGAAGTTAAAATCAGAAGGCCACAAAATATTACCAGTAAAAAAAAATGTAGGAAATAGTAGAGATATTCACATTTATTTTTTGAGCCAGAAAAAGTAATAAGTTATATAAATATAAGGCCATAGAAGGCTATGGCATGTTGAGGAAATATCAGATCCTTCATTTAAACACAGGAACAGTTATTACAGAGTATGGTGATAACAGTGGTAGTACTAGCAACAATGTACCCGTTATTATAATAACATGAGTTCAGTTTTTTAATGTTCCAGGCACAGTATTAAATATTTATTTTATCTCACTAAAGCTTTATAAATATGGTGTGACATTGGCACCATGTTTGACACACTAAGAAATCAAAATTGAGAGCAGTTCTGTTAATAAAAAGGTCAAACTCTTCAAAATATTTGAAGAGTTTTATTTTGAGCTGAATATGAGGACCATGTCCTGTGACACAGCCTCAGGAGGTCCTGAGAACTTGTGCTCAAGGTGGTTGGGTTACAGCTTGTTTTTTTATGTTTTAGGGAGACATAAGACATCAATGAATGCATGTCAGGTATACATTGGTTTGCTCTGGAAAGGTAGGACAACTTGAAGTGGGAAGCAGGCTTACAGGTCATAGGTGGATTCAAAGATTTTCTGATTGGCAATTGGTTGAAAGAGTTAAATTATTATCTAAAAACCTGGAATCAATAGAAAGGAGTGTCTGGGTTAAGATAAAGGGTTGTGCATACCAAGGTTCTTATTATGAAGATGAAGTCTTTAGGTGACTACCCTTAGAGGTAATAGATGGCAAACATTTCCTATTCAGACATTTGAAAGGTACTAGACTCTCAGCTAATCTCTTCAGGATCTAAAAAAGACCTGGAGATGGAATGCGATTCTCTAAAGAATATAAATTTCCCCCATAAGAGACAGCTTTGCATAGCCATTTCAAAATATGACAGACAAATATATTTTGCGGTAAAATACTTTGATACTTTCAGGACCTGCTATCTGTCATGTGATGCTCTACTAGAGTTGGGTTGGAATTTAGTACCTTATTGCTCCAAAATAGTCTGTTTGTCAGTTTTAATATCTCTGTTTTAATGTTAATGCTGGTCAGTTGTACCTAAATTCCAAAGGCAGGAATGTATAATGAGGTATGTCTGATGACCACTCCTTCCCATCGTGGCCTGAGCTAATTTTTCAGGTTTCTTTGGAATCCCCTTGGCTGAGAGGAGGATCCATTCAGTTGGTTGGGAGGCTTAGAATTTTTATTGTATTTTATTTTGGTTTCTTAACTTTATTTTGTTTCTTAAACTTTAGCATGCATAAAAGTCAATGGAAATGTTTCTAAATTACTAGTGATCTATATTTTGAACCAACTTTGCAAATGGTACTGAAACTCTAATAGGGTGTCTGTGGACCTACCAGCTATTAAAACCCTAGCTTAGAGGATAAGTAATATTCCCTGGGTCCCACAGCTACAAAGGGACCGAGCGGGATGTAAATCCAGGTGTGTCTCATTCCTGCTGCTCTCTCCATGCTGGCCTCCATGTTGCTTTGTACCTGAATGAAAGTCCAATACCTTTCTTGTCTTAGACATCTAATTATATATGGCTATCTGACATCTTTACAATTAGTATTAGGCTTCTGTAACTTTGTTCTTTAAAAAATTTTAAACATAATACATAATTTTTTTCTGTTCAAAATAATGTAAAAATATACAAAGCAAAATATCAAGAACCATTTAGCCCTTTCTTTTTGCCCTCCCCTGGATAACTGCTATTCTCAGTTGGGATTACATTTTTTTAAATATGTGTATTTATTTATATAATGAATAACTTTAAAAATATTAATTAATTGAGTATTTTACTACATATCAGTTTCTATCCTTAGCGTTTTGGATGAATTCACTTTGGAATCCTCACAACACCCTGTGAAGCACTATTACCATCTCTCTTTATCAGGTAGCCGGGAAACTGAGAAATAGAGATCATAAAAGTGATTGGTAGAGGGACAATATTTGGACCCAATAGTTTGACTCTAGAACTCTTATATGCCATGCTAAGATGTTCCTTAATTCAGCAATGAAAAGCATATGTTCTAAGTATTCATATGTGACTTTCAAAAAAGTTAAGTCTATATTCAAAATACTATCATATCAGTAATGACAAATGTCCTGCATCCTTTTAAATGACAGTGTAGTTACCCAGAGTAGGAATGTGGTATAATTTATTGAATTACCATCTTACTGATGAACATAAATTTTCACCCCAATTTTTTCACTTTTATAAACAATACAATGACAAAAATATTTATGCCTCATTGTTCAAGTGGGAGAATTTTTTCAGGTCAGTTGATCTTAAAGTGAATTCATAGCCTACCTATAGCTGAGATCATCCGGGTTACTTCTTTAAAAATGCAAAACATACCTTCAAGGAACACATAATCACCATATTATAAACTCTTTCAGAACCTGGAGAAAAATAAAAATCTTCCTAATTCATTCTTAAGGCTATAGGATTGATTATATAATTAGATAAAGGTGGCACAAAGAAGAAAATTAAAGGCTAATCTCATTGATATTGAGGAGAAGTCTTACTAAATCCAATGTACCTGTGCTTCCAAAGAATCACAAATTATAGTTAAATAGGGTTTAATCCCAGGAATGCAAGGATAGTTCTAGAATATCAGGAAAAATAATCTAACATAATTCAGTAAGACAAAATTAGAAGTCTCTCTGTTTCCCCAAGATTGTACTTTCTTTTTATAATAATGAGGCACGATATTCCATATATAAAGAGCCAAGAATGACTAAATAAGTTTTATTGTCTTTCTTCCCCTTGTCACGTGCAGTGCCAGCTTCTGCCTATACTACTCTGTGTCTTTATCTGAGTAAGGGCTTCTTAAATATTCAGACTGTCCAAGGTTCCAGGGCACATCAGGGCCATGGGGAAGTGTCACATATTTTAGGTGGCTAAGGGTGAGTGAGCAGAGAAAACTATTTCTAGGGCAGTGGGGCAGAGTGAAGGATGGTATCAGTGGGCTGAAGAAGGAGAAGATGAACCAAAACAGAAATTAATAGGCTTATTATGGTTCCCAATCACAAGTCTTGGAAAACTTGGGATACTGAGGGTAAAATTTCTCTGTTATTTTATAGAAGCATCTAAAGTAAAGAAATCTGAAATCTAAGCAGACATTTAAAACAAGATTTTTGAAGGCATTTCCTGTTTTTTGTTGTTGTTTTCTTTTGGTGTAGAAAATATGCTGTCTTCCTCTTGAATGTGGCATAGATTATTTGTATCCCTTGGTTAAGGGCAAGAGTTAACAATTACAGTATGTTAAACTCATCTGCTTCCCATTAGAAGAAAAAGTGTTTACATGGTAGTATCGAGTGAATTTTGTAGGGTGTTTTCCAAGACCCCAAATCAATTTTTTTAAAAGCATTTGATAAATTTCTATCTGTTAATACTCAACAACAATTTATTATTACAGAAATAGGGGAATTTCTCTTAACTGGATATAAGGTGTTTACAAGAAGTCCATAGGAAATATTATAATTAAGTGTGAAAGGTTAATTTCATTCCTGTTAGTGTCGAGAATAAAACGTGAATGCCTACTCTTATTTCTATTACTGGAGATACCAAACAATGCAATAGTACATGAAAAAAATAGGATAGAAAGCACAGCCACTTGAAAGAAGCAGGAAAACAATTACTGGTAAGCCTATGTTTTTTTTTTTCTAGAAAAAAAATACAAGATATTTAAGTAAAATGGCTGGCAACAATACTAGCATGCAAGGAACAATAGCATTCCTGTATAATAGCAATCACTAATTAGAAAATGCAATAGACAATAAATTCCACTTTTGATGGAAAAAGGTAAAATACCTAGATATAAACAAAAAATTCATATGTCATGTGAAGAAAAACCCCCTGAAAACCTTGCTAAATAGGTGGAATGCTGTACAAATACAGGAAGACACAATGATGAAAAGATTCTCCCCCACATGGATTTATAAATTCAAGTAAGCCTAGTTAAAATTGCATTTAGATTAAAAAAAATTAGAACGTGAGAAGCTGATTCTAATATTTTTAGGAAAAGCAAATATACAACTGGCAAGGATTTTAAAAACATTATTTTGGGGAGGATTGGTCTAGATAAAGCTGGTATGATATTGTCATAGGAAGAGGCAGGAGAGGAAAGTGAATGAGACAAAATAGAGTCCAGAAACAGACCCATGGATATAAAAGAATGTACTTAGTAATTAAGATGGCATTTCAAAACAGTGGGAAAATACTACGTTTCAGTAAATTATGTTGGAATAGTTGTCTACCCACATGCTAAAAAAAATTCTGTTGTGTTCCCAAGTCATGCCATGCCAGACGAACTAGAGTCTTATATTAAATATAAAGGAATCAAAAGGAAATACAAGAAACTATTTTTGTATGCTTCTAAAATATTCTGTGTTTTTAAAGTGTGTTTGGGAATATGCTTAAGCTAAATTTTCCATTTGCTTTATTTTGTATCTTTGAGTATTAGTTCTTGGGATATTGAATTGATTATTGATTATTCAGTATATCTCTTTCATAGTTTTCTGATTTTCTTTGTGTTTATAATTCTTTGTTTGCCTTCCCATAAATCCATATTTCAGGAAGTTGTCTCCAGTGATTATGGACCAGCAAAGTGGCAATAGGGAGAACTTTCTAGAGAGTAATCTATGCAAGGTAATGGAGTTTGATCTTGTCCTAATATTAACTTAGCAAGCAAAAACTGAAGTCAGAATAAATTGAAACATCATACTGAACTCCAATTCCAATGGCAGAGTCAAATTTTGCGTAGATCCACATTCCATAAATATCCAAATGTAAAAATTGCAAATATGAAGATAAAATGAGAAAGGAACATTACCTATCAAAATGTAAATTAAGGGACATTAGAAACAGGAAGTCAAAGCCAGGTCAAATAAGAAGTCTGCACAGCTTATTCTCTTGCTCATATTTCTTATATTCCTGTCAGCAGAAAAAAATTACATGTCTGACAAGGACTAAAAGACACACATACATAAACACACACACATGCAAATGTGTGTGTGTGTGTGAGAGATTCTTTTTTAATTTGCATTTCAAATAAAATTATGACTAGTCTCTACTTTTAATTTTAATTTCAATTTTTTAAAAGATTTTAAAGTAGTGTATTTACTTTGTTCAAAATTCAAAGAGAAAAAGATTGCTCATTGAAAATTTTCCCTTCACCCATGTCTTCCAGCCAGCCAGTTTCATTTCCTGAAGATGGCAGTGTTACTGGTTCCTTCCTTTGGTATCTTTCGAAAGATATTCTGTGCTGCATATGCAAAAATTAAAAAAAACACACACTACATTTATTTTTATTCACTCCCTTTGTATAAATATTACAAATTGTACACTATGTGTGCCTTGCTTTAAAAGCTATTATTATTCCATGTAATTATTCCATATTAGTATAGAAAGATATGATTATTCCATATTAGTACAAAAAGTACTTTAATTTTTAAGAGATTTATTGAGATATAATTCACATACCATAAAATTCATCCTTTTAAATTGTACAATTCGTGGTTTTTACAGAGACATGCGATTACTGTAATTAATTTTGGAACATTTGATTACCCCCCAAAGAAACCCCATACCCCTTAGGCTATAACTCCCTAGTCCGCAATCTCCCCCAGCCACAGGCAACCATTAATCTACTTTCCATCTCTACAGATTTTCCTACTCTAGACATTTCATGTAAAAGGAATCATACAGTGAAGTTTCTCACCCTGCATGATGTTCTCAAGTTTCATCCATGTTGTAATATAGAACTAGTCTCTATTCGAGAATGAATGGATGGATACAAAGACTCCATATGTAAAATACATGCTTGGCTTGATATATGGATGTCTAGATGCATGTGCATTAATTTCATTAACTATTTTATGTATTTATACAGCAGTCACTCATTCTTACGTATTAATTCTCATTAGTTACTTTTAAAAGAATCCTGTTCAGATGGTGTTAAGGTAATAAAGTTTTTTAAGTAGACATTAAGCCAGATGCTCATATAGATGGATACACACACACACACACACACACACACACACACACACATATACATATATATATATATATATATATTTTTTTTTTTTTTTTTTTTTTGAGACAGAGTCTCGCTCTGTTGCCCAGGCTGGAGTGTAGTGGCATGATTTCGGCTCACTGCAACCTCTGCCTCCCGGGTTCAAGTAATTCTCCTGCCTCAGCCTCCCAAGTATCTGGGATTACAGGAATGAGCCACCATGCCTGGCTAATATTTTTCATTTTTTTAGTAGAGAAGTAGAGATGGGGTTTCACCATGTTGGCCAGACTAGTCTCGAGCTCCTGACCTCAGTGATCAACCTGCCTCGGCCTCCCAAAGTGCTTCGATTACAGGCATGAGTCACCATGCCTGGCCAGATAGATATATTTTTACACACAGAGTTTTATAGTAGAGATCATCCCTGATTTCTATTGGTTATTAGCAGAAGAAGTCTAATGTTTACATGATATGATTTAGAGGTGAACTGAAAGTGTGTCCCAAGTTCATAGTCTTTTGCAGGGTATTTTAGGTATCCTCAGGCTCCTCTTTAAAGGAGACAAGTATATGTAAATTGCAGCACCCCTTTCTTCTCTTTCTTTCCTCCTGTTGTAACAAAGTGTTTTACCTTCTCCCAAAGATAATCCCACCTGATGTTCTCTGCATCTTAATGCTGTTATTCCTTTTCAGATATCTCAGTCCATAATTGTCTCCTTCCTTTCTCTTTCTTGTCTGCAGTCTTTCCCTCTCTATATGACATTTCCTATTAGCAAACACATTTTTGAATGCTCCATATGATTTTAAAAACTCCCTTGAATTAAAAAAAAACCCTCATCTATTTTTAGATAACGATTCTTCTCATTCTGTCTTGGTGATTTTTGGAGAACATACATTTTCTAGTTGTGAAGCTATTGATGGTTCTTGAACTCATAAATATGTTTTGTCTTTTCCCAAGGATCAGACCTATATGTGTAATTGTCCACTTGAAATCTGCACTGGGATGATGTACAGTTATCTTAAACTAAAATAACTCAGAGAGAATCCTCTATTCTTGCTCTCTCCCTACCAAGCCTGCCATTGCCAGTGGCCAACTTACTCTTCTTCCAGCTTTCCCATTCCAGCACATGGCACCATCTTCCACTCTCAATTGCTCAGGGTTGTTCTTGACACTTTATCCAATCCTGGCTATTCTGCTTCTTGAATGTTACTCAGATATGTGTTTTTTAATTTCCTCTCTCACCACCCTAATATATGCATCATGGCCTCTTGGGTGAACCACTAGAATGCCTCTTTTTTTTTTATTATACTTTAAGTTTTAGGGTACATGTGCACAATGTGCAGGTTAGTTACATATGTATACATGTGCCATGTTGGTGTGCTGCACCCATTAACTCGTCATTTAACATTAGGTATATCTCCTAATCCTATCCTAATCCTATCCCTCCCCCCTCCCATCAGTGTGGCAATTCCTCAGGGATCTAGAACTAGAAATACCATCTGGACCCAGCCATCCTGTTACTGGGTATATACCCAAAGGATTATAAATCATGCTGCTATACAGACACATGCACACGTATGTTTATTGTGGCACTATTCACAATAGCAAAGACTTGGAACCAAGCCAAATGTCCAACAATGATAGACTGGATTAAGAAAATGTGGCACATATACACCATGGAATACTATGCAGCCATAGAATGCCTCTTAATTATTCTTCTCCTGCTGTGCTTACCCTCATCTACTCCATTCTCCCCCACTGCAGCCAGAGCACTCTGAAAAATATGAGTTGGCTGTGTAATTTCCCTCTTTCATTTCCCCTTAGTGGCTTACTTTCATTATCATGACAAAAATCTCATTGTTTTTACATAGTCTTCCTAATCTGCTCTCTTGCCCGCCTTTCTAGCCCTGCCTCTTACCTCTCTCCTCCAGATTCAGCAATGTGGGCATTCCTGTTGCTTTTCAGTCTTTTTTAAAAAATATAATTTCAACTTTTCATTTATATTCAGATGGTACATGTGCAGGCTGGTTACATGTAAGTATTACATAACGCTGAGGTTTGGGATATGAGTGAATCCTTTCACCCAGGTAGTGAGCATAGCACCCAATAGGTAGCTCTTCAGCCCTTGCCTTCATCCCTTCTTTCCGTCTCTAGCAGTCTCTAGTGTGTTATTTTCATTTCTATGTCCATGTGTACCCAACGCTTACCTCCACTTATAAGTGAGAACATGTAGTATTTAGTTTTCTGTTCCTGTGTTAATTTGTTTAAGATAATGGCCTCCAGCAGCACCCATGTGGCTGCAAAGAACATGATTTTATTCTTTTTTATGGCTGTGTAGTGTTCCATGGCATATGTGTACCACAGTTTCTTTATCCAATCCACCATTGATGGGCAGGTAGGTTGATTCCATGTCTTTGCTACTGAGAGCAGTGCTGTGATAAACCTACAAGTGCATGTGTCTTTTGGTAGAATAATTTATTTTCCTTTGGATATATACCCAGTAAGGTGATTGCTGGTTTTAATGGTAGTTCTATTTTTAGTTCTTTGAGAAATCACCAAACTTTTTTCCACAGTGGCTGAACTAATTTGGATTCCCACCAACAGTGTATAAGCATTCCTTTTTCTTCACAGCCTCGTCAGCATCTATTATTTTTTGACTTTTTAATAATAGCCATTCTGACTGGTGTGAGATGGTATCTCATTGTGATTTTGATTTGCATTTCTCGCTTTTCAGTCTTTTGGATGTATGGAGCTCTTTCCCGCTTCTGACTTTTCATCTGTCCTGCCTCCTTTCTCTGGAGCAACTCTACACCTAGTTAACTGCTGCTCACTCTTTAGGTCTCACCCTTGATCCCTCACTGTTACTCTCATAGTATTATGTATTTTTCTTCTTACCAATTTGCAGAGTTTGTGCTTATGAAGTTTTGCAATTGTGTATTAATGTCTTATTTCCTCCACAAAATTTTAGATTTCATGAGGCCAAGAACTGTGTCTCTTTGGTTCACACAATAGCGAAGTGACAGGTATAGAGCAAGTACTCCAAGCTACATGTTGGGCATATGAAAACAATAGCTGATAATTGAATGCCTTTTATGTGCCAGCCACTGTAATAATTTTTTATGTGGCATTTCGCTTAATTTCTCCTGTTACCGCCCCCCCCCCCCCCAATGAATTAGTATTTCTCTACTTAGTCATGTATAAGTGAGTTGAGCCTAGAGGGACTTGGGACACAGCTGAGAAATTACTGGAACTATAGAACTACTGAGACCCTTCATCTGTGTGGACTGTTGGTGGTTGGGCATCAGTGGGATTCTGGCCATTTGGTAGTTATGAGCAAATGAGGTCAGTAGTTTATCAGAGATGGATGGGCACTCGAAAGTAGGAAGAAACAGACATAGTCTTTTTTACTTTGAAATGTTGCCTGGGCTTTGCCATGATCATTTTGGTGGGTATCACAAGCAAATACTAAAAGGACTTCACATCTACTTCTTTGTTCTTCCAAAACTCATCCCATCAATTTCATTACCTGGTGGCTCACACCTGTAATCCCAGCACTTTGGGAGGCTGAGGCAGGCAGATCACCTGAGGTCAGGAGTTTGAGACCAGCCTGGCCAACATGGTGAAACCCCATCTCTACTAATAATACAAAACTTTAGCCAGGCGTGGTGATGGGCACCTGTAATCCCAGCTACTAGGGAAGCTGAGGCAAGAGAATTGCTTGAACCCAGGTGGCGGAGATTACAGTGAGCCAAGATCGCACCATTGCACTCCAGCCTGGGTGACAAGAGTGAAACTCTGTCTCAAAAAAAAAATTTCTTCTCTATGTGAAGTAGGAGCCTTGTTTTATTTATGTTTGTTTCTTTGGCATATATCACAGTGTCTGACAAAGCACTTGGTAGTATTTGCTAAGTGAATGAATGGATGAATGAGCAAATGTATTGGTCAGTGATAATACCTTTTCTTTATATATCATTTTTCTCCTGGGGTCTTCTAGTCATCTTGGATTAAAAAGAGGAATTAACTCTAAGGACAAGGATTTCAGTATGTTTACCAAGCAAGGATATTTTAGAGTATTGGGACTTTTGATAGAGGTTGTAGAATCCAGATATTATTGTTAGAATAGTTAGAATTGTGAATAAACATTCTAGGAACCTTCATGATCTCTGGGACAATATTCGAATTCAAGTGGAAAATAACATATTTTGGAAACCCCAAGCAAGAACTCCTTGCTTTGAATACATGTAATTTACTGGAATTTACAAGAAGACTTTTAAGGGAGTTAATTTTTGGGGACTTTCCAAAAAATATGGAAAATATAAAAATATTGAGAACAATGACAACTT
Source organism: Homo sapiens (assembly GCF_000001405.40). Classification (NCBI taxonomy): domain Eukaryota; kingdom Metazoa; phylum Chordata; class Mammalia; order Primates; family Hominidae; genus Homo; species Homo sapiens. The sequence continues at coordinate 51,803,182 of NC_000006.12, read as the reverse complement.
CTACAGAAGTTATTTTGTACTTTATAAAATATAAGCACTTTATTAATTTAGGAGCACAACATATAGATTGGTTTGCTCAGAAAATATAAATTTTGGTACAACATATTAAAATAGAAAGTAGAGATTATTTACTAAATATTTGTTACTCAGATACTACATTTTAAACTCTCTCTTAAACATCAATTATAATTGATATAATATATGTATATTTAACAAACAAATAGGATACAAGCATCTTATTTTTAAGATTTTAATAATCTTTTGGGTTTCTTTTCCTGCAGAAGAAACAATTGAGAACTTAAGAAAAAAAGTCAATAATACCGAGGAAAATTAAAGAATCTCATAGTTTTTTGGATATATTGCCCTGTCTAGTGTCAAGCAGAGACAAAAAGAGAAGATTTATTTTCAAAAAAGACCTGATGGGGAGAAATAAACTTATTTGATACAATATTTGATATCTGGACCTTTGCCTAAACAGCACCGTTCAGGAGTGAATCACTTATTTCATAGATATTCATATTTTTCTATTCAGGGTAAAAGTACAAAATATATTTATTTACTAAAAGTTGATCATGTTATTATTCTTAAGGAAACAAATCAAAACAAAAACCCACATAGGAAAATAAGTTTGGCGCTTAGTTTGGCTTTAACACCAACTGTAACATGTAAAAATTTAATAATTGGATCACCTGAGAGTTGCCAGTTTATGCCTTTTCACATATTAAGCATTATTCACTACAGGATTGGAGAGGGATTTTATCTCCAAACCTCATGTTAGTTAGAATTCATTAACAATGTATACAGGTAATAGAATTATGTGGATAAAGCCAAACTGTAGTTTAACATCAGACCTAAAATTTATCAAAATGCATATTGTTCCTTTTTAGGTCTTCTGGGGATTGCAAGGTCTAGGTTTTTTGTTTGTTTGATTGTTGTTGTTGTTGTTTTTGCCTTGAGCCATCTGAGCAAGGTGACAACTATAGACCTTGGTTTAAATGGCAATGCCATGTCGTCCACTCTGATTTCTTTGAAGTCTGATGAAGAGAACAGTAGCATAGCACCGTCTCTAGATTTAAAACAATAATAATAAAGCCTGGGATGAGAGAAGGCACAGATTCTTTTCTATTTTTATGAAAACAGCAGCACCTTCTGGTATTCTCCTTTCAGAATTTGGGATGCAGAGGACTGATCTGATACAGTTGGTAATTTTACTTAAAAACCTTCCTATTAAATAGATTCAAAATATTTCTGAAGAACAGATGGTATAGACTAGAGGAAGAAATAAACATTGTATGTTAAACATTTTATTGATCAATTAAAATATCATAATTTAAAATGTTTATTCTACTATGGGAATTATGCATGTCTGTGTGTGATTGAAAAAGACACAGAAAGAATGTGGGGAGTGGGATGGGGATTTATTGTCCAAAGTTTAAATGGGACTCTTCTCATGAGGTGAGAGTGAGAAGAGCTATTTTTCTCTCCTCCCCTTCCATCCTGTCTCTCTCTCTCTCTCTCTCTCTCTCTCACACACACACACACAATCAGGCCAGCAGATGGTTTTTCTTCAGGGTGTCAGGAAACTGGCTTTTAGTCTTGAATCGTGTGCCTCTGGGCACTTTGAAACTGCCTCTTCTGCCTATTTTTAAGACCAGTTTGAAAAAAAATGATGGGCAGAGTAGAATAAAGAAACCACCTGTGTGGATTTGATGAAAAAGGCAGACTATAAAGCTAGCACTTCTTTGAAAAGAGTTTAGTTATAGAAAGACTGCATCCTTATCTTCTAGCACATCTCTGGTCAGCTTTTTCTACAAGAGAATGAACTCTAGAGAACTGAATACCATCATCTCAGTAAATTAGTCTACTTGACACTAATTTTCAATCATGTTCATCTTTCATCTCTGTGAACTATTTATGTATAAGAGTTTCCATTCTATTTTAGGAATACTTTTCTTGGATGTTATCATTCATCTTTATAAATTATGATAGACTATTTAAATAAATTGTTAGATGCCTCCAAAGTTAAACGAGACCACAAAAGAAAGAAAATATCACCAATCATTGTGTAAAATGTATATTTAAAGCAGTCACTTTGGAGCTAAAAATATTTTCTTTCTACAAAGGAAGATTAGATCATTTAATAGTGATTCAAATAGCTTTAAAATTTACTTTTCCTTTGGTTCACATATTTAATAGAAAACACAGGAGCCAAGGCTGAATGTAGAAAAAAAACCCATTAATTATGGAAGGTACAGGAAAATAACAAGCCCACAAATAGTCCTTGTATGTCCTGCTCTGCCTGGCATGCCATTGCTCTCCCTCAGAAGTCTGAGCTGTGTCCAAAGTCAGTACAGGCTGCTTTCCTGACAATAGCAGGGTTGTAATAGAAACTGTCTTACCACCTAAGTTATGGGGCCTGATACAGTGCATACCATACAAGCAGTGGGTCTGCCTGCCCTAAATTATGCCTGTTCATGTGACCCCATCATTATTCCCAGGATCTGTGCCCTTTGCCCTTGATCTCATTTCTACAGGATTTAGACAAGTGTCAGACCCTTGGAATGCTACACAATAGTGACCTTGATTCCCTACTTTGCTGGGAAAAAAAGTGAGTTTAAATCTAGCGTTCAACTTACATGGAATGCTTTGTAACTGTGGTAGTCAAATTGTTCTTGATACAAAAGAAGCCCCAGCCCTCTTTCAGAGACATCTGTCTTTCAGTCTGGCTCAGGTTTTCTGGTCTTGAGGCTAGTTAATGCATTTCTAATAAAACACTGAGTCTTTTTTGTTGTTGTTGTTGTTGCATTTGGTGCAGGGATAAATTCAGGGGTTTCTCCTTATTGTTAACTTTCCAGATATTATTTTTAAAGCTTTAGTGTTCTAATTGTAAAAATAGAACACTTTCAGGAAAAAAAGACCAAAAAGCCAAAACACTGCTTGGCAAAACACACTAGGATAAAGATGGTGGTGTTTAGTGCTTGATGGATGAACAAGTGGTTAAAGGGTGTAATTCGGAACCAAGAGGCACCACCCCATGGCTAGTCCTGAGCCCCTTTGGGGGGAAAAGCAGTCTTTAATTACATCTGGAACTCATTAATTCTTTTTGGAGCCTCTTTCCAGATCAGCTCCCCCATCAGCCACCCATTGAGCAACAGAAATTCCAGATGGTTCCCTCCATATGCCAGTGCTGATTCTCTCAAGTAGGATAGATTGGTCACTGACAGGATAGGGTGGAATATCTGTAGCCAAGGCAGGACACGGTGGAAAGCACTGGAACACACTTAAATTAGAGGTGGTCCATCACTTATATTATTAAGTAAGTTGTATAAATAACTATTTCTGAGTGATTGCTCTGAAATATCTTGAGTAATTTTATGGAAAGGATGTTAATTCTAGAGAATGTGGCACATAGATGCCAGCTTTCCACTCCTCAAAAGAGAGAAATCCTCTGCAAGTGTCATTGTAGCTGAGGATTTGTCAGTTTAGACCTGCAGATGATCTGCTCTGGAGGGTACGTTAGGGTGAATTCTTTTGCTCATGTAACTAGCTGAAATATTTATTATTGTGATACAAGGAGAATGCCTTTATAAAAATCTCTATATGGCATGTGCTTATTTTATTTTAGCAGAATTTTCTTATAATAGACACATTGATAGACTCCAGTTTGAAGCAGCTGGGAATAAAAACAGAGTCAACCTCCATGTAATTAAAAAGTATGTCATCATTTCAAGTATATCACATTATTTATTTGTATATATACCTGTTTTCATCTGATGGTGGGAAACATGACTTACTCATGTTTAAATTCCTACCACCTCAAAATTTGTCACATTATGGGAAAGGAAAGAAAGAAAGAAAGAAGAAAAAATGGAGAGATGAATCCAGGGAATTTCAAAGTGAAGAGTGTGGCACCAAAAGAAATAAGACTAATGTTTCTGTTATTGTCTTCATTCTATACTTTTCCTTAGATAACTATTGGAATTTATGTGTGTGTACACACGTGTGCTTGTGTGTGTGTGTGTGGTGTTAATTTTGACCATCTATTATGGGTTAAATATTATTCTTCTAGGTCCTGAGAAAATAAAAGTGAGAACATCAGCTGTGTTCCTGTTCTCAAGTGGTTATAATAGTCTGTCTGTGATTCATGGGAAATTTGTTGGTACATTTGGAGTTGGTAGGGCAATTGAAAGGGAAAATTTCTTCTGAAAGGGGTATAATTAAAACTTCATGTACTTGTCATATTTTAGCTGAGAAATACATCTAAAAGCACCTACTATCATACTTTTATGTGTATGTGTGAGTACTCTGTGGATGAGAGAAAGCATTAGTTCAACCAATTTTATTGTTTTGTACAATCAGGTTTAATAGCTGAATATTGGTTGAGTGTGCTATAGGTTGGAACAGATATAAACCAATTTGTATAAAACTCTTGCTTTGAGACAGGGAGAATGAAACCAATTTGGAAAACATATTTTAGGATATCGTCCAGGAAAACTTCCCCAACCTAGCTATGCAAGCCAACATTCAAATTCAGGAAATGCGGAGAACCCCAGTAAGGTACTCCATGAGAAGATCATTCCGTAGACACATACTCATCAAATTCTCCAAGGTCAAAATGGAGGCAAAAATGTTAAAGGCAACCAGAGAAAGGCTAGGTGACCTACAAAAGGAAGCCCATCAGACAAACAGCAGACCTCTTAATGGAAGCACTGTAAGCCAAAAGAGATTGGGGGTAGATATTCAACATTCTTAAAGAAAAGACATTCCAACACATAATTTCTTTTTCTTTCTTTCTTATTTTTTTTGAGATGGAGTCTTCCTCTGTACCCCAGGCTGGAGTACAGTGGTGTGATCTCGGTTCACTGCAACTCTGTCTCCTGGGTTCAAGCAATTCTTGTGCCTCAGCCTCCCAAGTAGCTGGGATTACAGGTATGCATCACCATGCCTGGCTAATTTTTGTATTTTTAGTAGAGACGAGGTTTTGCCATGTTGGCCAGGCTGGTCTTGAACTTCTAGCCTCAAGTGATCCACTTGCCTCAGCCTCCCAAAGTGCTGGAATTACAGGCACGAGCCACTGCACCTGGCCCCCAACCTAGAATTTCTTATCTGGACAAACTAAGCTTCATAACTGAAAGTGAAATAAGATCCTTTTCAGATAAGCAAATGCTGAGGGAATTTGGCACCACCAGATCTGCCTTACAAGAACTGAAGGAAGCCCTAAATATGAAAACAAAAAGCTGTTACCAGTCACTACAAAAACACACTGAAATACACAGACCAGTGACACTATGGAGCAACCACATAAACAAGTCTGCAAAATAACTAGCTAGCATCATGATGACAGGATCAAATACACACAATATCAATACTAGCATTAAATATAAATGGGCTAAATGCCCCAATTAAAAGACATAGAGTCTTTTAAAGCTGGATAAAGAACCAAGACCCATCAGTGTGCTGTCTTCAAGAGTCCTATCTCACATGCAAAGACACACATAGGTTCAAAATAAAGGAATGAAGAAAAATTTACCAAGCAAATGGAAAACAGAAAAAAAGCAGGGGTTGCAATCCTAGTTTCTGACAAAATGGACTTTAAACCAACAAAAATCAAATAAGACAGAGAAGGGCATTACATAATGGTAAAGGGTTCAATTCAACAAGAAGAGCTAACTATCCTAAATATATATGCACCCAATACTGTAGCACCCAGATTCATAAAGCAAGTTCTTAGAGACCTTCTAAGAGACTTAGATTCCCACACAATAATAGTGTGAGACTTTAACACCCCACTGACAATATTAGACAGATAATTTAGACACAAAATTAACAAAAATATTCAGGACCAGAACTCAACTCTGGATAAAGTGGGCCTGATAGATATCTATAGACCTCTCCACCAAAAAACAAAGGCATATACCTTGTTCTCATCACCACACAGCACTTACTTTAAAATTGATCATATAATTGGAAGTAAATCACTCTCAGCAAATGCAGAAGAACTGAAATAATAACAGTCTCTCATAGCACAGCACAATCAAATTAGAACTTAAGATTAAGAAATCTATTCAAGGCCAGGCACAGTGGCTCACAGCTGTCATCCCAGCACTTTGGGAGGCTGAGGTGGGTGGATTGCCTGAGTTCAGGAGTTCAAAACCATCCTGGGCAACACGGTGAAACCCTGTCTTTACTAAAAATACAAATATTAGCCAGGTATGGTGGAAGACACCTGTAATCCCAGCTACTCAGGAGCCTGAGGCAAGGGAATCCATTTGAATCCAGGAGGCTGCACTGAGCTGATATCACACCCCTGCACTCCAGCCTGGGTGACAGAGTGATGAGACTCTGTCTCCAAAAAAAAAAAAAAATCTATTCAAAACCACACAACACCATGGAAATGAACAACCTTCTCCTCCTGAATGACTCTTGAGTAAATAATGAAATTAAGGCAGAAATCAAAGAGTTATTTGAAACTCATGAGAACAAAGATACACCATACCAGAATATCTGGGACACAGCTAAAGCAGCATTAAGACAGAAATTTATAGCACTAAATGCCCACATCTAAAAGCTAGAAAGATCTCAAGTTAACAATCTAACATTACAACTAAAAGAACTAGAGAACCTAGAGCAAACAAACCTCAAAGCTAGCAGAAGACAAGAAATAACCAAGATCTGAGCTGAACTGAAGGACATAGAGACATGAAAAGCCTTCAAAAAATCAACAAATCTAGGATTTTTTTGAAAAAAAAACTAATTAAATAGACTGCTAGCTAGATTAATAAAGAAGAAAGAGAAGATTGAAATAAACACAATCAGAAACAACAAGGGGGATATTACCACTGACCCCAGAGAAACACAAACAACCCTCAGGGAATATTATAAACACCTCTTGCACATAAAGTAGAAAATTTGGGAGAAATGGATAAATTCCTGGACACATGCACCCTCCCAAGACTGAACGAGGAAGAATTGAATCCCTGAATAGATTAATAATGAGTTCTGAAAATGGGGCAGTAATAAGTAGCCTACCAACCAAAGAAAGCCCAGGACCAGGTGAATTCACAGCTGAATTCTACCAGAGTTACAAGGAAGAGCTGGTACTATTCCTACTGAAACTATTCCAAGAATTAAAAAGGAAGGACTCCTCCCTATCTCATTTTATGAGGTCAGCATCATCCTGATACTAAAACCTGACAATAAGACAAATTCGGGTCAATATTATTGATGAACACCAATGCAAAAGTTCTCAACAAAATGCTGGCAAACTGAATACAGCAGCACATCAAAAAGTTTATCCAGCATGATCAAGTAGTCTTCGTCCCTGGAATGCAAGGTTGGTTTAATGTATGCAAATCAGTAAATGTGATTCACTACACAAACAGAACTAAAGACCAAAACCACATGATTATCTCAACAGATGCAGAAAAGCCCTTTGATAAATTCAACATACATTCAAATTAAAAACTCAATAAATTATTGAAGAAATATACCTCAAAATAATAAAAGCTATATATGACAAACTCATAGCCAATATTCTATTGAATGGGCAAAAGCCAGAAGCACTCCCCTTGAAAACTGTCACAAGACAAGGATGCCCTTTGTCACCACTCCCATTCAACATAGTATTGGAAGTTCTGGCCAGGGCAATTAGGCAAGAGATGGAAATAAAGCATATTTAACTAGGAGGAGAGGAAGTCAAACTATCTTTGTTTGCAGATGAAATGATCCTATAGCTTGAAAACCCTATTGTTTCAGCCCAAAAGCTTCTTAAGCTGATAAGCAACTTCAGCAAAATCTCAGGATACAAAATCAATGTGCAAAAATCTCTAGCATTTCCATACACTAACAATAGACAAGCCAAGAGCCAACTCGCAAATGAACTCCCATTCACAATTGCCACAAGAAGAGTAAAATACCTGTGAATACAGCTAACAAGGGAAGTGAACAGTTCTCCTTAAGGAGAACTTCAAACCACTGCTCAAAGAAATCAGAGATGACACAAACAAATGGAAAAATATTCCATGCTCATGGATAGGAAGAATCAGTATCATGAAAATGGCCATACTATCTAAAGCAATTTATAGATTCATTGCTATTCCCCTTAAACTACCATTAAGATTCTTCACAGAATTAGTAAAAACTATTTCAAACTTCATATAAAACCAAACAAGAGCCCGAATAGCCAAGGCAATCCTAAGCAAAAAGAGAAAAGCTAGAGGCATCATGTGACCCAACTTTATACCGCAGGGCTACAGTAACCAAACAGCATAACCAAACAGCATGGTACTGGTACAAGAACAGACACATAGACCAATGGAACAGAAAGAGAAGGCATAAATAAGACTGCACACCTACAACCATCTCATCTTTGACAAACCTCAAAAAACAAGCAGTGGGGGAAGAATATTCTGTTTAATAAATGATGCTGGGAGAATTGGCTAGCCATATGCAGAAAAACTGAAACTAGGCCCCTTCCTTAAGCCATATACAAAAATCAACTCAAGATGGAATAAAGACTTAAATGTAAAGCTCACAACCATAAAAACCCTGGAAGAAAATTTAGGCAATACCATTCAGGACAAAGGCACAGGTGAAGATTTCATGATGAAGATGCCAAAAGCCATTGCAACAAAAGCAAAAATTGACAAATGGGATATAATTAAACTAAAGAGCTTCTGCACAGCAAAAGAAACTATCATCAGGGTAATCAAGCTACAGAATGAGAGAAAAATTTTGCAATCTATGCATCTGACAAACGTCTAATATCCAGCATCTATAAGGATCTTAAATTTACAAGAAAAAACAACCCCATTAAAAAGTGGGCAAAGAACATGAACAGATGCCTCTCAAAAGAAGACATACACGCAGCCAACAGACATATGAAAAAAAGCTTAACATCACTGATCATTAGAGAAATGCAAATCAAAACCATAATGAGATATCATCTCATACCAGTCAGAATGGCTATTATTAAAAAGTCAAAAAAGGCGCGGTGGCGGACACCTGTAGTCCCAGCTACTCGGGAGGCTGAGGCAGAAGAATGGTGTGAACCCGGGAGGCAGAGCTTGCAGTGAGCCGAGATCACGCCACTGCACGACAGAGTGAGACTCCATCTCAAAAAAAAAAAAAAAAAAAGTCAAAAAGCAACAGATGCTGGTAAGGTTGTGGAGCAAAAGGAATGCTTTTACACTATTGGTAGGAGTGTAAATTAGTTCAATCATTGTGGAAGACAGTGTGGCGATTCCTCAAAGACCTAGAGGCAGAAATACCATTCGACCCAGCAATCCCATTACTGGGTATACAACCAAAGGAATAGAAACCATTCTGTTTTAAAGACACATGCACGCATACGTTCATTGCAGCACTATTCACAATAGCAAAGACATGAAATAAACTTAAATGTCCATCAATGATAGACTGGATACAGAAAATGTGGTACATAGATACAATGGAATACTATGCAGCCATAAAAAGGAATGAGAATTATCTCATTTGTCCTTTGCAGGGATATGGATGGAGCTGGAGGCCATTATCCTTAGCAACCTAACACGGGAACAGAAAACAAAATACCACGTGTTCTTGCTTGTAAGTGGGAGCTAAGTGATGAGAACACATGGACACAAGGCAGGGAACAACACACACTGGGGTCTGTCAGAGGGCAGGTGGTGGGAGGAGGAAGAGGATCAGGAAGAATAGCTAATTGATGCTGGGTTTAATACCTTAGTGATGGGATGATCTGTGCAGCAGGCCACCGTGGCACAAGTTTACCTGTGTTAACAAACCTGCATATCCTGCTCATGTATCCCTGAATTTAAAATAAAAGATGAAAATAAAATAAATAAGTAAATAAATTGGAGGCAAAACCCTCTTGTTTTTACAAATTTTGCTTCAAATAATTCTTAAAGTCATGAACCCATAAAATGTGTGCTAAACCTAGAACATTCTCTAGGTACTTCACTCTTTTATTTGAATATTTTGAAAAGTGCTAGAGATGAGATTAAGATATATATTTATTTTTGTCTGTTTAGCTTGATCATTCATTTTGTACCAGTCATCAATGAGCTCTTGAATTTAAGGTATGTAGGGGATTAAACTCAACAGATCTGGACGACATTTATTTAGTGTCTTTATCTTCAGTATTGCAAAAACACTAGGGATTTAAAAAGAAAAAGAATGATCTCTTCACTTAAGGAAGTCAGAGTGGGAGAGGAAGTCATAATCACACTGAGGACCAGCCCAGTGACAGTTACTTCCTCACGTACAATAATGTATGTATATAATTTGAATAATGTGTCTCAGTACTCTGATAGATGTATGTACAGGGTGTCACTGGAGTGTAAAAGAGAGAGGTTGTTTCCCCAGGGAGAGTGGTGGAGCCAGTGAGGAGAGAGAATAGCTTGCTAGCAGAACTAATGCTTGCTTTGCATCCTGATGGGATAGGACCATACTTTGAGAACCACTGCTCTACATCTAACTGAGAGAAAAGGGGAGGGAAAAGGCATACAGAATTTATGGAACAGGCCTAGAGATGTCATACTTTAATTTTTCCCACATTTTATTGGCTACAACTCAGTCACATGGCTTCATCAACCTGCAAAGGAGGTGGAAACTGTAGTCTAACTGTGAACTTAGGAAAACAAGAGAAATGGTTGGTTTACAACCCTATAGTCTCTGCCACAGGAGGGCATGGCCATTCTTATAATGCAGGAAGCAGGGAGGGGCTAGGAAAGACAACTCATGACAAGTTAATTTGCTTGGGCATGTCCTTAAGAAGAGCAAGTGCATTGTTTCCTAGAATGAGAGATGAGATTATACTAACAAAAGAATTCCTTATAAATCTTTACATGTGTTGGTGATTATGGTACTAGAAATTTAAGCAAAAATCTTTATTTGATGTCATTTATAGTGTTGAATTACTGCTAAATTTCAGAAAGTAACACTTAATGCTTTGGCATACATGAAATACTTATTGTTTTAAATGAAAATGTTGTGTTTATATATTACTCTATAGTAAATCTCAGGCAACAGCTATGATTATTTCTTCTGAAGTTATATGAAGACTGCTTTTATGAAAGGGGAAATAAAATATAATGATTTTAAATTGTCCAGTAAGCACTATAAGCATGGGAAGCTAAGGGACAACAGTAAAAATAATAACATCAAGCGTTTATTAAGCATGCACCATGTACTTTACCTTACACAATGGGACTTAGGGAATTAGAGATAGCTTACTAACATTGTATAACCACTTTCAATCTATTAACTCAATTAAATGAGTTAACCCTCACAAAAAGTCCTGTGAACGAAACAGTTGTTTTTAGTATTATTCCCATTCCACAGATGAGATAACCGAGGCACAGAGAGATAAAGTTATTTGCCTAGACAGCTAGTAAGTAGCAGAATTGGTATTCACATCCAAATAGTCTTCCCTCAGAGGCCAATGTCATGTCTACTGTTCTGTACATCCCTGAAACTAGAGCCAAAAGTGAAGAGACAGGACAAAGGGTAGGGAGCTCATTCGATCTGTGTGTTTCCACTGCACTAGACTTGGGGCAGCTGTTTGGTGCATAAGCAGTGCATTTTGTCCATGAATGTGGTATGTTAAGCAATTGCAGCATTTATCAATCAGAACTTATTTTCCTGTTCAGTAAGTCCTAGCTTTTGGCAGACTATTTGTTCTTCCAGTTGCTATACCTGTCCTGGTTTAGATAACACTGTACACAGCTCCCAAACTGCTGGGAGAACCCCAGAATAAACACGTAATTCTTGTTTTTGTGACATATCTGAGCAATTTCTTTTTCTTCCACAGACAGAACTGTCCTTGTGGATACAGATCTTCCATTCTTCAAAGGGCTGTATGTGATGGGGACCTTAGACTTCCCTGTGGACAGAAGCAATGTTCTGAGTGTGGCATGCATGGTCATTGCAGGCGGGGAGCTGAAAGTTGGTGAGTAAAGGCACAAGGATTGCGAGCATGTTGAGAATTATATTCTGTGAGAAGGGGCTCTGGGAAACAGATGGTATCATCAAGCAGGTTGCTTAACAGAGTTTAGGGAGGGTTAAGGTAGTAGTGAGTGCACCAGTAAAGTTGCTCTTCGGCAAGCTTTACATGTGGTCAGAGGTGGCTTGTATTGGTCATTCTTTCATGCCCGTGTACTATCAGGCTGTTTCTGGTCCGCCTGCTACTGCTCATTCCAGGGTGATTTTTTACCTCCTCCAGGCTACAGATCAATTCTTCCTTTAGGTTTTCTTTGTGTCAGAATATGCCTTTAACTCGCTCTTTCAGAAGATATCATAGGATGGATTTGATATCATCTGATCAACTAACTCACAATAAAATTTCAATTGTTGTCTTAACATAATTTCCTGGGAAAACAGACTTGAAAGCAAAGCTATGTGCTAGCACTTTACTGGGACAAATAATCCCAAAGATGTGTGAGTGAAGGGAAAAGAAAAGTGAGGAGGAAAGGGAGGGAAAGCAAATACAAGGTAGCCACAGCTTCTCAAAGAAGCATGCTTGGTTTGCTTGGTTATGTGGGATATCTTGAGAGAAGCCTTATTAGAACCACCATATCTTGGGACAATATGGAAGAGGTAGTGAGGAGAAGGCAAGCATCTCACCTGGCCCATTCCATGCCATTAACTCCTCTGACTTTGTTATTTTTGTGGCTCCCTGGGTAGCTAGTGGAAGGACCAGAGAATCAGTAGGTGCTCGGAGATGAGGCTCCTCTTGCTGGGAAGTGGATCATGTTGTTGAGGCCACAGGACAGGCAGAATGGAATGGATCTAGGGTAGTGTATTAACCAGATTTGGCTTACTTAAATAAAAAAACCTGAAATGTTATGGGTAGACTATATACTTAGAACTGTTGTAAGCAATAGGTATAAATGCTGAAAAGACATGTACCCTGTCTCCAAAGGAACTAATTTAGAACTTTAGTAAGGCATTTTACTTTGCCCCAGGAAGAAGATTGAAAGAGAATGCCCAGAAAAAAATCATATCTTATTCCAAAGAAATATATCTCTGGTGGTAAGGAAATATTTAGATATCCTTGTTAGGTAGCATGAAAATTTTAGAATCTCAGTTGGGAGAAAATTCTAGGTCTAATTACCTGAACAAAGGTTAAGTTACTGTAAAAATATTTCTGAAAAAATATGGTCAATCCTTTTCTTGAATACTTCCAGTGACAAAAAAATCAAAACCTTTCAAGGCAACCTGTTCCCATTGTTTAAAATCCTATTAGAATTCTTTTTGTTCTATTAAGCTAAAATCTATCTTCCTCTAATTTCTATAGGTTCAGGCTCTTCCCCTTGAGCCATTCAGGACAAGTATCTTACTCCTTTTAATTCTATAGCCCTTCATTCACATCTTTTTGAATCTTTTCTGTTTTAGGTCATACAGTTTATAACCATGGTTCATAGTTATTGCTGTTTTAAGTATTTCTTTTTAGTCTATGGTACAAAACTGCAAACACAGAAAAACAAAGAGAATTATGTGGTGGAAATGAAGTGATCACTCAAAGTTTCCAAGTGCAAATATTTCCAAGTGCAAATATAACCACAATTAATATTTTGGTGTTTTATCTCAAAGTCATTTTTTTTCTTACACATACATACACATGCACACATGTATTTCAAAATGTAGGGTACATACTTTGATTTTTTTGATCCTGTATAAACAATGTAAGAATTTCCACAACTCATTATATTTCAAAGGCCCAACTTCAATAATTTCAACATTATATAATATATGGGAATATATAGATATACATGTATATATAATAATTTAGCCATGTTTCTATTGTTAAGCACCTAAGTTATTTCAGATTTTTGTCCTTGTAACTCACTCTGCAATGAACATTCAATAATTAAATCATTATTCATATCTTCATTTCCTTAGGATGGGCTTTTAAAAATGAAATTAATGGGCCTAAGGATAAGAACATATTTTAAGATTTTTAATACATGCTGCCAAATTGCTTTTCAGAAAAATTTTACAAATTTGTACACCCCATTTCCCATAGTTATGAGATTCCCTCTTTCTTATTGGCATTGCCTCTAAACACAACTTTGTTTTGTTTAATTCCTCTGAAAGCCAGGGAGAAAGAACTATTCCCAGGTGGGATCTGACTATTCTGAACAGAGTGAGATGAGTATAGCAGTTAACAGAATGGGCTCTAAGTCAGATGTTGGGGGTCCAAATCCACCTTGGCCACCTGTTGGCTGTTTGACCTTAAGCAAGTCAACCTCTGGGCACCTTCATTTCTTCATCTGCAACATATGTGGGATAAGAGTAGAACCTTCTTCAGAGGGATATTAAACATAACTCATAGGAAGTGCTTGGTATGTAGTAGGTGTTCAATAAATGTTTATCAGCCAGGGTGCCCACAGAAAATATATGTCATATGCATTAGACAGTTTGAAGGGATTTAAATAAAGAAATGATTTACAAAGATCCAAATGGGATGAGGTATACCCTAGGGCTCATAAAGCCAGTTATCCTTACTACCTCTTGCCATAAAGGATTGAGAAAAGAATGTTATAGGAACCCAGAGATAAAGAGGGAGGTTTAGAGATGGTTGTCAGACCATCCCAGAGGCATGGCCTTTGTATGGCTGGGATTTAACCAGTACATGGAAGGAACTATAGGAATAAACACTCTTACCTCATTCTTTTGTTTCCCTCCTGTCTTCTGCTTGTGCTACCATTTGGCCACATCCGACTGGAAGTCAGAATAAAGGAGAAGTCAGAATAAAGGAGAACTCCTTGATGCAGTACACATAGGTCAGCCACATCCTGGGGCACTGGGTAGGGTGGAGAAGCACAGAGTTTGGAAATGGAGGTGTCAACAGAAGCTCTCCAGCATAGTCAGCCTCCAGCTATCAGAACAGATATGATTCTTCTGTTAATACAGTCAAATATTAAACTAACTTCTTTTTCCAGCCAGGTCATGCCATTAGTCCTGCCAACTACACTGTCAGCTCTAATTCCTGCTCTTTATATTTGTGCTGCCACAAATACATATCTCTACATTGTACAGTTGTATTGGGCTGATTTTGCTTTCCCTTGGGTTTTGAGGGAATCTAAGGGCAATACTTTTTACCTATCCCTTCATTTAATTATTTCAGTTCATCTTTCTACACTGCAGATATTCTCTTGAAGTCTGGTCTTTTCCTCACAGATTACTGCCATTTGCCCATTTGTTTACTATTCTGTAAAATCCTCATCCAATTAATTGAGAGATATTAAATACAGTTGAGCCCTGTTCTTGTTACTACAAAACTTATTTCCAGTTGATATCTTTTATTGCTAAGATTGATCTCTTTTTTCAGTAAGTTACATTTAGATTTCTAAGGTCACTCATTACTATAATATATAGCTTGCTGACTGAAAAATTTGTACCTTTGAAGGTAAGTGACACTGTGCCACTTTCCAGTTTTACTTTATATATTTCAGGTCTCATTTAAAAATTTCTCCATTCCCAATTCTATTTTCTACCCATCACTGGATAGTGGTGTATTCTTTTTCTCTTTGTTTCATCCATGTGTTCCAGGCCTAAAGGTAGGTTATTGGAACCCATCTGCCCAATGCTATGTGTATTGTGCCTGAAGGAAGACTTTCAACCCATCTGTCCAATTTTACCACATCCTAAAGAAATCCCAACATGAAACAGATAATAAGACTAGTTAGTAAACAAACTTAATAGATTTGGACATTGGCACAGAGTGCTGCCAGAGTATGCCTGCTATCTGATGCCATTTGATCCAAGTCCCAACATTGTGGAATTATATTTTTTGGTGATCCTGCTTTTTTTTTTTTTTCTTGAGATGGAGTTTTGCTCTTATTGCCCAGGCTGGAGTGCAGTGGCGCCATCTCAGCTCATTGCAACCTCTGCCTTCCAGTTTTAAGTAATTCTCCTGCCTCAGCCTCCCAAGTAGCTGGGATTATAGCTGCTCGCCACCATGCCTGGCTAATTTTTGTAGTTTTATTAGAGACAGGGTTTCACCATGTTGGCCAGGCTGGTCTTGAACTCCTGAACTCGTGATCCGCCTGCCTTGGCCTCCCAAAGTGCTGGGATTATAGGCATGAGCCACCATGCCCAGCCGGTGGTCCTGCTTGTAAGGCAACTGGTGCTGGCAAGGGTATCAATGGACTTTTAATAGAGTTGAATCATAGAATGCTAGAATTAGAAAGGAAGCTCAAGATCAAAGCTTTGCTTAGAGGGCCATAGCTGCATCACAAATGCCAAACTCAATTTCATTCTTCGTTCAGTGCTTGTCTCATTAGTCTGATAAAACAGTTAAGATAAGCTTAAAGAATTTCACATGTGTGTCCATTCTTTCATTTAACATGGGTTTACTCAGCGTCTGCCATGTGCCAAGTACCATGGGGGATACTGGGCATATAGAAACAGAAATCATGAACCTGAACTTTCAAGAGGTGTCTCAATAAAATAGTGTGACAAATGAGTAAAAACATGATTGGAAGGATCATGTCTTCCAACCTAGAGGGAGCTTAAAGATAAAGGAAGAGATGTGAACAGGTACATATTTTAGATGAGCATTATACTTTTAGGAAACTGTAGGGGATGGGTATGTCTGGATTGTAGGCTTTGTATGAAATGGTGGTAGTAGATGAAGCACCTTGACCTGATATACTATGCCAAGGAGTTTGGATTTTCCTATGAAGGCAGTGGGTAGTCACTGGATAGTTTTAAGCAAGGAAGTGACATGATTATATTTATTCTTAGAAAAATTAGTGCTGGAAGTGTAGAGAATGCACTTAAAAGGGACACAGTGAAAAGTGAGAAGCCTACTGAGATGTTTCAGGAAAGAAATCGTCAGGGAGTGAAGTAAGGTACAGGAGTTAAAGAGTAAAGAATTAATTAGAGAAGCATTGAGGAGGTAAAAATCACTAGAACCTAGTGAGAATTTTGATCTGAGGCAAGGAAGAGTTATTTGGGATATATCCAGGGTTTCGGGTTGGGAGATCTGGGCCAATGGGGATGCCAGGAATGAGTGCCCTTTCCATCCCTCATTAGTTGAATGGCCCTCGGCAAGTTATATGAACTAGCTGTGTCTCAGTACTCTTATCTCCAAAGTAGAAATAATAATAGTACGTATTTCATAGAGTTTTTAAAAAAGTAAATTAGTTAATGTTTATTAAAATGCTTGAACAATGTTGAGTATACAGTAAACTTTATACATTGGTTTGTTAAGTACCCAGACTCATAAATTTCAAAGTTAGATTTCAGTGAAAGATCTAAGTGATAATATCTAGAGAACAAGCAGATTTATGAATAAAGAAACCAGTGAGAGAGGTCTGCGCTAAATGTACATATTTGAGGATCATCAGCTCAAATGTGAAATTAAAAGTGTGAATAAAACTGGCCAAACAGATTTTGTGGATAGAAATTTTGAGGAGCGCAAGTCTTTGAAGGGTGGTAGAGGAAGCTGAGTTCAGGAAAAGAATGAAAAAGAAACAGTTATATAGGTGGAAAGAAAATGAAATGACAGGAAAATAATATCTTGAAACAAAAGAGGCAATTTACAAGAGGAAGTAGTCAGTAATATGAGATACAGTGGAAATGGCAAAGAAAATAGAAAAGAAAATTGGCCATCTTATTCCAGCTTTTTGTTTTTTATAATGGCTGATAAATACAGTTTTGACACAAATTATTACTTTTCATGTAAAACAAATAAAAATGCAACACTTACTGCTTCAGGAGCAATAACTTTTCATAAACTCAATACCATTTATCTATTCTTTAACAACTTCATTTTTTGGCTTTAGTATATAGCCTGAGGTGTCATTGAACATATTGAATTTCATGGTTGAAAATGAATAGTTGTCCATATTGAGTCATGGCATCAAACCTTTATAGGATTGCTTTCATGAATAACTGGTTTTCTTTTGGATGGTGAAATGAAATGAATAGATCGATACTAAGGAGAAAATAATTCCTCTGATATGGTGATTTTCCAAAGTTTCCTTTGTAGATTTGTCCCTTCCTCCTTTACCTCCTCCCACCTCCCTCTTTCATTGAATGCCAACTCAGTTTCAGGCATTCTTTCTGTCATTTGAATATTCCACAGTGAACAAGACATTCAGTAGTGAACAATTCCTGCTTGCATTATTTTATTGGGGGAAACAGACAATTAAATAGTAAAATAAATGAGGAAGATAAGTTTAGATGGTAATACATTCTCTGAAAGAAATTAAATAGGAAAAGTAATTAATGAGAGGTCCAGGTTGGATGCTGGCAACCATATGTTAGATAGTAAAGACCTTTCTAACAAGTCAATGTGACATCAGACTATAGAGACAAGAAAAAGCTAGACCTGCGAAGACTTGAACAATAGCATTTCAGGCTGAGGGAGAGCTAGTGCAAAGGTCCCGAGGGAGAAATGTGCTTTGTGTGGTAGTCGTGAGGCAGAAAGGCAGCCCCTGTAGCTAAAGAATAGTGAATAGTAGTGAGTTTATAGTGAACGTCATGAGTTTCATGGGCTAGATTTTGAGATATACAGTGTTGCTTTCTAAATGAGTCCAAATTATGCTGAGAATTGCTACTTATTGATAGTCTCTTGAGTATGGCTTTAACAAGACAGAAATTAGCTTCATAAATATGGAAATTCCAGAGACATGAATTGTGATTTTAGTTTAGTAACTCATTGTACAATTTCTGGAAAATTCCCCAATAGAAGATTCATAACTGTGATGTTGCAAATCTCTGTGATTGTTTGAAACGTCTGTCTCGTTTTATTGGTAAGGAAACTGAAATCCAGAGAGATAATTGATTTGTTTCAAGGTCTCAGAGCTGACAAAAAACAGGACCAGGACAAATGGCTGTTTTAGCTATCTTAAATATCATCCTTCAAGCCTTTGCCCAAGGACTACCTTTATTATTTAATGGCAAAAACCACAATTACTTTTGCACCAACCTATATGAAGCCTCTCCTGTCTCCATGCAGTAGATTTCAGTTACCTTTCCTTCTGATCCGTGCTACTCATTCATGTTGCCATTACTGCATTCGGTAATGATATGAATAGCATGTTTTAATTAGTGTCCTATCTCCATTATATGATAGACTTAATCAGAACATTTTATAACCCTAGTACCTACTGCATTATAGAATTCTGATAATATGCTGTTATGACTGACAATGTATATATAAGTGAATGGGCATGTTTAGGTTTGTCTTTCAGCTCACTGCCTTTTTCTTGGAAAACATTCAATCTCCTTACACTTAAATGTCTACATCTGTGAGGAAGAAATTATGGTGTTAATGTTTAAATGACTACAATATATTTATCCCCTATGTGAAAGGAAAAAAGGAGTTACAAAAACAAATTTAAAAAGTTGATGTGTTGTAGGATTCAAAGTATTTTCATTTTTACAATCTGTTAGAACAGGAAACTGACTTAAAAATGTCCCCCACTCAAAGCTTGTTCAATAAACATTTGTTTGTTATTTGATTTAAATGTTTTTTTAAACATATAAAAGCTTTGCCCATGAATAGCTGTCTGAGCCCATCCCTTTCATCAATGTCTCCTCTTATATGAGACATTGTTCTCATGCTTTAACAAATATGTTCCTTGTTGTTTTAGATATCAATGCTGTTAACTTGTTATTGACCCAAACAGTCAACTCAATAAAGACTGTTTTAATATTGTACTTTTAAAACTGCAAATGAAAAATCTTCTTTTAATATTTTTAGAAGGACTTCAGATAGGGGTTACCAATAATACATTTGTATTAATTATTAAAATAATATAAAATAAATATAGTATTTAAATATTATAAAATAATAAATTTATATAATTTTATAAAATTTATTTGTATTGTAAAAATACATTTTTGAAACACATATCCTAATGGATATTTAAAGTTTAATAGAAACCTCCTTGATCCCTAGTCAACAAGATATGCCCCAACCATTGGTATCCCTGGGGACACAGCAGTTCATTGTTTCTTTGGCCTGTCACAACCAGGTCACATGATGCACTGTCTAGTTGCTCAGTAATTATCCTAGGCACTCGGGCTTTTATCCTAAAACTTGTCACATATTGTTTTTCAGGGTCAGTGATGGGTATTTGTCAGCCCTGTCTCACATTTGTAGCCAGAAGCCTAAGGTCATCATTAGCACGTGCCTTTGATTGTCAGGAAACGAAGTACTAGGTATATGGAAGTTTCTTTCATTGCTTCCATGATTGGGACTTTCTCAATCCTAAAGAAGAAGAAAAATCCATACACAGTTTATTGCCTTTCAAACTGACAGTTCTGTAAGGCTCATTGGATGATTAAGTAATAAGAAGGAGACAAACCTGAGAAAAGCGTAGATTAAAACATATCCTCCAGCTTAAAGCCACAATACCCAGTAGTCAGACCCATTGAGCAGCCAGAGAGAATCTTGTATGTGATGTTCATTTAAAAAAATATACAAAGTTAAAAAAGTATGTCCTCCTTCAGATTTAACTATGATTAGAAAATGACACAAATACCCACATATGCAATGTGTATAATATAAGTGTACATAGATACCTGCAAAATAGATGGTTAGTTCAGTTTATTTAGATGCACAGTTCCCTAATCAAACTAACGGTTGTTTGATAAAATAAAAAGGTGACATAAAAGGGATGTGACTTTTGAAGCTGTTACTTATTTAACCATTTAACCATTTGCTCCATTTAACCAGGAGCAAAAGTGTAAAACCTTTGCCCCTTAGAGGTTCAGGAAACACTAAAACTCATTTCTGTGCTTGGAGAGTCCCTAATAAGGCTGGCAGCCAACAGTTAAATAATACTTATTTCAAAATGATATTAAGAATAGAAAGATCTGTTTATTTTCTGATGGATATTAGTTCTCTCACAACATCACATTATCCTTAAATCTATATGTGTGTGTGTAGTTTTAATATATTTTTTAAGCCAAACACTAATACAAATAAATATTCTTCTGTCCTATTGGGACATCAGTTAGTCTTTACTAAAGGCATTTGCAGTAATCATCTTTCCTATTTTAATAATTTTTAAATCAGTCTTTCTTAAACTGTACTTTTGATTCATGAATCCATATAACAGTAATATAATATTTCTTAAGGATTTATTTAGTTATTAAAATAATTAATCATATAAATTTATTATAAACTATTTAATTTTGCATACAAACAAAATAATTTTAGGAAAGCTAGTGAATAAATGAATGAATGATTTTTTTTTTTAGTTAGAAAACTTACAGGAATGTTTCAGTTTAAGGTAAACTTTGTGTTTTCTGAAGTTCCTTGGGCTGGCCATTGAAATAAGTAGTCACTTAATATTTTTGCTTTGAAATGTCTAGTGTCTAGCTAGTACTTTAGGAATTAGATATTACTTGCTAGGAAGAGCTTGCCTTATTTTTTTAAGTTTTCAAATTTAAAGGTTAATTTTAAATAAGTGTGATACCTCCATGGTTACTATTACTGTTTTTTTAACTACTATTATTAATATTGCTAAGAGCCAACATTTTTTAAAAACATGTATTATGTACAGACACTGTGCCATATACTATTAGCATGGACTAAATCATTTAACCTCACAAAAAATGGATGCTATTATTGTGCCTATTTTATCATTGAGGAAGCTGAGGCTTAAAGAAATGAGGTAATTTGCTCGACCTTATGGAGGAAGTTTTCAGAATTTTTGTACATTTTGCAAGTAGTGAATGAATAACATATTTTCATGTTTATTTTAATATTCCATTAATTGAAAAATTGAGAGGCCTCATTAAAAATGAAAATTTGTTAGCCTGAATAAAATCACTTTATGAGGGGTTGGACATTATAATTTGATAATGCCTACTGATTTTTATAACCAATTTTTATCTTACTGGACTGCAAGCCCCATTCTACCCTACATTTATTTTCAGATGGAATCAGTTCTACTGGAGAGGAATGTTTTAGGAATAAGCGAGTCAAATATACACTGGGAATTAAAAGCTAATTCAGAAAAAAATATGTGCTGCAATTTACTTGGTTGAGTGCTATTTACCAGCTTGGGTTTATATGATAGTAAGAAGGTTCTAGAGGCTCTGGTCTTCAGAAAATTGCTATTGCAGGGCATGAGAAAAATGGTTATGCTTTGGGTAGAAGCTCAACTTCCAAAGTAAACACCATTTAACCCACTTCTGAGGACAAGGGAAAAATGTACGAAATTTATTTTGGGGGTAATTTCTTTATCTTTCATGTGCAGTCGTGATATTTATAGAGTTTTAAGATTAACTCAGATAAAAATACAAATTATATAAAAATACAATTTGTTGCTTTGGATTCAGTGACTAGCACCTGGAAAATAGTATATTCAGAAGATGTGACTAAAATTTTGGCCAGTTTCCCCTCTTTTGATCAACAAAACTCATTGAAGAGTATTCTCGGAACATAGTCATTTAACATATTTTTATTAATTGTGGAAAATGACACACATATACAACAAATTTTATAAAATGAAAAATATATGCTTAATTAAACATTATAAATCCAGTCTACTGGATATGTAGTGAGATCTCATTCTTGTTTTAATTTTTATTTCTTTTTTATGATATGATTGAGCATAGTAGAATGTATTTATTATTTATTTGAGAGTATCTTGTTTTGTGAAATAGCTGTTCTCTTACTCTTTTTTAATGATGAATGTACCTGTTTTATATTGATTTATCAAAGTCATTTATATATTTTGGAATGTATCTTGTGTTGGTTATAAGTAGTACAAATGTCTTTTCCCACTCTGTGGCTTGCTTTTTTACTTTCTTTTTTTTTTTTCTTTGAGATGGAGTCTTTCTCTGTCACCAGGCTGGAGTGCAGTGTGGTGCGATCTCGGCTCACTGCAACCTCCGCAACTGGGATTCAAGCTATTCTCCTGCCTCAGCCTCTTGAGTAGCTGAGACTACAGGTGCGTCGCACCACGCCAAGCTAATTTTTGTATTTTTAGTAGAGACAAGGTTTCACCATGTTGGCCAGAATGGTCTAGATCTCTTGACCTTGTGATCTGCCTGCCTCGGCCTCCCAGAGTGCTGGGATTACAGGAATGAGCCACCACATCTGGCTGCTTTTTTACTTTCTTAATGGTATTCTTTGATAATTGGAAAGATCTTTAATATAGCTCACTTTTGAAATTTTTTTATTATGAATTGTAAATTTTGATGGAACTATAGTCAGAAAACAAATGCTGTATAATTCCAATTTTTAAAAATTTGTTAAACTGCTTTATCATCATCATATGATCAGTTTTTTTAAATGTCTTGTGCAAGGTTTAAAAGAATGCGCATTCTTTGTGGGTCTAGTTTTCCATCTATGCCTGTTATGTCAAATATGCAAATTGCATTATTCAAAACTGCTGTATCATTATTGTATTTTTTTTTTTAGCAACAGTTGTGTTGGCTTTACTACAAGTATTATAGGTATATCCATTTGTCCTTGTAGTTCTGTTGATTTTTGCAGTATATATTTTTAAGCTATAATGGTAGGTACATAAATGCTTAAAAGTTGTAATTTACTGGTGAAATTAGTCTTTTATTACTAGGGGGTATTTTTCTTTATTCCAATTGTTTTCTCCAGGAGGGTTGGTAAAAATTACCAAGTTAAACATTTCTGGAATAAAATATCTTCAAATAAACTCTGCTGGGAATACATAGTTTCTTCTTGCGCTCACTGAGAGAAGGAGGCAATCAGGTAAATGGCCCTTACAGTATAGTTTTAGAAGTATTGTAGCAAAACATGGCATTCTGTGATAGCCCTTAGAAGGTCACTTAACCCAGACTTAGTTGACAAGGGCATTTCCAGAAGAGGTGGCATCTGAACTGGGTTTGAAAGTATGTAAGAGTTGGCCGTGACAAAAACAGGAATGAAGGCAGAGGGGGGCAGAGGCAAGGGAGTATATGGTTGCTTGGGGACTTGTATGTTTCAGCTATTAAGTGTGTCAAAAAGTCTGGGAAGAAAGGAAGGAGTTTAAAATGGACAAAAATATTTCTAATTGTTTGCTATTTCAAGGTGTTTTTAAATGTTGCCAATTATAAATAAATAACACTGCAGTGGAGAACTTTGAGCATTATTCTTTGTCCTTGTCCCCTACTAGTTCTTGAGGACAAGTTTCTTGAAGTAGAATTACTTTAGCAAGGGGTACAGAAGATTTTACACACAAAAGGGGACATCTAATTCAAGATCATAGAAGGCTTTTAGGAATAAATTACGGTGGAGCCAAGTTTTGAGGGATGAATCAGAGTTAGTTAAGATGAAGGTAAAACATAAATGCTGGGAAATCTCATGAGCACAGAGGAGAGTGAGTTGAAGGAAGGGTAAATAATTTCTTACGGGTTGGCTTGGTACAAGGTCTGGTGAGTCATGTTGACAGAGTGGGCTTAAGTGCAAACTAGGATTATACTTGATTCCATCAAAGAGCTTTAGTTAATAAAATAATGAAATGCCTTTTTTTCTTATTCTTACCTTTTGAAGTTCCTGGAACCCATTTGTACCATATTCCCCAAATAATTATAATGATTATCTTTCATATGCCAGAACTCATTTTCTACCATCTCTCCAGGTGATTTTAGCATCTGGAACACATTGTTTCCCCTTCACTGCCCACCATCATACTAAGTAATGCCTGCTTCCCTTTACTTCTTTTCTATTCCTCCATATCCACACGTCCTAGGATGGTACTTATTAAGTCTAAGGCCCAACTTCGCCATTTAACAGCTGTGTGATTCCTGACAAGCTACTTAACCTCTCTTTGCCTCAGTTTCCTCATCAGAACCTCAACTGTATTCATCATAAAATTGTGAGAATTAAATTGTGCATGTGAAAATATCCGGAATGTCTTTGCAGCACAATGACAATTATTTTTCCTCCCATTATGAATACATAAATTTGCCCAGGTTTAATATGCCTCTTAGTATAGTTTAGAGAAGCTTTACAAAGGTAAACCAAGGATGAGCTGCGTATCCTGAGCATCTTCTGTCTCAGAGGTGGCTACCCTCATTTAGGGGCAAAGTCCACGCTGGAGAGAGCACCTCACCTTTCTTTGATTGCTAGATTGAGAAGAAAATGAGGATCTCAGCCTTTAAAGCTTTCCATTTATCAGCTTTTACACATTCAAGAAGCATTTCATTTTTATGTTGCAATAGCATGTATTTCCTTCTCTTAGGTCACCTTTGCCTTCTTTGTACTTAGTCCCTATTCTTCATCTTTCGTTTTCTCTCAGTTACAAAAAGGAAGCCAAATTCTGGCCATTGCAGATAGCAAAATATCACGGCAGGCTAACTAATTTTGCCCAGACTTTCTGCGAAAGCTCCACATGTGCTGCAGTGTTGGGTTGCATAATTGATTTAATCTCTAATTTTAGAGGAACGCTGAACTCTTTTTGTGGGACTCTGCATACATTTCTCTAGGGCAAAAACTGTCCTACTTTTTTCTCTCTGGTATCTCTTTAGTGCTAGGCCACTTTTTTTTTTTTTTTTTTTTTTTTTTTTTTTTTTCCCAAAGACTCTAAACTACCCT
The DNA here is from genome assembly GCF_000001405.40 of Homo sapiens. NCBI lineage: Eukaryota > Metazoa > Chordata > Mammalia > Primates > Hominidae > Homo > Homo sapiens. The sequence goes on along the minus strand of NC_000006.12, from coordinate 51,777,657 downwards.
CCGTGAAATAAATGAAATCACAGTTGGAAAACAGCTTACTGGACAGACTTGTAATGGCAAGATAACAGCTACGCCATACACATTTACTAAACATTTTCATCCTCCCCTGCTTCCCTTCTTTCTGCTCTAGCACATCTTTATTTTCACTAAGATGATGCATCAGGCTCTCAGCTGAGGAGTGGCATTACCTACACAGAGGAGCAACACACCTTTGCATATTATTGGAAATACATAGGCTTGCTCACCCATTGACCTACTATATGCCTCTAGGCAGATTTACTTACCTGTCTGAATCTTGCTTGCTTTCAGCAGAGTACTAGAGTAATGGCTGTGAAGGCTGAACTATAAAAATAGGTATGTAGCAAGCTTTAGACTTACCTTGTGCCTTTTGGCTATCCAGGTATATAGGAAGTGTCAGCAAGGGGGGATGATTTTATGTTGCTCAAAAGACCAGCAACCAAGATGAAAACCAGGCAATTGTAAGTTTACTAGTTATTTCACATTGTATTTAGCAATGTCATTTTTGGTTATCTTTTCGGGAATTTATATACTGGGAAGTCGCATTTGATAGCCGGTGGTTTTTATTAACCTGTCTGATTTGGAATATAATTTTGGGATTACCTTCCCACCAGTTACTTCTCAAACAACTGACTTTAATAACTTTAGTATTTTTGTACTCTAAGACATATGTTCCATTGAAACTAACCTTCCTCAGGTCCATACTCACTAACGCTAATTTGACAAATTCCCTGAACAATTCTCATACCATAGAAGTATGAATTTTCATACCAAACTCCACTGTTAACATCAATAAAATTAGGTCAGAAAGAATTCCAACTGCTGTCTGAGTATCATAGCCTTATGTCTTTATGAGTCTTTATGCTGCTAAAAGAATTTAGTTTTAGAAAATAACCTCTTATCTGTTAAATAAACACTTAGCATAAACAGATCTGTGTTCAAATAGATTCTGTTACTTAATAGTTGGATCAATTTAGACAAGTCCCTTAACCTGTAAGCCTCTTTATGTGCAAATATTTAAAACTGGGATAATAATTATACTGACTTCTCAGGTTTGTTGTGAGGAGTAAATGCTAAAATGCATATAAAGAGATTTGAAGGTTATCTAGCCATAGACAGTGTATCAGGCAGGTTTTGCCATAATAATGGTGTGTAACAATCCCCAAATCTCAGTGGTTTACATCAAGAAATATTTGTGTTAGACTTAGTTGAACTTGGCTCCAGCTTGTGCATTCTATTCAGGTTTGCTCTGCATATCTCTTCATTCAGATACCACAGGCTATTTAAGAAATTCTGTATTCATGGTAGAGAACAACATTGAAAGAGATCTGGTAAAAAATGAAATAAAACAAAACAAAACAACTTGCCAAGTCCCTTAAAGCATCAACTGAAAACTAATATTCCTACCACTTTCACACAAATTTCATTGGTCAAAGCAAGTCATATGACCAGGATAAATATTAGTAGGTCAGGAAAGTTTACACTGCCCTAATAAAGAAAGAAGAGTGAATACCTGGTGAATAATACATGAGTCTCCTTCAAAGAAGTTTACTGAATCTTTTTTATCCTACTCTTATTTCATCTGCATGACCATTGACTCCTCCATATAGTCTACTTCACAGTATCTACATTGCATTATTGAAATTATACTGCAATTTCTCCCTCTCTTTCTTTTAATTTCAAATTGATTTGAATGATATACTTTTCTTTGTAAACAGGTACTTTAGAAAATCCCTTAGAAAAGGAACAAAAGCTTCTGATTCTCCTTAGAGCCTCAGAGGGAGTCTTTTGTGACCGTATGAATGGAATTCATATTGACCCAGGAACAATTGGTAAGAGTATAATATAGTTTTTATTAAAAATAAAATGCATGTGTGTGTATTGTGTGCTTGTGTCTGATAGAGAAATACTATTCATAGAACATATGCTAAATTCCAAACACCCTTTTAGGCAATTTATATTTATTATTTCACTTACCAGCTCTCTTGTGAGTAGTGTCCATTTTAGAGATGTCAAAACTAAGACTCAGAGATGATGAACGACATGCAGAAAACCACACAGCTTTATAGTGTCAGCATTATGGATTAAGATCCAGATTAGTCAGACACTAAAGTTTCGACTGAGTCAATATTATCAACTATAAATACTACTCGATTATTGATACATTTATACAACTGATAGATCTATAAATTAATAAGGAACATTCACTGTTGACAATTTCTTTATTTGCTATTGCCACAATACCAAATGCTATTTTAAATTGGTCTATGTAAAAGTACAGAAACGGGGACTGGCCTTGTATAACCATATGTATGTATCCCCAACTAACTCAGTTTTGAGGCATAAGAGAATGTTCATCAGATTTAAAGTATTTTCTCACTTTTTCTATATGGGCATTACTAATTTTATAAGTAAAGAGGGATAACTCTTGGCATGAAGCAATTTTCTTCAAGAATGTTCATTTTTTTGGTTATTTTTCCCTTACTTATATAATAGTTGAAATAAGTTCACTATACTTTATTACTCTTTTAGCTATTGTATTGTCACACAGCTTAAATGTTATTATATTTAAAAATATGTTATTATATTTAAGCTGTGTGACAATACAATAGCTAAAAGAATAATAAATATGTTATCATATTTAAGCTATGTGACAATACAATATCTAAAAGAATAATAAAATATAGTGAACTTATTTCAACTATTATATAAGTGAGAAAAAAATTAACTAAAAGAAAAAATATGAACATTTTTAAAGAAAATTGGTTGTTAATTTTCTTGGATTCTCCCTTAGATGCATTGCTGTGTTGGAGGTTTTCAAGTAAGTCATTTTTCCTTGTGGAAAAAGAGCAAGGACCATCATTTCTGAGGTTTCTGAACACTATGAGATATAAATTTAATATTCATTAGCAGTCAATGGCTCCCTCTCTGGATCTCAGTACTCAATAGAGTGGAGGCAATAATGTTAAGCTAGTATGAAGTTTCTTAACTTAGTTCCATAATATATAACTATTGTCATATAACACTTTGATAGCACTTTAAGTTTCCAAAGGTTTTTTCCATGCATGCTATTTATTTTATCTTTCTAATAACAAGAGGTTCAAGAATGTTTTAATTTTTCTAAGTTGACAAACTAGATGGATTATTATAAGAATATTTGATCTTCTTTTGCCTGTGGTATTCACTCTTTTCTGTAGCGTGATAACACTGGAACAAACTTTCTGTTAGGACTATCCACAGATGCCTGCTCTGATCCCCGATCCTGGCTGTACGGTCAAACTAGTGTCTTTGAAATTTTCTTTGATACTAAATTGAAATAAAGAATGAAGTATTTCTTTTACTGCATGCTCAAATTTTTGTAGTATCATAAGTAGATGACAAATTTTAATCGTATTAAATCATTTGTAATCTTCTTGAAACAACTAAGAAATGGTGTCATTTTACAGTAAACCTTTGATGATTGGAAATGACCAAGAAATCTGCTTTTCTGGTCAATTGAATTTTCTGGATAATTCAAATTTAAGGACATGAACTGCTTTTTGTTATAAATGCTTTGGTTGAAAATCTCTTTAAATTACTTCAGGATCCTTCTCAGCCTAGCTTACTTAGCCTATAGTGAAAAAAGATGGATTTTGGTTTTAGATGATGATGTCTTATGAAATATATAAATGCTATTATGAAAGATTGGTTTCAGGACACGTCCTGAAAATGGGGTTCTTTTTATATCCATTTATCCTGATTTAGTTTTCTTATCTTCTGACATTTTCATAGTTGATATATGGAAAAAATGTGGATGTTGATATAAACAGTTGGTTAAGTTCTAATTAATTGGGATTATTTTTTTTTTGGTCCTTATCAGATGAACACCAAAGTCATATTATTTGTACCTTAGTGGTCTCCTGCTTCTTTTATTTCTATGTTTTCTGATGAAAATTGTAAAATTTTTAAATTTTTAGATTAATGACTTGCAATAAAATACAGTGCATCAATCCAGGGATATGCAGACAATACATTTGGGTGCAGGAATAAAATATTAGAACTTCTATTCCAATATATATTAGTATATTCATATATGTGTATATTTTTTATCTAAATATAAATATCTGAGTTATCTAAATAAAATAAATATATATGTGCTGAGAGTACACAATCACATGTTTTTTCTTTTTCTGGTGAGGTTCATGGTCAAAACATTTTAAACCACTAGAATATGAGGAATTATGATTGAAAATGGCAATAAAACATATAGGAAGAAAGACATGAAAAAATAAAACTGAGCTGTATCAAGCACATTTCTCCTAAGCCTTTAATTTATTAGTCTGAAATAAACTGCATTTTGAAACAAAGGACTTAGAAATCTCTCCCTTGATATTTATAAGACAAAATATTAAGTCCAGCCACTAAACATAAAGCTAATAGCTCCAAAACTCTATCCTAAGGAAATAGAGTTAACCATGCTTTTGGAGAACCTAGTGTGTAACAAAAAATATCAAAACTGGTTAACTTCCAAAAGAATTGCAAATGGTTTGGAGTCACGTAAGAGTGGAAAGGAGTACCTCTTCAACTTTAGTCATTAGAGTGGTCTATTTTCCCACCTTTTAGATTATTGTGATGTGGTGTAGCATTCTTTTTTCTATAGCATTTGAGAGAATAAATTTCATAGCCATGTGAGATATATCTTAGTATTGTAAAATAGAGCATTTAAATAATGCTTTTGATAATATGGGACCTTCATATAGAGATTCTATATCACATGTTTTGCACAACAGCCTCTGGAATGACTTTTACTTACCTGGCTTTCATTCCTCTGAAGGATTTTTCTATCCAACTGTTACTCCTTTTATTTTCAGGGGTTTATGGGAAAGTTCATCTTTACAGTGCTTATCCTAAGAACTCCTGGACACATCTTGGAGCTGATATTGCCTCAGGAAATGAGAGGTAAGGAATGAGAGTAACTTAGGGCTTTTTCTTGGTTGTTGTTTAGGTTGCTTCTGCTTGAGATTTTGTTACAATATGAAACTGATTTTTAGGTTAAACATTATAATTAAAGGATGAGCAAGTAGAAAAATAAGCGATTATAGGGAATTTAAAAAATATCTCTATAACATAACAGAAGGAGAACAAAACATGCAAAAGGTAATAGAGGAACACAGTTTATTTCAGGAGAAAATTTTAGATAATACATAATTATTGCTGTCCATAAAATCTTAAAATATATGAATTCCATGAGATAAGAGATGAAGTATGAGGTAAGAATACTATGTCTAAGCTGAAAAGGTACCTCATTAAGATATAGACAGAAATAAAATAGGAGGGAGATGAAACATATGAAGTATATTGTGAAATTTAATAATGCATTGGAGGCAGTAAAGAACAGAGTCATTGCTTCCTCAAAGAATAGGTAAAATGAAGAACAAACTGATGGAGACCTATCCAAACACAGAGGATAAGACTAGGAAATAAAAATAACAAAAGATAAAGTACTAGAAATAGAGATCAGAAAATTAAAAGCTATCTATGGGTCATATGTCTTTTTAGTAAGAACTCAGAATAACTACAACAGAAAGAATAATGAACACTATAACTGAAATACACATAGAAAATATGGGAATAGTTACATTTTATTAGAAAAGATTAATATCAAGGATGGTGATTGCTTTATTACATTATCTTCATAGTATAAGAAAAATAGAGTGAACAAAAAGTAAAGGAAAGGAACATCAAGCTTTCTAGCCTTAGCATTCACCTCTACACCATCACATGTGGGAAGATCGTGATGCCACATCTATAAATGTTTAAGGAAAAAAATATTGTGACCAAAGAATTGGACACACTGCTAAGACGCTCATGTGGAAAATGGAAGAAAATTCAGTGTTCAAATAAAGAGATTAAACTAAACTTAAAATTTGGGAACAGAAATAAAATTTGAGAATAATATAAATAACTAAGAAGCACTGAAATAATTTAAATATTATAGTGTAACTATGGTTATTAAAACAAAACAAATTCCTTTTTTTTTTTTTGACACAGTCTCACTCTATTGGCCAGGATGGATTGCAATGGCACAATCTTGGCTCATTGCGATCTCCACCTCCTGGGTTCAAGTGATTTTCCTGTCTCAGCCTCCCAAGTAGCTGGGATTACAGGCACACACCACCATGCCCAGCTAATTTTTGTACTTTTAGTAGAGATGTTTCACCATGTCAGTCAGGCTGGTGTTGAACTCCTGACCTCAGGTGATCCACCCGTCTTGGCCTCCCAAAGGCCTGGGATTACAGGCATGAGCCACCGTGCCTGGCCTAAAACAAATTCTAATAATTGTTCTTGTAAAAGAAATGACATAACACTTGAAAAGTTAATGTATTAGTTGGAGTTCTCTTTATACAAAAAATACATAATCAGTAGGTTATGTGCATGTGTGTGTGTGTGTGTGTGTGTGTATCCTACCTGTTATATGTATGTAAATTATACAATAGGTATAGTAAATATTAATATACATACATTTATATATAAAGAGATGTATTTCAAGGGATAGATTTACACAATTATGGGAGCTGGAGAGTTTGAAATCTGTAAGCAGGCCAGTATGTTGTAAAGTACGGAAGAACTGGTTTGCCGTCTTAAGGCAGAATTTCTTCTTCCCCAAAGAAATCTCACTTTTGCTTTTAAGGTCTTCTGGCTGATTGATGAGGCCCACCCACATTATTGGGTGGCCTAATCTCCTTAAACTCAACTGTGTTAACCACATTGACAAAATACCTTCACAGTAACACCTAGATTAGTGTTTGATTGAGTAACTGTGTATAATAGCTTAGCAAATATGACACATAAATGAATCTTCACCATTCAAAATTATCAGATAAAAATCTGGAACTATAGCCATAGGAGGTAAATATGAGTTAATTTGTTTTACTAGAATTTTGAATAGCATATATACTTTCCAAATCACCAGTGGGAAAAAAATGAAAGAAACCATAAAATAAATAATAAAATAGAAAAAAAAAGAAAATGAAATGGTAAAAGAATAAAAGCAACAAAAAAGGTATATTTAAAACAAACAGAAATAAGAAAGTAAGTACAAATTTGCCAGTTACAGAAACAAAATATTTGTTAAAAATAATGCTATATAGAAAAATTGGGTTAAAAGTCAAAATATAATTATAACTTTTTTACCAGAGGAAAACTTAAAACCAACTAGGAGAAATTTAAAGTTAAATATTGGATAAGAATAAATCATTGACATCTAAAACAAAATAAAGGAGCCTCAAAATTATTAACAAAACAGGTAAAAATCAAAATAAATGTTTCAAATTGGTTAAATAATTATAATTTACATTAGTAAAGCCTTCAATCATAGCAAAACACTAACAGTCAGAAAAGTTTTACAGCAGATAATACAATATAGAAATATAAAGCAAATCTCTAGGAAATGTAAGGTGAAATTGACAGAAACAAAAATCACGATCTAAGACACGTATTTATCTCTTTCAGTTCCAAATCTTTTAATTAGGTTAAAAAAGGTAAAGAAAACAAGAAGAACATGAATAATATAATAAAAGCAATTTAATTTATGTATCAAACTACTCCTTTACCCTAAAAAATATATATCCATAATTACCTTAATAAATTTTAATAATAATATGTGATCACAATATAATAAACATGGAGATTAAAATAAAATATAAACCAACAATCTTAATTTCTTACAAGAAAAAAGGTATAATAAATTATCTTCTAAATAACTTTTATATCCAAGAAAATATCAAAACTTTACCAACAGAATAGCTGGGAAGTAACAATAATGAGAATATAGCGTACGAGATATTATAGAACATGTCATCACATTAAATACTTTCATGATTGAATAAGCAAACAAACTTTTCTTATTGACAGTTTTCATATTGACAGTTATTCTAAACAAAAAATTCTTCTAAACAAAGAAGATTAACTGTCAATATGAGAAATTAGAAACAAAATAACCCATAAGTCTAATGAACTCAATCAATGCAAGAAAAAGGCAGAAATTGGTGAAATAGAAAGTAGAAAATTAGTAAGATTAAATTTTTAAAAAGAGGTAGTGGTTTAATCTCTAATAACTTTAATCATACCAAGAAAACCCCAATATATAAAATGAGAAATGACAGTTCAAATGTAAGTACAGAATAGTTTAGAGTTATAATGTAAAAAATATAAATCTATATAGTGCAACTTTAACATTTCTGAGAAAAATACTTTATAAAAAGGAATTTTTAACGATAATTTAGAATTATCATAATTGGCTAGAGAAGAATAAAACAAAGAACAAGGAATAGTGAAAGATATAAATTTATCAAAGATTTATCTCCAAAAATACATTTGGCTCACATAAATTTATACCATGTTCTTCCAATCAGTTGAATATCAAATAATTCCTATGTTATATAATCTATTCCCAGTTAATTTAAGGGAACAGGCCTAAAATAATCTTTACACTTGTTTATAGCTACTAAAATAACTCAAAAAAGAAAACTGAGAAAACATCCAAATAGAATGTAAAAAATCATAAATAAAAAAGCAACAAACAAAGCAAGCTATGTTTGAATGTGTTTCATTCAAGTGAACAAAGATAATTTGAAATGAAATAATCCATTCATATAATTTACCTTAATACCAGATGTGAAGATTAAGAACATGACCAATTTGGCACAAAAAGGAAATATGTTTAATAAAATTCAGCAAACATTCTTGGAATAAACAGTAAATGAAGACTACAAGGATACTTCTTTTAAATTAATGCTATTTATTTGGATGGTATAACCATTAGTTGAGAAGCACTGGTTTAAGTAATAATACAAAATAAACATTAAAGGATTCCTCTCAAACAGTTTTGTATTTTAGGAGAAAAACCGACATTAAATATTATCGTTTGTTACAACAATCATTAAATATTATTATTAAAGTTTTAGCCAATATATTCAGGCAAGAAAAATACATTAGATCCAATTATTGAAAATAATCCAAACTATCTTTTTATGTGGTTTATAAAATGGATATTTCATCCTATAAAACTAGAGAATTATCTGAAAAACTCTCAGTTGCCTTCAATAAATGCACATCAACATCTTTTTAATATACAAGTAGTAAACTTTTAAATTATAATGTACAAGCTTATTTAAAATTTCAACTGCAAATATCTAGAAGTAAATTTAGGAAAAATTACAGAACCTATAAAAACAAAACTATAAAACACTATTCAATGGCATAAAAAGAGTTCAGAATAAATGGTGATGCATAACAAAAATTTGATGGTTCACTATTTTAAAGATGTCAAATCTAATACAACTTGAATCACAGGTCTAATGTATGCATCAGAATCTGACTCATTAAATTCTTTGGAATAATAAACACTTGAAAATAGCCAAACATTACTCATCTGACAAAGGGCTAATATCCAGAATCTACAATGAACTCAAACAAATTTTCAAGAAAAAAAAAACAACCCCCTCAAAAAGTAGGTGAAGCATATGAACTGACACTTCTCAAAAGAAGACATTTATGCAGCCAAAAAACACATGAAAAAATGCTCATCATCACTGGCCATCAGAGAAATGCAAATCAAAACCACAATGAGATACCATCTCACACCAGTTAGAATGGCGATCATTAAAAAGTCAGGAAACAACAGGTGCTGGAGAGGATGTGGAGAAATAGGAACACTTTTACACTGTTGGTGGGACTGTAAACTAGTTCAACCATTGTGGAAGTCAGTGTGGCGATTCCTTGGGGATCTAGAACTAGAAATACCATTTGATCCAGCCATCCCATTACTGGGTATATAATCAAAGGATTATAAATCATGCTGCTATAAAGACACATGCACACATATGTTAATTGCGGCACTATTCACAATAGCAAAGACTTGGAACCAACCTAAATGTCCAACAACGATAGTCTGGATTAAGAAAACGTGGCACATATACACCATGGAATACTATGCTGCCATAAAAAATGATGAGTTCATGTCCTTTGTAGGGACATGGATGAAACTGGAAACCATCATTCTCATCAAACTATCACAAGGACACAAAACCAAACACTGCATGTTCTCACTCATAGGTGGGAATTGAACAATGAGAACACATGGACACAGGAAGGGGAACATCACACTCTGGGGACTGTTGTGGGGTGAGGGGAGCGGGGAGGGATAGCTAAATGACGAGTTAATGGGTGCAGCATACCAACATGGCACATGTATACATATGTAACAAACCTGCACGTTGTGCACATGTACCCTAAAACTTGAAGTATAATAATAATAAAATAAAAGAAAAGAATAAGAGGAACATACTGAGGGACACCAAAATATGATAAATCAAATGTAACTAAATATAATAAAAGGCCAAAAAAAAGAGAAAATAGCCAAACATTAGCATTTTTTTTTAAATGTATGCCTCTAATATGAGTAATCTGTTGTTGGCACCAAAACTAAAAAGAATACCAAGAAATAAACACAGTCATGCATTATTTTTAGAATTTGAATAAATTAGCATTTGAATTTAGTTGAAGACAGGCTGGAATAATTAGTAAATCCTTTAGAAAAATATAAAATTAGATTCCCACTTTATGTTTTACTCTAAATTATAGGTGGATTAGAAAACAAAATGTAAAAAAGTTAAAACCATAAAATTATTTGAAGAAAATTTAAGTAAACATGTAATTTAAAGCAGTAAAGACTGCTCTGATCATAACAAGCAAAACAATAGCCACAGCAGTAAATAATAGATTTGACAATATAACAAGGTCAATATTTCTGCATGTCAGTTACAAAATGTGATGACAAATGATCAACTAGAAAATGTTTGCACCCATTAACTCGTCATTTAGCATTAGGTATATTTCCTAATGCTATCCCTCCCTGTGCACATGTACCCTAAAACTTAAAGTATAATAATAACAAAATTAAAAAAAAAGAAAATATTTGCAGCATACAATAGTACAGATGAAGGACTAATATTTTTTATATGTCAAGAATGAAAATAAAAATATGAATACACCAGAAACATATTTGTGAAAGGGTTTGAATATGTAAGCCACAAAAAAAATACATCTTGCTAATAAACATATAGAAAAAATGGTCATCTTTACTAGAATTGAATATTAATTAAAACAGTAATGGAATACCATTTTTAAATTTTAATTTGGCAAAGATGGAAAATAGTGAATTCCAAGTTGACAAAATAGAGCAGAGGCTCACATTCACATGGGAATTAATCTTACATACTAGCCTAGTTTTGTAGATAAAGAAATAAAAATATGTATGCATATACATAATAGGGAAATCCCTGGAAGGACATACAGCACAGCAAGGATCCCTGTTGGTGAAATGATAGGTAGCTATCTTGATAGGTATGCTTTGGTGTGCTTTTCTCTATGTACAGAATTTCTTTGTAGAGTAGGTATTATGTTCATGGTTATTTAAAATTATTTATTTGACATGATTTTCACAAATGCTTATGTTTGTCAAACATTGAGCTATGATCTGGAGATATAATATTAAGTAAAAACTCAAACGTTAATCAAATAGTAAATGTAAAATTACATACATGATAAATTCTGTGAAGGGGCGGGTTATGTAGGATTCTGAAAACATGAATATGTCAACTTGAGGCATTTATGGGAAGTTGGAGAAGGCTTCCCTGAAGCATAATTTCAGAGGTGGGATCTGAAAGAAGCATGGACATTAATTAAGCAAAGTGGGTTATATGTGGAAACGGTGTTCTAGCCAGAGCAAACAGCATTCAATTATTAAGCAAATATCTGAGGAATATTTACTATGTGCCAGGTCAGACTGTAAGCACTAGACATATAGAAGAGATTGCAAATTAGAAGAGATTGCTGCCCTCTGGGAGCTCAGATCTTAGTTGAGAGAAAGACGATACTCAAACAAATACAGAAATATAAATGACGTGGTTGAGATTATAAAATATGCTGGTAAGGAAGTCAATATGGTGATATGATCAAAAATAGCTGGGGCAGAAAATGTGAAGGGTACCATTTTAGATTGAATGGACAGGGAAAGTCTCTTTGAGGATGAGAAATTTGAGCTTATACCTGAAGGATGGGTGGGAACCAGCTGGCCTAGGGTGGGGGTAGGGGGGAAACAGGAAGAAGGTCACTATAGCTGGCGCAGAGTGAGCAGAGGGCAGCATTGTCTGATATGGCAAGTGCCAAGTCATACAGGACCTTGTTCAGGTATAAGAGGTCAAAGGGGAAATCACTGAAGGGTTTTATGCAGGAGGATGGTGGAATCTGATTTTTGTTTAAAAAACTTCTCTGGCTGTGTAGATGATGGATTGTGGAGATAACAGTAGAGCTGGGATATCAGTTAGGAGGCCAGTTGAGGCCAGAAATCATGTATCTGGGACTCTGGAAGAGGCAGTGGAGATGGAGAGAACAACTGGTCCTCCTGATGACTGCATGTGGAGGCAAGGAAAGAGTGCTGCAGGTGTTTTGATGGAGCACACTGATGAATGGAGGAAGCACGCACTGAGTTGGGAAGACTGAGAGGGGAATAGGTTTGTCAGGGTGGAAGGCAGCAGGGGCATGCGAAGTTGGAGACACCAAGAGTAGATGCCAAGAAGAAAATCAGATGCATAATTTAGGGCTTGGAAGCAGCCATCTTGGAAGTAGGTGATGTCATTATTGAAGAAGACATGGGTAGAAGAGAGATTTGGAGCATGGGATTGAGATTGGGGGCATTCTAACTTTTTAGATATTGAGGAGTCAACACAGGTGATTGAGAAGCAGAGGGTGGAGACGTGATTCTGTGGTTGGGAGGGAGAATGGAGAACATGAGGGTCTGAAAGAATACCATGATGGTTGATGTGGAGAGTAGGGGCTGATCATGACAGGGTTCCAAGGAGTTGGTTAAGTGTCAGGGCCACATACATTGGCAATATCAAGAATTTTAATCCAGTCTATCATTGTTGGACATTTGGGTTGGTTCCAAGTCTTTGCTATTGTGAATAATGCCGCAATAAACATACGTGTGCATGTGTCTTTATAGCAGCATGATTTATAGTCATTTGGGTATATACCCAGTAATGGGATGGCTGGGTCAAATGGTATTTCTAGTTCTAGATCCCTGAGGAATCGCCACACTGACTTCCACAATGGTTGAACTAGTTTACAGTCCCACCAACAGTGTAAAAGTGTTCCTATTTCTCCACATCCTCTCCAGCACCTGTTGTTTCCTGACTTTTTAATGATTGCCATTCTAACTGGTGTGAGATGGTATCTCATAGTGGTTTTGATTTGCATTTCTCTGATGGCTGGTGATGATGAGCATTTTTTCATGTGTTTTTTGGCTGCATAAATGTCTTCTTTTGAGAAGTGTCTGTTCATGTCTTTCGCCCACTTTTTGATTGGGTTGTTTATTTTTTTCTTGTAAATTTGTTTGAGTTTATTGTAGATTCTGGATATTAGCCCTCTGTCAGATGAGTACACGTGGACACAGGAAGGGGAATATCACACTCTGGGGACTGTGGTGGGGTGGGGGGAGGGGGGAGGGATAGCATTGGGAGATATACCTAATGCTAGATGATGAGTTAGTGGGTGCAGCGCACCAGCATGGCACATGTATACATATGTAACTAACCTGCACAATGTGCACATGTACCCTAAAACTTAAAGTATAATAAAAAAAAAAAAAAGAATTTTAGTTTTTACCCTAAGAGCATTGTGAAGCTGTTGTAGGTTTTTAAGGGGGTAGTATGGATAGGAGGTAACACTTATTATCATACTTGTACATCTAAAATATTGTAGGCAGAATGTAGACAGCAGGAGAGCTTGATAGTAGATCCAGAGACACCCAGCAAGAGACAGTGTAATTGTAGTCAGGGGCTGCAGGAGCAATGGAGAAGTGGGCAGATTTAAAGGCAGGAGATAAACCCTATAAGACACATTGAATATGAAGTGCATTCTTGGTTTCTGGTTTGTGTAGCTGGATAGTGGTGTCATTCACTTGAGGAGGACTAAGTTTAGAGAAAAGATTATGAATTCAGATTAGGTCATGTTGAATTTAAAGTGCTTTTCTGATATTCAAAAGGATTTGTGAAGTAAGCATTTCTAACAAGGATCAATAAGAAACTTTAATTATAATTAAAAGGTTAGCAAGCTGGAATTTGGCAGGAACCATATGAATGGATTTTTCTTATAAGAATGTGTTAAAAACCTCATTTGGAGTCTGAGCTACAGGCTATTTTGAAAGGAACTCAATTTTATTAATTAAAACTATCCATAGTCATTAACTAGCTACCATTTATTTGGTTCTTATCATGTAAGCTTGTTATATGTCAGGCCTCTACTAAGCATTTTACATACATTATCTCATTTAAATCTTTCAATGCTATAAGTTAGGTATTATTATCTGCATTTTATGGATATGAAAACTGAGGCTGGAGAAGTTAAGTAAATGTTCCAAGTTCATAAAGCTAGAAATTCCTGAGGCTGGATTTTTCACCCTGATTTGTCTGATTCCATTGCGTGTGTTCTACATATTACAAATATTAAAAACAAAGTTTCTTAGTATCAGTCCTGAGGAGAAATAATTTAATGAGTTTATACAAATGATGTGCAATTAATGTAGTATATTCATTTTATGGAATTCTTTCTCTTTAAAACCTTTTTTAAAATGTTAAAAATAACTTCAGACTCAAAATAAGTTGCAAAAATAGTAGTTTACATATACCCTTCACTCAGTGTTCCCTGATGATAGCATATTACATAACTATAGAACATTAGCAAATCTGGCAAGTTGATATTGGTACGGTATTAACTGAGCTACAGACCTTATTTAGGCCACCTTTTTAAACATGGCTCTACAATCTTAAAAGTCAATTCAATAAGTCTTTGTCTTTCTAATATATTGTGATATAAGCATATTTCAGATGAACTGTTTCATGAATTTTCACCAAAAGAATTTGATACCTGAAAATATATATATATATATATGTGAATAATGGTAGTGTGAAAACTTCGGAGGAAAAGTTTCATGTTAACTTTATAAGCTTGTATCTTACACAATCAACCAAAGTAAGCTTAGCAAGATATTTTGAAGAAAAATTATTTTCTTTTATTCTGTGTTTTATCAATTTATCTCTAAATTACTCTCTGTTGTTGCTTGCTTGAGTTGACTTGTGAAGACTGATGAACAAAACTGTTGAGGTTTTATTTGGATTGTAAATAAATCAAGACAAGTTAGATTTAGACACAAAAAATTGCTTTTACCCATTACAAATGTTATGTATATCTTTTGCTGTGAGTCTTTGAAGGGTAGCCATGTGATCTTTGAAATTAAATGGTTACTTTGTCAACCAATCTTATGATAAAGATTAGGTTTTATCTTGGCCATTGGAAGATTTTAAACGAGACATGGACAGAGCCTGACTTATATTTTAATCTGATTTATGATGTGTGGAGAATTGACTATTGGTGGTGGTGATGAGGAAGAGATAAGAGTGGAAATAGAGACACTAACTGTTAAGACATTGCTATGGCAGTTTTTTGGGTAACACATGATGATGGCTTAGATTAGGATGGCAGTGATGGAGGAGTAAAGATGTGGATAAATATATGTTGAAGACAGAAGTGACATGACTCCTGATGGACTGAATATTGAGGAAAAGAGAAAGAGAAGAGTCAAAGATCACTCTTAAATTTTTGACCTAAGAAACTAGGTAAGGAGCGCTGCCATTTACTGAGAAGGGGAAAACAGGGAGAAGAGCTGGATTATGAGGAAACTTCCCCCAAATTCTTATTTTTTTCTCATTTCTTATCTCATTGAATTTTCAAGAAAATATATAAGACATCCAGTCTCTTTGTCCTGTTATCCTTTCTTTCTCAAGTGATTGACTTATTTCGTTTTATTTTTTAATTGACAAGTAAAAATTTTATGTATTTATGCTGTACAACATGATGTTTTGATGCATGTATTGCATTGTGGATTGGCTAAATCTACATAATTAACATATGTATTATCTCATATAGTTATCTTTTTTTGTGGTAAGGATACTTCACATCCACACTCAGCATTTTTAAAGAATACAATATATTAATAACTGTAGTCACTATGTTGCACAATAGATCTCTTGAATTTATTCTTCCTATCTAACTGAGATTTTGTATTCTTTTATCAACATTTCTTCAACCTTTGCTTCCCCCCACCACCAGCCAAACCAGCAGCCTCTGGTAACCTGCATTCTACTCTCTAGTCCAGTGAATTCCACTCTTTTTGATTCTGCATGCAAGTGAGATCATGTGGTATTTGTCTTCTTGGGCCTGGATCATTTCACTTAACGTAGTGTCTTCCAGGTTCATCTATGTTGATGCTAATGACCAGATTTTCTTCTTTTTAAAGGCTGAATAGTATTCCAGAGTGTATGTGTATACTGCATTTTCTTTATCCATTCATTTGTCGATGGGCACCTAGATTGACTCTATATTTTGGCTCTTGCGAATAATGTTGCTGTGAACATGGGAGTGCAAATATCTCAGACATACTGATTTCATATCCTTGGAATATATATCTAGAAGATGGATTGCTGGATCATATTCTATTTTTAATTATTGAGGACCCTCCAAACTCTTTTCTATAACGGTTGTACTAATTTACATTTCTACTAACAGTATGCAAGGGTTCTCTTCTCTTTCCATCCTCACTAACCTTTGTTATCTTTCACTGTTTTGGTAATTTTGACAGGTATGAGGTGTCTGAAGTGATTTATTAACATACTCTGTTATTTACAAGGAAGAAACTGTGAACTGAATAAGAAATCAAGTCATTTGTTACCTCATCCTTTTCTCCAGGCCCTAAACCTTTAAATTGAATGTCATAATTGATTATATCTATTCCTTTATCTCCTATGTTAAATTAATGATGTGTTCTTTGTATATATTTTGTTTGGAATGTTTCTTTTTTCTTTCCTATCTGCTACATTCTCATTGCAGCACTTCACCCATGGCTCTCTACAACAACTTTTGTACTGGCTCCTTAAGTACCTAATAAATGAAATAAGAGTATCAGATGCAGTATTCTTGCATCTCCTCCTTGACTGTATAACTTCCTATTTATCCTTAAAGATTCCATTACATCAGACACAGGACTTTAGGTATCTCCGACTCTACAAATTTTCCCATCATCTGAACGTAAGATGTGATTTTATGATTTGTAATTTTAAGAAAAGCATAACACTAAGATGTTTAACATTTGTGTGTCCTGTTCCTCCAAGTGGCTTCTATAGGGGAGAGATATATTTTTGTTATTGTTGATTTGGTATATTAGTGTCTAGTGCACAGCAGAACATAAAGAAGGGCTCCAATAAATGCATGCTACATTGACTTGATGTGTATTTTCTAGAAATCAGAACTTATTGAGCTTCTTGGTTCAATGGCATATTATCTAACAAATGAGAGAATCTTGAATTTAATTTCAAATACTACTATAATTTATTTTGCTCATTCCTCAAACTTTATTATTATAACAACTTAGTTTAAGTATTAGAATATAGAGTTGGTGGCCTTATGCACTCATTGGCAAGAGTTCAGGATCACATATGTAACCTCTAAAAGATGATGATTTTTTTTCATATGTTAGAGGTCCAATAAACTATTGGGTTCTATTGCCAAATTCACTACTATTATGATGCTGGTGAAAGGCATATGTTTGGAAGGTAGGTTGGAAATATATTCTGCAATGAAAAGGAGTTTGAACTTTGAGGGCAGGCAGACTAATTCTAGTTAGGTGGTTAGCTAAAGGTGTAACTCTGAGTAAATTACTCTCTCTGAGCCTCAGTTTTATTTTCTTTAATTATGTGAGTAACAATACATTGCTAATAGAATAGTTATAAGGATTGAGGGAGTTAATGCACATGAGGTGTTAAGCCCAGTTTCTGGCACAGTGTAAGCCTTAAGACAGGGCAGCTATTGTGGCAATCGGGGCTCTTTAAGTCGAAAGTACAAGTAAAAGTAACCCTTCTTAAGCCATTTTGAAGACTGTATCAAGCCCTTCCTCTCCTCCTCTACTTTTTTACTTCTTTATTTCAACCTCTTTTTTTTCTACTGGAGAATAGTTTTCTTCATTCTGTATGGTGCAAGTGAACTCAGATCTGTTTGGCTTTTCCTAGCTATACCACCAGTGAGGAGGTTACTACTAATTCCCCTCAGTTTCATTCAAAATTCCAGGGGAAAGATTTTGGTGAATGAATGCAGGTTGGATCCTATGCCCAGCCTTTGGTGAAGGGTTTGTGGGACTTTAACCTGCAGCTCTCACAGATTTCAGTATAGTGGATGGGAGCAGTTCTCAGATGAGGTGTGAGGGATTTCCTGGAATGAAGCAGAGAGGAAGTCAGGTAGACAAATAATTGGTATTGACTATAGCTATAATTGTTGTCACTCACCATCTTTACCAGCATCATTATAGAATTCAATTTCTTCTCTATCAAGTGTAGAATAATACAGTCTGAGAATCCTCATTACATTTTAATGGCACTGATAGAAAAATTTTAAACTGAAGTTACAAAATGAAAAAGACTAAATATTAGTAGAGTTCAGAAATCTGTGGCCATCCCTATTCCTGGAGGTGCAGGTGAGACAGGGCATGTTTTGTGATATGTACACTCTGAGCCTGTGGTCAAATGCAGTTATTATCATTAAGATCTTACAAGTATTAAGTTAACAAATTCATTTAAGTTGTAGGTGTTTACACGTGAATGTCTTACACATTTTTGTAAAAACTTTTAAATCAAATTTTGAAGCATTTTTAAATTCTCTGTAAATAATAAGTATTATATTTTTGTCTAGTAAATATTATTTTTCTCTGAACTAGGTCAAAAGTTATGCCAAAATAAAGAAACTGTACTGATATTTTGTTTATATTTTCTTAGAGTTATCTTTAAAAAGACTTCCACAGTGATTATTCATAATTTCCTCTCTCTTCTCATATGGTTTCCATTTAGGTACAATTATGTTGAAAAAAAGTCTTTTAATTTTTTGTTTATTTATTATTTGAGGTATGTTTTGCTCATAACAACAAGCAAGTCTCCCCTCTTCCCTGAAGATCTAGGAGTCATACTAATCAGAGGAATAAAATACAGAGAATACAGCTGGGATTTTGAGCCAGTCGTTAAGCTAGTTCGTATGATTGAAGGGTAACCATAATGTTTGAAGACTGGAACTAGGAATAGTGGATGTTGGAATTTAAGGAAAACTGACATTTGACTAGCAGAACCAACTAGGCTATTGATACTGAGACCCCAGTTTCCTCTGAAGTTACCACTGTTGCTATATGGACATAGACGTGGAAGGGGCAATGCTCCTTTGACATCTGTGTATGGTTCTCATGATGTATAGAACCCGAAAGACTTCAGGAGTATAGAGGAAAGATACATTTTAATGAACTCATAAGGTTTGGGAAGCCAGAACAGAAAAGGTCAGATTAAGTTTATTTATGTTTTTAATATAAAGTTTGAACTAATAATTTTAATAATTCCTAGAACATTGTTAGGTGCTATGGGGTTTAGATAGTGATTTTTTTCCTGTTTGCTTTGTTTTCTCTCTCTCTCTCTCTCTCTCTCTCTCTCTCTCTCTCTTTTGGCAGGGTCTCATTCTGTTGCCCAGGCTGCTGGAGTACAGTGGCATGATCATAGCTCACTCCAATTTCAACCTCAGGGGCCTAAGCCATCCTCCCACCTCAGCCTCCCAAGTAGCTGGGACCACAGGTGTGTGACATCATGCTAGGCTACATTTTTTTTTTCTTTTCACTTTTGTAGAGATGGGATCACTCTAGTTGCCCAGACTGGTCTTGAACTCCTGGGTTCAAGTGATCTTCCTGTCTTGGCTTCCCAAAGTACTGGGATTATAAGGCAAGAGGCACTGTACCTGGCCTTATATAGTCTTATTTTTATTAAATATCAATGAACAATAAAAAAGTTGAATGGTCACAGAAGACAAGAATACAAAACCAGTCACAAGGCAATAAACAGCATTTTTTATGTCAAATTGATGGTGGTACAGAAAGTGGGGAGGCTTTGGGCATTCAGTGGAAAGAGACTCCCATTGAAGACTTCTTGAAGGCATAGTGACCGTAGTGACTTGTGTCAGTTTTCAAGAATGAGAGACCTGAAGAGCAAAGTAGGGGAGAGTGAACTGATTCATCTGGCTGGAGCAGATGGCTTATATAAGGAAGTTAGAAAATGAAGCTTTATGAGTTTTAAATTTGCATTAGTGTTCACTCAATGTTAAACAGTTCTATGGATTTTTACAAATGTGTGATCGTGTATATGTACTCCCATAGTATTACACAGAATATTGCCCTAAAAAATCTCATGTGGATGAGTTTTAATCTCACTTTCACATGAAACTTCTCAGAATATTATAGTGACCTATTATTTGAAGAGCTTTATTCAACAATATAAATAATAATAAAAAGATTGTCTAGGTCAGGGGTCCCCAACCCCCAGGGCCACAGACCAGTACAGATCCTTAGCCTATCGGGAACCAGGACGCACAGCAGGAAGTGAGTGGTGGGCAAGGGAGCATTACTGCCTGGGCTCCACCTCCTGTCTGATTAGGGGTCATTAGATTCTCATAAAAATGCAAACTCTATTGTGAACTGTGTATGTGAGGGATCTAGGTTGCATGCTCCTTATGAGAATCTAATGCTTGATGATCTGAGGTAGAACAGTTTCATCCCGAATCCACCTCCCCTGTGGAAAAATTGTCTTCACAAAACTGGTCCCTGGTGCCAAAAAGCTTGGGGACTACTGAGAAATACTAACTATGAAGTAAAGGATTAATTTCAATTATACAGCAGATTGACTTTTTTTTCCCTAACTACAATATACTACCTGATAAGTTAGAAAATTGAGATTTAAGTGAAAATCACTAATAATCCCACCATCCATAGGTAGGCTAACATTTTAACATGCATCTTTCCTATTTTCTGTGCATGTATCATTTTATTAAAAAATGGAGCATATTATTTTACGTCCTGCTTTTTGAAATCAATACATCATGAACAAAATTTCTTGTAATTCAGTGCTCTTCAACAAAATACTTTAAAAATGGCTATACAGTATTCCATTGTATGGATCATAGACTTCTTATAATTTCATAGATTATGAAAAGTGGGAATACTCTTTTTCTAATACCATTTAGCACCTGAAGAACTAAAAATAAGACAGGCAAAGTGAGATTATTTAGTGGAAAAAATGCTGGACTTTATCAGTAGTCTTCCTTTGTCCTAATTCAATCACTGGCTCCATGTATTTATCTAGTCTTACATTTTGTTATTTAAATCTATTTGGAACTTAGTTTCCTTGCCTTTCAAAGCTTGTGGTGCTTAAATATTCTGTAACTGGGAGTTTTCTAGGAAGTCATAGCAAATCAGGAACAGAGCTAAGACTCTAAATTCCTTCATTAAAGTTGCATCAATTGATAGTAGTTTTTTTGTCTTCTCTATGACTCTTTCTCCAACCTTAGGTACGTAGATGTGAATTAATTATAATATTTCATTTATTAGACTCATGCCATTGGCTTGCAAATGATTAGGTTTAATTTATGTTTCCTTTTAGGGGCTTAATACTATATATTAAACATCTGTATTATTAATATGTACTCCCATGGTATTACACAGAATACTGTGTAATACACACCCATACAGTAGACTCTTTAAAGATATGTGCTAGGCAGAATTTAAGTTATGTATTTTAATACAAATGACATATGTTTTATTTATCGTATGTCTCTAGCATCTACTCTATTGTCTGGTGCATAAGATTTGCTCGGTCAATAAAGGTTGCATGATTGAATGCCCTGCACATGGACACTGTTGTCTGAATGAACATTCACTATAGAGGAGACTCTTTATCAAAGCTTGCTAAACTTTGGGCATTAGCTAATGAAGCAGGCAATTAAATTTATGGTGTTGAAGTTGGTAATGACTATGAAGAAAATAAAACAGTCATATTCAGAGGGAATGCTAGGCGGCAGTGAAAGACTGAACAGAAACTGTATTAAATGTGTGTCTTGAAAAATACCAAAAATGAACACAACCCTCATTGTTTCATAATGTGATGAAAGAGAAGACAGAAAGTACAAATATAGCCTTTTCAGATGAGGATATGAAGCCGAGGAGTGAAGTGACTTCTCAAGGTCACACAGCTGGTAAGTGACACCTCTACGATTCACACTTGTATCTGTTTCATCATGAAGGTAGGATTTGTAACACATGATGAAAAGTTGTCCAAAATGTCCAAAGTTGTCAAAAAATGGCATTATATTTCTCTAGAAAATTAGAGAAAAGTTCTTTTCTGAAATGCTGTTATTATTGAATCTGTTCCCTAATCCAGAAAGAAGGTTGCTGATGTAGACATGTGTACTAACCTCTGGAACTTTTATTGTTTTTTATTCCTTTGCTGTATTTCAGGGGTCATCGAATATCTTCACTGTCTCTGTAACATATACATTTTCAAGCCAGAAAACTGACTCCATTAGCTAAATTAAACTGTTTGCGAAAGCCTTTTTCCACTGCCATGTCTTATTTCTATTTCAGTTTCTCTGGTGGGATATGTTGGTCACAGTGGATTTCCTTTTCTTGCTCTGGAGTTAATAGATGATTTGTGCTGCACTGTTAGTATATCCAATGCCATTGTTATGCTGTTACAGAATTATAGTAGAAGATGCAGTGGATTGGCGCCCCCATGACAAAATAGTCCTTAGCTCCTCTTCTTATGAGCCTCATGAAGCAGAGGTCCTCACTGTGAAAGAAGTCAAGGGCCACCATGTGAGGATCTATGAACGGCTCAAACACCGGCATATTGGTAAGGCTTTGGTTTGTTGGTTAAGGTAAGTGAATGAGCTAGGAAGACCATGTTTGGTAACCTAGCTGGGGACCTCGGATCTGATTGCCATTCAGAGGGGAAGAACAATGCCTTCCTGTTGACCTAGACTCATGCTACGTGGCCTTATCTCTATTCCCTCATTAATTTTGTTGCTTTATTTTTAAAGAATACTTGGATGTTATACACATACACACATACACATGCACACACATTTTGCTTTTTATTTATAATGGCAAATCTAAGAGCAGAAGGGTTGAGAGTCTTGTTCAAGGTCACTGGGCAGTTTTCTGGCTAAGCCAGAATAAAACTTATGGGCACTGAGTTTCCAGTTTATTTCCTGACACATTGAATTATAATCCCTTAGAATATTGTAGTTACTGTAAATAATGATTTCATTTTCCATACTTAGAAATGTGTCCTTCCTGACATGAAGTACATTTTATGTATTAACTACTACTATTACTATTACTGCAAAAAATGAAAGAAAAAAGCCCAGACCTTTTTTTAAATAAAAAAGGTACCAAATATTTTTATACACAATACACAGTTAGAATGTACTACATATAAATAATAAATCACAATAACCTTCCTGATTCAGTCTAATAAATAAATCTAATCCAGGAGATATAGCTAATCAGTAATAAACTGTGGAAATAAAGGGGATGGAGAATGTCTTTTTGTCTCTGATACTTGAGAGGCAAATCCATGGTTTCACCAGGAATATCTAAAGCTCTGTCTAAATCAATGTTCCCAGGAGCATTTCTTTTTTAGTAAGTGGCAAAGAAAAAAGAAATCTTCAGCAATGATTTCAGTAAAATGCAAGGTGAAATGCAAATGGTAGACAGTGAAACAAACTAGCAAGACGCTTAGTTCCCACTGCTGTGGAAGCTGTTCAGGCCGTGATGAGTGGAAGATCCACCATGAGAGGGCGCTGCTGCTGCCTGGTGCTGCTTCTCGCTTTCCTTTTACACACAGCTGCTTTTGCTCTGTCACTGCCTCAGTTGATGTGGGACTCCTCACTCTCATGAAAGAGGTCCACGGACAATGTACAACCCAACACTGAAGTCTCACGCTGACCTATTTAAGGCAGGTTGGGGACCCCACTAATTGGACAGGTCTGCCCTGACTTCCCTGAACCAGTGACCTGTTCCAGTACCCACAGTTATTAAGAAGAAATGAATTCTTGCTCAAACACTCTGACTCTGATCCCAAAGAGAGACAAGTGAATGGGTTATTTTATTTCTCAGCTGACCTTTGTGGAGAATGCCCCAGGAAAAGCAGACCTTAATGTTGGTAGAACTTCTGAGGGGAAAGGATGTTTTCATTTCTCAGGTTTGCTGGGTCCCCAGCTAGTGATTTTTGAAACAGGTTTTTAAAGTTTTTTTTTCCCACAACTCCTATTGCCCCAGGAAGTGTACATGTCACGGAGGATGGCCGACACATTCGTTTGGCTGCTGAGGTTGGACTGTTGACCCGAAATATACAAATTCAGCCTGACGTATCATGTAGGGGGAGACTGTTTGTGGGGTCCTTCAGGAAGTCCAGCCGAGAAGAATTTTCAGGTAAATGAAATTTTAAGTAATTGGCCATTACCAGTTGGAGCCTATTCATCTGGGACACCCAGAAATCCCAACTGTGAGAATTTTCATTTATAAAACAAAATGTTCAAATGAGATAGTTCCTTTGTGCTTGGAGAAGCTATGAATTTTCAGTCCTAATCTGTGCTTAATTATCAGTGTGATGTTAAAATAATATACTAGTGGTCAGCACATATGCACATTTTACCTCAAAGAAAACATCTTCAGCAGATGTGAAATTTCCACTGCTTTGAAATTATAGATGATTTAATGACCACTTCAATTTTATCTCTTTCCTGAATTTCTGTTACTCTTTCCCAGTAGCATGCTATATCTGATGGCAGGCATCAGTTCATGCTATAAATTAATAGCGTAAATTTAAATAAAAATGATTTCCATATTTCAGACTGCTTTAAGGATCAGTTCAATCTTTCTTGTTTCTTTCAAGTTTTAGCCCTTTTGGAATGCTGCAAAATTATTTGATTAGGACCTCGTTTCTTAAACTTGTGTTCCTTATACATTATTCCAAAGTTCTTTCCTGATCAAATAGTTTGGTTGTCACTGTAGCTCCAACTTATAAAATCGTGGTGTACATGAATATATAAAGGCCTGGAGAAGGCCGAGAATAAAGGATCTAAACACTTCCCAAATATATTCAGTATGGGACACTCTTTGTTGGCACAACTATTTTACCAGTTTTGTAAAGGGCAGTGTTTGGACCTTAAATCAGACATTTAAGATTTCTAGTTAATAGAGCAAGCTCTGTCTCCATAAGCCGTTATCAGTGGTGATTTCTGCCCGCTACCCCAGGTGATATTTGGCAATATCTAGAGACATTTTTACTTGTCACAACTTGAGGGAGCTTCTGGCATGTATGGGTAGTGCCAAACATCTTGCATGCACAGGACGACCACCCATAGGAAAGGAGTATCTGGCTCCAAATGTCAATAGTGTTGAGGTTGAGAACCCTGCTCTAGATGATGGAGACAAAGGCTGGTTCAAATCTTTTAAGAATTGAACCATTCTTTTAAGAACCCCATTCTAAGGTTGAGGAAGATGGGGAATCAGGAAGGAGAGAGCAAGATAAGCCCCCAGTTAACTGAAGCCACAGGGCAAGCTGGAGCATGGTCACAGGAACAGGACAGAAGGCCAGTTCTTACAGCTGAGCACCAAGCCAGAGCAGAACCAGCAGCAAGACTGACCTGATCCTAAACTTCTAACAATGCTGATCCTTAAATCATCCCCTGGGGAAGGGAAACAGAAACTCTATTTTGTGTTTCTTGTGGACCAGAAACTGTGCTGGTTTTCATACAGTGAAAATTTTATCTTATTTAATCCTAAAATCCTCATAAGAGAAATTTATATTCCTATTACAGGAAATAGAGTCTATAGTACAATTGCCTATTTATTTATGTAGCTCCTTCATTAGCTTATAAACTCCTTGAGGTGAAAAATAGGTCTTTCATCTGTTTTCCTAGTGTGGTAACTGCTGTACATTAGGTACTTAATAAATATGAATGAAAAATATTAATGAAGAGTAAGGAAAGTCATTCAAGTAGTAAGTGGTAGATTCGAGCCTGGTTCTTGTTAATTAAACTTTTAATTTTGTAATAATTTTGGATTTATAGAAAAGCTGCAAAGGTAGTATAGAGAGATCCTGTATACCTTTCACTCAATTTTCTTCCATTAATAGCTGATATAATACTAGTATATTTGTCAAAACAAAGACATTAACATTGGTACATGACCATGAACTAAACTCAAGACTTTCTTCAAATTTTATCAGTTTTTTTCTGTTCCAGAATTCAATTCAGGTTTATACCCTGCATTAAGAATGCTTACATTTTTCTATAACATAGTCCAGGGCCTGAATAAGAAGGGATCTGCAGGTGTAGGTCAGGGATGGCAGATATGGGTACTGATTTGTTATAGACCAGAAAAGCAGGCCAAGACTTTTGAGTCCTACTTTTATATTGGAGGGCTCCATCATTCTTCTCTTCCTGAATAATACCCAGCAAGTTGTACTTAACTTGCTGAAATATTTTTCAGTAGTGATTTTCAAAAGGAAAAATAGGAAAATAGTTGTGAATAAAATAATTGCTTCATTCAGGCTGGGCACTGTGGCTCATGCCTTTAATCCTAGCACTTTGGGAGGCTGAAGTGGGCAGGTCACTTGAGGTCAGGAGTTCGATACCAGCTTGGCCAACATGGTGAAACCCTGCCTCTACTAAAAATATAAAAATTAGCCAAGCATGGTGGCATGCACCTGTAGTCCCAGCTACTTGGGAGGCTGAGGTGGTAGGATCACTTGCACCCTGGAGATGGAGGTTGCAGTGAGCTGAGATCATGCCACTGCATTCCAGTGTGGGTAACAGAGTGAAACTCCATCTCAAAAAAAATTGCTTAATTCTTTATTTAATGCTCAAGACATTTTAAGTCTTTACTAATTGATTAATTTTCAGTCATTGGTTAATGTGCACAGCAGTAAAAAGACCTTGTACAGTTTAAAACTATGAATCAAATCCATGGAAGCATAAGACATTAAAAAAACTGATAATTAAAATAATCCTGAGAGCTTCTGGATAGCCGAACATGTGGAGCTTCCTAGACTAAGGTGGCGCACCCGGGGAGGGAATGGGAGCTGCATGCCCTTCCCTCATGCCGTGCCCTACACATCTCTTTATTTATCTCCCTTGTAATATCATTTATAAGAAACCTAGGAAATAACAATAATACTGACATGTTGCCTTGACAGAGATTCTAAAATCACATTAAATGCTAAAAATAAGCTATTTATTTATGGACTTATGCTTGCATTTGGTGTTCTTTGTGCCAAAGTTCTACGAAGCAGGTTTGCCAGCTCTTTCAGCTATGTGCTATTGGTGAGGGATATTGCCCAAGAAATAGCTTTTGGATGTTTTATTGTTCTGTGAATATGTCCACACCATCTACGAATGCCTCCTCAATAGCACCCATTGAGAAATTTAGATACTTCGGAATCCTGTTGCCTGGCCCCAAGTAGACGTATAGGTTCCTTTACTTAGCCTGTCTTTCTCAAAAGGACTTGCTTCTTCATGGCAGCCGATTTGCAAGGGTTCTAGTTTCTCATTTCTGAAAAGGTAGTGGAGAAATGAGGGGTTTAGGCTGTACTGCCTTTGAAACTTAAATACTATTAATACTATTATTGAAACAGTGAAACAGAAACTTCAAATGTATTGCTTCCTTTATTTTTAATGAGATAAATAACTTTATAGTTTACTTTAGTCAGTACCTTAAAAATGAAATAAAAGGAGCCAAAGTTGTGACCTACCTAGCAAAGGACACACAACTAATTATTGGCTCATAGCTATAGGGCAGTTATCTGAATCATAATGCAGAGATGCTACTTTTGTACCACAAAGTCTTTCTGTCTTTCCAGGATGCCTGCATGGGGTTAATAGTGCGGCTTCTCATCCATATGCCTAAGTTTAAGTCCTAGTTTGTTAGTTCACTCTTCTCTGCCTCAATTTCCTTATCTGTAAAATGGGGATAATAATTGTACCTACCTCATAGGATTTTTTTGAAAATTAGGAGTATGAATAAATAAATGAATAAGAATTAGAACGGTGTCTGCAAATAATGAGTGTTATGTGAGAGTTAAAGTATTTAATTCACCTCATTATTATTGCATATTAATTCATCTATAATCATGTTATTATTAATTTTACCAAAAGTATGTATGCTGAATCATTGTATTTTTAAATCAACTTACTGGGTGTATTTTATAGTGTGTTTTAACAATATCTATTTAAAACAGTACAAATAAAACTACAAATGAGAGTAAATAATTCACTATTTTCTCCTCACATAAAAGATATAGAAAATCTTATAAAAATGAAACAGTGAATAAAGTGTAGTCAGGATAAAAATATAGAAAACATTTTACAGAATCTTTAAAGTGATTTTAAAAGCATGTTATTGCTCCTACCATGTTTTAATCAGAAGCATGTATGGAATATCAGGCTTCTGGACATCAACTGAGCAGAAGGAAATTTCGCACTCATACTCTTCTTCAGAAATGCTTAATATTCATTTGTGCAGTGTCTTCTTGGGAATGGCTGTGGCCTTTCACGTGGTGTCACTGAGACACTGAGAGGGAGACTTGACTTTGAGGTGAAGGGCCAGAAACCCAGAATCTATTCTTACCCAGTTCTTTGACCCGGCCCCCGACAAATACACAGAATCGTTAAACTTGGCCATGCCCATCCCCAAAGTTTGCCTCTTTCCTATTTCTCCTCTCATCTTTCCCTGTCCTGTCACCAGACTCTTCAGACTGCACATGCAATTCAGGCATTAATGTGATACTTGTAATGATTCCTACATTTTTAGTTGAGAATCTATGGTGTGAAATATAATGTTGGTGTTGAGAATAAACTTACATTTTCATTAAAAATGTTCATATCTTAATGCCCCAAAATGGGCCATTCTTCAGCCTTTTGTGGGGAAGAGGAAAGTACCTGATGACATGCATTTGTTTATAGGTGTCCTTCAACTTCTTAATGTGGAAATTCAGAACTTCGGGTCACCATTGTACTCATCTGTTGAATTCAGTAATGTGTCAGCAGGATCCTGGATCATATCATCTACTCTGCACCAGAGCTGTGGCGGGGGCATTCATGCAGCTGCCAGTCATGGAGTACTTTTAAATGACAATATTGTGTTTGGCACAGCTGGCCATGGCATAGATTTAGAGGGTCAGGCCTATACTGTCACTAATAACCTTGTGGTTCTGATGACACAGCCAGCGTGGTCCACCATTTGGGTGGCGGGAATCAAAGTGAACCAGGTAAAGGACATCAACCTCCATGGCAACGTTGTGGCAGGATCAGAGAGACTTGGCTTTCACATCCGAGGCCACAAGTGCTCCTCTTGTGAACTGCTTTGGTCTGACAATGTGGCGCATTCAAGTCTTCATGGCCTTCATCTCTATAAGGAAAGTGGACTTGACAACTGTACCAGAATCTCTGGCTTCTTGGCTTTCAAGAACTTTGACTATGGTGCCATGTTACATGTAGAGAACAGCGTGGAGATAGAGAACATTACTCTGGTAGACAATACTATTGGTCTTTTGGCAGTAGTGTATGTATTTTCTGCTCCACAAAATTCCGTCAAAAAAGTGCAGATTGTGCTTAGGAATTCAGTCATTGTGGCCACCAGCTCTTCTTTTGACTGCATTCAGGACAAAGTGAAGCCGCACTCAGCCAACTTGACATCAACAGATAGAGCTCCCTCCAATCCAAGAGGAGGTCGAATTGGTATTCTGTGGCCTGTATTCACCTCAGAACCAAATCAGTGGCCTCAGGAGCCATGGCACAAAGTGAGGAATGATCATTCAATTTCAGGAATCATGAAACTTCAAGGTAGGATGTTTTATTTTATCTAGGCAGTGCCATTTCATACATCCATGCATAAAATTTTTAATGGCATTCTGAAATTTTATCAACAAAAAGGTACATTGTGGTCTAGTGCTTGCTGTCCAACCTGCTGAGTATTGATAGCCACAATGGTAGTTTATAATTTCTTACAAAAGTCACTGCTTTATACATATTGAAGAGCTTTCTACAACAACTATTATTTTTTAATAAAATTTAAAAAATTTGAATATAATGAGATGGGATCTTGCTATCTTGACCAGGCTGGTCTCAAACTCCTGGCCTCAAGCAGTCCTCCCATCTCAGCCTCCCAAAGTGTTGGGATTACAGGCATAAGCCACCACTCCCGGCTAACACAGCAATTATTTAACTTGATTACATAAGAACTCTCTTGGTTAGGTGTTATTTTTCCTATTATACAAGTGAGGAAATTGAAATGTAGAAGTTGTGTCTCATCTGAAGTTGCTTAGTAGATGGTTGAGCAACGAGGGTTAAAATCAAAGTTGTGACACGACTGGTGCAGTTCATCTTCTATTAGATCTCTTGTACCACCATTGTAGTCTCTCCCCTGTTACTTAGTTTATCTGGCAGTGGGTTTGTCTTTCTGTAAAATGAATGGATTTTGATTAAGCCTCAAATGAAAAGCCATATTGCTCTTAAAGGTTTAACGTATTGAAATACTCTTCTCTGTTGCATGCAATGTCCATGTATTGAAGAACTACTGATATTTTATATCAAGATGTATGTAAACTCCTAAGGCTATCCTGGATAGCTTTAACTAACTTAGGGTATACATTATTATAACAATATTTAGTTGTATATTCGATATTTGTGGCTGGTGGTTTATATGATATAATATTATGATACATATTTTTAAAATTTCAGATGTTACCTTTTCTAGTTTTGTGAAGAGTTGCTATAGCGATGACCTGGATGTCTGCATTCTACCAAATGCAGAGAACAGTGGAATTATGCACCCAATAACAGCAGAGAGGACCAGGATGCTAAAGATAAAAGATAAAAACAAGTTCTACTTTCCTTCATTACAACCCAGGTATAATTTTTAGTATTTATAATAAGCCATATTTATGAAGTACTTGGCAATTCTTCAAACCCTAAACATGTTTTTTGAAAGGAATAAAATCATCAAAGAAATAGAAATGAATCTTAGAATGGTAAGGTACATTAACTTAATGACCAATTCTTTACCCCTCCTATATTCACGCCTTGTGATATATGATTTTTAAAATATCTCTCACTAAAGAGGCAGGGGCTATTTCCCTCCCCCTTGAATCTGGACTCAGCCATGTGATTTTCTTTAGCTGATGAAAGAGGCAGAAGTAATGAAGTGCAAGTTTTATTGATATTGTTTTATTGTTTTGTCTTAATTAGAGAGACTTCTTTGGGATGTTTTCAAACTTGCTGGTAATAAATTGACTCTAATTCTTCATTCTTCATTGGAGTAAAGTGTCAGTGGTCTTCAGAAGGAGACCTTGGGAGCCTTTTGTGCAGGAACTAGTAGATAGAAGGAGATTGTGTCTGCTGACAGGAATCTCTGAACTGAACGATGAGGTCTAGCAGATATTGGTATTTCAGACCAGGTGTAAATACTGTTTTCTGACATATGATCTAAGAGTTTCATTCAAATATGTGAAAATTAGATAGGATTTTTTTATGCCATGAAAGAGAGTAGAAAGTTAGAAACAGGAAGAATGAATTACTTTTTCTTTCCCACAACACTGGGGCAAACTCCTTTATTGGAAGAAAAAAAAACAAAGCAAAAAACTAAAGAAGCCACCCTAATTAGAACATTCATGTGTTTGGCTTAACACGAGTCTCTTTTTGATGCCTATCCCTGAATCATGATTAGGTACCTAAACATGAGTAGGTAGGCAATTTGTGTTGTTTTGTCACTTTTTAAAATTTACTATCCAATTTTCCTTATGTTCATGTCTTATCCCGGGCTGATATAGCTGTTAAGTTACATGTCTTAGTCTGTTTGTGCTGCTATAACAAAGTACCACAGACTGGATAATTTATGAAGAACAGAAATTTATTTATTTTATTTTTGGAGATGGGGTCTCACTGTGTCACCCAGGTTGAAGTGCAGTGGCACAATCATGGCTAACTGCAGCCTTGACCTCCTGAGCTCAAGTGATCCTCCCGCCTCAGCCTCCCAAAGTTTTGGGATTACAGGCTGAACCACTGCACCTGGACATAAATTTATTTCTTATAGTTCTGGAGGCTGGGGAGTCCAAGATCAAACACTGGCATAATAGGCGTCTGGTGAAGGTTTCTCCCTCCTTCCAAGATGGTGCCTTGTTCGTGCATCTTCCAGAGGGGAGAAACGCTGTGTTCTCACATAGGAGAAGAAATGGAAGGGCAAGAGAGTACTCTCTTCATCCTCAAGCCCTTTTATAAGGGTACTATCTTATTCATGAGAATTGAATCCTCATAGCTTTATCACTTCCCAAAGGCCACACTTCTTAATACTGTTTCATTAAGGATTAAGTTTCAACATGAAATTTGAAAGGACCATCATTCAAATCATAGTACTATGTGATATTAACAGCTGAATCTTTGTGCTGATAATACTCAATACATTGTTGGTATACAATAAATATTTAATATTATTACTAATGGTATTTCAAAGCATTAGATTAGGGGAAATAAAATAAGTTCTCTGTAAGTCAACATTATAATTATCTATTAATTGTTTATATAGCCCACTTGACTCTAAATTCTGAAAGTGCAGTGCCATGTTTGGCTTTATTACCATCATGTTACCCAGCCTGTCTTTTGTAGGTTTTCAATAGATATTTGTTGAATGAGAATATCTATTTTTCTTTGCATATAGCATAAATATAATTGATATTTATAATAATTCTAAAATACTGCAAACCCCTGAAATTCCTAAAAATAATTATATTATGTTCAGTTGTTATGAGAGGAACACTTTATTGTATCTTGCTTCTTAAAAAATCAGCAATCTATATAAAGATTACATATTAGGATATCCAAAATATTTGGTTAGTAAGAATGTCTTTCTTCTTGACCATATAATTGGGAAATAAATTATTTCATAAAGAGTTTTATTTTATATCTATGTAACACATTGTCAATAATAAAAATCTGTTGAATTTATTTTAAACAACATTAGCACTACCAATGTATATTTTCTTCTTGCTGCTTATCATGAAATGAAAGAGTTGCTTTTTGACTGTCTTCACAGGAAAGATTTAGGAAAAGTAGTCTGTCCTGAATTAGACTGTGCAAGTCCAAGAAAATATCTCTTCAAGGATCTGGATGGGAGAGCCCTGGGTCTGCCTCCACCAGTTTCTGTATTTCCTAAAACAGAGGCAGAATGGACTGCATCCTTCTTCAACGCAGGTAAGCTATATCTGAATGCAATGCCTGTGGTAGAGGCAAGGGTGCTTGTGAAGGAGCTGGTTTTGCTGTGCTCACTGAGAATGAAATGTACTGGTGAAGACCTAAATTCTAGAGTTGGAGTCTGTGCTAATCTGCTGCCAATTCACCTGTATTACAGGAATGCTGAGTCATTATGTGATCTCACAACTTTACTGCTGTGCCCTCTATGAGATTGCCTGTGTCCATGTCAAAAGTGCAGATTCTCAATGCCCAACTTAGTGCACAGCTGGGAGGACAGTTCTCGCCCAGCTTGGGCACTTGGGCCTGAAGCAGCCATCATGCTCAGTGTTTCATACTGGTCTGCCATGGAACCAGCTCCTTTTTCTTTAAGCTTACCTTTCTTTTCTGTCAGGACTTAAAGCGCTCTCTCAATGGTAGGGTAGATGTCATGTGTTTTGTCTCCCTTTTCTCCATTCTCCAACTCTCCCCCAAACAAGGCTGTGCTCCAAACTTCTTCCTCTTCTTGCTTATGCAAACAAAGCACCCTTTTATGTCAATTTTTATGGCTGGACCCCTGGAGAGATCATTGTCTTTTTATTTCCACTAACAAGCTGACTCTGAATTCTCATTTGTGTTCAGCTGGAACCTGCTCCGGTCAAATGTAAAGAAGTTTTTCTGTTTTCTCCCTATCTCATTAGTTGATTCTTTTTAGATTTCTTTTCTGGTCTCCCTTGTCCTTTTAAATTTTTGAATGTGTGACTTTCACAGGACTATGTCCTGAGACCTTTTTCCTTCTTTCTCTAATTTTGCTCCCCAGGACCAAGACTGAAATACCATCAAATGCTGATGACTTCCAATTTATATCCTCAGCCTAGACTCGACCCTGAAATTTGGTCTAGTATAGCCAACTGACTTTACTTGGAAAGATAGTAGACATCTCAGACTCAATATGCCTCAAAAAGATTCTTGATCTCTTCCCCAATCTACAACCTGCTTCTTGCCTAGCTGTCCCTACCTCAGTAATTGGTGCCACCATTCATTAGGCTATTTAAGTAAAAAACCTGGGAGTCATCTTTTATTTTTCTTTTTCCTAACCCAAATTCTCAAACTTCTCATTTCCTCCACTACTACCACCCTCACCATTCCCTTTACTACTAGCCACCATTGTCTCTCACTAGATGAGGGAATAGCCTCCTTGCTGGTCTTCTTTCTTCTACTTTTGTAGTCTCTAGTCTATTCTTCACACATGGCCAGAGGGATATTTTCAGCTTTCCACCCATTCAGAATGAAGTCCCAGCTACAAGCCTGTAAGTCTTGTAGCCCCTGGTTCCTGCCCACTCTCTCACCTCCTCTCTTGTGACACGCCTTTTACTTACTTATCCTGGTCTCTTATTTTTCGTTTAACATGGTATGTGTATCACTACATCAGGGCGTTTGTGCTGGCTTTTTCCTCTTCCTGGAATATTTTATTCTCACTTCTTTGGGAGCTAGTTCCCGCTGTTCAAATAAGGTACCCTCAGAGAAGCCATCCTTGACCACCCTATCTAAAATAATCATGAGATCATTTTTCTGTAGCTCTACTGTGCTTGCTTTATTGTTTGTTAGAGTCGTGGTACTTAACATTATATTATAAATGTAATTGCTTATGTTAATGTACTGTTTATCCTTTTTAGAACACAAACTTCATGAGGGCAGGATTTTTTTTTTGTTGTTCACTGATGTGTATTTGGGGGTTACTCAATAAATTTTGGTTGACTGATCAAATGAATGGATTATAAGTAACCAGCCAGAAGAGTTTGCTGTTACACGTCATCCAAGAGCATGCAGAATGAACTGAGGCCTTCAGGTCATTGGTTTAAGAATTTATCTGTAATATGAAAGCCTAAAATGCAGACAGTTCTATGTATCTTTTTACTTGTTTTCACCTTTCTTTCACCTGAACTACTGCTACAGTACAGCATTTGACATTTGGAGCTGTTTCTACATATGATTCTTTTAATTACCATAAAATTTCATGCTTGAATATTTATACTTTTTAACATTTATTTTATGTTTTTCCATATGTTGAAGGCTTATCTCTGGAATAGAGTGAAAAGCTGTAAGGACTACAGTATTGGTTTTAAAGTCAGTGCCAAGCGCATGGAAATGCTGAATAAATGTTCGTTTTAATGTGTTGGTTGCATTTGTTGAATAGAACCAGCAAATATATTTTTTGCACAGAAGAATGAAATTCAGGGACACATTTATACTGAGAAAATATGTGGGTAGCACTAAAAAGAAAGTAGCAAAAGAAGAAAAGATAAGGGGTTACCCTCCTATTTACCCCTAGATCTACTCAAATGGTGTTCTATAGTAAGTTTTCTATTGGTTTTAAGAATTATTCCACCATTACAGGTATTTATGCTATGGGGAAAACATTCTGATATGTTAAAATAAGCACATGCCTAATTGTGGGACTTTTCTGGACTTGAGCTTTTGGTGAGGATCCCATTTCTTTGGAATCCATAAGGGATGTATGTTCCAGAGTATTTGATGAAAATTATATTTTATCCTAACAGAAGGGAATAAAGACTGAAGATAGTGTCTTAGTTTGGGTTGTCCCAGAAGCAGACCCTGATACAAGGCTTAGAATCCAAGTAGTTTAATGGGGGGCGATCCTATAAAACACCAGTAGGAAAATGAGGAAGTATCCTAGGAAAAGAAATAAGGCCAATAAGGGAAGTGTTATCAAACTGGTTACCACTGTGGAAGCTGGCGCTCAAGTCTGATAGGGAACTGCGGGAGACCATGGGAACAGCACCCCAAATTATCCCAGCCAAGCCACAGGGAAGCTCATGTGTTAATATTTCAAATCCTGGCTCCCCTGTCTTGGAGCTTACCTTTCTTTTCTGTCAGGACTTTGGGGGATGCTTTGGGGACATTAACTCTCCAGCCCTTTGGCTTTCTCTGAACACAGGCTAACTGTGCTCTTCCTTGAGGCCACCAAAAACTCTCAGAAGGAAAAAAAAAAGAGAAAAACATTGATACCAAAATTATCAAAAGAAAAAAAGCTTTTTCAGAAGGAAGTCATAGGTTTTGTGGTAGCAGCCTTTGGTGTATGAAGGTGAGTGCCAAAAATACATGGGTGTGGCATCAAAAGCATCCCTTACAAATAGAAACTCTAAAATGTCAGTCAGATTCTCCATGTTTAATCATAAGAGTGTTCATTTTAGGTGGTTGCTTACCAGATGGTGTAATATGCTATTTAGGCACAAATATGTTCTTGCTGCTGGTTGCAATGGTAGAATATTTGCTTTTTCTCAGTTCTTTACCATGGCTGTCAAACATGATTCAATGGTAAAACTCCATGAGTAATATCATATTACACACGATTTACTATCAGTGTGTGGACAAGCATGTATGTGTGTGAGTGGCTGAATGTCTGTATGGAGGTATATATGACTGATTGCCTAAACCCCTGATGTTTTAGAGCTTTATAACATTTTAAATGAGGTTGCTATAGGTACCAACTGCAAGGATTCCCACAGTGGAATCTGCTGTTTACTGCACTAAAAATACAATCTGTGTCCTCTTGCAATGAAAGAGACAGCACATAGTAAATGGTGCCTTCCGGGTGCTGACAGGATTGCAGTATTTTTCTTTGACTTCCAAAGTATGAGTAAATCCCTTCTTCCTTAATGCAAATTTCTTTTCATTATTAAACCATTTTCTCTTAGCTACTTTGCAGTTACTGTCCACAGTCTGTTGGATGAAAAAAGCACAGATTTAATCTTAGGATAATTAATGACTATTTTGTATTTTTTCAGTTCAAGACAAGAATCTATTATCATCTTCAGTAAATCAGAGAAAGCAATGCAGCTAAGGTGAAGATGGAGACCACTGGAATTTTATATTTATTCCAAATGTCATTGAGTTTAACAGACCCTTATATCCTTTCCATATTTTTTTAAACATATCTCTCCAAGTCATTTGGAATCCATTGCCTTTGAGGTTTATTTTTAATTTGGAAAATAACAGATTTTATTTGCACATATAAGTTCGTACAAAAACTACTCACCCAGACAGATATCCACAGGTCCCAGCATATTGTCATATTAGGAGCAAAAACCATCCATGTGGATCAGCTCTGAGGAACACTCTGCCAGTGGGTTTTGCTATCTGTGTAATGCAGGATGTGTAGCCAGGGGAGAAGAGAGCTGCTAATTTTGATTTATACTTATCTGTAAGTTTGCATGTGCAGCCAACTTGGAAAAATGTATAACAGTAGAGAGCAAGACAGCTCATGCCAAGCAGGTGATCTTCTGAGAACCATTTACATTTTATTCTCGAAAGGATTTCTTTTGATTATGGAGGCATCTGATGATCTGAACATTCAAAATCATTTAGAAGAACAAAGCATTGAAATTAATGTCCCATTCAGGTAGAATTAGGCAGATACCAAAGCTTTCCATTCTGGCTCCAAACTCAGTTTCCGTCTGTCCCAGACTACAAATGGATGGCATAACCTCACACCCCGGTTCACACATGTGGGGCACCAGCAGTGTCAGGAGGCAGCAGAAAGAAATCAGAGCTTCAGTTTCAACAGAATTTAACAATTTCTCAGCCATGACAAAAAAAAAAGTGGAAGGGAGGTAAAATGAAAACTAGCATTGCATGAGCACCTTTTTTATGCTACACGCTGAAATTGGCATTTTCATTCATTTGGCAAGTGTATTTTGCCTACTTTCTGTCTACCAGAGCGTCTCTAAGCATGGAAACTATAGCAATGAGCAAAACAACATTTCTGCTGCCATCAAACTTATGTTCCAGTAGGGTTAGGTACATAAACAAATAAAAATTCCAGAGGTACATAAACAAAATTCCAAATAAAAAATATTCTGGGATCTGTGGCTCATGCCTATAATCCTAGCACTTTGGGAGGCTGAGGCAGGCAGATCACCCAAAGTTGGGAGTTGGAGACCAGCATGGCCAATGTGATGAAAATCCGTCTCTACTAAAAATAGAAAAATTAGCCAGGTATGATGGCACATGCCTGTGATCCCAGCTACTCAGGAGGCTGAGGGATGAAAATCGCTTGAACCCGGGAGGCGGGGGTTACAGTGAGCCAAGATGACGCCACTGCACTCCAGCCTGGTTGACAGAGTGAGACCTGTCTCTAAAACAATTATATATATTATATATATAATACATGTACATACACATGCACACATATATATGTGTATGTGTATGTATATAACATGAGTATATTTTATATGTGTGTATGTATGTATTTTATATATATGTAAAAAAATATATAAATATATATAAAATACATATTAAAATATATAAAAAATATATAAAATACGTATATATAAAATAAAAAATATATATATATAAAGTACATACACACACACACACACATTCCAGGAGAGATGAGAAGGATGGAAAAAATACAATAGTGTTTTGGGCTAGAAAGGTAGTTTGAGTTGTCTGTGTGTGTGTGTGTCTTGTGTGCAGGCGAATTGCTATTTGAAATAGTTGCATTTCAAATGAGACCTGAATGGGGAGTGAGGAGTGCCTGCCCTGAGCAGAGGGAGGAGACTTCCAGGCAGAGGGAGCAGCCAGGGCAGGGACTCTGAGATCCAAAAGGGCCTCAGCATGTGTGAGAGGTGGGTGGAAAGGAGACCACTGTGTGCAGTTTTTGAGAGAAGAAGCAGTTGCAGATAGACAGGAGCCAGCCTCTTTCTTGGCCAGAGTAAAAGGTTTGGATTTTATTTCAATTTATTTATTTAGTGTACATTTCAGATGTACAGCATGATGTTTTGATACTCTTACACATAGTAAAATGACTACTATAGTGAAGCAAATGAACATATCCATCATCTCACATGGTTAACCACCCCTACTTTTTGTGACAAGAGCACCTATAATTCATAGTATTAGCAAAAATCGTGACTACAACACAGTATTATTAACCTAGGGTCCTCACGTTGTGAATTACACCTCTGGACTTATTCGCCTTACATATCCTTACATATCTGCAACTCTGTGTCCTTTGACCAACATCCCCTCATTTCCTCTCACTCCCAAACCCCTGTCTCTGTTAACCACAGTTTTATTTCCTATTTCTATATATTTTGGGAGATTTTAAGAAAGGTGGCAGTAGGATTTTCCTTGCTCCCTGAAAAGATTGTGCTAGCTGTGTTGGAGTGCGCTAGCTGTCTGGAGGCGGGCAGTGCAGCCAGGAAGCTGTGCAGGTGGAAGGGGAGCAGGTGGGGCTTGGAGGTAGCTGCTCCACGCGTGCTGGCCCACAAACTATCGGCTACCTGTCTACAGTGAGGTATTCACAGAAATTTACCACTTAGAAACACAGCAATTTGGCAGAGTAATTTTATGTCTGTTGAGTCTAATAAGTAAACGTGGGGCTTATAGTTTGTATATCTAATTTGTCTGATTATTTGTATTTTTTTAAATTATTACTCTTCAATAGACTGAAAATTTTAAAACAAAACAAACCCCCCTCATTCTCCTGCCAATATTTTTTTATGATGTGGTCAGGACACTAGCTACTAAAACTGACTTATCATTAGGATCATCTAGGACATTAAACATTCATTGGCATGTAGGGAGATTTTGAATCAATAGATGTGTGTAAAGTCCAGACCTTTGAGTTAAACACACACACACACACACACACACTCACACACACACAAACAATAAGTGATTCTGCTGTGTTAGGCTTGAGAATCATCACTATAGAGTTATATGTTCCTTTTGAAGTAAATAAACAAGATATTAAGAAGACAATATTTTTAATTTAGTGAGTGGATAGTTTCAAATTTTCATGAATAATCAAGAATTAGCTCTCTGTGCCAAATACCAACAGATATAAACATACTTGCTTATGAACACACTGAATATATTTCCACAAGAGAAAAGAACATTAGCTAAAAAGATTCAGGAATATTTACAATCTTAATTATTTGAATAAAAACAACATATTAAACCTCTTTTTAAATGGATCATTTTTCCTAGAAGTGAGGTGACTGACCTCAAAATGTCACTTTCATAATATATCAGTGGATAAAAATGGGTTTGATACTAAGTGTATGTTTTAAATGCCACATAGAATAGTTATATTAAAAATATAAACTCACGATAAGCTTTTCCCACACTTTCCTTGGCATTATTTCCAGCAAAGTACTGTGGTCTGACCAAGATTTCTGACCACATACACCTTCAGGGCAGGTGAGTTTCCCATTCTTTACCATGAGACAGTAGGGAACATTTTTCAAATTGTGTTACTTCTTGGACACTTCTCAAGAAAGAAAGTTATAAACCACTGTGGAGACCTTAAAAGTGACTGGCCTCAAATCAAAAATAAAAGATTAGGTTGATAAAAAAAAGAAAATAAAGCTGGCATTTGACTGTCAGCCCACTGAGTGATGAAGTGGTTTCTAACTGAATAATGGGGAAAGCTCAGGTATTGTGGTGACGTCTGCTCAGCTACTTAACAGAGAGTGGCTTGCAGTTTCTCAACTTTTTGTTGCTAGACCTTGAAATGTGTCTTTTCTTTAAGGTTTCTAGGCTTCTCTTTTTTCCCATTTATCCTGAGAATGACAGCAAGATGGTATTATAAAATGGGAGATTGGAGAGGGAGGGAGAAAATGAGAGGACAGAATGGAGAGAGGAAACGGTTAGAAAATTTGTCTGCCAATATCTGTGCTTGCAGAGGTCTTTTTCTTCTAGCTAGAGGGGAAAATACCATTCTCTTTTCCCAAGCAATTACAGGCCCCAAAGATTGAAGCTTGGTATATAGCTCTTTAATTTCAGCAGATATTTATGGTTAAACATTAGACTTTTAGGATTCCAGATGTCATGGTATTAAAATATAAAGGCACAGTGGAGTCTCAGAAAATATTAGACTCTTTGGGATTCGCAGCTGCAAGGGATTTTAATCCCAAGCAGGGGGGGATACGGCTTCTAGTGGTACATCGTTCAGACCCAAAGAGTACCTTTCCTTCACCTTATTTTGTCACTCCCTCATGACTTGCCTGGTCTCCAGGCAGTGAATGCCATAACAATATTTGATTACATTTCAAAGTAGTCCATGCTGTGAGTTGGAATGATTTTCATGTGTGATCTATAAAAGATGATATGAACAGGCATGTGATCTATGGGGACAATTTCCTTTTCCTTTCCTCAATCTAGACATGTTATTATTGTGATTGTCTTGCTCCTCAAATCTTCCATTAACAATAACAGCATCTAACACTTGCTGAGTGTCCACCATATTTCTGGCTCTGTGCTGTGACCTTTCAATGAGTTACCTCATTTAATGCCATCAACGGGTTCTACTCTAAGAGATAGTCCTGTTGCCTCCATTTTATAGGTGTGGGAACTGATGTAGACATTAGGTAAATTGTCCAAGTCCTAAAGCTAATTAACAAGGTTCAGATTGAACTGTGTTTTTATTTTTATTTTTTATTTTTAGAAACAAGGTCTCACTCTGTCGCCCAGGCCAGAGTGCAGTGGTACAATCATAGCTCACTACAACCTTCAACTCCTGGGCTCAAGTGATCCTCCCACCTCAGCCTTCCAAGTAGCTGTGACTACAGGCACATGTCACCACACCTGGCTAGTTTTTTTTAAAAAAAATTTTTCGTAGAGATGAGGTCTCACTATATTGGCCAGGCTGGTCTTGAACTCCTGGTCTCAAGCGATCCTCTTACCTTGGCCTCCCAAAGTGCTGCAATTATGGGCATGAGTCACCATGCCCAGCCCCGAACTGTGTTTTTAAGACTATGCTATACTACCCAGTACCCTCTATCCAAGTTTTCTCCTTCTTTCTTTATATTCTTCAGTGTTAACTGTTTTAGATCTGTCAGCTTTCATCGCATACAAAGCTCTGTCCACACAGAACAAACAAAACTGAGATTGTACAATTATTCTAGCAATTATCCAAACAAACTAGCAATAATAATAATTGCCATTATCTAGTGCATTCCATGTGCCAGGCATTATGCTAAATAGTTTATAAATACTCTCATTTATCCTTACAACAACCTTAACATGAAGGGATCGTTATACCCCTTCACATTTGGGAAAATAGAGGTTTGGAGAAGTTAACTAATTTTTCACAGTCCCACAGTTAGAATGTGCAGAACCAAGATTTAAATCTATATTTGTCTGACTCCAAAGCCAGAGTTCATAACCACTTCTGGATAATTATCATTGTGTGGTCTGAATCATCTGGTAGGACTCTATACAGAGATATATTTAACTGGATCATTCACATATTTTTACTTTACTTGGTAGCAAATAGATTTTTAGAGTTTAACAAGTAACTGTCGACTACTTTAACATTTTTGAAGGGCGATGCTATAACAACCACAAAAAAACTCA
The DNA here is from genome assembly GCF_000001405.40 of Homo sapiens. Lineage (NCBI taxonomy): Eukaryota > Metazoa > Chordata > Mammalia > Primates > Hominidae > Homo > Homo sapiens. The sequence goes on along the minus strand of NC_000006.12, from coordinate 51,735,021 downwards.
TTTAGTTCCTCTTCTTCATACATAATATATATACAGCTATTCCTAAACATCCATGTGGCATTGGTTCTAGGACCCCTACAGATACCAAAATCCACAGATGCTCAAGTCTTATATTAAAAAGGTGTAGTGTTTGCATCTAATCTACATACATTCTCCTGTACACTTTAAATCGTGTGTCGATTACTTATAATACCTAATAAGATGGCTAACACATCACTTCGTTTGTGTGGATTCAACATAGTACTCGTCAGGTGGCAAAATCAAAATCAAGTGAAACTTCTGTTTGGAACTTTGTAGAGTTTTTTTTTTTCCTCCACATATTTTTGATCTGCAGTTTTTGATCTGATCAGCGGATTTTTGATCAAATCCACTGATGCAGAACTCAGGAATATGGAGGACCTTTGTGACTCTCCTTCACCCGTTGCTCAGCTCCATTACAGCCCCTCTCGTGGGTTACCGCCATCATTTTACAAGTCTGCTTTCTTACCAGACTGTGAGTGACTTCAAGGTAAATGTCTTTGAATTTCTAGTACAATTTATGGAACATAATATAGGCTTTGTTAATGTTTGCTGAATGAGGGAACAAATGTGAATAAGAAAGTCAAGAATTTAAGTTTAGTTTGCCAGTCAACTCTTCCACAAAGTAAATTTTATAGATTTAATTAATGCATAATTTGTTTTAGCATTTTCAAAGAATATTCCCCCATTTTCTAATTTCAGGAGATTGTAAAAAATGTGGTACATGGCCAAATAAATTTTGAAAACTCTGACTATTCCTATTTTGGAGACCACCATGTGTATTAAAATACTGAAGATTCTGATAAGTTCTGCAATTAAATTTTTAAAAACACTGTTTAATTTTGTGTTACCCGGTGTTTCCCAAGCTTTTTGACTAGAGAATACCTGTTCATACTACACATTAGGGTCCCTTGGAACTAGTGTACTTCAGAACACATTCTGGGAAATATTGCCTCATGTTAATCTATTAGTCTACAGGAATACATGCTACTTGGAAAGAAATGACAAGATTGTAGTGCCTTTGATTTGGATGGTCCCTTGAAGATCAATCAGCTTCACTTCACATGCATACGTGCCCTTTACCTTTCATTTTCCCAGGAAGTGGGAGTTCACACCCTTTTAAGGCTGCCTATATTATATTTTGAATAACTTGTTATTGTTAGGCTCTTCCTTCTATGACTTCTACCCAGTGACCTAGTTTGCCTTTTGGCATGACAGAGTATAAGTCTTTCCAGGTTTCATATAAGTCTTTCTGTATTACAGCATTTTACATATTCAAAGACAGTAAGACAATGATTTTATAATAAGCCAAATAAGACTTTTTCAAGCATAGGAATTCTAAATTCCTTCTATCAGCCAATATATGACATTTTTTTAGTTCTTCACTTTTTAGACTGGCTTATGTTTTTATTGTGGTAAAATACATATAATATAAAATTTACCATCTTAACCATTTTTTTTTTTTTTTGAGAGGGAGTCTCCCTCTGTCCTCAGGCTGGAGTGCAGTGGTGTGATCTCAGCTCACTGCAAGCTCCGCCTCCTGGGTTCACACCATTCTCCTGCCTCAGCCTCAGTAGCTGGGACTACAGGCTCCCACCACCACGCCCGGCTAATTTTTTGTATTTTTAGTAGAGACAGGGTTTCACTGTGTTAGCCAGGATGATCTAGGTCTCCTGACCTTGTGATCCGCCCATCTCGTTCTCCCAAAGTACTGGGATTACAGGTGTGAGTCACTGTGCCTGGCCCATCTTAACCATTTTTAAGTGTACAGTTCAGTGGTATTAAATACATTCATAGTATTGTGCAACCATCACTACCATACTTCTCCATAAGTCTTTTCAACTCTTAAAACTGAAACTCTAATGTCATTAAACAGTAACTTCCCATTCTTCCCTACCCCGTGTTCCTGAAAACCAACATTCCACTCTCTGGGTCTATGATTTTGACTACCCTTAAGTACCTCATATAAGTAGAATCATACAATACCTTTTGGTACTGGCTTATTTCTTTTAGCATAATGTTCTCAGGGTTCATCCATGTTGTAGCATATTATGGAATTTCATTCCATTGCATGAACTTACCACATTTTGCTTATCCATTCATCCACCCATGGACACCTGGAATGCTTCCATGTTTTAGCTATTGTAAATAATGCTACTATGAATATGGTATACAAATATCTCTTAGAGACTCTACTTTCAATTCTATTGGGTATAGATCCAGAAGTGAAATAGCAAGGTCATGTGATAGTTCTATTTTCAACCTTTTGTGGAACCATAATGTTGTTTCCCACAATAACTGTACCATTTTACATTCCCACCAACAGTACACAATGGTTTCTCCACATCCTTGTTGACACTTGAAATTTTCTACTTTGATAGTAACCATTTTAATGGGTGTGAGGTGATATGTCGTTGTAATTTTGATTTGCATTTCCCAAGTGATTAGTAGTGTTGAACATCTTTTCATGGAGTCATTGTTAATTTGAATATCTTTTTTGGAGAAATGTCTATTCAAGTCCCATATTAATTTTTGAATTGGGCTGTTTGGGTTTTTTTGTTATTGTTGAATCTTAGGAGTTGTGGTTTATGTTGTGGATATTAATCCTTTACTAGACATATGATTTGCAAATATTTCCCCCCATACTTCAGGTTTCCTTTTCACTCTGTTGATAGAGTTTTTTGATCCACAAATTTTTGATATTTTTATGAAGGACTGGCATATTTTTGATGATCTTCAGTTTTCAGTGATTTTTTTCTAAATCTAGGAATAAGAACTGAATATTAACCATCCAGAACAGTATTGTTCAAAAGAAATATAATGCACCAGTGTGACTTAGTATCTTAGCATCCAGGCTAAAAGCAGTAAAAAGAAACAGCTCAATATATTTAAAAATCATCATTTTAATATGTAATCAGTGTAGTTGAGATATTTTGCATTATGTTTCTTATACTATGTGTTTAAAATCTGTTGTGCTTTTTACTGTTATGCCATGTCAATTTATAAAGTGTTTTTATCAAAAGTATTTGATCTTTGCCTATATTTTATAAACTTTGCAACTGAAAAAGTAGAATCACATATAAACATTGTTTAAAATATACCTAAACATTTTCCAATAATTGTTATCAGTTTTACATTTTAAATTATAATTAATTAAAATTATACATAATTTGAAGCTTAGCTCCTTGGGTGCACTAGTCACATTTCAAAGACTAAATAGCTACATGTAGCTGCATTCATCATATGGATATTTTTCTTCCTTTGTTCTGAGGGATACACATTAAAGAGAATTGATTTTTTAAGCCATGTAGTAGACTCTATTTATCCCTGGTAAATTACCCTTTTATAAGTCAGTGGTCATCAGATGTAGCCTGGGTTCCTAGGATTAGAAATGAATCACAGAATTAGAAACCAATCTAGAGAGCACCTAATTGATCCTGGGCATATAATTCAGTCAATTAAAAAACAAAGCTTGTCTAGACTTGGATTACCTGCCATTTGCAGGAGGTATTATTTAAATACTCAAGCCTCCAACCAAAGCATCAAGATTTTCTGAGACTGAGAATTTTACTACTCAAGTTAACAATCCTTTATGAGAAATCTATTCACATTTCTCTGTTTTATTGTATGTTTGAAAAGCAGTAATATCAGTGTTCCACAAGAGGAGCTATTTTTGAATACCTATCTGTAAATGAAATTACTTGATTTTTTTGCCATAATAATAAACTGGCTCTGTATTTTCTATTTCTTTTTATTTTAGTTTATTTCTTTTTTCTCTTTTTTTCCCATATTATTTCAAGGACTTCATTGACTAGTAAGCTGTGTTCCTAGTCTTCAAGTTTTAATAATGGAGTAACCCTGCGTTGCTGCTTTAATCCTTTCAGTACAATAGTATTGAAAAATTTAACAAAAAGTATTAGCCAGGTGTGGTGGTGCACACCTATAATACCAGCTACTTGGGAGGCTGAGGTAAGAGGATCACCTGAGCCTGAGAGGTCAAGGCTGAAGTGAGCCATGATTATGCCACTGCACTCCAGCGTGGGTGACAGAGTGAGACCCTCTTCCCTCCCTTCAACCTCTCAAAAATTTAGAAGGTAGAATCTCAAACCTGAGCTTATTTTATGCCTAAGATGAATGGATGAATGTTTGTCTATTTTCAGTTTCATTATTTTTATATTTTCATGTGTATGCATATATGCACATTTTAATGGAAGGGAATACTTGAGCAGTCCCTCCAATAAATAAAATGCTTGTGCCTTGCCAATAGATACCAAACCAGCTCATAAATAAGTACTAAGCAAATTCTCATCTCAATATTATGGGTCTGAAAAATTCGCTTGTCTGGTTTACAGTTTTTTCTTTATGTATTTACATTTTCATGAGATGTAAAAAGTAATCTTAGTTTCTGACAATTGGAAGCATTCATTAAAAATATTCTAGAAATAAATATGTTGATGGAATAAACTTCTAAAAGTCGGAAATAGATTCAGATGCATTTGACAATTTAGTTTATAACAAAAATAGCATTTTAAATTATGGGAAAATAGAAATCATTCAAATAGCAACGTTGAGCCATTTGACTCATCATGTAGGGAGAAAAAACAATTCAGAAATTTTTATCTTTTTCTTTACAAAAATAAATTTTAAATGGATTAAAGATGGAAAACCCCATGGAATTACTAGAAAATATTGATGACGTTATTTAGAGTTACAGGGATACTTCTTTGCATGAATCAAAATCTAGAAAATACGTGGGTAGATTTAAAAATTTGAATATAAAAGAATTAAAACTTCTTAAAGAATATTAAAAGCAAAACTAAAAAACTAGAAATAAATTTGCAACTCATCTAGCAAAGGGCTAATTTCATCAATGTAAAAACAACTTACTAATATTTAAGAACAAAAAGGAACAAACCAACTGAAAAAATTTGCAAAGAATTCCAAGAAACATTTTACAGAGAAATGAAACAAATATCAATAAACATACAAAAAGCCAAAGTTTTCTCACAATCAAAGCACAGGTTAAGAGTTCTTGCACTGAGTCCAGCTGCTTGGATTGTGTCCACTAACCAGATGTGCAATTGTAAGCAAGTTGCTCATCTCCTTTATGCCTCAGTTTTTAAATTTAGGACTTGGAGATATTAATATTATGTACTCAAATGATTATTATAAGGATTAAAAAGATAAACCTAATAAAGATTTCCACCACTTCTAAGGCAATAATGACCACTGCTACTATAATTATTATTATTTTCCCAATCATATTTGCAATAATTAAAAAGTGTGATAATTTGCAGTGTTGGGGAAAATGTGGAGAAAGAGTTCTCAAACTTCGTTCTCAAATATCACTTTTCTTAGCTTTTTGTCATCTGGCTACCACCTAAAGCTCTGTACTTCTGACTTAGCAACTTCACTTTTAAGACATTATCCTAGAGATTTTTGTTGAATGAATAAATAAAACAGTAAAACAGAAAATGAAAAAGAAAATATATCATGCCTCTTACCCCTCTGCTATCTTGATCTTCAGCACTACTACTCAGAGGGAAAAACTAGAAGGTTGCCATTAAAAAAATGTGTATGTATAATTTAGTTTTTATAGTAAGAATAATGATAGTATAACTCATTTATATGGAAAACTAGAATCTTGAAACATGAGTTGGTTATTATGTAAAGTGTGTCAAGGAAAAGAACACCAAAGAAAAGAAATTTTCCTAGACCTAGAAGCCAATCTTTCTACTACAGAATTAAGGACTTCCAGTATGACTGAATTTCAATTTGATTAGCTTCCTCACAGGAGAAATATTAATAAAAACTGAATGTAAGTTCTTGAAAGTCATTGCCATGAAGGAAGGGAGTTGAAGCCATTTTTTAATATGGCTATGAATAATAATCTCTTCCCTTTTGGGTGATATTGGTAGGATGCAACCTTTCTTGGGCACTGCCCATGTGGAAACCAGCCTATCCATATCTGTAGGCTATATACTGTCTTTCTGTTTGAACACGTTACAGACAAAGGAAATCTTAGAGCTTTATAATTTTGTAGACAAAATGCATATAAAAAACTTGGCCCCAGGCCTGTCATAGGATAAGCACTAAATAACTTGACTATTCCATTCCATTGCCACCACTGCCACCACTTATCATGATCCTGGTTGGAATGGTGATGAACATTTGAGCATGACATCCTGGTTTTTGTACAAGTTTTCTATTGCTGCTATAACAAATTATTAACAATGTAGTGGCTTCAAACAACACCTAAGTATTATCTCACAGTTTTGTAGGTCAGAAGTCTGGTGAACTTGGCTATTTTCTCTGCTTCAGATCTCTGATGGCCAAAATTCAGGTAATGGCAGGATTGTGTTTCTTTCTGGAGTTTCTGGAGATGATTTCACCTTCAGTCTCACTCAGGTTCTTGGCCAGATTCAGTTCCATGTAGTTGTAGGACTGTGGTCGTGTAACCGGCCAAAGAGTCCGGCTGCTCACTGCTTATGAAAAGAAGTCAAAATAATAAGTTGTGATAAAAGGAAGCAAAATTGGTTTATTATCCATGCTAGCAGGGGAAGAGTAGAAAGCAATTCCACTCTTCAGTTCCCCTATTCAATTCCACAGAGGTTTTTAAAGGAAAGATTTGGAATGCAGAAGAAGTGTGGGGGCTGAGAGGTATAAGGTAGCGTGACTTGCTCCAGTGGCCCCTCTTGAACAGTTGTCCTATTTGGCAAAGGGGATGCTGCCATCGTAGACCCTGCCAGGTTATAAATTACTTTCAGTCAATTTTGTAGTCACTCATCATCTGGGAGTGGGTTCCATCTTTAAGCAATCTTTTGTTAGAGAGAGAATTCCAGAGGTGCCTTGTCACTATCAGGATCTGACTCCTAAAGTATATAAGGAAATATATGACCAGATAAGAAAGCATGGTGCGTGCTTGACAAGCATTTAGGTAAATAAATGTGCATAAGGCATGGGAGTATTGTATGGAGAAGGAAAAGGAATTGAGATTCACAGCACATACTGAGGCTGTATTTTAATATGAGAGGTTACATAGATGTGTTATAGGTTGTTAGACAGGCATAGAGTAGGGCAGAAGAGGGCTCTCCCCTACCCACTAGGAATGTTGAGTGATGGTTTGGCAATTATCACATTGCCTCCCTAAAAGTGACAGATTGGCAGATGGTGCCAGGAAGAGGCCATTTCCTGATGGGCCACACCTGTTGCACTGAAGTGTTAATTGAATGGAGACGCCAGGAAGAAGCAACTTCCTGGGCATATGCACTAAGAGACAAAAATGGCAGAGTTTGCCTTTCCAGGGGCACACCAGCAGCAAAGGGAAGAAAGCCTCAGATGGGCATGCATACAGTTTCCTTAACACACTGTGCATGCTCACCTCCCAAGGGTAAGGAGGGCACTGCATATGTGGGCAGACCACCCTAAGGGAAGAATCATGAGAAGGGGTTTAAAGACGCCAGAAGGGGGCCACCCTGTAAAGTCCTAGTATCACAGTTAACAGTGAAACACCACACTTGTTCTTCAAGTCACCCACTTGGATCTCTATCAAGCGTACTTTCCTTTCTCTCCTGTTCCAAAGCCTTTTAAAATATACTTCCTCACCTGCTCTGAAACTTGTCTCGGTCTCTTTTTCTGCCTTATATCCCTCTGTCAAGTTCTTTCATCTGAGGAGGCAGAAATTGAGGTTGCTGCGGACCCACACAGATTTACTGCTGGTAACTCGGATACCTTCCATCAGTAACATATGCAGTTTGTCTCAAAATTTTATCCCGAGACTGGAAGAGAAAAGAGGAAAAGGAAAATAAGAAAAAAAAGTTTAAAATGCAGTTTGAGGCTCAGCTGCTAAGCTGCTCAGTTATGGTTGCTGTGTCCTTGTTCACTGTAGGCCAGGCTTCATGCTCAACTTCTAGGGCTGCCTGCATTCCCTGACTTGCGGCTGTCTTCATCTTCAAAATCAGCAATAGCTAATTGTGTGCCTCTCATGCTTTGAATCTCTCCCGCCTTCTCCTTTACTACAACTCTCTAATTCTAGCCAGAGAAAGTTCTCTGCTTCTAAGGTTTATAGTCCAGGATAGTCTTCCTACTTTAAGATCTATACACTTAATAATATCTTCAAAGTCCCTTGCCATATTCACATAATCAGGATTAGGGCATAAGCATCCTAGGGAGGCTATTATTCAGCACACCATAGTTATTTGTAAGACCTTAGTCTTAGTTGAAATAAAAAAAGTAAGACATTGGAATACTGATGCCATCTCTGCAAGATTTTTTCTCTTTCAAGAAAGAAATTAGACCTTACTTACCACATTTTAGAGGTACTGTGGAAGTGTGGAGAATTCCATATCCACTCTGTAGGATAAACATCAGTTTTTGATTGAAAAATTATGAGGAAATGTTGACAGTTCATATGGGGCTGGCCCAGGAAGCTGGAGGGGGATGAAGCGGTAATGGGAACTTAGAGGGAACAGAGGTCAGTTCATGTGGGGTATACCAAGAGATGTAAAAGGATGGATAGGATGGCAGAAAAGAGGTGATTAAGACCAGTTCCTGCGGGGCCAGTATAGCCTGGTTTGTCTTTGACATTTTTGTCCCAAGTTGAAGCAAGAAAATTTTATTTTAATATGCACTTTATTTTACCATATGTATTTTAAGTATGATTGTTTACAATAAACTCTCTTTGATGTGTTTATTTACTACACAACTGCTTCAAAATACGGCCAGGATTGGCCTCATCCACCAATTGCCCCTGAGTTAATGGAACCGGAATTTAAGCATTAGAAACTCCTGTATGTCCAGTGCCTGATAATGTTTGGTGACATGAACGTGAACTTCTATAATAAAGAAAAGCAGCTCATTTACCCTGGATCTCTCAGACACATCTATGACCTACCCAAATAGCTGAGTTTGAGCTTGCAAAAGCTTAGATGAGGGAGCACTGCATTTTGCAGCAATTAATTTTGCAGAGGAAGCAGTGTGTTTAAAGATGCCTGCAGCACTCACTAAAATGGGGGTTGTTTTTCAAGGCCACCAGAGCTGCATTTGGCTAAGGCTGGCTCATCAACAAAACAACAATGCTAAAATATGGCCTCCTGGGTTTTGCAAAAGAAGGGACTAGAAGGGCAATGAATTATGCTCACCTTCTAGAACTGGGTGAAGACTGTAATTGTTTAGCCCCCTAGCACAACCCTGCAAGGGTTAAAATGACAGAGATATTAGTTTGTGATGGCTAAAATTGTTGGTTTGAAGCTCTCGGCAATACACAGACTGTTATTTACCAGACTTGGTCGATTTACTTCTTAATGCAATAATGACCTGTGAAATGAAACGTGAGCTAGACAATTGTTCCTCGTTGTTTCCAGTAAAACATCCTTTCATACCCCATTAAACCACCATTAATTCCATATGAAAGACAGTCATGCACAAGCACCCGATGGTCTCTTTCTTTCTTGGACTTTCTTGCTCCCATACTTCTGTTTCCTTTCCTTCTTCTTTGCATTTCCTCTTCTCTTTCTCTCCATTTTTCCAAATAAAATATGAACATAATAGGTTGCATGGTGAGAAATCCCTTTGAAGGACAGGCTGAAACACATCTCTTCCAAAACAGGGGCAAGGTTTCAATTTCTGAGCATCCACATGACTCTCTGTTTGCCTTGGACATGAAAATACCAACAGCAACAGAAAAGTTTTTCAAAACAAGGAGCAATTGTTCAGTCCTGTTTAAAAAAGATCCAGAGGCCTTATTCCAGATACGTAGGTTTTACATGGTCCCACACTGGGGATGCCAATCATGTCACACAGCTAGGCACCTTCACCAGCCTGGGGCGAGGGTCCTTCCCACTGCAGGGACACAGAGGGATCACAGGAACCCCCCTCTGTTTTCCAGCAGCCTGACTCATTTTGAACAGCTTCTCCTTATTTCTGGACCTACTTTAACTTTTTTATTACTAAAAGCTCCAACCAAGAAGATCTGAGCCACATGGCATAAAGGTGCATTTGTAGTAGTTCCTCTCTTTGACCCTTTTCTTCCTATAACCTCACAGCTAGGGGTTGTCCTAACTTCCTTCACTGCATGATTAAAATTTTTTGCTATCTAGTTCACCCCTTGCTGTTAGCATGGTCACTGCATCACTTTAATTTCTGTCTCTGTGATTGTATTGCCTTCTCGTTTACTGTAGTCAAATATCCCTAGGACTCCTTCTTATAAGGACACTTGTGATTACATTTACCAACTAGATAATCCATGATACACTCCTCACTCAAGATCCTTAACTTAATTATGTCTGCAAAGTCCCCTTTTCTATATAAGATAACATTCATAGATACTGATGTTTAGGACATGGCCATCTTAGGGTCATTATTCAGACTAACATACACAGTGATTCCAAGATTTCAAGATATAGATAGATTAGATAGATGGATAGATAGATAGATAGTAATAGTAGAGTGCAGAGATTTTTTCTTCCTCCTCTGAAGGCTCCAGTCTACTGAGGTGAGCTGACAATAAATAGATCAACAGGACAAACGGCATGCAAATTTATTAATGTGTGTAAGAGTGGGAGCCATAGAGAATATCAGATTCAAAGAAGGGCCAGATGATTATGGCTTAAATACCTTCTTTATAGGAAAGAGTGGTATGAGGGGCTATAGGCAGTTTAGAGGAGTAGTAAATGATTTCTAGGGGGAGTACGTGGTCTCAAAGACTAGATAATTGTTTGCAAATCACTCCCTTTGAACACTGAATGGGACCTAAGGACAAACAATAGTCTTTGGACAAGTTATAAGAAGGTGAGGGGAGAAAGTACACTGTGAACATAGGTTGTCTTATTATGCAGATACAGTCTCTCAGGTAATCTTTTGCAGCTGCCCTCAGAAGAATAGGTGAAAAGGTTTTGTGGGCATATGACAATTTTTAGTCTCTTCTCTGGTGGTTAATTTTTCCTGATTAGTTGATAAGATTCTTAGAAAGGGGATCTTAAGACAATTGCATTTCTTTTGGAAGAAGGTTTCTTCACTCAGATACCAGAGCAAATACCTTTCTACACTTGTTGGGGAGGTGGTAGAAATAAGAGAAGCTTAGAAAGTCCCTGGTTCTGAGGCAGTTTCTAAGGCTTTTCAATTTATTTTAATTCAAAAGTGCTCAGTATGCCAAAGCATCATACCATACTTTGGGGTACCATTCTATGTACCCAAACTCTCTCTCTGTCTTTCTCTCTTTCTGGAATTACATCTGGAAAGCCCAGACCTGGTGATTTAAGATGTTTTCTTTCGCCTTTCTCCTTTTGAGAGAGATGGAGAAAGAGGAAAGAAAATATCTTAAATCACTCTTGGTAACCCACACATAACTAGTCCAAAATAACATTTCACCATCAATTTTTATTTTAATCTTGTTTTCACTTCCTGTTTTGGAGTTAGTTGTGTTATCACACTTTGAAATTTTCAATAATTCATTTTCCCAGCTTTCTTAAAATTACTTTACTTACCATGAATTGTTCTTCAATAGTCAATAGTCTTATGGTATATACTCTGACATTGATCTGTGTGACAGTACCCAGGTAATTAGAAAGGCCAGATTCCCTACATTCCCAACTCCAAACAGGATCACGCATGTTGGGGAATGAATAGTGCAGGAGGTTGAGCACTAACAAGGTTTTCTCTGTTTGTGTTAAGGAGAAAGCTATTTAGACTGACCATATGTGTGCACTTGGAATCTGTTGAAAATGGGACTCATCACTACAGTCTTTCCTAGCTGTTTCCTGTATTTTCCATGTTGGAGCTGACATCACAGAGGTCCCAAGAGCAAAAGGACACCTTTAAGATCATATAGACTATCACATCAGATTCTGACACTTGGTCTTAGAGAAAAAACTGAGATGTGATTCTGAGCAGACTTTTATTCTCTTTTTCAAGACAATATCTTTTCTCCCTGTTTTAGGATGCCTTTCAATAAAAAATTAGCTAGAAAAGAAATGAGTAATTAGTGAAGTAAGTACATGATTAATGACTCATTTAAAACATGCCTAATTTGAAAACAAAAATGAAAACAAATGAGAATGACCCTTTATTGTTCAGAGCAGGCCTATTTCTGTGGTGGTTCCCTGTTGCAGGAGACTTTGCAGAGGTCCTGTGTTTTTTTCATGGGACGTCTTCTCCACCCTGAGAGGAAGTCAGTCTTTCTCTTCACATAACCTTGGAACTTACAGCTGATTCCATTCATTCATGTTACATTTTACTTAGAATGGTTAATTACATTAGCATGTGGCTTTCCCCAATTAGATTATATCCTCCTGGAGGGCAGGAAAGATTTATTATGTTAATTTTAGTTTAATTTAACCAATATATATTGATTATATATTACAATGTGGTAATAGTTACTACTATTCCAATAGCTCCCATTTACTGGGTGCCTCTTGCATGCCTGCATTGTGTTATATGCTTTACGGATCAGGTCTTTACAATAACTTGGAAAATAAGCCTCTGGTTAATCAATTCTAAATATGATGAAACCAATGCTCACAGAGTTTAGGGCCTTTGCTTTTTTATATCAAGTGATAAAGCCAGGCTTTGCATTCAAGTCCATCTGAATTCAGGGCCCATGCTTTTTCTTAATGTGCAAACTTTCGTTTATATAAGCTTTCTGGGGAGTTTAGACATAAGTGAGACGCAACCTTGAACCTCAAAGAAATAACAATTCAGTAAGAAGGAAAATCCAAGTAACCAACTGTAATATAAAGCAATGTAAGATAAGCACCTAGAAATGTATAATCTGTACTCTGAGAGCTCCAAGTTAGTGGGATTTTGGCAGAAGGAGAAAAGGACCCTCCACACTGAGGGCGGGCATGAGTAAAGAGCTCGGATATTACAAGGTGTGGGGTATTTTCATTTGGATGCAATGTGGAAAGCATGCCGAGAAGAAAAGAAGGGTGGAGACATATTTTTGGAGAGCCTTCAATGTCTGACTAAAGTACTTCTGTTTACTTCAGTAACCACTGAGCAGGCTTTGAAGATTTCAGAATAGAGGAGGAGCCTGCAGGAAGCTGAACTTTGAAAGATTAATGAGGCAGCAGGAAGCAGGGTGAAGAATGGGTTGGAGCATGGACCAAATGGAAAGACTTGTTAAGACACTGTTTCAATTGTTCAAATTGAGAAGAAATTGATTGAGGACTGGGAGGAGATTGATGGCAGCCAGAATGGAGAGGATGGTACAGATCAAAGAAATACAAAAGAGAGGAAATAGAGTTTGCTTACTCCTGACTTTGGGGACTGTGGAGAGGGTGTCAACAGTGACACCATTGTCCGTAGTCAGGATATCTTTGGGAATGGAAGTTCCAGTAGCAGATATGGGGGAGTAGGAAAGAAGAGGATGGTTGCTTAAGCTTTGCCTTTAGTGAGTTTGGGGTACCCACTATATGAGAGAGGAGCAATTCAGATATTAAATTGGTGGTGTTGAAATCTTTGGAATTAGAGCTTTGGAGATAAATTGCAGCTAGATATAAATTATCTGGAATAAAGTGATAGGTGAAATAATATGGTAGAGAAGCCTTATTTTATTTCTCTCTTCTTTACCAATTATATTGAGATATTATTATTATTGGCATATTAATATATTATTATTGGTATATTAATAATATAATAATATAGGTATATTATCAATAATATACTAATACTAATATACCAATAATAGTGGGTTATTGTTAATAATATTGGTAAAGAAAGAACATAAATGTAAGTTTATTACCAAGAATATTGGTGTGGTAAAGATAACCCATTTATGCTGGAGGTTGCAATTTTTTGAATTGCAAAATCAGACCTTGGCCATGACCTTAAGCAGTAGGATATAAATAACTCCCATGTGCCCAGTGTTCCATTATTGGAACAGTGTGCCATTCTTGTGCACTGATGGAGGAAATAGTTACAGATACAGTGTGATTTGAGGAATTGGTTCCCCCAGAGCCTTATTGACCCTCAAATACTTCCCTTACCCATGTTATCATTTCCTTTCTATCCTAAAATTGCTACCTTTGCTGCCAGATCTTTTCCTTCATAAAGTCAATGTGACATTTACTCATTTATTAACTCATTTCTTCAACAGATACTTATTGGGCATTTACTGTATGCCAAGTATTGTAATAAATGCTGTATGTACAAAATGACATAATCTCTGCCCTCATTTCTTATTAGGGAGAATCAACAAAAAGAGATAAATTGTATATATATACACACACACACACACACACACACACACACACACATATACATACACACACAAATGTATAATTATAAATAGGTAAATAGGTATATATGAATAATATCCTAAATATGATAAATGCTATATAATGAAAAAAAAATAGGAGTGCTATAAGTGCATCAAAATTTAGAATAGTGGTGGTGGGGACAATGTGAGTTGTCAAGGCAGGTGGCTCTTGGAAGTGCGTTTAAACTGAAACCAAAATTGAGTAAGAGTTGGCCAGAAAAAGCATGGAGGGAAACGCTTTCCACTTCCACTCACAGCTGAGTGAGCAGTCTGTGTGGAAACCCCAAGTAAGAAAGAGCCTGGGCACTGGAGGAAAGCAGGCTGTAGGGACTGAACAAGGGTGCCGTGCAAATGAGCAGCCTGAGATGAGGCTGGATATGTGGATGAGAGTTGGTTCCTGAGGAGCCCTGTGGGACATTTGAAGAAAATGAGATTTTCCTTTTTTCTTTGCAGAGGAGACTGATATAACTTACTTCTCATTTTTAAAACTCTGGAAGGTTTGCAAGAGTGGGTAAGAGAGAGCTGAATTAGCAGTTCTATCTCAGTGATCCATGGTGGTGATGTTGATTACTCTGGTAGCAGTGAAGATTTTGTTAATTTTCTGAAATTTTGAAAATATTTCACACAAGATAGAAAAGCATAATGGATAATAGAATTGATTTAGGATATTTTTTGCCATTTTGCAATGTGCCCCCTTTACCCTGCCTCCATGCACACACATCTGAAAGCTTTTTTAGTGGTTAGACTGCCAACTATGTGTAATTCATTGGTACCTATTAAAGTTAAAGCATTCTTAAAAATATGCATAGTAAAATCTCTTTTAAGACTTTCTTTTTCATTCACAAAAGATTTATGGAGACATGGCATATATGTCAGGAAATGTATTAGGTGCTGGGGCTAAAAAAATGTGAATAAAGAATGATCCTGTTTTTGAAGAGCTGCCAGACCTTGCTTTGTTTATAAATTTTGCCAACAGCATAATAAAGTTTTTGCTATTAGAAAGCAGTGCCATTTATTGTACAATATATAATATAATTTGTCAAATTATAGATTGGAAAATTAGTCATTGTATAAAGAGATAACATATTTGTAAGATAATTTACAACTTATAAAAACAGTAACACATTTGGGGTCTCATAAAACCTCTCCAAGTCAGTGTTTCTCAATGTGGGGAGAGGCTGTCAATGATTAATTTTGCTGCCAGGGGAAGTTTGGCAGTATTTGATGACATTTTTGTTTGTCCCAACTGGAGGGGTGCTACTGGCATGTAGTGGGTAGAGACCAGGAAGGCTGTAAAACATCCTACAATGCACAGTATAGCACCTTTCAACCGATAATCATCCAGTACAAAATGTCAATAGGCAAGGGTGAGAAACCCTGTACTAAGTGATTTCCTTTTTGACCATAAGAAGGATTGCCTACCTGAGGTGAGAGGATTGCTGGAGCCCAGGAGGTCAAGGCTGCAGTGAGCCGTGATTGTGCCACTGCACTCTAGCCTGAGCAACAGAGTGAGACCCTGTCTCAAGAAAAAAAAAATTGTCTTAAACATGATCTAACTCTTAATTTGGCACACTCTTTATTATACTACACTGCTTGTTTTAGAAGCTTTAATAGTTGATATTCAAACTAAATATATTTATATATGCACTTAAAATTGGCTGTTTCTTGTATATTTTCATGAAGCTGTCATGTTAATATATTAGTATCCAGACATCCTAGCCAGCTAGGATGTTGTTCCCAAGCCTGTGTGGACTATATTCTGAATTAAATAAAGCCATGAAATATCAAAACAGTTTAAGTACAAAAATATATAACCCCTGTGCCATATTATAGGTACTTAAATGATAATTTCTTACAACATAAATGTGAAATAAACTCTGAACGCATGATGATTGCTCTGGTATTTCCTTTTGTCTTGATGCAGTATACTTGCACATATGATCACATCAAATTGCATTATCAAATTTAAATGTCATTTCCATGCTTTTTTATTTGATTATATCTCCATTTATAGTTATTCCATTTTATGTGAAAGAAACTGGAAATATCATAAATCACTTTCATTGAGACCATCTCTATTTATCTATAGATCAGATAACAAATAGTACAAGTTATTTAATGAATGTGACATAGTATAGTGGTATAATCTCTCTGTGCCCAACTTCAGATCTCATCAGTAATATCCTGATTGCTTAAACTTGAAGTAGATACAATGAAAAGGAATTCTAAATATTTCTATGTACCCTTTAGAAATTATACCTCCTACGCAATAGTGACAACTCACATTTATAGGCTGTGACAGTATTTTGTGATTTAGTTGAAACGTAAGACACATTTTCCACATTTTCTTTTCCCAGGAGAAATAATCATGATAGAATAAGTGTGCTTAAGGTTTCTAGGACACAGGAGAACGCCACCCCTCATTGGGATAATGTGGCAAATTGGACACAGTGAAAGAGCAGTCAGAGAGAGAAAGTAAGACTGGCTTGTAGGCCTAGTAAACCGTGGTCCACAGGGCATGATTTGAAGGGATAAGGGAAGTGCTTTTTCCCCTGCAATGTCTAATCAGCTCACCTGCCCTCAGGCCTTAAGTTCCAACAGAAAAGATTGATCCATTACGTATATTAAAAAATTGTTTTGTCTTGAGCAGACCATTATGAAAATGTCAGTGATCTGAGATGAAGCAAAAGTTGTTAACCATTAGAATAAAACCATTTAGCAAGGCTTCCTTAGCCAAAGGTGTCTATGCTGGAATACTGTGTTGAGAGAAAGGCCTTTTGGAAATGAGACTCAAGTGGAAGATACTTGTGATGAGGGTCAAGGCAAAACAAGGTCTTCTTGGCTTGGCCTTTGCCTACGTCACTGGCTTTATTTTTTAAGAGATCCATCTTTTTGAACTCAGGCTACCTTCTTCTCTAACACTATTTCATACCTTCATGCCTGTGTCCCTTCCACTCTCTTCCCAGTGTCTCCTTCCTTTCCCTGCCTATTGACGGATTGCTTACTCAAAATACAGTCATATGTTGCTTAACAATGGTGATATGTTCTGAGGAGTGTGTCATTAGATTATTTAATCATTGTGTTAGCATCATACAGTGTACTTAGGCAAACCTAGATGGTGCAGCCTGCTCCAAACCTGGGCTATATGGCATAGCTATTGCTCCTGGGTTACAAACCTGCACCACAGCATATTACTGTACTGAATACTGTAGGCAACTATAACACAATGATATTTGTTTATCTAAACATAGAACACAGTAAATATAGTATTATAAAATTACAGTATTTTAATCTTTTGGGACCATCATCATATATGCAGTCCATTTTTTTTTTTTTTGAGACAGAGTTTTGCTCTCGACCCCCAGACTGGAATGCAGTGGCATGATCTCAGCTCACTGCAATCTCTGCCTCCTGGGTTCAAGAAATCCTTCTCCCTCAGCCTCCTGAGTAGCTGGGATTACAGGCACACACCACCATGCCCAGCTAATTTTTGTTTTTTTAGTAAAGACAGGGTTTTGCCATGTTGGCCAGGCTGTTCTCGAACTCTTGACCTCAAGTGATCCGCCTGCCTTGGCCTCCCAAAATGTTGGGATTACAGGCGTGAGCCATTGGAGTCCATTGTTGACTGGAATGTCGTAATGTAGTTAGTGACTGCATTAATCAGGACAAGGAAGAGAGTCACAACTCTAAGAACCTTAAGCAACACATAAGTATTTGGCTTGTGCCTCTGGGAAGGATAGTGCAACACCTAACACAGTTGAAGAAGGAGCTGGAAGAACCATGGCCTTGGACTACCAGGATTAGTGTCAAGGGTTCAATGCTATTTGCCCTCTCTCTTTTTCTTTTCTGCTTGCCTCTGCTCCTTATGACTCTTGGCCTTATTTCCTTCTGCTGTCAAAGGGCTTATCCTACATGTGGTTGGAGGGGGGTGATGGTACTGCCTCAGTAAACCCAGTTTAGTCATCTCAGGTGACAAAGAATTTTTTTCTCCTGATGTCTATATATCAGGCCCAGGGAAATACTGATAAATTCTCTTTGGCTGTTACACCCACTTCAGGACCAATCCCTGAGTCCAATGGAATAAGGGAATATGACTGGCTGGAACTCAGTTATACATATACTCTTGTGGCCAGAGGTCAGGATCCATAACCAGAAGAAAGGGGAGCAAAGACATGTGGGGCAGCCAAGCAGTGGCTACACAACACGCAGGACTCTAATCAGCACTTAAGGCCCACTAAGGGAGGGACTCTATGAAGCCTTTTGTGACCCTGAAGTGAGAATGGGCACCCCTTCTTGGTGCCTCTGCCTATTAATGAACCTAAACCATTGTATTACATTTGTGTATTTACAATTTTGAAAGCTTTTTAAAGTTGATAATGCTTTTGTAATATTTTCAGATAATTGATTTATGTCCCCTTAGCTCCTCCACCTAGATCAAGAGTGTGCTAATGACTCATATGAAGGCTGGGGTTAAGCTAAATGAATATTATTTTAATTTCACATCTCTCTTTTATTAGTACATCTAGGCAAAGCCAGCCTTATTCACAGAACATTCTAGCTTTTGGTCTTCTCTTGGCCTTATTATACAAAAATACTTCAAACACTACAAGTACAATTTTCTTTCAACAAATGAGACCAAAAGAACTGCAGAAATAATCTGTTTTAGCAAATGTGCCTTTAGTAACTTTTTAAATTTTTTTAAAATTGATTTTGAAGAATTCCACTTTTTAATAGTATAATGAACACCCACATAGCCAGTATCCATCTCTAGAAGTAAAACTTTCCCAACTTCTGAAGACAGTTTGGACTTCTGGACTCTGGGCTTCCGGACTCCATTTGAATTTCCTTCCCTGTCCTTTCTCAGATATAACTGTCTTGAATTTGCTGTTTCTCATTCCTATGCATTTCTTCTTATTTTTCTTCTTTGTTAAGCCTGGTTACAAAAACATGAACAAACAGCTCCTCTGTGTAGATGAGTATCAGTGTCGGTGACATTCCTCACCCTAATCTGTGTTTAAATGTCTCTTTCTAGTAGGTGCTACATTTCTTCCCATGTCCTCCCAAGTGGTGGGCACTGACTCTGTTAATGTTGTTGAGTAAATGACATGAAGATACAAAAAGACAAAGCAGAAATGTGCTCAAAAAGACCAAAACCCATTTCCCAATTTTGTTCAGGGACATGGAAAGGCTCTAGTGTGTGTTTCATGGTCTTCATCAGACCAGGTTGTTCTCAATACTTTGCTAATAAAATAGCCTTTAATTTTAATTCTAGGCATACTAGGTATCTGGAAGAATATACATGAGTGATAAATCAAAATTGCGGTGGCCTTTGACAGTGGTTCAATTTTGAATTCCTGCTTTCTCTGCATGTTAGAAGGAATTTATATTTTGAATTTTTCCTGCTTTTCAGGAAGAAGCATAATGAAGGAGGGGAGTTGGGAATACCTGACTTTCCCAGTTACTGGCTCTGTAAACTTGGGCAAGTTCATTTATGCTCCCTGAGTCCATTTCCTCATTGGAAAAATGGGCATGATAATAACTGTTCTGCCTAGTTTTGGAAGTTGCTTTCAGAAAAAAAAGAGAGACAATTCCTAAACTAGGAAAGACCACAAGTATAAAGGAGACTAGCTTTGGTAGAGGCTCTTCTGTGTTCCGTCATGGGGTTAGGAAGGATGGAGATGGTTACTCTGCCGGAGTGGACTTTTTTTAGACTTAAGGCTCAATCTTAATAATTCTAATTAATTATTTCCAATATTTTATTGGAATTTGTGAAAATTCCAATAAAATATTGGAAATAATTGTGAAAATGGTCTTGTATTCATGTGTTCAGACATATTCCTAGCCAGAACTCAGATGCTAAAACTTTACTTACTATGTAACAGATTGGTAAATGTGATTTTTTTCCTCTGGTATTGAAACTTCAACAGAGGGCCCAAGATCTGAGAAGATCTGGGAACAAAAAAATAGATAACAAAACATTCACCTTCTGAAGTGAGGTTCCAGAGTTCTGGCTCTGCCTGTGTATCTTTTTACAGTGATGGAACGTTCTATATTGGTTCTATCCAATATGGTAGCCTGCTAGCCACAGGTAGGTATTGAGCATGTGAAATAGGACTAATGAGATCGAGGAACTGAATCATTTATTTTATTTTTATTAAAATTTAAATTTACATAGCCATATACGGTAAGTGGCTACTGTGTTGGACAGTGTAAACTAAGACCACTTATAATGATCTTGCAAAGGAAGTGGTTAAAACTTAGTGTGGCTTCTGCTCATCTGGCCCGTCATGCACTTCCATGGTATGTAAGAAAGGTGAGTGTTCATTGGAAGGTAGAAGAGGACTGTTATGAGAATCATCTGTAGACAATTTTTTTTTTTTGAAATGGAGTCTCACTCTGTCACCCAGGCTAGAGTGCAATGGCACGATCTCAGCTCACTGCAACCTTCGCCTCCTGGGTTCAAGCAACTCTCCTGCCTCAGCCTCCCGAGTAGGTGGAACTACTGGCGTGTGCCACCACACCTGGCTAATTTTTGTATTTTTCATAGAGATGGGGTTTCACTATATTGGCCAGGCTGGTCTCGAACTCCTGATCTCGTGATTCGCCCACCTCGGCCTCCCAAAGTGCTGGGATTACAGGCCTGAGCCACTGTTCCTGGCCAATTTTTTTTTCTCAATGTGTTATGAATTCTTCATCTCTTCTATGATGAGGAAGAGCATAGTGCTTGCCCTCATATCTCACACCAATGAATTTTTCTTTAAAGCACCACTAAGGAGTTTACAGATAGACAGGAATTGTCTGATGCAATTCCTGAAGAAGAAGAGTCTACAGGTGAGAGACTAGTTGTGCTAAAGAGGGTTCCACTTTGCTCAGCTTTCTGAGCAAAGATACCTGGCCAACTGTAGACCAGATATGTGTCTGTTAGGGGAGTGTATCATGGCTCATTTTAACAGAGACCCATACAAGAGGAGTGAGGTGACCTCAAGTGCAGGGTTGAACTTGGACACTAGAGTCTACCAGAGAAATCTTAAATAGCCAGAAGGAACAGGTATTGTCCATGCCAGGCAAGCAGCTGCATATCTTGAGTGTAAATCTCTGCAGAACCTGCAGAAGGGCCTGACTCCAAAAGGAGTCAGTTTCAGATATCTGCAAAACTCACAAAAAATCAAAGCTAGATATAAATCTGCAAAAATCAAAGCTAGATTATCAATGTTCTTACTCACGGCAGATCTTTTCTGTCTTACATTGCCCTTCCCTCTCTCAACTCCAGGCCCTATGCTCAACCCTGGAGAACCAGAGGCTTCATAGTGAGTAGAGGAGGAGGAGTCAAGGAAAATGATCCAAAGCCAACCAAACTTTTTTTCCCCATCACAGATTTTCCAGCCTGAGGCAGGCTTGGGCTGAGGGAAGGAAGAAATTTTCAAAAGGATTTGAGATTGCATTAGATTGCACTGGAATTTTTCATATTTGAAAGTATTCAAAAAAGTTATGTCATCTGCTTAGAGTTTTATCCAGGATCTAAGAAAAATCATTTGACAGTATGAGTTAAATACGAATTGGTTAGAAAGACTAAATTTCCTCTCTTGCACCTGCTGAGCCCAGGCCATTCAGTAAACTGATTACAATAATATGAATAATTATACATTATTAATGATATATTAATAATGATAGTGATGAATAGCTAACATTTATCAAGTGTTTACAACCTGCTAGATACTCTTCTAATCATTTTATCTGTTTTAACCTCTCAGCTGGAGATACATATGAAACTGATTTCCGTCTATATCTGATTTAGTTAGATAACTGGATCATAAAGCTTTGTCAGTCACATTGGAAGATCCAATTATGCCTTTGGAAAATCATTATCTATTATTTATTAAACACACATATCAAACATTTCACATGCATTATTGCATCTACTACTTTAACAGTACTATGAAAATATTACTGATTTCATCCACGTTTTAGAGGAGTAAGTTGAATTTCAGAGATGTGAAGTCAATTTGCTTGATCGCAGGGCTAGGCTGGTAATACAGGGCTGTCAGGCCTCAGTGCTTTGCCCTTTATCAATACCCTACATCAGAGGAAAGATAAGAATCACCTGTTTTCTCTTTTTGAAAGAAGTGCATTAATTACAAATGTTTTGTTCAAGCAAAATAAAACAAATGGTATATCTGAACCTTGTAAACCACTTTGAGTACTGAATAAAAATAATCAATATTAAAATTAGTTTCTTCTTTTGACTTATATTGATGATAAACTCCTCACTTTAGTATGGATAAAAGGGTATACAAGAAATGGTTTAAATTCATGGTCAACCTGTATTATTACAAAAATACTAAAAACAAAAACAAAGGGAAGTCTTCATTTCTGACCCCCTTGAGTACTTCTGACCCTCCAAATCTTCTTCCTCTCCACTTTATTTCATTGTTGTTTTTAAAATGAATTCCAAAACCCAAGAGAGGGATAAGGCTCTTACCAAGAAGAAAAGGAAGAAGCTATGTGGTTACGGTTCAGTGTGTTCTGAACTTTTGAAATTTGGGGCCTATTTATACTTCAAGACAAACAGAGATCATGTTAACGACAGCAGATGTTGCAAGGAAAGGATAGAGTTTATTATAGACTGGTCTATGTGGAGTCAGAAGCAATAGGCCCTTTCTGTGGAGGAAGTTGGGTGGCAGCTACAACTCGACTAGATAAAGCTTATTATTTTACTGTGATCTAGGCTGAGAGCATAATGTGGTGCAATCTCTGTTGGTTAGATTCACATGCTACTCCTAGTACAATTTTTTTGGCTAGTTCCAGGCATTACTTCCAAAACCATGTAGGTTGCTCAAATGCAAGGAAAATACCTAACCATTGTGAAAGGGGTAGGAGATGCCTCATATTTGCAAATATGATTGGAAACATTTATCTTTCTTTTTTCCACCACATCTTCTAAATATTAGCATTTAATAAAATACACATTTCTTTCATTTATTTTGAACTCCCTCCAAAGCCAGCAAATACCAGAACCTCAAATGTTATGATAGGATAGGTTCTTTATTGGTTTGTTTTCTTTTCATTCTTTCTGTTTTTACTGTGTGACTCTTTTTCATTATAAATCCTTATGTTTCCAACTCAAGGAGCCTGACTAATCAGAAGGGCTTCCAGCAGAGGTAGACAAATATTCTCAACATGGTCCTGAGACCCTACAGATGCAGATAGCTCTGCTATTCACAGGAAATGAAGAAGTCAGGTCCATCGGAGACAGGGGATTTCCTCTTCAGATAAAATATATTAGCTGCTGCATATTAGTTCCATAAAGCTCAGGGATAGAGACAAGATGATTTCAGCTGGTGAGGGAAATGGCTTCTTCTTGTCCTGAATGCCACTGAAAACAGAGCCTGGGACAAAGACTTGCGTATAGGTTATTTATTTGGGAGATGGTTCCAGGGAACAGGAGTGGGGGACTGCATTAGTGAAACAAAGAAGGAGGGAAGGCAACTCAGGATGCCTACAGGAAATACTGATCTTGTGAGGCTTTCTCAGGATCCTTATGAAATTTATCCCAACACTGCCCATGGGAAAAAGGAGAAGGGACAGGTTCCTGTCTCTGATTGGTTAAAGTATCCCCAACACCAACACTTCTTGGTTGCACACGTATGAATGCTAAGTGGTTCATCTCATGCAGTAACATCAGAGAGGCCTGGGGCAGAAGGCAGGACACTGTTAGCTTCCTCCTGCATGGAACTGGGAGCCTCATCAGTGGCTAAAGTAAAAGATGAGACCAAGAAGATTTGAAGTAGCACACAAGAGGTACCTGATACAGCCTCCTAAGGAAATGGTTATGATAGTATTGTTGTTCATAGTCAACTCAGAAAGATCTGAATTGAGATCCCATCTGTTGCACATACTAGCTGTGTATCTCTAGGCAAGTTATTTGCTCCTAGCCTCAGTCTTCTCATTTTTATAGATGGCGCTTACCTCATTTGGTTTTTGTGATGAGTAAAAACATTACATAAGATTACTGCCTAATATGTTGCATATATTCAATAAGTATTCAAATTTTATATTGAGTATTGAGTGTATATTCAACACATATTCAAATAATATATTATTAGTAATAGATATATATGTTTAATGAGTTTGGCCTGGGTCCCAGAACAGTGGTGGCAAAACACTATTTAGAGAAGTGAAAAGGAAATTAAAAGATGTAGAACTCATATCTTCCATTGGATAGCTAAGATTCATGTATAAATAAGTACAATATAGATTTCTGTTAGGTGAATCTGAGACGTGAAGATTCCAAAGTGATTTCAAAGTCATTAAAAAAAGGAATGCAATATAAATATGATATTTTATGTTTAATTTTATTTACATTTATGGAAAAATGTTCAACCAGGACTATTGATGATTTCAAAGGAGCCTTATCCACTGCAGGAATATTTGCCTCTCTTGTCATCCATATTTATATCCATAAAATAGGAATGTTGAGCCAGAAGATTCCCAAACTGAACTTTAATTCAATTCTATATCTGAAAATAATTTTTTTTTGGTTGAGATGGAGTCTTGCTCTGTCGCTCAGGCTGGAGTGCAGTGGTGCCATCTTGGCTCACGGGAACCTCTGCCTCCCGGGGTCAAGCAATTCTCCCGCCTCAGCTTCCCGAGTAGCTGGGATTACAGGCAGCCGCCACCATGCCCGGCTAATTTTTTGTATTTTTAGTACAGATGGGGTTTCACCATGTTGGCTAGGATGGTCTTGATCTCCCGACTTCAGGTGATCCGCCCTCCTCGGCCTCCCAAAGTGCTGGGATTACAGGCATGAGCCACCGTGCCCAGCCAATTCCTTTTAAATCAGTCCTGCACATTGACTAGCTAGAATATCTGTTTTGTCAGTTATGTAAAAAAAAAAAAAAAATGACTAAAGCATAGATGTCAGGTACACACAAAAAAACTTACTGTGTATTTATTCATTAAATGTAATTATATTGACTGTTCCAAACTCAAGATGGATTTATAAAAGTTGGTTATTTGCAATGTATTTCACACAATGACCATGTTAAAAATCATAGGAAAACCTTTACGTCAGTGAACAAAAGTCTATTTCAATCATAATATTCCATAAACACATTTTACTAATATTTTTCTGGATTCTGAACAGTATGTGTTACAATGATTCTTTTTCCCATAGAAAGAGTGCTGTCTTTTGATACAAAGATCACTATCATTTCTGCAACAATGGTCTCTAGAAAATCTTCCCAGGGGTTGGGCTTAAGAACTTTTTCCGAGTATCCTAACTTCCTCCGAAGTGAGATACTCTTGAGAGGGAAAGGGAAAACAGTTAATAATTTTGCTGGGACAACAAGAATAAATCATCACTGCCCTGAAAAACATGGGGATGTGTGGTTGTCCTAGTCATACACCCCTGGAAGTGTTTCCATGGCCTTTTTGTGGACACCAGCAATATGGAAGCTGTCATTTGTTTTCATTTTCATTTTGGTTCATTCAACAAATGTTTACTGAGACTCTACCAGGTACAACATACTTGGAATGTAGTGTGATAAAGGTGAACATGGTGCTTGACTTTGAAGAGCTCATAGTCTAGTGTGAAAATGAGACATTAAAAAACTGATTGTAATACAAAGCACAAATGTGATAACCAGGAAAGTTCAGGGCATCAAGGGAGCACGTAGTAGGGGGACCTATGCTTATGATCTAAGGCAGGAGTTAGCAAACTTTTCTGAAAAGGGTCAGATAGTAAATATTTTAGTTTTTAAAGGCAACTGTTTTGGGCTAGAAGGGCCATAAATGGTCTTCATTTCTCCTTCTCCTGCTCTTTCTTCCCTTTCTCCTCCTGTTCTTTTTCTCTTTTTCTTCTTTTTCTTTTAATATCCTTTTAGAAGTTTAAAACCATTCTTAGCCTGAGGGCTGTTTCATAACAAGCCATGGGCAAATTGGCCCTATGGGTCATAGTTTGTCAATATTTGATTTAGGAGAGAAGGGAAATCTTCTTGGAGCAAGTGATATGGAGGTTGAGATTTGAAAGACAAGTTATCATTGTATAGAAAGAGTTGTTGGAAAAAGTACATGAGATGGTGGGACAATCTGTGCAAAAGCCCATAGATTAGAGACTGTGTTGTATCTTTAACAAATGAAAAGAAGTCCAACCTGGCTGGAGAATGGACCAAGATGATATTGGAACATGAAATCTCAGTTCCCAGAATATATAATAACCCATGTTAAGGAGTTGGGACTTGATTCTAAGGGCAGTAACACATTCATAAAGGATTTTAAATGAGGAAATATCATGATTAGACCTGCATGTTTAAAAGAGTATTCTGACTGTGTTGCAGAGAATAGATTGGATAGGGACAAGAGATAAATCAGCAAGTTCAGTACAGAATAATGACATAGGAGATAATGAGGCAGCAAATGATGAGGATGATTACATGAGAAATACATGGATTCCAGTGAGATTTGTGAAGTGAAATTAGCTGGACTTCTTGATTGATTAGAGGTAAGAGATGAGGAAAAGAGAGGAGGAGGGAGGGATGACTTTGAGGTTGCTCCTTAAACAACTGAGTGGCTGGTGGTGCCATGTACTGGGAGAATCCTGCAGGAGAAGCAGATTTGAAGAATTCAGTTTTAGACATATTGAATATGAGGTATATGATAGTCATCCAAGTGGTGATGCCCTTTAAGGAATTAAATATGCAGTTCTGAAGTTTACATGACAGGTCAAAGATTTGAGGATCACCCTGTAGATGTAACCAAGGCTCAGGGACAGAATAAAATTATGTGTGCAGAATAAGAGCCCCCCAATGTTGAAGGAATGACTAGACAAGGACGATCTCACAAAGCATATTGAGAAGGAGTAGACAGACATATAGGAGGAATACAGGGTAATTTTAGAGTCACCAAATTCACAGAATAAAAGCATTCCAAGGTGGGTGGGATGATACAGTATCAAATCCTTCAACTAGGGAAAAAATGAGTCCTGAGAAGAAATTATTGGATCTGATAATATAGACTTTATTGATAATCTTGATACAAGCAGTTTCAGAGAAGTGGCATGGCTGGAAGTCAGACGGGAATGGGTTGGGGGTAAGTGGGAGTACGTAGGGATGGTGAGAGTAAAACATTTTACCAAGAAGTCTAGCAAGTATGAAAGGTTGGAGGAAAAAGGACAGAGTGGTAGCTGGAGTTGGGGAAAGGATCTGTTAAGATCCAGGAGGTCTTAGACATGTTTTAATATTCATGAGGATAAGTCAGTAGACTTAGAGTAAAAGTACGGGAGCAAGATTTCTTGATAAATTGGGAGGATGTGGGTTTCAGAGCACAGGTGGAAGAAATTGAGTTTGCCAATGAGGCCAGCCTGTACTCTGTTCACCTGGTATGGGATGCATCATACTGGAGGTGCCTTGTTCACAGTTGCAAAAAGTCACCCTGTAGGCTAGAGGGCCTTTTGCAGGAATAGGAACATCAAATGAGGCAAAAGAAAGCAGAAAGGATGAGTGAAGATGCTGATGGATTTATTTTCAGATACCATTTTTAGTTCAACATTCTTTCTTGGGACAGTGTCACATTTTTAATTTGGAAATCACTCCCCAGCATACTTAATGTCAACAAACTTATCAGGCTGTCATGGTAGCAATGATTTCTTATTTATTGATTATTATAAATATACACATTGATATAAAGCAATTCTTATATATTCAGCAATTCTTTTAAGTGAACATGTTTTAGTAATCACCACACAGATAATCAAATTTGAAAGAAAAAGTGTAGAAATCTATTCATCAAATTAATATTTTTCCAGTTTACACAATGCTTGGCTAGCATATGAATTCTCAAATCCTTTGCAATAATTTTGAGAGTTCAACTTATAGCAACACTGCCACATCTCAGATCATCAGAGCCAGGGTCTGAGCTCAACTTTAGAGAAAGGCAACCTCACATATAAAAGCTAATGGTACTTCGTCGGCTTTCCAGAGAATTAAAGTAAAATTCAAAATATTTCAGAGGAGAATCAGATTCACACTTTTCTAGACATTTCATTACAAGAATTTGGCTTGGGATGGGACTGTAGGGAAAAGGTGTTAATGGACAGATGACAAAATGGGACAGAGTTTAGGGATGGAAGTGGAGTATCAGTGATTCAATGGATGGAAAATAGTTTTGGCATTTACTGACCCCTCTTCCACTTGTTCCTCCTCCTTCTGCTGCTCCTCCTTTCCCTCTTTCACCTCCCTCTTTCATTAGTCATGTTACCCTTTTTTTTTTTTTACCATGGGAGAATTAGAGATGATATATATATAAAGTTATCCTTGACAGGGTGGGGAAAGGATTTTCAATTTGTAGCAGAAAGGAAGGGCCTACTTGGGCTGCAGTATCTCTTAGACAGGTTGGAAGCATTATTTTCAGTTTCTTACATGCATAAAGGGCCATATGTAGATTGCAGATGCATAAATTGTGAATGACTGCATTCAATATGTAAGTCAACAACACTGTTCCTGTGGACCTATGATCAGAAGAAAGAAATTGGGATGGAGACAGCAGCAGACACAACAGGCAACGGTATCAATGAGCTGTTTCAATTGTGAAAAAATTTCGAGAGAGGAAAGTCACCTAGTAATCATTATCAGGCTTTGATTTTCCCAAGTCCTTCCTTTACTTCTATGATTATACATTTAGGGAAAATTACAAATGATCTCCATAAGTTTTACCCTGGGGCATTTAATATCTGTAAATGCTATCTGTATCACCGAATAGACTTAATTTTCATCCAAATTAGTATTAAGTTTATTTAATTGAATTTGTATTCTAAAAATTGATACTCTGTGTATAATGCCTGTCTGTATATAAGACATAAAGAATAACTTCAGCTAGCCAGCACCTGTGATTAATCACAATTGCCCTTCTCTGCCCATGACCATGAAGCAGGCAAAGATTTTTTTTAATTTTTATTTTTTGGCTTTTGCTTTATCACTTCCCCTTTCTACTTCAAGCATCTATCCTAGCCTCATTTCCAGTTGTTACTGGATGTTTGCACTTTAATAGAAAATTGCTGTCAGTAAAAAGCCTTTAAGGTCCAACTAAATGAATCTTAGTGGACTTTTAGATGGAAATGGGGCCCTATGGGAGAGACATTTTCCAGAGAGGAACAGTCATCAATCTGTGCTGCTGGCATTGCAGGTGTATCGTGGAGTTCTGAGGAGTAGCTCTAATACAGGGTCTCTACTTGTGCAGTCAAACTATTTTTGAGGCTCTTTGACCCAGAATCCCCCTGGAGCTACTGTCATATTCTTCTTCATTGCTTCATAGTCAAATTTCTTAAAGAGGTCTGCCCACATTGACTCTTCCTTACCTCTTACTCACCCTCTCCTCACTGCCATGGGCTTTTCCCCTCATCACTTCACTGAAATTGCACTGGCAAACATTAGTCATTGCTAAATTGACTGGTATTTTGTCCTTACTTTATGATCTCTGGGGAATTTGACACCAAGTCCACTCCCTGGTTCTTAAAATCCCATCCTCCTTTGATTTTTCAAGGCAGTGCACTCTCCTGGTTCTTCTACTTCTCGGTACTGTAGTAACTGAAAGGTGGAGCTGGGTTGGGAACATAATGTCCACAACAGCCCTCATTCTTTGATATGGACAACTGAGTTTTCTCAATTATTTGATTAAATACTCTACTATGCAAACAAATCTTCAAGCCCTCTTCTGACCTCATTGCTGATCTCAGTCCTTTTGAAATAGGAGTTTGGGAGCCACCACTACCTCAGACATTGCCTCCTCTTCATATTCTCCCTCTGAATCCTCTTCTACCTATACCTCCAATGTTAGTATTCTCTAAAGTTTGTCTTTAACTGCCTTCTCCTTTTCCTCTTAATTTTTCTCCTCCTGATCTTATCAAAGCCCAGGCCTTCAACTATCAGGTCTGTGATGAAGATCCCAAATCCCTATCTCTAACCTAGTCTTACCCTTCATCCACTACCTCCAGATCTGAATATCCAACTATTTTACCTAGACAACATCTCTGTTCCACCTGTTTTAGAATGCCTTATTTTCAACAGTACACTCTCCACCCAGTCTCCCAAATTAGTAGTCACCCTTGACTGCACCTCCCTCGGTTCCATCCTTCACAGAGTCACAAAGACTTGCAAAGTTCTTCTTCTTAATAGCTGCTAAATCCATCCTTTCTTCTTAATTTTCTTGCTACTGCTTTGGTGTGAGCTTTTACCTGAGCTATAGCAGTAAATACTGTTCTTCTTTTACTAGTCTAAATGTCTATAATTCCACAGTCTACAGAAAGAAGTGCTCTTTTCTAAAATGTTAATCTGATTATGTAAGTGTCTGTATAAAACTTGTACTGGCTTCCCTTTATCTTATAGAAGAAAATCTCAGTTCATTGGTATAACATTTGATGTGCTTTGTAATCTAACCTCTATCACAAGACTCTGGTCTCCTTTTCAGGTACCACTCTCCTTTGCAGTATGATAAACACTGCTTGTTGCTTGAGGCCTCTGTACCTCTGGGCAATATGTTATTCTGGTTTTGTCTTTCGTTTGATGGGTGTCTATGCTTTATTTACCAATCTAGAAAATAGATTGCATGCCAGAAGAGATTGCAGAGTAAACTCCCTTTCTACAGGTGTTGGTTGACTAAAATTGTCAGAGGGAGGATAAAGAAAGATAGAAGATGTAGCTATTCTGATCTCATTAGTGCCTCCTGTCAGTATTGGCATGGCTGATGTGACTCTGAGGTAGCAACAGACTTTTGGAAATAAACTAGCTACCCTTCAAATGAGGATCACTGGAGCAGAAATGTGAATGGTCTGCATTCCCTCCAAAACAGTAGAGCATCTTGACTTATATTTATGTTTATTTCCAGATGAGCTTTCCAGGAATTAAAACACAAAATGTGTACCATCTGCATCCTTTTGGTGTAGTACAGGGAGATGCTGAAGTCATCATGTAGTTGATATTTGAAGAGAAAAGTTTGCAAGATTCTTTAATATGTCATCAATCAGGCATGTTGCTACATTTTAGGTCATAGTTTACAACAGACCTCCTTGGGAGAGAGGAGACTTGAGACTTTGGTTTCCTTCTGAATTTAGATAATAAGTATGTGGCTTTGGTAGTTCATTGCCTACTGTATGGCACACTGGTTTAAAAAAAGATAATAAAATTATAGTTATTCCCCTCCTTCTTCTGGCTTGGAATTATATTGAATAATCTGGATTTTGTTTGTTTGTTTTTTGTCAATCCTCATTTTAGTGCTTGAGACTGCTAGGGGGAAGTTCTCCATTAACTAGAGCCCTCAAATAACCAGAATCATAATTGCCAGGAGAAAAGAAAATGCACTGTGATAGACTTAGTAAAAAAAATATAGAAATAAAGTACTTCTTGACTGTATCCTCACAGTCCCTTCTGATTCAAGCAAATTACTGGAACACCCACCACTATAAAGCTATTAATATATAATGAAAACAGATCAGAACCATCATTCAGAAGCAACAAAAGGATCCTCAATCAATTAGACACTCTGAAGGCCCAGCGTTTTTATTACTAAGACCACAAGGGGAGAAATGTACCTTTTTAGATAAACCTTCAACAATATTTTCATAAGTCCTTCATCTTTGTTTATGTAGCACTTTCTATAAATGTTTATGGAGCACTCTGTATACAGACATTTATTGCAGCACACATTACATGCCATCATTGTGCTTTGTCTATTTGTCTTTTCCTCTTACATTTTAGTGCTTTGAGGGCAGGGGGCCATTTATCTTTGTTTCCTTGTTATCTAGAACAAACTACAGGAAAGCTTAACACCTATTTAATTGAAGGTAACCGCAAGCAAAAAAAAAAAAAAAAATTGATTTCTGATAATTCTGAATCCCAGAAAAAATTTGGTACATTTGAATTATCTATTCCTTTTTCTTTCTCTTTTAACAGTGCATTTATTAATTTATTATTTAATTTCTTATTTGATGACATTCAAATACTCTCTCCATTTATCAAAAGAATTTTGATATTTTAAAGTACCTTTCATAGTTCTCATTCTGTCTGCATTCTAAATTTGCTTTTTCTAGATCTTGGAATCAAAGTTTCTTGTTCAGTTATTAAAATTTGTATTATATTTTAATTAGTTTCTAATTTGTACCAATTTCTCAGAAACACTTGGTAATTTCATTATTTGGAGGAACAGTTGGTATTTGGTTACATGAGTAAGTCCTTTAGAGGTGATTTGTGAGATTTTGGTGCACCCATCACCCGAGCAGTGTACACTGAACCCAATTTGTAGTCTTTTATCTTTCACCTGCCTCCTATCTTTTCCCCTGAGTCGCCAAAATACACTGTTTAATTCTTACGCCTTTGCATCCTCATAGCTTAGCTCCCACTTATGAGTGAGATCATACAATGTTTGGCTTTCCATTCCTGAGTTACTTCACTTAAAATAATAGTCTCCAATTCCATCCAGGTTACTGCAAATGCCACTAATTTATTCCTTTGTATGGCTGAGTAGTATTCCATGACATATATATAATATATTATATATTATACGTATAATATATATAATATATTATATATTATACATATAATATATATAATATATAATAATATGTATTTTTATCCATTCGATTGATGGGCATTTGGGCTGGTTCCATATTTTTGCAATTGTGAATTGTGCTGCTATAAACATGTGTGTGCAAGTAGTTTTCTTGTATAATGACTTCTCTATTCTGTATTGAGGTCTTATAAAATAAAACATAGTAATTACTTCCACAAATTTTATTGTTTGAGATATGATTAATATGATATAATTTTTGAATTTTATCAATAAAAATGTGGAAATTAATTTTCTCTTTTAATAAGTGTGTACATAATATCCTTGATTTTTCCTCTTGGCCACAAAGCCTAAAATTCTTACTCTTTGGTCTCTTATGGAAATTTTGCTGACTTCTGCACTATAAAATACTAATATAAACTTATATAAAGTTGGAGAAAAAATTAGTTTCTAAAAATCTTTCCAATGCAATATTTAACACTAGCCTGGACATTGAAATCATGAATTCTGTGTCTCACCTATATCTATTTCTAATCCTTCTTTTGTATCTTGTTTTACTTTGCATAGGGCTGAATGAATAACAGGTGCTTAATGAAAACTGGTTAATTGATTTATTTCTCTAGCTGCCCAGTTTTAGGAAAATATTTTGCTTTATCATACTGGAATTTAACTAATGGAATGCTAAAAATGCAATGTAAACATGAGCATTTATAATGAGGATTATTTTAAATGACTTGGCTCTACTATGAGGAATATGCTCAGAAATAAATGTCAGAATCTTTGGACAGACTTAACTCTTTACCAAACATTAGAAGTTGGTGACATCTGTGAATGATTGACTGGCAATAATGACTCAAGCAGCCTAAGAGATTCTTTGGAATCAATGTCAGGCCAAATAGGCTAATTTTTTGCTTAATTCTAGTTTAATAATTTCGAATATGGCATTACCAGTGATACTCACCATGAAAATTTTTTTAAAAAGATCTCAAAATTAGGAAACTATATAGCAAAGGAAATTGCATTAGATAAAATACAACCCAGAGTTAATGTTTTAGTTATTCAAAATTTATATCTCAATGAAACTTTTCTCTTTTTCTGTTTTTGGTTATAGGAAAGTCCCATAATAATTT
Organism: Homo sapiens; assembly: GCF_000001405.40. Taxonomy (NCBI): domain Eukaryota; kingdom Metazoa; phylum Chordata; class Mammalia; order Primates; family Hominidae; genus Homo; species Homo sapiens. The sequence continues at coordinate 51,701,067 of NC_000006.12, read as the reverse complement.
TAGTTGTTAAAGAGTACATTTTCAGCTGCCAGGATAAGGTGGGTTCTATTGTGAATCCTTCCTAAATTTAACTTGAATAAACCAGTCAAGAATTTAATCTTTGTTTGACAAACTAATTGGCTGGGGTTTAGAACCATCAGTTATGTAATAAAACTGTATGCAATCAATTAGGGTGGACTGATTATGTTCAGGCGACTTCATTTCTGAACAATCTTGTTAGCAGTTGAACTCTTTGAGTTGCTTGCCTAACTCTTAGAAAATGACTCAGCCTTTTATATAAGCATGGGGTTTTTTAATTCTCTGCAAATTTCAGAGGCTTTTCAGGTAATGGGCTGCATTTTACCAAAGAAAGCAATGTTAAGTGCATACAGAATGGTTTTGGCTTATTTTCCCTTCCTTGGCGAATCACAAGTTAGATATTAATCTCAGATTCCTCTTCTGGATGACCCAAATGAGGGGCTGGGGTGCAGTAAACTAGTAGTCTGAGCTGGGGAGAGATTCAATCCTTGGGGGGTGCTATTGTCTTCCACTTGGAAGCTGCAGGTATGATCTTGAGGCAGTGACCCATCAATCCAGAGGAATTAGAGAATGAAAATCCTAGAATGAGCCTTAATAAGGAGATGGAATACTGGGAATCTGGACAAGAGGGTGAACTTTCAGAGAAAGAAGGTGGGGAGGAGATTGAGCTTGGTGAGGTTGTGTAGCCAGAGAGGGGAATTGAGTGTTAGCCATTGATGACATTCAAATACTCTCTCCATTTATCAAAAGAATTTTGATATTTTAAAGTACCTTTCATAGTTCTCATTCTGTCTGCATTCTAAATTTGCTTTTTCTAGATCTTGGAATCAAAGTTTCTTGTTCAGTTATTAAAATTTGTATTATATTTTAATTAGTTTCTAATTTGTACCAATTTCTCAGGAACACTTGGTAATTTCATTGTTATTAAATCAGAATTATAGCATAGTTAATGTTTTTTATTTATGCTTCCTATGAGATGTACCTAGAATTGATCAAAACAAGGCCAAGTTCTCCTAAAATATCTTTAGCTAATATACTCTATATACATCCTTAGAATGAAAAATTACTCAGGTAATAATAAATTACTGTTTTTACACACACACACACACACACACACACACACACACACTCCATATATATATTCCAGAGGCCAAATTTGTTCTATTTAATACTATTCCCAGCATAATAGTTCTCGCCAAATATTTGTTGAATTAATGAGTGTGGTTCTGATCTTCGTAATAGCCCAAAAAGCATGGAGCACATTTTATAGTTAGCACAGATACAAAAAGAAATAAACAAATCATTTATGACCATTACAGCTTCCTCTGTCACATTATATAACCCAATTTTAGAGAATTTTACTGGTAGGAGTGCAAAAGTATACATACACTATGGAAAACAGTTTGGCAGTTACTTATAAAGTTATATATATACTTAACATACGCCCTGGCAGCCCTGGTCCAGGTTGTTTACCTTAGAGAAATAAAAAGTTATATTCAACAAAAATTTTTAGAAGAATGAACATTCATAGTAGCTTCATTTGTGACAGTCAAAAACTGGAAACAACCCAGATATCCTTCATCAAGAGTGTGGATAAGTACACTGTGGACTAGTGTTGAGAAGTAAAAAGGGACAAACTATTGATACATGCAACAACTTGGATGATTCTCAGACATGCAGAGTGAGAGAAGCCAGTATGAAAGGCTACACATCCTGTATGATTGCAACTGCGTAGCGTTCTGGAAAAGGAAAAACTATAGAGACAGTAAAAAGACCAGTGGTGGCCAGAGATATGGGTGTGGTGAGGGTATTACTGTAAGGGGTAGCCCAAGGGACTTTTGGGAGATGAGAGAATTGTTTTTTGTCCTGATTATGGTAGTAGTTATATGAATCTGTATACATTTGTTGAACTTCATAGAACTTTACAACAAAAGAAAAAAATTACCATATGAGAATTCAGAAATGAAATTAAAAATCTCTCAGATTTGGATAATTGTTTAACCAACTGAGGCTTACTTAGAGTCAAGTGGAATCTTCTTAGGTGTTTCATAACTGGAGACCATGGGTTTTGAAAGCCATGATATAGTTATCTGAGAGGTGGAAAGGTAGAAAAGTCAGCTACAGTATAATTTTTTAAAAAGAAATGAAGTAGTTATGATCAAAAAGGATATTTGCCTATAATTATTCAAAACGCAGAGTTGCGAGATCTTGTTAAAACCCATCACTTTATTGTCCATTTATGGGGACTTCCCCCTCTGGCACTGATTCTTGCATTAATTAATATAATAGCATATGAAAGAAAGATTAGAAATGTGTTATGTTAGAAATAGACTTGCTTTAAGCGACATACATATTGATACACCAGGAAAATTTGGACTATTTTCTTACTGCTGAGATTTTTTTTCACCCACTCTGGAGTCCACTGGAAACCATGTATTTATTAAATGATTGATGCTTGTGCTCCTTAGGAACCATGGGAATTACCATCCTAGATCAGATCATTAGTCTGCCTAGTCTAACATCTTGCTTCTGGCTTAGGTAATTATCTGAAGCTTTTGAGGGACGTTTAACTCTTTCTTGTAAAGCATTAGACCAGTGTTTCATGTAGTGTTAATCTCATTGTTGAAGTGTAGATGAGAAACCCATGCTGATGATAATCATAACTAAATTCTTTTTGTACTTTTAAAATATAATTTTGTTTTTACCATTTTAATGATTCTGGTTAGATCCCAAATAATTAAGAATGCTATGATATACTTCATCTGATTCCCAAGGATTTGATTTTCTACTCTGCAATGAGTCTGTACGAATGGGAATACAATTATTCTGTCTAGTCTAATGGGTTTTATACCTCTAGAACCTCAACATTTTATAAGAAAAGCAAATCAGCCTCTTCCTGTTTGTAATATGGCTGTTCAGACCTGTTTAGTGGTCTCTGAGTGAATTATTTCCAAATAATTGATCATTGATAACTCTTAACACAGTTACTTTGTACCATTTACTTTCTAACAGATGACTTGATTCGTTAAGAAAGGGATGATTTAATTGGCTAATATAATGTGATCCTTTCCTTACTTCCTATCTCCTAGGTATTTGTTGAATGTATAAGCATTGTTTTAGTGCCAACAGCAATGTATTTAGTGTTTACAACTTCTTAATGAGGATTTAAAAAAAGTAAATGCCAGGTAGGAGACAAGCCATATTGCAAATGCCCAGGAATTGAAATTTGGGCATCCTACTCAATAAGAATGTTTGCTGTTGTTGTTTATAGTCAGAGTTCTGGCTGAGGTGTTAAAATGATAAGAAGTCAGCCATGCTGCAAGAGCAGTAAGAAACCTAAGAACAGGGTATGTGAAGAATCCCTCTGTAGCACTGACTTCTCAACCAGGATGATTTTGCCCTTCGGGGACATTTGGCAATGTCTGCAGATATTTTCAGTTGCCACAACTGGGGACACGGGGGTGTACTTATGGGCGTTTAGTGGATGGAGGCCAGGGAGGCTGCTAAATATCCTATGATGTACAGAACAGCCTCATACAATTTTCCACTTCAATATCTCAAAAGTGCCAAGGTTGACAGCCCCCATTCTGAAGTGAGGAGAATGTGTTTTCAGCATTGAGCATAATACTTTGAACATGGTAGGTGCAGAATATGTGTTGATGGGATTTTCACAAGAGACCTCTCCAATCAGATTTGATTGCAATTATTGTAATCAAAGTAATTGCAAATAAATGCTAATCTAACACAAATTTCATGACATGCACTACAATTACCTCACAGCGTGTTTGGTTAGGCACACATCCAAAGCACTCATTAAGAGGACAATTACTAGTATCCTTTATATTTATTTATTTATTTATTTATTTATTTGAGACGGAGTCTCACTCTGTTGCCCAGGCTGGAGTGCAGTGGTACGATCTCACGTCACTGCAACCTCTGCCTCAGCGACTCTCCTGCCTCAGCCTCCTGAGTAGCTGGGACATCAGGTGCGTGTCACCATGCCTGGGTAATTTTTCTATTTTTAGTAGAGATGGGGTTTCACCATGTTGGCCAGGCTGGTTTCAAACTCTTGCCCTCAAGTGATCTGCTCACCTCAACCTCCCAAAGTGCTGGGATTCCAGGCATGAGCCACCACACCAGGCCCAATTATGAGTATCCTTTTAAACCTGTGAGACTAAATACTGTTTTCCTCTCTTCTCTTTTACAGTTAATTTTCAAGGATTGGTCGTCAGTTTGGTTTATTTTTTCCATCTCCCACTATCAATGACACACGTAGTTTCTGGACCTCATATCCCATCAGCTGGGGCTCTATCCCACGCACAGTTCTCTAGGGCCACATTCCCCTGTGTTCCACCTCTAACCTGGCTTGCTCATCCCATCCTTAGCTGTTGATCCTATTAAACTTCATGGATTTTAGAGCAGGATATCCATTTGCTTTGTCTCTTTCTGTTCTGAAAATAAACTCTTTATAATGAGATAGAAAACAGTAGGGTAAGAGTTCTGGAGCAGGAGATGATTACATAATGGATCAGGGGAGGTTGCACAGAAGGGGTTGAGTTTCTCAGTCCTTGGTTTGAGACTTAAGATAGCCACTTTCTAGACATTTGGACAGATTTTTGCTTAGTTGGGTGATATTCATGATGGCTCTCGTGAACCTTGCTCTACTGCTTCTGAGAACTAACCTTCTGGAAGCTTCAGCCCCATTTTCTTCTTTCCAGGGATCACTGATGTATCTATGATTAAAGATCAGCTACCATTCTCTGCTGACTTTGTGTCTGCCCATCACTTCCAAATCTTTAAAGCAGAACTGGCTGCAGAGTAGCCTTCCAAGTGCTACAGGTTTGCAAACAATGAGAAGAGACTTTTCTAAAAACCACAGCACTGCTTGAAACTTGGTGCTTTAATTCCTTTCAGTCCACAACTAGAGATTTTTTAAATGTTCATATTTGTAAATGCAAACTGAGTGCTAGCTTCTTAGAAGAAGTTTTTATTACAATTCAAATAAAGATGACAGATTCTTTCTTCTGAAGAAATAGATGTAGTTTTGGGAGCCCCAGTGTGGAACAGGTTATTTTTCAAGAAGCAAAAGGACCATCAACGCAAACTTTTCTTACCTCAAAATTTCACTTTGGGCTTGTGCCATTTTTCTTCTGCTCTTCGTATTCAAATGTACAACAGACACAAGATAGTAAAGGGGGGAAGAGAGGGAATTAAAAATTTCATTTAGAATCCCTGTTACATAAAGAATTTTTTCTACCTTTTAGCCTCTACAAAACGTAGAAATTTATTGTTAATATATTTTTCAGAGATATTCACATATATCCATGTTGTTATTATTTTAAACCAAGGATATAAGGCAGCCATCAGTCATCATTTTCATAACCTATAAAATAACTTTCTCTGAGTGTCAAGAGTATCAGTTTTTGAGTGTCAGGTAAACACAACACTGCTTCAAGCTGAATAACTATAGAAATGAATCCTAGGAATATGTTACATAGATACAAATTATGTCCTGATTCCTACCAATTTAATAAACTATGGACTTAAAGATTTCTTCTTCTTCCTCCTCTCCTTCCTCTTCTTCTTCCTCCTCTTCTTCCTCTTCTCCTCCTACTCCTCTTCATTTTTCTTCTTCTTCTCTGGCAAAGCAATATTTATGTTTCAGGAATAACAGTATTAAGTGCTATGGAGAAGGGTTAGAGGGTTGAGATTGAGGTTACATTATAAAGACAAGTTGAAAGCTTCAATTTATACTTGAGAATAACAAGATATGAAAGGATTTTGAGAAAATCCTTTGTTCATTAGATAATGTTTATTTAACAAGATGAGTGTTTTCAATGAGATTATACTGTGGATTTTATTGAAAAGACTTTAAGAAGTAAGGTCTCTGTTCTTTAAATCCTGCTGATTTAAAGAAATATTATTAAATACTTTTAAGTCCATTTTTATTCAGCTTTGTCTACTTGCCATTGGTTATAATAGACTTAAAACCTTAAATCTTATTCCTTTATTCTTCAATTTTTGTTTTAAAATTTTGGCAACATTGTTTTCTTTGTGCTTGTTGTTATTCATAGATCCCAGCAGAATTTCCAATTTTTTTTATAGTCAGTGCCATTGGAAGAAACCATAATATCATTGTCAGTGGGAAATCTGTTAGCAAGGAAATCTCTGCAGTGACAATGTGGCAGTACAGCTGTGTTGTCTTCTGTGGGTCAGAAGTGATGTGACTGTACCACTCAGTTTACTCAGCACAGTCTGTTTATACACACAGTCCCAACATAATTGTAATAGCACCAACTCTTGATTTGAACAGTAAAATTTTGTGGTTACTCACGACTTACAAATCTATATGGAAGGTTGGGTGCAGTGGCTCATGCCTGTAATTCTAGCACTTTGGGAGGCTGAGGCAGGTGGATCACTTGAGGTCAGGAGTTCAAAACCAGCCTGGCCGACATGGTGAAACCTGGTCTCAACCAAAAAAAAAAAAAAAAAAAAAAAAAAGGCTGGTTGTGGTGGCGGGCACCTGTAATCTGAGCTACTTGGGAGGCTGAGGCAGGAGAATTGCTTGAACCAGGGAGGGAGAGGTTGCAGTGAGCCGAGATCACGCCACTGCATTCCAGCCTAGGCAACAGAGAAAGACTCTATCTCAAAATAAGTAAATAAATAAATTTAATGAATTAATTAAAAAAAGAAATCCATATGGAAGAGTGGTAGTGGTTTTAAGTGGTTCATTTTTTTGCTGGTGTGGTGGAGGTGTGGCTTGTGAAAAAGATCAGTAAAATTAGATTATCCAGGATGAGACCAGAATGTAGTAGAATTTTTTTGGAACTGAGAAAGAAAACATTTGCAGGCATTGTTAAAAACTAACAAGCTGAAAGCAGGTAGGAGGGAGAAAATTTAAAAAAAAGCATCATAACAGCAAGAATATTAATTATTAAGATGAAGCCAGGTGGCATGGTGGTGGTGGTGAGGTGGTAAGAGAGGCGGGAATGGGGTACCTAGGACTCAGCACTCAATGCTACTTTAAGAAACTTAACTAATTGTTTATATAGTAAAATAATATAATGTAGAGGTCAAGGACAGGGGGTTTGAATCAGATTGCCTGGGTTCACTTTCTGCAAGCTACTTAAAAGTGAAAAAGATGCTTAAGCCCTATATGCCTCATTTCCCTCATCTGTAAAATGGGAGTAATAGTAATACCTTTTTATTGTGGAGATTAAATGAATTAATGCTTATAAAGCACTTAAAACAGCAGTTGTCTCATTGTAAGCACTCAGTCACTCAGTACATGTCATCTGGTATTATTATTGTTGTTATTGTTTTCAATGAGCAAAGGAGGTAATGGCTATACCACTGCCATCCCATGTTTTTAATGAAGCTGCCCATATTGTCTTCTGGAGGCAATCTCATCCGCTGAACCAGCTGGGCTGGATGGGTTTTCTGTCTCCATCACTTATTTGTTCAGCAAATTTCTGAACTTCTCTTTAGTCTATCTCTACATCTTGATAGAGATAAAAATAACATGGACTATTTAGGTTTATTGTAATGATTAGATTTGCTACAATCTTTGTAAACCACTTCACAAGGTCCCAGGCACATGGTCAGTTCTAGGTAAATGTTAGAAGTTGTTCTAAAGAAATCTTTTTGTATAAACGTGCCTGTATAATAAGGCATACATAAGCCATTTGTTTTCTGGGTCTCTTAAGTCAAATAATTGTTAAGTAGTAGATAGTAAGTATATGGTTCACATGGAGGCATGGAGGGCCAATGGGAAAGTGTTATGTTTGAGCCATGTGTGAAATGCCTTCATAGAGAAAAGTGGCTGAGAATACAGTTCTGTTATTCAGGACAGATGATGATTTTGGGGCCTATTAGTACATGAATCTCTCTCTCCCTTTCTATGTGTGTGTATGAATGTGCACTTGTGCAGGGGACATATGTGTTGACAAATAACTGAACCCTGAAGAATACCACTTCATAAATGATCAGGTCAAGGAAAGCCACCAAAACAGCAAAAAACAACAATACATACCACAGTTGAGGAGAAACAAAGATAAGAGAGAAATAAGGAGATAGTGATGCCCTAAGAGTTAAATCCAAAGAACATTTCAAGAACAGCAAAAAATGTTATAATTAAGTCAAAATGATTAAATCAGAAAATAAAGGCCTCTAATAACATTACTGAGAATAGTGTTGACAGAGTGATTGGGGCAAAATCTAGATGTCAGTGGATTGAGATTTATCAAAAACATGAGAAAAATTAAACAATAAATACTAATATAAAACAAAACCATAAGAAAACTTAGCTTTTCAAAGAGTTTGACAGTAAGTGGAAAAAAAAGATAGGTGATGTTTATTATATAGAAAACTTATGCATCTGTCAGTTGATGGGAAGAATTTTGAACATCTAAGAAATGGGAAAAAAATGGACGAGACTAACTTGTGATGTTCAAGGAGGAGTAGACTGGGACAAGGTCACTTGTGTAGAAACTATACCTAGGGAAAAGGAAGAATAACCATGTCGGAGGGAGGTAAGGAAGAGTGAATATTTTTAAAAGGTTTTGGTAAAAGTGTCCTCAGATTTGTTTGAGAAATCAGTGACTAAGTCATGGAGGTAGAAGAATAGCAAGAGGTCAAACTTTGAACAGAAAAGAATTTTAACTAGAGATGAATGGAAGATGAGTTGATTAGTACTGAAGGCTCAATTAAGGTTGGAAATAAAGCATTTGTGATAGCACCAAATGACACAGAACTCAGTGGTGTGTGTGTGTGTGTGTGTGTGTGTGTGAATTATGTGATTTTCTACAGAATTCTTAAACTTTCCAGAAGCAAAAGTGATGGCAGTGGATACATAGCTTTGCCAAGAACTGGGGATTTTCAATGTGAACATGGGAGAAGAATGAAGGTTGAGAGATTGGGAGGAGTGAGAATACTTATTTGAGCATTAAGTGAATGATGAAGAAAGGAGTTGCTGTTAGGTATGAAATGGGAGGAAGCCCAGAAAGGGCTGAACAACTGAAGACTAGAGTGAATGTGGAAAAGAAGGAGGTTTGACTGGAGAGACAAGTTTCCTTGTTTAGTATGTTGGAGATGGAGGGTTCGTAAGAAATGAAAAGAGCCAGCGTTTGCCATTAGATTGGGTAGTAGCTTGGTGATCTCTAGGTGATAAAATACTTTTGGTGGTGAATGCTGAAAGGCACATCAATGATAATTTACTTAATCGAATCCCACTTTTTTAAAACTTTTAAGCTCAGGGGTACAAGTGCAGGTTTTTTACATAGGTAAACTTATGTCATGGGGGTTTGTTGTACAGATTATTTTGTCACCCAGGTATTAAGCCTAGTACTCATTGGTTATTTTTCCTGATCCTCTTAATTCTTCTACCCTCTACCCATCAAAAGGCCCCAATGTCTGTTGTTCCTGTCTACGTGTCTGTGTGTTCCCCTCATTTAGCTTCCACTTATAAGTGAGAACATGCAGTATTTGGTTTTCTTTTCTCATGTTAGTTTGCTAAGGATAATGGCCTTCAGCTTCATCAATGTCCTTGCAAAGCACATGATCTCATTCTTTTTTGTGGCTACATAGTATTCCATGGTATATATGTACCACATTTTCTTTAACCAAGCTATAATTAATGGGCATTTAGGTTGATTCTATGTCTTTGCTACTGTGAATAGTGCTGCAACAAATATATTCATGCATGTGTCTTTATAATAGAATGATTTATATTCCTTTGGGTATATACCCAGTAATGAGATTGCTGGGTCAAATGGTATTTCTGTCTTTAGGTCTTTGAGGAATACCACACTGTCTTCCACAATGGCTGGACTGATTTACACTCCCACCAACAATATATAAGCATTCCTTTTTTCTCCACAACTTTGCCAGCTTCTGTTATTTTTTGACTTTTTAGTAATAGCCATTCTGACTGGTGTTAGATGGTATCTCATTGTGGTTTTGATTTGCATTTCTCTAATGATCAGTGATGGTGATCTTTTTTTCATATGGTTGTTGGCTGCATGTATGTCTTCTTTTGAAAAGTGTCTGTTCATGTCCTTTGTCCATTTTTTAATGGGATTTTTTTTCTTGTAAATGTAAGTTTCTTATAGATGCTGGATATTAGACCTTTGTCAGAAGTATAGTTTGCAAAAACTTTCTCCCATTCTGTAGGTTGACTGTTTACTCTGTTGGTATTTTCTGTTTCTGTGCAGAAGCTATTTATTTAATTATACCCCATTTGTCAATTTTTGCTTTTGTTGCAATTGCTTTTGGTGTCTTTGTCATGAAATCTTTGCTCATGCCTGTGTCCTGAATGGTATTGCCTAGGTTTTCTTCCAGGGTTTTTACAGTTGTGGGTTTCACATTTAAGTCTTTAGTCCATCTTGAGTTAATTTTCGTATATGGTGAAGGAAGGGGTCCAGTTTTAATCTTCTGCCTGTTGCTAGCCAGTTCTCCCAGAACCATTTATTGAATAGGGAATCCCTTCTGCATTGTTTGTTTTTGTCAGGTTTATCAAATATCAGATAGTTGTAGGTGTGTGGTCTTATTTCTGGGTTCTCTCTTCTGTTTCATTGGTCTGTGTCTTGTTCTCGTACCAGTACTATGCTGTTTTGATTACTATAGGCCTGTAGTATAGTTTGAAGTTGGATAGCATGATACCTCCAGCTTTATTCTTTTTGCTTAGGATTGTCTTGGCTATTCGATCTCTTTTTTGGTTCCATGTACATTTAAAAATAATTTTCCCTAGTTCTTTTTTTTTTTTTTTTTTTTTTTTTTTTGAGATGGAGTCTCACTCTGTCACCCAGGCTGGAGGGCAGTGTCATGATCTCGGCTCGCTACAACCTCCGCCTCCCGAGTTCAAGCGATTCTTCTGCCTCAGCCTCCGGAGTAGCTGGGTCTACAGGTGCATGCCACCATGCCTGGCTAATTTTTGTATTTTTAGTAGAGACGGGGTTTCTTCATATTGACCAAGCTGGTCTCGAGCTCATGACCCTGTGATCCGCCCATCTCTGCCTCCCAAAGTGTTGGGATTACAGGCGTGAGCCACCACGCCTGGCCTAGTTTTCCCTAGTTCTGTGAAGAATTTCAATGGTAGTTTATAGGAATAGCATTGAATCTATAAATTGCTCTGGGCAGTATGGCCATATTAACAATATTGATTCTTTCTTCCATAAGCATGGAATGTTTTTCCATTTGTTTGTGTCATCTCTGATTTCTTTGAGCAGTTGTTTTAGTTTTGGATAAAAAAATCTTTCACCCCCATAATTAGCTGTATTCCTAGGTATTTTATTATTTTTGTGGCAATTATGGATGGGAGTTCATTTGTGATTTGGCTTTCAGCTTCTCTGTTGTTGGTGTATAGGAATGCTAGTGATTTTTGCACATTGATTTTGTATCCCAAGACTTTGCTGAAGTTGTTTATCAGCTTAAGAAGCTTTTGGGCTGAGACTATGGGGTTTTCAAGACATAGGATCATGTCCTCTACAAACAAGGATAGTTTGCTTTCTTCTCTTCCTATTTGGATGCTCTTTATTTCTTTCTCTTGCCTAATTGCCCTGGCCAGAACTTCCAGTACTATTTTGAATAGGAGTGGTGAGAGAGGACATCCTTGTCTTGTGCCAGTTTTCAAGGGGAATGCTTCCAGCTTTTGCTCATTCAGTATGATGTTTGCTGTGGGTTTATCATATATGACTCATTATTTTGAGGTATGTTCCTTCAATAATTAGTTTATTGAGAGTTTCTAACATGAACTGATGTCGAATTTTATCGAAGGCCTTTTCTGCATTGATTGAGATAATCATGTGGTTTTTGTCTTCAGTTCTGTTTAAGTGATGAATCAAATTTATTAATCTGCATATGTTGAACCAATCTTGCATCCTGAGGATGAAGACTACTTGATCTTGATGGATAAGCTTTTGATGTGCTGCTGGTTTTGGTTTGCCAGTATTTTATTGAGGATTTTTGCATCGATGTTCATCAGGGATATTGGCCTGAAGTTTTCTTTTTTTTGTTGTATCTCTGCCAGGTTTTGGTATCAGGATGATGCCGGCCTTATAGAATGTGTTAGTGCGGAGTCCCTCCTCAATTTTTTGGAATTGTTTCAGTAGAAATGTTGCTAGCTTTTCTTTGTACATCTGGTAGAATTCGGCTGTGAATTTGACTGGTCCTGGGCTTTTTTTGGTTAGTAGGCTATTTATTACTGACCCAATTTCAAGGTAGTTATTGGTCTGCTCAGGGATTCAATTTCTTCCTGGTTTAGCCTTGGGAGGGTGTATGTGTCCAGGAATTTATCCATTTCTTCTAGATTTTCTAGTTTGTATGCATAAAATAGAAAACACTGGAGGTGTTTATAATATTCTCTGATGGTTGTTTGTATATCTGTGGGGTCCGTGGTGATATCCCCCTTGTTGTTTCTGATTGTGTTTATTTGAATCTTCTCTCTTTTCTTCCTTATTAGTTTAGCTAGTGATCTATATTATTTATTTTTATTAAAAAAAGAATAGCTCCTGGATGTGTTGATTTTTTGAATTTTTTTTTTTGTGTGTGTTTCTATCTCTTTCAGTTCAGCTCTGATCTTGGTTATTTCTTGTTTTCTGCTAGCTTTGAGATTTGTTTGCTCTTGGTTCTCTAGTTGTTTTAGTTGTGATATTAGGTTGTTAACTTGAGATGTTTCTAAGTTTTTGATGGTGACTTTGAAGTCCTGAGAGGGAAGACAACTTGTTTAAGAATAGCAAATTTTGGGACAACTGCTAGTAGAACCCAAGTCCAATTCTCCCCAATATGGGGTTGTGTTTAACAAACCAAGGCATTTTATACTTAAATCAGTCAAGTACTGATTCATTCTGTGAAGGGGGAAATACTGTATTATAAAATGGCTCTAGATTGTGCTTACGAATTAATAAACAGATCTCTTTCTGTGCACTTCATCAGATAAATTCATGGTGTCAAATTCTAGCAGCCTACTGCTGTCAATGACATGTACATCAGAGTGAAAATGTAATCCAGGTGACATATGACATAAAAAAGTCACATTGCCTAGTACCAGCCCTTTCTCAAGTCTAGTTAATTAGTAGTATTTTTTGGTTAATTCAAGTGGATGGATCTCAAGGCAATACTATTTGTAGAATGCAATCTGATACTGAGTATTAATCCACATCGTTTGAAAATATGAAAATAATTTTAGGATCTCTTTGGAGATTGCAGTGTCAAAACTGAACTGATTTACTAACTCACAAATTCATCCTCTATTTGAGAAACATTAGTTTTATTACCAACACCAAGAGCATCATGTTATGACAAGAACATCATGTTATGACAAGAACATTAGACACAGATGTCAAGAGACCAGTATTTAATTAATTCACTTTGTCTTTGGGCAAGTACTAAATTTTAAGAAACTCAGTTTTTTCATCAGGCAAATGGAAATCCCACCTCTTATTTCTGCCTTTTAAAGTTGTTGTGAAGGGCAAATGATAACAGGTGACATGGTGGCAAAATGTGTGCAATGGTGGCTATCATATGGCTTCAGGCCCTGCTGGCCACTGAATAGATGGGTGTCTATGGATATTTAACACCATGAGCTTAGGTTTAGTTATCTGTAGAATAGAAATACAGGAATTATCTTTCATGTTGTCAACATTTATATATAATGCATACAATATAGCTGATACAGAAAAGGATCTATTATTAACACATAATGGCAAGAGTTATTATTAGTACTTAACATATTAAAATGTGCCATACAAATGCAACTTTTTTTTTCATTTTTTATCATCTGATTTTTGTTGTATTCTTTCTCTGTGCCCTATCTTCATAGAGTACTTTCTTCAGACAATCTGATTTAATTCATATGCCTAACTAACTTGGTGACCTTCTTGCCTCATGTTTAATTCATTCCTCTCTGTGAAGGAAGGGTACTAGAAATAGTATTATCCATTTCTTCCCTGCTCCTCTTTTCCCCTTTCCTTCTCATTCACTCTTGACAATGAAAGAACTTACATCCCCGTTTTTGGTGCCATGATTTCAGGAGGGCAAGAACATCAACTTTTCTGAAAACCAAGAGAAAGTGGAGTACCTGAGAAAATGTAACTTCATATCTGGCCTCTGAAAGACATATGAAATATACAGTCCTTGCAAAATATTTTTAGAAAGTTGTCCTTGTAGATTTCAAACATGCAAGTGAGTAGATCATAGTTTCAACTTGAATGTTCAATTTCAATCTGAGCGAATCAGGAAAATTCTAGAGTTAATCATTGAAAACGAATGGATGCATTAAGTTTATTCAATTTAACACATATTACTGAGTCTACTATGTGCCTGGTGCTTTTCTGGCTAGTTGTAAAGTGTCAAAACTAGACAAATAACCCTGCTCTCATAGGGCTTACTTTCTTAGCTTACTTAGAGGAGTGACTAAGTAATATACATAATAAATAAGTAAATTCTCTAGTAGATTATAAAGTTATAAGTGCTATAGACAAAAGAAAAAATGTAGAGCATCATAGAAAGCAAAAAGAATGCTTGTACATAGGCTGACCAAAGTAGGCCTCACTGAGAAGGAGACAGAGAAGAGGGTGTGGGATTGAGCCACAGGAACACCTGGGAGAAAAGTAGAGAGATCTGCCTTGGCAGAGTCCCCAAGTGGGGAGAGTGCCTGCAGTGTGTGAGGATTAGCAAGGAAGTCAGAGTGGCTTGAGCAGAATGACCAGGAAGGGAATTAGCAGAAGACAAAGTCAGAGGTAAAGCGTTCTGGTTCTTTGGAAAGAAGTCCAGCTTTTGTTGTGGTTTTAAAGATTACCAAGTCTAATCATTTTAATATAAACAGTAGAAGGATGATCATCCTTCTTTACAAGGTGAACATGAGTTAAGGGTTCAAAAACCTTCTCACCTTGAATCTCTAGGTAAGATTTAGGTGCTGTCATCCAAGCATGCCATCCATCTAGGACAATGCTGTCAATTTCAGAGTGAATTATAGAATGAATTTTGTCAGCCAGTGATCAGCAGAGAAAGAGTGTTAGAAAAATCTTTATAGAAACTTAAGAAGTGTCAGACGTGGATAAGTGGAATGGAATTTGGATGGAGTTCTGGGTTAGACAGCAGGTAAGTTGTGCCTAAGTGCTGTTGAGCAAAGTGTCTGCATAGGAGGTATAGCTGTGTTTTCCTGACAGTGAGTTTTCCAAGGCTCCACCATATCTTCCACCCCTCACACCAGCAGACTGCTAACCTATAAAACCATTTTTTCTACCAAGTCCTTACATGGCCTGGTAATGATTCTTAAAACAATACTTTGGCAACCACTGCCACAGGAAGGTAGCAACCCTCCTCAACTAAAACAAAGAAGTTGCTTCGGGAAATAGTAAAGTGAAGTGCAGGGAGCAACTGGCAAGGGGCCTTAGGTTATAAGTTGAATCATGTAACTATAGGCCAACGTAAATGTAGGCTAGGACCTCTGGATGGTGAGATAACGAAAGGGACCAATCTCAGAAACACTGGGATACAAGAGCAAAAATTTTCAGATTTTATAGAAGTAGTAAAAATTCTTTAAAAAAATTTTTTTTAACATTGTTTTGTAATATGAGAACAAGTATGCTCTCAAAGAAATTAACAGTGGGAAAATTTAAAACAAGTAAGAGGAAATACTTCTATTCTTAGCGTATAATCAGCCCATAGACTTTTCTGTTGAAGAAGGTCAGGGAGTCAAATGCTGAAGAGGAAAAGAAAAGAGAGGAAAATCTGGTTAATTTTATGACCAATAATAACATTGTAATTATGCCCTAAGATAAGAATAACGAGGTTGAAGTTTTGGGGTATAAAATGATTGTCTCAGAGGACAGGAAGGAATTCTCCCACTCTTACTCCTAACAGTTTGAATGGCCTCAAAGAATTGGCCAGATGTGTAATGGGGTGTAATATTTTCCCAGAAGGCGGCTTCTATTGACCCAGAAAACTATTCTTGAAAGATCAGTGGCTAGTTTTATCTGGAAAATCATGTATTTCAGGGAAAATCAGCCTTAAATTCAAGCAAAAAGAATTTTATAGTTGGTGAAATGATAAACTTCCCAATGATGGATATGCTCTAATTTTGCTTTTGACCCAGTGTGTGATTTTCTCTA
Source organism: Homo sapiens (assembly GCF_000001405.40). Lineage (NCBI taxonomy): Eukaryota > Metazoa > Chordata > Mammalia > Primates > Hominidae > Homo > Homo sapiens. Next base: position 51,684,940 of record NC_000006.12, on the reverse strand, counting down.
AACATAATATTCATAAAACTAACTTAGTGAATCATAATGGATGGAAATTGGCCTTTGACACAGAGCAAGTCCAATGGAAAGCACATGAACTGTCCCATAGGAGTTATAAATATGCTCTTGCCCTTTTGCCAAACTTTTCTCAAAGGTCAAACCAGCTGCTTGTACCTTCTGATTTTGTTTCTTGGCATGCAGTATGCTGCTTAAGTGCTTGCTTTTCAGACCTTAGTAAAGCTGTGAATCCCTAGCAGTCTCTAAAATCTTCTAAATCAGTTTTAAGCTGGCCATCAAGTGGGGGAATATCTAGCAGGGCAAACCTTATCCACAGTCATTTCTTAGTGAACTTCCAAGAGCACAGAATGAAGACAACGATGTCCTATAGATCCCCTTGGAGCCTCTTTAAATGGTAGCTGTAGTGTAGGTCACAATGTCAGATTGCTTGTATTTTTCTCTTCCTTTTGCTTCTAAACTAACTGGGACCTCAGCATTATTTGTTCATTGCCTCTCTGTATGTACTTACTTTTTAAATTTTCTTTATTTACATAAAACATGGATATTGTATGAGACAGAGTTACTCCAATTAACAAATAATCTCCAAATCTCAGTTGTTTAAGAATAGAAAAACTTTGTTTTACTCACATCTCAGCCTGAAGAAGGTTGGGTGACTCTCCTGGTAGCTGCCCTCCTGGTGGTGACTCAGGGAACCAGGCTGCTTCTAACATTTAGTTCTGTTATCTCACAGTCCTTCAAGTACAGCTACAAGTTCAACTTTCTTATTTGGAAAATGGAAGCAATAAAAACACACCGCTCAGTTTGCTATGATAATTAAATAAAATAAGAACTGTTGGTTGAAAGACTTTCAGAATAGCTGGAACATGGTACATACTCAGGAAATGTTGATGTTTCTTCTCTCTTGGTTTGTATATCGGGCACTGGTTGAGTATATGGGAGCAGAAGGACATATGCAAAGGTGAATAAGGCTGATATCTGTACTCAAGTTGCTCATGAGCTCATTGTCTCTAAAAGAGAAGGAGAATTTGTTTCTAAAAACATGACTGAGTAAGCTCCATGAAGGCAAACACTGTGTCTCTCGTTTAATTTTTAACCATTATAATCTCAAAGTTGAATTCATTATCAGGATAATGGCAAATGGTCAATAAATAGTATAAAATCAATGATTACAATATCACAACTATACAATGGAAGAGCTAGAAAATTACATTCTTTCCTCTTTTTCCTCTGTATTACTCACACTGCCCCCGGAATTTACCAAAATCTGATGTGATGGAATAAAACCTAGGATTACTATGATTTCCTGAGTCTATGCCATACATCATCCAAATTGAAGAGATGGTCCTGAAGTATTTCTATATGCAGACCATAGTACACAGCTGCTTATAGTTCTTTAACCTTATATATGGTTGAAAATAAGGTACAATTTTGCTTAATCAGGTATACTTTCCCATCCTGAGCCTATATATTGTGTTTGTTGTCTGATTGGCATCTGTAAATATATTTTTTGGTATTTGTTCTTATAGTTCCAGCCACTACTTTGCCTCAAAGTTTGAATAAAGCCTTTGGTATAAGTAAGCCATTCTGTCTCCCAGTGTTTAGTGTCAATTGTGTATCTCTGTAATCTAGTTATGTTTTCTGACTCAAAATTGGATCCCGAATTGTCCTTAAAATTTGCTCACCTTGCTGAATTATGATACATCAGTTTTCAGGAGGAGTCATTGAACTTAAAGGATAACTTAGAAGTAATTTACCTGAAATCCTCTGAGCCAGAATCTTATTTGTAAGAACTCTAGCAAATTTGTTTGTAAAAAAATCTTCATAGTTGATTTGTTCAACTGACTAAATGGTATCTGGTTGATCTCACCATGTTTCTTATTCACTCTTTCTTCTGGATCCTATTTATTACTGCTAGTTAGCTGATTGTTTGGGTAAAAGCCTCCTTTTTCAATATATTTTCCCCTGCCATGTCTCCCAGACATTAGTACAAATAACTTTTATGTATTCTCCCTGTATTAGGTAAGTATCCAGGTATATTGCTTTGTATGCATAATAAGGAAACTGAGGTGCATGGTAGCCTGTCTGTTTTCAAAGTCAGCAGGATTAGGAAGAAAATCAACTGAAATTGACACTTCAATCTACTGTTTCTATTCCTCAGGTCACAGAGCTTCTATTGGTAAGACTCCCCTAGGCTTTCCCTTCTATAGCTGACACAAGGAACATTATACTCTCATTTTGGTCTCCATCACTTTCTGCCTCCAAAAAGCAGAAGCAGAGGCAAGCTGTTCACTCAACTTGCCCTGTTTCTTTTTCCTCCAAAGGAGAAGACCTGGACATAGCAAAATGAGCAAGCAGAGCCAGCTGTGTGCATTTTTCACCCATATTAAAGCAAAGCCCAAATATAATAACTCATTCTCAGAGACTAGAGCATCCCAATTCTGGGCTTATGAAAATATTTTTACCTAATTACTTCAGTAATCTGTGCGCAGTATGTCAAGTAAATTTCATCTTTATATCACACTGGAAAAGAAGGCAAATTTGAAGAGATTCATAGAACTAGTTTTACAAAGAGCTTTAACAGAGAATACTGATGCTCAGGTATTAGAAAAAGTGAATATTATGATAAATTATGTAAAGAAAACTTGTGTTTAGAGAGAAAATTGTGTTATGTTTCTGTTTTCATCCTAGGTCTCCTGGGGACAAAAGAAGAGTTCCCTTATGTTCTTTATCCTCTTCCCTGAAGCAGGAGATAGTATATATGTTCGGAGGAAAAGATGCATCTAAGAATATTATAGATGCTGCATCCATCAGAGTACTGACATCCTAACCTAGTCTACCCTGATGCTGTATATATCTCAACAGCTTAAAACAACAAAGGCTTATTTCTCGTTTGTACTTCTTGTCCATCTTTGGTTGGCAGGAACTCAAGCTGAAAGATCAGCTTCCATCTCATACTTTTCTGGTCACTGTCTCAAGAGACAAACTCAGAACTCTTAGAACAGAGACTGGCAAACATGTTCTGTTAAGGGCCAGGTGGCAAATATTTTTAACTTTGTAGGCCATACAGTTTCTGTCACAATTTCTCAACTCTGCTGTTGTAGTGCAAAGTAGCCATAGGCAATACATAAACAAATGCGTATAGCTGTGTTCCAATAAAATTTTGTTTATAACAATAGCCAGTGGGCCTGATTTGGCCTGTGGCTTGTAGTTCACCACCTCTTTCAATTAAATAGTATGGCCCAAAAGGGACACTAGTTACCTCTGCTCAATGGTTAATGACTAGTTAATGATCCTATTAACTAGTCATTAAGATACCAATAAGATAATGGGGAAGTGCAAGGCTAGGCTTATATGTATTCACACACATACAAGGAAAACAATGAAGAAATAGCTGAGCAGTTATTTTCACAGATCTACATGCTTGATTAAGGCTACTGGTCTTTTAAAGTTCATCTATTCCCTTCAGTGTTCTCTTTAACTCAGAAAAACAGACTTTACAAGGTGGCAGTATTTATTTGCTAGTTAAGGGGCAATAGCAGTGGTTGGTCAACCAAACATGACATTGCTAAGGCCTGTGTTTATTCAGGGTTGGTGGCAATGTCTGGTCTGAAGAGCTGGAGTTATTCACAGCATTAAATCTTCACCTTTGGAAATCCTAAGGTGAGTTAGGAAATACATCCTAGAAGCTGATCTTGGGAAAGGATTTGGAAGTAGCAAGGGAGCCATTTTATCAGATGACATTCCACAGCAGTGAAATTGCCTTGGGGAAAAAGTCATTTCTCATAGATCAATTTCTGAGAGGTTTCCTAGATGTAGCAATGCAGTCTATACATGGGCAGCAGTGACAAAATGGGGTTTTCCATTGATTTTACTAGAAATGGAGTTGTACTTAAACTTGCTTTACAATAGAGGGATGCCACTTATGTATTTGGTTTTCTGTCAATCCTTAACCCCAATTCACAACCAACCGATTTTTAACTGTATATTTATTCTGTCCCCCTACTGGTTCTTCATTGTCTTATAAAGGCATATGTTTTTTTTTACCCTCAGTTAACACCCTTTCAAGTTTTATTGGCATTGCTCTCAGAGCAAAACGTTAACCGTTCATTTATCTTTACAATAGTTTAATTTGTTTATATTTGTGACTTTTCACTATAGTCTGGAAGTTTAAATATGGAGAAATGTATATTCAAGTGGATTTTTTATTTAATTAAAATAAAGACACTGGGAATCTATAGTGTAGGTAGCAGGCTGTCTGTAATAGGAAATTATTGTTCATGTTGATTACTGTCCATACCTTCTAAAATTTTATGGCACTTTCTTGTAATTGTCACACAAGCAAAATACTTCAGTGAATGCATTTTAATAATTAAATTAAAAACAAAACCAAAACCAAAATAGAACATATACCTGGACTAAGATTTATTAGTTTGTGATAACTCTTGAGTTTTGCTCTCCTAATCAGTGATACTTCTGTGCAATATGAGAAGATTCTAGGGGCAATAGTTACTTGGCCACTTATGATAAAGTGTAAACACCTTTAAAAGTGTGAAAATAACCTTCATATAAGAAAAAATTTCAAGGTCCAGGTGATATTTTTATTTCAAGTAGTGTTGTACTGTACCTTGAAATTAATCGTAATGGTTTACATGAAGCTCCTATTATGATTTTCCCCAAAAAGTTTTAAATTTCATTTCTGAGATTAGCTGCCAATATCAAGCCATCGTGGAAAAAATTTCTAGTACTGCTAGAGAGACTATTTTCCAAATCTCTCTGTTTGGCATAATAATAATAATAATATATATTATGCTTTAGATACTGTTCTGAGCCTTTTAAAATACATTTAATTGGCACAGACACCTTAGGAGCTTGATACCGTAGCATTATTATTCCTACTTTGCAAAGGAGAAAACTGAGATGCAATGAGGCCAAGTTATTTGCCTAGAGTTACACAGAGGGTAAGAAGCAGAGCCAGGATTTGAACCTAGGCAGTTTGCTCCAGAGTCCTGAGAATAATCACTGTGGTATAACATCTTTCACAGCAGAGACAACAGGATTGGCATTAAGATGCCAGAGGAAGGGTGGAGAAATGAGATGCAGAGAAAATGCTAATTTCCTTTCCTTCAGCAACTTGTGTAGAGATTTTTTGTTCCTGAATAAAGGCAGTGTGAAAGGAAAAGAAGCACTTGTAAGCTTCAATTTGCTTTCAATGGGAATCACCGAGTTGGGTCATTATTACCACCTTTCCTTTCCTCCCGAAACATCCTGCTTGGCATTTCTACCACAGGCTTCCTTGGAAATTCTTGACTACCTGAGTTCCCATGCATGACACTCTTGCCTTGAAAAGATTAATATAAAATATCAGTCGAAGGTTTTGTATTCCCAGTGCAGATCTTTATCTCAGAATAAAAAGGGAGAAATTTACCTTCTGTGAGTCATGGGCACTCAGGAGCTGGGAACATTCCCCTGGCAGGGAGAGTTGGCAAAAAAAAAAAAAGTCCTAGTGGATTTCAAGTTTATTTGACTAATTCTTTCACCACTTGTCAAACGAAACTACTTTTGTTTAGGTAACAAAACAAGCTGTTTCCTGTGCCATTTCTCCAGTGAGTAGTATAGGCACTTGTGGCGAACACACATTACTGCTAACTGTTATGATGTTTGCTGTCAAATTCATTTATTTATACAACTGCTGCAAAAAGCCTGAGGCCCATAAGCAGCCATGAAAGATTTCAGAGTCATGGTGTGGGGTCATGAGAGGGAAAAAAATTCTCCACTGGTTATGAGAAAGGAACTGACACAGGAAATGGTCACATATGGCGCAGATTTATTGTGTCCGGGGCTTCCCATTCAAATCTCATTATAGCCACAGCTCAGAGCAGGGCATGGCACAGTCACATTCATTTTAGTTTTGGCACCCAGCAGAAATTACTGCTGCAGCTTCAAACTGAGGGCTGGAGAGGTGATAAGTTTATCATTCTGGGTAAAGAGTGTGCCAGGAATTGCATCTGCAAAGAATGCTGTTGGCTGCTCCTGTGTTTAACCCATGAACATCAGTTTGTTTAAAGCTGGCAGGCAAGATTTGCTAGCTAGCTAAATAAATAAATAAATAAAATTAACATTAAAAAGTAAGAAGGTAGAGAGAAGGTGTAGGGTGATGATGGCGAATATTATATTATAAAAGAAATGAAGAGAAAGTTAAGAATAGATGAACAGGAAAATAATCTTAGATTTTCAGGTTGGGTTTTTTTCTTGATTGGTGGAAAATATAGGTGCTCTATTCATAGACACATGTGCACAGGCACACACAGATGTATATGTACTTATGTATGTGCATTTCTTTCTTGCTGATATTTTCTTGAAAACATAGGTTGTCATTTCTACCTTCCAGCATTTTCTTCACCTGTAACTTGTCTCTTTCAACAGTGTTTATTATGAATGTTTGCAACACTTCAGGTGCTGTTCCAGAATACTAGACAAACACTGGTTTGAGATAAGGATAGAGCCATAAAAGGCAAAAGGAGACTGGAAGGTAGCTTTAAAAATTCTCTTTTTAAAATTATAGGAATGTAACAGCTTGTATTTATTAACATGTGTTTTTCTCTCACTCTGTGCATACGTCATCTAACTTAGCCCTCTCCATCAGCTTATGAATTAAGTACCATTTCCAATCCCTTTGACAATGAAAAAAATGATTCAGAGGGAGGATAAGTAACTTGTCTGTGTTTTGCAGCTAGAAAGTGGCAGAGCCAGCTTGCAATGCAAGTCTCTCTGACTTTAAAATCTGATCTCCCACTCGCTAAGCTGTACTTCCTGAGTTTGAATTTGCCTGGGCTGTTTTCAATGTAATATTCAAATAATAAAATCATAATTGGGACCATATTCTTTGATGTTTTCAGGTGAAAACATATTACAACAAAATAACGAAAATACAAAAACACTTTCTAAACCACTTTTTCAAGCAATGTATAGATGATGACATTTTACCCTAGTAAAACAATTATAAAATAGTCTATTGAATTTGTTTGAACAGATTTCTACTAATAAAAGTAAGGATTTTTTTTTGAATTTAAAAAAGTAAAAAGGAAAAATGGTTGAATCAGAAGAAGGGTCTATTGGGTATAGATCTGACCTTCTCTCTCATATTGTCATGCCATCACTTAACTTTCATCTCTTGATCTTTTTTATCAATGCAACAACTTTTATTAAAAGAGAACAAATATTTTGAGATATTCCCTGAAAGAACTGATTGTAGAGACAGAAAGGCCTTTAACAGAAAGTCTTACAGACATTTTTTGCTTCATGCAATAGCTGGTTTTATGTAGTTTTCCGTTTTTCTTGTATTAATTTGGAAGTGCGTCCTCATGGAAAATAGGCCCAACTACAAAACTTTGGCGAGATTGCTCATAAAATTGTGACAGATCCTATGATCTGTAGTTCCTGAAGTCTACCAGCCCATTTTACACCTGCAGATGCATATATTCCTCATACAGCAGCTTCCTGTTCTTAGGCAGTATCTTCAGTCCTTTCGAACTGTCTTCACTCTTGGGCGTTTTGTGGCTCCCGAGCATTGAAAGCCACTTCACTACACCAGTAACTAGCTATTAGAGTGCATCCTCCTCATTGAAAATGGTGCCAGAGGTGACTATACTCTGAAGGGCCACTGTCTAACAAACTGTGAAAGGCAATCTGAAAATGAATTAATTTTGAAGCTCTAGGACCTAAGCAGTGAGTGAATACATGTTGTACTTCTTCAATCTAATGAACTTTAAGTTTCTCATATTACTTGTAATAATAACTATTATAATTGTACTTAGTTTGGTTATAATAATTCCTATCAGTGTGTATATGTGCAAGCATATATATCTTTTTCATAATAATTAGAACTACCATATTATGGTCCCTCAATAGACTTTAAGTAGCTCTAATTCTAGACTCCAGATTAGCAAGGGTGTGTTTCCTATCACCTATATTGAATCTATTCTGCTTAAGAACATCACTCTCAATATGCCTTCACCTTATAAGTGTAACATACACCCATTTTTTTGAAGTTTAAACAAATGATTTTTTGCTTAGAATTGCCCATTCTAGAAAAGCAGACAGTTTTTCTCTATTATTTCTATTATGACCAAAACATATTTTCTTTAATAATTCTTTGGAAGATCACAGTTACTTCTTTTGTGTATTGAGGAGCACAGCTTTGAGATTTTGGAGTTTCACTCCTCATAGCCTGAGGGCCTGTGACAACATATATAAATGGGGATAAATTCAACCTGTCTTCACTTTATTTGATCTGGGACCATTTATATTTGTTAAATTAGAAATCAAATGAGGTATAAATGTTGTTTGCCACAAAAGAATTGTAAATGATTTCATTTCTTGAAAATAAGAGAATGAGTATATATTTTGTTTTTGTCAAATCTCCTACACTTTACCATGAATTGTGAAATATATTACAAAATGGCTAAAAAAATTATTGAGGGAAATGGTGGTGTTAACCTCAAGGAAAAAATCATTAATGTTGATGTATTTCATTCAATTTTAAACATATAAATTTTTCTTTTTTGTTGAAAACAGAAATATGGAAGGATTCTATGTGCATTTGAGTCAGAACATTTATTTAAATTTTTTTCTTTCCTTCAGATCCATTTTTCTAAATAAAGAATAGAAGTTTTTTTTTTTCTTTTCTTTTAATTTTTTTTTTTTTCTAGCAAAGACGACCCCTTTGGCATATTTTCTTTTCAAACGTGAAATGAGGTGGAAAATCCTCATTTCACGACAGGAAGGACAAATATTGACACAAAGTTAATATATGTTAGAACCCTGGAAGCAACCTGAATCTACACATGCACTCACACACATACACACCTGCCTCCTTCCTCCTCCTCTGCCACCAGACAGACTTCACTCACTGCCTTGGTTTCTACGTCTGTAGCTTCCTGTCTAGGGAAAGGTGGACAGAGCATACTGAATGACCAGGGTATTTTAGGAAGTTAAAGTATACACAAAGCAAGTGCTCATAGGCACACATGCACACACAAATACAACCTGCTTAATCTAATTTTCCCCACTTAGAGAAGAGCTTCTGGACTTTATCATGTTCTTGTCCATCGTGTATGCAATAGCATATGCCAAGCCAATACTCACTGGTCACTCAGCATTTATTAAGCCCTGTCCACCCTAGCCTTTTGGAAAGGAATGCCCTGGGGTGGCTGGGCGGCTGCCCCTGACAGGCTGTGTCACTTATCTATTCACATTGATTATGAAAGTCAGCTGTGGCCAGATCTCGCTTTTTTCCTTCTTCTCTCAGCCCCTCTTACAAGCACCCCTGCCTGGATTTTCATGAGGAAATAATCAGATTAGGCCTTTCACGGTGAGTTCATATGGAGTTCTCTTTCTCCAGTGTGCTACTAACTGAATAAACGTGTTTAGTGGTAAATTGTAAATGACATTATGATTACCAAAGCCAGCATGGGTTTCATTTAAAAATGATCAGAATTGCAGACCACAAAAATTGTGACTGGCAGATAGGCCATTTGGAGAAGTGGGAGAAAAGAAAAGACAAAAACAAGGGAGAAAGATAATCATTACTCAAAACTAAACCTTCCCCGAGTGACAGAAGCAGGAAGAAAACAAATCCAGAGGAAGGAAAAATGGAACGCTCTATAGAAGTGATGCTGAACTGTCACTGCAGGCTCCTGCCAGTAGTGGCTGAGGATTGAGCTCTGAAGTCTGTCACCCTCTTAAGTAGTTAATGTGTATTCTCTGCCATAATTAAGAACTACACCCATTTGGTGGCTCTGGAACCCTGCTTACGTGTGCTTTATTTTTGCCTCACGCCAAAATTAAAATAGGAGGATTGATTAAAGGTGACCTAGGAAAATGAATAAGATACTGACAAACTACCCCATCTCTTAGTCATTGGTAAACTCTGAAAAAATAAAAAATACATATATTTTTTAATTTATGAAGACCAGGATTTCAAGTCTGGCTACAAAAGTGGATAATTAATATTACTTGTTGATAATCCCTAGGCTATTGTCTTTGCTAAATATGTGGCTATATCTTTATACTCCTGGGATAGTATGATAAAATATTAAAAGGGCCAAATGAAGACATAACACAGCAAATGGACTCTTGCAAATATGTGATTTGACAAATCGTCAAACACTTTTCCATGTGTGCCTGTCAATAAATTGTGCAGAGAGAACTTCTAGTTATTACAGCCCCTTTCTCACAGGATAAATCATCACCCTGAACCTTAAGTCTAAACACAGGCCAAAAGGGGAGTTATTTAGACTACATTTAACTTTGCCAAAGGGACAGGTAGAAGTTTAGAAATATGCTTTTTTTCTTCTTCCTCATCTTCATCATTACTACTAAGTAATTATACTGAGTTAAAATTGCTGTGGCTCAAGTTTTTTCTCTATGAACTATGGATAATTAAACTTGCTATTAGAAAGTTTTAGGGAAGGGAAGTAGAGAAGGAAGAAAAGAAGAATTGAAGAAGGAAGAAGGAAGGAAAGGAGGAAGGAAGGACCACCAACCTTATGTCTTGAGGGCATCTTTGTAGTGAAGTCAAAGCTTCTTCTTTGCCATTCTAATCTCTATCCTGGCCTGTCCCACTTCCAAGCACCACACTCGTTAGTCTGTGGGTTTCTTAACAGATATATCTGTACCTACAGCTCTCCTAAGCAACCATTATGTGATAGCTGAAATGACAATGGTGTGACCACCATCCTGCCACATAAGATCTCCTTAAGCAGTATACCAGAGCATCCCATTGACAAAAACTGTGGGAAACCCTTCAGGCTCCTCTGATAGTCCCTAATTTTTACACCACTGTTAGTATAAGGATGCAATATGTTTTTCTTAATATCCCAGCTTTCCTCAGTCACTACCTACATGTCTACCACTCTCTATCTACCATCTCTAGAATACACATCTCCTTCCCAATCCATTCATGAGCTCACCCAACCTTTTACTCCGTTCCTCCAAAAGTTGTTCCTGGTGCTGTGAGAAAGTTTGTACTTGGGATCAGCAAACTCTTCTTTATATTCAAAGAACCTTCTTTTCACTCATTTACCTCAACTGGAACCTAGCCATCTTCTAAAGATTCCACTCTTTTTAAAGCCTCTTTAAGCCACACACTCAATCCTTAAGGTGTCTTTCATGTTTCCATGCTGCTCCCATGTCCTAAATAATATCCCTTAATAAAACCCCTGCCCCTCCGAGGCTGACACCATCTGGCTGACTACCTGCTTCATGAGTCTTATTGACATAATCAGCGTGGCTCTTCACTCCCTGAAGGCCAAAGAAACTGGATCACTGTTCTCTTCTTCATCCTAACTCTTTCGTGATTTTCTTAAGGTGGCTAACTCATTCAAAACCTTGACTGCTAAGAAAATAAACAAAGACTATGCAAAGAACCGGCAATTGCTATTTATCTGAACTTGCTATAGCAAGTGAGTCGGCCACCATAACTTCAATTTGGTAGAGATGCAAAGGCACACAGAAAAGTAGGAAAGCTTTATAGTGGAAAAAAGGGAAAGCTTCAGGTTAATGCTTTGATTAATGCTGTTGGCATGGGGAAGCTGGACACAGTCAAACTAGAAGTGGGGCATCCCATGTGGTTGGTTATGGATACATATTTTGCTTTCTCTAATTGGTTCTAAGTTGGAAACTGAGGCAAAAATTGGGGAATTATCAGGGAAAACACGGAAGCTGACAGTTATTAATCAAGTACTGGCTGTTTGAGGCTTGTTGTTTCACGGGTTATTATTTGGTCTTCTAGGACTGGTTACTGCTGTTTGTTGGTCAGAGTTCTATTTTGGTATCTGGCCTAGATATTGTCAGTTTATATATTATCTCTCATTGTTCATATCATCTTCAAGTCCTCTCTAGAAGAATGCCAGACACAGAGAAGGTCTTCAGTAAATGTTAGCCATTGCTGTTAGTATTTCTATCAGGTATGCTTTTTCCCCCACAGTACCTTACTACTCACTGACACAGTGATAACATTGAAATTGTCATGATCACTGAACTTCAAAATCATGAACTTAAGTACCATACTTTCAAGGAATAATTCAGGTCTTTCCAACTCAAATTGTTCAAGAGCCCCTTCCTTGTGGCATTAAACTCATTGCCATGTGCATTTTTCTAATATGCATGAGTGCCTTCCCTTCATTTCCCTTCTTATGCAGCTGAAATGAGCTATGCTTTCTTATCATCAGTTCTTTGTATATAACTTTAATACCTATGACTCTTTGTCCTTGGCATAGCCAGGCATGAACCCAACCTTGAATAAACTCAGCCATTCTGTTTGTCCATTCCATCTTACTGGGTATAGCCAAAGCATGTACTCATACATTCTCCACAACACGGGCAGACTAAATTTTCTGTGAAGATGATAAAGATTAGGTTTCAGGCTCTTCACTTACATGCGCCCCTTGCAAGGCTCCAAAACAAATCTCAGCTATGTGTTTGCATAGATCTGTGCTTTTGTAAAATTTTCAAAATTAAGATATTTTAACCAGAATTAGGATAATTCTCTCTTTCCACTCTAAATATTCCTTCATCATAAGTGGTGTGGGGTTGAGTGACAGTGGACTAGCTACAGCATTTTTGAAATCTAGCTAAGGGGAAACTGAGTTGGACATGCATTTGATTTGGGCTTAGTAGGGTGTGATTTGTATGGTTCCTAATCACTTCTATATAAAATTATTACTAGACATCTATGTCGACTTACCCGGTGTTGCAACACACAGAAGCCAGACCCTAGGTCACACTGTGTTATGAACATAATCTAAAACATGAGGAGAAAGTGAAAGGTATAAGAGATGTAGGATTGGGGTAACAGTCCAATAAAAGCTACTCTGTGAACATTTATTCAAGTATTACAGCTCATACATGAGAAAACCTTTCTAAGAGACTTCCCACATTTGACAAAAATTCTAAACATGAAAATGTCCCTGTCTGACAGCTTTGAAGAGAGCAGTGGTTCTCCCAGCATGCAGCTGGAGATCTGAGAACGGGCAGACTACCTCCTCAAGTGGGTCCCTGACCCCTGACCCCCGAGCAGCCTACCTGGGAGGCACCCCCCAGCAGGAGCAGACTGACACCTCACACGGGCGGGTACCCCAACAGACCTGCAGCTGAGGGTCCTGTCTGTTAGAAGGAAAACTAACAAACAGAAAGGACATCCACACCAAAAACTCATCTGTACATCACCATCATCAAAGACCAAAAGTAGATAAAACCACCAAGATGGGGAAAAAACAGAGCACAGAAACTGGAAACTCTAAAAAGCAGAGCGCCTCTCCTCCTCCAAAGGAACGCAGTTCCTCACCAGCAATGGAACAAAGCTGGACGGAGAATGACTTTGACGAGCTGAGAGAAGAAGGCTTCAGACGATCAAATTACTCCAAGCTACGGGAGGAAATTCAAACCAAAGGCAAAGAAGTTGAAAACTTTGAAAAAAGTTTAGAAGAATGTATAACTAGAATAACCAATACAGAGAAGTGCTTAAAGGAGCTGATGGAGCTGAAAACCAAGGCTCGAGAACTACGTGAAGAATGCGGAACCCTCAGGAGCTGATGCGATCAACTGGAAGACAGGGTATCAGTGATGGAAGATGAAGTGAATGAAATGAAGTGAGAAGGGAAGTTTAGAGAAAAAAGAATAAAAAGAAACGAGCAAAGCCTCCAAGAAATATGGGACTATGTGAAAAGACCAAATCTACGTCTGATTGGTGTACCTGAAAATGACGGGGAGAATGGAACCAAGTTGGAAAACACTCTGCAGGATATTATCCAGGAGAACTTCCCCAATCTAGCAAGGCAGGCCAACATTCAGATTCAGGAACTACAGAGAATGCCACAAAGATACTCCTCGAGAAGAGAAACTCCAAGACACATAATTGTCAGATTCACCAAAGTTGAAATGAAGGAAAAAATGTTAAGGGCAGCCAGAGAGAAAGGTCTGGTTACCCACAAAGGGAAGCCCATCAGACTACCAGCAGATCTCTCGGCAGAAACTCTACAAGCCAGAAGAGAGTGGGGGCCAATATTCAACATTCTTAAAGAAAAGAATTTTCAACCCAGAATTTCATATCCAGCCAAACTAAGCTTCATCAGTGAAGGAGAAATAAAATACTTTACAGACAAGCAAATGCTGAGAGATTTTGTTACCACCAGGCCTGCCCTAAAAGAGCTCCTGAAGGAAGCACCAAACATGGAAAGGCACAACTGGTACCAGCCTCTGCAAAATCATGCCAAATTGTAAAGACCATCGAGACTAGGAAGAAACTGCATGAACTAACGAGCAAAATAACCAGCTAACATCATAATGACAGGATCAAATTCACACATAACAATATTAACTTTAAATGTAAATGGACTAAATGCTCCAATTAAAAGACACAGACTGGCAAACTGGATAAAGAGTCAAGACCCATCAGTGTGCTGTATTCAGGAAACCCATCTCACGTGCAGAGACACACATAGGCTCAAAATAAAAGGATGGAGGAAGATCTACCAAGCAAATGGAAAACAAAAAAAGGCAGGGGTTGCAGTCCTAGTCTCTGATAAAACAGACTTTAAACCAACAAAGATCAAAAGAGACGAAGAAGGCCATTACATAATGGTAAACGGATCAATTCAACAAGAAGAGCTAACTATCCTAAATATATATGCACCCAATACAGGAGCACCCAGATTCATAAAGCAAGTCCTGAGTGACCTACACAGAGACTTAGACTCCCACACATTAATAATGGGAGACTTTAACACCCCACTGTCAACATTAGACAGATCAACGAGACAGAAAGTCAACAAGGATACCCAGGAATTGAACTCAGCTCTGCACCAAGCAGACCTAGTAGACATCTACAGAACTCTCCACCCCAAATCACCAGAATATACAATTTTTTCAGCACCACACCACACCTGTTCCAAAATTGACCACATAGTTGGAAGTAAAGCTCTCCTCAGCAAATGTAAAAGAACAGAAATTATAACAAACTATCTCTCAGACCACAGTGCAATCAAACTAGAACTCAGGATTAAGAATCTCACTCAAAACCGCTCAACTACATGGAAACTGAACAACCTGCTCCTGAATGACTACTGGGTACGTAACGAAATGAAGGCAGAAATAAAGATGTTCTTTGAAACCAACGAGAACAAAGACACAACATACCAGAATCTCTGGGACTCATTCAAAGCAGTGTGTAGAGGGAAATTTATAGCACTAAATGCCCACAAGAGAAAGCAGGAAAGATCCAAAATTGACACCCTAACATCACAATTAAAAGAACTAGAAAAGCAAGAGCAAACACATTCAAAAGCTAGCAGAAGGCAAGAAATAACTAAAATCAGAGCAGAACTGAAGGAAATAGAGACACAAAAAACCCTTCAAAAAATTAATGAATCCAGGAGCTGGTTTTTTGAAAGGATCAACAAAATAGATAGACCGCTAGCAAGACTAATAAAGAAAAAAAGAGAGAAGAATCAAATAGAAGCAATAAAAAATGATAAAGGGGATATCACCACCGATCCCACAGAAATACAAACTACCATCAGAGAATACTACAAACAACTCTATGCAAATAAACTAGAAAATACAGAAGAAATGGATAAATTCCTCGACACATACACTCTCCCAAGACTATACCAGGAAGAAGTTGAATCTCTGAATAGACCAATAACAGGAGCTGAAATTGTGGCAATAATCAATAGCTTACCAACCAAAAAGAGTCCAGGACCAGATGGATTCACAGCCGAATTCTACCAGAGGTACAAGGAGGAACTGGTACCATTCCATCTGAAACTATTCCAATCAATAGAAAAAGAGGGAATCCTCCCTAACTCATTTTATGAGGCCAGCATCATCCTGATACCAAAGCTGGGCAGAGACACAACTGAAAAAGAGAACTTTAGACCAATATCCTTGATGAACATTGATGCAAAAATCCTCAATAAAATACTGGCAAAACGAATCCAGCAGCACATCAAACAGCTTATCCCCCATGATCAAGTGGACTTCATCCCTGGGATGCAAGGCTGGTTCAATATATGCAAATCAATAAATGTAATCCAGCATATAAACAGAACAGAAGACAAAAACCACATGATTATCTCAATAGATGCAGAAAAGGCCTTTGACAAAATTCAACAACACTTCATGCTAAAAACTCTCAATAAATTAGGTATTGATGGGACGTATCTCAAAATAATAAGAGCTATCTATGAAAAACCCACAGCCAATATCATACTGAATGGGCAAAAATTGGAAGCATTCCCTTTGAAAACTGGCACAAGACAGGGATGCCCTCTCTCACCACTCCTATTCAACATAGTGTTGGAAGTTCTGGCCAGGGCAATCAGGCAGGAGAAGGAAATAAAGGGTATTCAATTAGGAAAAGAGGAAGTCAAATTGTCCCTGTTTGCAGACGACATGATTGTATATCTAGAAAACCCCATTGTCTTAGCCCAAAATCTCCTTAAGCTGATAAGCAAATTCAGCAAAGTCTCAGGATACAAAATCAGTGTACAAAAATCACAAGCATTCTTATACACCAACAACAGACAAACAGAGAAACAAATCATGAGTGAACTCCCATTCACAATTGCTTCAAAGAGAATAAAATACCTAGGAATCCAACTTACAAGGATGTGAAGGACCTCTTCAAGGAGAACTACAAACCACTGCTCAATGAAATAAAAGAGGATACAAACAAATGGAAGAACATTCCATGCTCATGGGTAGGAAGAATCAATATCGTGAAAATGGCCATACTGCACAAGGTAATTTACAGATTCAGTGCCATCCTCATCAAGCTACCAATGACTTTCTTCACAGAATTGGAAAAAACTACTTTAAAGTTCATATGGAACCAAAAAAGAGCCTGCATCACCAAGTCAATCCTAAGCCAAAAGAACAAAGCTGGAGGCATCACGCGACCTGACTTCAAACTATACTACAAGGCTACAGTAACCAAAACAGCATGGTACTGCTACCAAAACAGAGATATAGATCAATGGAACAGAACAGAGCCCTCAGAAATAACGCCGCGTATCTACAACTATCTGATCTTTGACAAACCTGAGAAAAACAAGCAATGGGGAAAGGATTCCCTATTTAATAAATGGTGCTGGGAAAACTGGCTAGCCATATGTAGAAAGCTGAAACTGGATCCCTTCCTTACACCTTATACAAAAATCAATTCAAGATGGATTAAAGACTTAAACATTAGACCTAAAACCATAAAAACCCTAGAAGAAAACCTAGGCATTACCATTCAGGACATAGGCATGGGCAAGGACTTCATGTCTAAAACACCAAAAGCAATGGCAACAAAAGGCAAAATGGACAAATGGGATCTAATTAAACTAAAGAGCTTCTGCACAGCAAAAGAAACTACCATCAGAGTGAACAGGCAACCTACAAAATGGGAGAAAATTTTCACAACCTACTCATCTGACAAAGGGCTAATATCCAGAATCTACAATGAACTCAAACAAATTTACAAGAAAAAAACAAACAACCCCATTAAAAAGTGGGCAAAGGACATGAACAGACACTTCTCAAAAGAAGACATTTATGCAGCCAAAAAACACATGAAAAAATGCTCACCATCACTGGCCATTAGAGAAATGCAAATCAAAACCACAATGAGATACCATCTCACACCAGTTAGAATGGCAATCATTAAAAAGTCAGGAAACAACAGGTGCTGGAGAGGATGTCGAGAAATAGGAACACTTTTACACTGTTGGTGGCACTGTAAACTAGTTCAACCATTGTGGAAGTCAGTGTGGCGATTCCTCAGGGATCTAGAACTAGAAATACCATTTGACCCAGCCATCCCATTACTGGGTATATACCCAAATGACTATAAATCATGCTGCTATAAAGACACATGCACACGTATGTTTATTGCGGCATTATTCACAATAGCAAAGACTTGGAACCAACCCAAATGTCCAACAATGATAGACTGGATTAAGAAAATGTGGCACGTATACACCATGGAATACTATGGAGCCATAAAATGTGATGAGTTCATGTCCTTTGTAGGGACATGGATGAAATTGGAAATCATCATTCTCAGTAAACTATCGCAAGAACAAAAAACCAAACACTGCATATTCTCACTCATAGGTGGGAATTGAACAATGAGAACACATGGACACAGGAAGAGGAACATCGCACTCTGGGGACTGTTGTGGGGTGGGGGGAGGGGGGAGGGATAGCATTGGGAGATATACCTAATGCTAGATGACGAGTTAGTGGGTGCAGCGCACCAGCATGGCACATGTATACATATGTAACCTGCACATTGTGCACATGTACCCTAAAACTTAAAGTATTATAATAAATTTAAAAAAAAATTATAAACATTTGCACATACCAATAATGAGTTGCGAAGCTGAAACAAATTCTTCTAAACTACCAATGAAATTATGGAAAACAAACGTCAATCATCCAAGCTATAGAAAATACTAAATTATCTTTCTGTCTTCTCTATAAAAAATATTACAACATTGTTGTTATATGAAGAAGCAATACAACAGTTACAATAAAATATAGGAAGGATGATACAGAGGTAAGCTGGGTAGTATATGTATTACCTTTCCCTAGATTTTATCATGTTTGTGGTACTTACGAGGTTTTTAAAACATAATTGTGTTGTGATTTTTTTCTCATTTTAAATAATTCATTCCCACTCCAAATTTTGAATTGATATCTTTGTACCTACTTTTATGGAATGGTTCCCTCACATTGTATAAGCACTAAAGTAACAGAAAGACTGAGTTTGCACCTCTTTCACAATGACTGTTTTATACCATCTTCTCAGTCCACAAACATTTGACCCAACTTTCCTGCCCCTCATCTTAGCCCCCAATACTCACCGTCATACTTGACTTCCTGTTGATAACCGTGCTTGCCTCACACCTCCCAGCAGATAGAGTGCCTTCAATCTCCCACCCACCTCCACCTGTGCTTACACTCTCTGCCCTCCTTCCTGCTTCAAGGGAGATGAAGTCTTTCAACCTATCCAATCCCATCTTATTTAAGAAGGCTGTGGACCCTGTTCTTCCTTAGCCTCTCAGAGAGCTTACTGTGTCAGTCATCCACTCCCTCCAACATTAGCCTCTCACTTTTTATGAGTTCTGTCTTATCTACAGCACTTCAGCTTGCATCTAAACACAACAATCTACCTTTTTGAAATGTACATTTTAAGAGACTCTGAATTATTACATCTATGCATTAGCTGCTTCTCACAATTTCATTGTGAGTGTTAGACTGGTTTATTCCAATAACATTAAAGATAAAAGAACCTACTTTTCAGCTCATGTAGGGCATTTCATTTGTACAGAATCCTTATTGTCAAAACTCTAAGGTAAAAATTCTTGCTGAAATAGGCTTGTATTATCAGAGATGACTAATTGTTTGGTGGGATTATTTAATTTGTGGGGTTTTTCGGGTCTGTTTTAACTTTCTTTATAAAAGGAAAATTTTCTACTTATCCACAATAATATATCTGATATACAAATCATTTTTCCCCTCAGTGGCTAAAGCTACTTGTATATAGCTTCATCTCTATAAAGAGTTTGGGGCAGTCACATCCCAATCATCATTCTCATATTTCTAACAAAGAAACCTCAGCTCTGACTTCTGAGAAACATTGGGCTAGAAAAAGTATATCTGTCACAAGACTACATAGCCTTGAAATATAACTAATTTGTTATTTATTACAGATTTTTTTTGTACGGTATTTTTCCTAGGGTAGAAAAAATTGTAAAGAGTATATTCTGGAGAAAAGATATCTTGTTCGTTGTATGTTTTGTCAAGAAGATCTGAACCAAAGAAGTAATTTAAATATTCTTTATTCTTATCTTGAATCAAAATGAGTATATTTTTCATTTTTGGGGAGTGTAGAAAGGAAAGAATGATGAGAATATTTTATAATAACTAATATTTGATGAAACTCTTTATTTAAATAAGAAGATACTAATTATTAACTTTCTGAAGGTCATAGGGGTAAATCTCCAACCAGATATGAGAAATCAAAATCCATGTGGTCCTTTCACAGCAAGGTATTCATACACAGAGGTTTAAAACATAAAAATGGGAGAAAATAGGAATAAAAATAATGCGTGTAATTGGCACTGCACTAGTTCCTTTGCAATCAGGAAGGTAATTGGCTAAGTTTAAACAAGCAAATAACTAACACATAGTTGAGAAGCCTGGCATT
Source organism: Homo sapiens (assembly GCF_000001405.40). NCBI lineage: Eukaryota > Metazoa > Chordata > Mammalia > Primates > Hominidae > Homo > Homo sapiens. Next base: position 51,664,674 of record NC_000006.12, on the reverse strand, counting down.
TGATCTCTAGTTTTAACACAGTGCTTAATAATAACAATATGGCAACTAGAGAGAGGAGCCATAGTAACAAAATCTTACTGCATGCACAAGGAATCCAAATAAATGTTTATCCAATTCCTTACCACAATCTAGGGTTTGTAATTAAATTCATACAAAATGCCAATGGGTCATAAAGATTTGTGAATTTTCATTCTCTGTCATCTTATTCCTGAGTTTCCTCATGGACCGGTCCTGGGCTAAACTCTCCAGGGTGTGCAAGGGCTCTGCATCACACACTTTCAGCAGAGATTGTGCCCTCTCGGGCTCCAACCCTGCACGATTCAAACCCTTTTCTCCCTCTGTCTCCTTCTCTCCCTCTCAAGTGCCTGCCTTCTACCTAGGTAGTTTGTCATATTCTTTTTCATCCAGTGTCATGACTGAATAGTGGAATGGGGAACTTTGGATCCTTGAGGCAGAAATGGCTTGGGTGACCAGCCTTTATGACAGACTGGCTTCTGGGTGGAATATGTAAAAATAAATAAATAAGTAATAATGGGCCTCTTTGAAGGTATACATCCTACTAGTATAACTCCTGTACCTTATTACTCCAAAAAAATGTTAATTACATTTTAAAAGGCCATTTTTTATTATTTTGGCCTTGGAAGTTACCTGTCATAAGGAATGGAGGTATGAAAGAAAAACTTATTTTCCACCCATGTGTATTTATTTAATGAATAAATGAATTGTTCCCAAAATGCTTTATTACAACAGAACCTGTTGTGGACAAATCAACTATGAGATACAATAGCAGAAGAAAATTTATAAAAGTATAGTCAGCCATAATTTCAATCTTATGGATACATGTGAAATAGATGTATTACAGTATTGCCTAACATATATTAAGAATCAATTTAGAGGATGATACAATAAATTTTTGTGATATACTCAATTATTATTGTTATGCTGAGTTGACTTAAAATATATTTGTACTATAGAGTAAGAGTCTTATAATTAGACACCTGACAAGAACACATAAAGTGATTTGAAGAATAGGAATTTTGAAAAGGACATTACATATCAATCAGCTAATAAATATTAAAAGCATCTACTGTGCTTGAGGTAGAATGTTGACCCTTGTGGTGATTTAGAGATGAAATATTGTCCCTGACCTGAAGAGATAACCCTTAAGAACACTGATGCCTACTAACGTCATGTGATTTATCAAATTACATACAGTTAGATGGTAGCAGAGAATGATTGAGAATCATCAACAAAGGAAGTGATTGTTTTTGTTTAATTATTTATTTATAATTATAACAGAACTGTACATCTTTAGAGGTCACTTTAAGACATTATATCTCTTAGATGAGAAGTAGGAAGAACAAAGCCAGAGATTTATAAAATTGGATGGAATGTGAGTGATTAATCAATAACATCAGCATGGCTGAAAAAAATGTGTAAAAAGGAGAGTGAGCTGCCAAGTTTAGAAAAGGGGAACCTCTGTGATTTGAGGATTTCCCATGAGGAAATGTTACCTAACTATCTTATTTGGAAAAGATATAACTGTAGTAGAGATTGGTGCATCAGGATCTCAAAACAAAATTTCTAGGGCCATTAAGACCATGTAATTAATTTGCCTTCATACTGGATCCATGCTTCTGAAGACAACTCTTAACATTAGAGTTAGCCTATGATATAATCACAGGGAAAAAAACACAATGTGAAGGTTAAAAAAAGGAGACTATTCCTTTAAATTTGATAATTAAATTTTTATTTAATTTTTAGCATTCAATGCAATGAATCCAATTTCATTAAGAGACATAGAACAGTTCAAAATTTCTGTTTTATCTTGTGTCAATTTTAAAGAAATTTGTCTACTTTAAGTTGTTGAATGTGTTGGCAAATGTTTGTTTGTAATAGTTTCTCTTTTTTTTCTGCAGAATCTGTAATGATAATCCTTTCATTCTTAAAATTGGTGATTTGTATTCTCTTTATTTTGATCGGTCTAGGGAAGAGTTAGTCAATTTTGTTGCTGTTTTCCAAGAATCGCTTTCTCTATTGTTTTATTTTGTTTTGTTGTTGTTTCTTTTCTACTTCATTGATTTCTGCAATCATATTGATTATTTCCTTTCTTTGACTTTTCTGTGATCTTTTTCTAAATTCCTTAAAAAATTTTTGACGTGCAGTTCTGTTATTTTTTTCCAGCTTTTATGAGGCATAATTGACAAATAAAAATTTTAAATATTTAGGATATACTATATAATGTGATGTTTTGATACACATATACATTGCGAAAACTAATATATCCATTACCTCATTATTACCTTTTTACTTGTATGTGTGTGTGCGTGTGTGTGTGGTGAGAATATGTTAAGATCTACCCCCTTAGCAAATTTTAATTATATCATACAGTATTATTAACTGCAATCACCATGCTGTCCATTGTATCTTTTTTCAAAATTCTTAAGGTAGTACCATATAGGACATTGCTTTTAGATAATTCTTCTTTGCTTATATGAGCATTTAACACTATAAATTTTCCCATAAAAGTACTGTTTTAACTTCATTCCCCAAATTTTAATATAGTAAAAGTATAATTATTATTGTTTTAAATATTTTATAGTTTTCCTTGTGACTTTTAATCATCCCTGTTTTTGCTGTTATTGTTGAAGAAAAAGTAAAACATGTGCCCTACTTCTGAACCAACAATTTGGTAGTTAAATTTATTAACACCATGGTCAGGTTTAGCATAGATTTATAATTATATCATATGGATGGAAGAATATAGGAAAGACTAGATTATATGCAAATCTAGTATTTCCTACATTAAAGATAATTTGATTTTTTGTTCCATTTCTTAAGCTACTTTTATGAACTTACACTAAGGCAAATTTTAAAAATCTAGAAAACAATACAGAATGATTTCGTGAATATAAATTTTAAATCAAAGAAATTCTTTATTGAAAGATAAAATATCCCTATGGATTCAAAACAAGAACTATTCTGGGTTCATATAGGAGGTATTAGGAATGGTAGAAATAATGAATAACGCTGTTCCTTTAAATGTTTTATTAACCCTCACCATCCTCAACTTGGACTCTTTAATATCAACAACTTCCGAAGTTACTACTTTCTTCTTTCCTTCTTCTTGTATTTCTTTACTTTTTATGTTTAGGGAAAAATAGAGTATGAGAAAATTATATAGTTTGACATCCAAACTCTTTCACAATCTGGTCAGACACACCTCTTCAATTTTAATATGCCTTCATAATTTCTCTGTTCCACCCATTCCCCTCCATCTACCTCTTCTCCCATTCGCTTGGATGTTACTACCCCTTCTCTTATACCCTATTTCTATTATGGAGCTATGATATTGTGAGATTCTTTCTATATCTATATCTATCTAAATCTGTATCTATATCTATATATCTATATCTATATCTAATCTATATCTGTATCTATATTTCTGGTTCCTGAGGCAGAGCTACTAAAATCAGTAGTGCTAGGAGACTCTTTTGTTCGAATATTTGATCTTTGACTCTGGTTGCTGACACAGAAGCCCTAAGATATTTGTAATTCCCTAAGTGACAGAAACATTGGATACACAGTTCCTAAATCCCTTGGAATTTCCTGGGTGATAGGAATATCTTTTTTTTCTAATGAGCTAATGCCTCAACTACTGGATAGCCTCAGGATGGAGGCTGGTTGCCAGGGGAACCAATCACGTGACTAGAGGGTTGGAACATCAAGCCTCATCTCCTCACCATCCCCATTTCAGGGGAAGGGAGAGAGTCTGAAGGTTGAGTCGATCACCAACAACCAATAACTTAGTCAATCATACCTACATAATGGAGCCTCCATGAAAGGCTGAAAGGACAGGATTGGGAGAGCTTTCAGGTGGCTGAACGCATGGAAGTGTCTTGAGGGTGGCACATGCAGAGGGCATGGAAGCTCCATGCCCTTCCCACATGCCTTGTCCTATGCGTCTCTTCCATCTGTCTGTTCATCTGCGTCTTTTGTAATATCCTTTATAATAAATGAAAAAACATAAGTAAATGTTTCCCTGAGTTTTGTAAGCCTCTCTAGCGAGTTAATTGAATTCAAGGATGGAGTCCTGAGAGCCCTGATTTATATAGCCAGTTGTTCAGAAGCAGAGGTCACAGCCTAGGACTTGCAATTGGCATCTGAAATAGGGGCATGCTTGTAAGACTGAGCCCTTACCTTGTGGAGTCTGCACTAACTTTGTTTAGTATCAGAATTTGGTTAAATTATGTGACACCCAGTTTGTATCCACTGGAGAATTGGTTGCTGGTGTGGTGAAATACCTACACATTTTGGTGACCAGAGGTGAGGTATTTTGTGTTATATGGAGTGTGTGAGAGTAGTAAAAAGCAGTTTATCTTGCTTTTCTCTCAAGGGCCCTTAATGATTATTTCATTGTCTTGATTCTTTTACTTCTTCAACTCCTTTTCTCAGTTATTATCTCCATTATTAACTTTAAATAACATATTATGTAACATATACTTTTAAAATATATTAAAGAACTATTATTTAATTTTTAAAAATATTTTGCCGCAATCTTCCTTGCACTCTCAGTATCTGGCACAATTAGATGTTTAATAAATATTTTATCCAGTTATAGATGATGGCAAGAGTGATGGATTACAAATAATCATTGACAGATTATAATTCATATATCACTTGTTTTGCTTCTTTTCTTTTATAGGTACATTTAGAGAAGAACAGAAATGTACATACCAATTTCTGATGCAAGGATTCATCTGCAAACAGACTGACCAAGTGGTCCTAATTCTTGATAGCGCTGATGCCATTTGGGCAATTCAGAAGTTATATCCAGTTGTATCTGTGACTAGTGGTTTTGTTGATGTCTTTAGCAGTGTAAATGCCAATATTCCCTGCTCTACTTCTGGGTCAGTGTCTACTTTCTATTCTATCTTACCCATCAGGCAAATCACCAAAGTCTGCTTCATGGATCAAACTCCTCAAGTTTTGCGCTTTTTTCTATTGGGGAACAAAAGTACCTCCAAGCTTCTCTTGGCTGTATTCTACCATGAGCTCCAGAGCCCCCACGTCTTCTTAGGGGAAAGTTTTATTCCACCCACTCTGGTTCAGTCAGCTTCCTTATTGCTGAATGAATCTATTGGTGCCAACTATTTCAACATCATGGATAACCTCTTGTATGTTGTCCTACAAGGAGAGGAGCCCATTGAAATACGCTCAGGTGTTTCCATTCACTTGGCCCTCACTGTGATGGTTTCAGTCTTAGAAAAAGGCTGGGAAATAGTAATACTCGAAAGACTAACTAACTTCTTACAGATTGGCCAAAACCAAATCAGGTTTATTCACGAGATGCCTGGCCATGAAGAGACCTTAAAGGCCATTGCTGACAGTAGAGCAAAAAGAAAGCGCAATTGCCCTACTGTGACTTGCACTAGTCATTATAGAAGAGTTGGTCAACGTAGGCCTCTCATGATGGAAATGAACTCACATAGGGCTTCACCCCCAATGACTGTGGAAACTATCTCAAAAGTGATTGTCATTGAAATTGGTGATTCGCCAACAGTAAGGAGCACTGGAATGATTTCATCCTTATCAAGTAACAAATTACAGAATTTGGCTCATCGAGTCATCACTGCTCAACAGACTGGGGTACTAGAGAATGTTCTGAATATGACTATCGGGGCCTTACTAGTTACTCAGTCAAAGGGAGTCATTGGCTATGGGTAAGTACTAATTATATTCACATCCAAATGAGGGCTGATTTTTTAGGTCCATATTGACATATGTTGCAAATGTCAATCTACTTACACTGAATCATATAACTCATCTGCTTTTTAAGATAAGAATAAAAATTCAAAGAGTCATTTAAAGACTTAAATTCTTAGTTTTTAGATTCTATATTAAATTCATGTTTTTCATGATTATTCTATTTCCAAGGTGGTAGAAAACATTATATTTTGATTCCTTAAGGTGAAAAGCATGTAGGAAGAGATATTTTTGAAGCAACTTGTTTTTAGTTCATTTGATTGTTTATTTATTTATTTAATGAATTTAAGCAATGGGCTAGGTTCTAGGGTTGGTAAAGTGAAATAGATGTTATTCTGTTGCTACTGCTATATCATTTTATTTGTGATAGTGCTAATAAGCTATTAGTATTTAATGGGTAGTGACTACTTCTATACAACCATCTCCAGTGAATGTGGAATTTGGTAGAACTTAAATAAAAAGCAAAACTAAAAAGAAAACCACGTCCTCACACTTGGAGAAATATTCAGCTAATACATTGATTGTCTTTTTGTACACAGAGCAACATATCCAAGTGAAAGTTTAGCTAGTGTTTTTGTGTTTATAATAGAGATGGATGTTCCTCTTTCCTGTTATACATTGATATATAAAGAGGATGAGAAAAAATGCAAGCAAATTTTTCTGGATCTGGTTGATTTAAGGCCTTTGGGAATTGTTAACTTAAAATTAAAAGGTACTCATAGCTTATTATTATTCAAAATTTATTCAGTTTTGGATATTTTTGTCAACTACCAAACCTTCACCATGTTAGTGACATTATTATAATATTGTGTATGGTGGTATGAGAATTAGAATGCTTAAAGAAATGATGCTGATGCATCTTAGCTTACATTGAAATATCTTTCCTTTTGCCCAATTTTATTTAGATCCCACTGAGTTCTTGTAAGTATATTATAAGTATACATACATGAATAATTTTTGTCTAGAGAGAAAGAGAGTCAGTTTATTGCTTAATTTTATTTAGATTTTACAGTACTGAGCTTTCTAATAGGTCGTAATTCCAAAATGACTGATTTTATATTATATATAAAAGACGACTCAGTTAATATTGTGCTTTTAACTAGAAACAGAGAAAAGTCAATGAGTAGAAGCAATAGAGGTACATCAGAAGAAAACCAGCAGAGAGTGGATCCAGCACAAGTTTAGATATATACACACATATATGTGGGGCATGCCATTCTATCATGAGGAAGTGAAACAGCTTCAGAGAAAAGATCACTTTTATTTATCACCCACCATTTGTCATAGCCATCATGTTTTTTTACTTTTGACTCAGTTATTTCTGATTTAATAAGAAACAGTTCAAAGTGTATAATATAGCATTGATTTTGTGTTGGAATGTGTTCTATCCGCCTATCTCTCTCTCTTTTTCTTTAGCATTTTAAAAGACATTTTCTAGACATAAGGCAAAGAGTAAATCTTCTGAAGATAAAGAAGGGCTGCTTCTTAAGTATGTCTGAACAAATTTCTCCCGAATAAGAAATGCCATATCCTATGGCATTCAATGAGAATTAGCAAGGTTTCTCATGTTTTCTAGTGTTGCACAGTATGATAAAAAACCAAACCAAAATGAAACAAAACCCTAAAGCCCGACACAGTCTCCAGAGCCAGCCTTGTTTCTTTCAGCTTTGATCACAGTCAGTTGGGTCTTCCATTGAACTCACTGGAGAGCCATTGACGAGCCCATGAACTGACCTTAAGCCAGCAGAAATGAGTCTAGGAATGCAGTTCTTTCTTTTTTTTTTTTTTATTATTATTATACTTTAAGTTTTTTCATGGAAAAGTACCAAGGATGTTCTCCAGTGGTTTGCTCTCGTTAATTTAATGAGCTTATATGCATTTCAACAAATTCAGGCCATACTGGACACATTTTTCTAAGAGAGTACTAGCTACTTTCAAAAGCTACCAACTTTGGGCCAGGCGTGATGGCTCACACCTGTAATCTCAGCACTTTGGGAGGTGGAGGTAGGTGGATAGCTTGAGCGCAGGAGTTTGAGACCAGCCTAGGCAACATGGTGAAACCCCGTCTCTACAAAAACACAAAAATTAGCTGGATGTGATGGTGCATGCCTGTAGTCCCAGCTACTTGGAAGGCTGAGGTGGATTGTTTTAGCCTGGGAGAGAGAGGTTGCAATGAGCTGAGATTATGCCACTACACACCAGCCTGGGTGACAGAGCCAGATACTGTCTTAAAAAAAAAAAAAAAGAAAGAAAAGCTATAAGCTACCAACTCTGTTTTGTGGGAAGAAACGGAGTAGCCATCTACTTTTAAAGTAAATAATACACAGTGAACTAGCCTCTTCTGGTCTTTCTCTAGAGGCATCTGGATTCAAGCATCCTCTGCTTAGCTAAGTTTCCATCACCATGTTTTCCAACTTCCAAAACTTTGTTGATCTCTGTTGTCATTTGTTGTCTTCTTGCATGTGGCATGGTGGTTTGCTGCACCTATCAACCTGCCATCTAGGTTTTCAGCCCCACATGCGTTAGGTATTTGTCCTAATGCTCTCCCTTCCCTTGCTCCCCACCCGTCAACAGGCCCCGGTGTGTGATGTTCCCCTCACTGTGTCCATGTATTGTCATTATTCAACTCCCACTTATGAGTGAGAACATGCGGTGTTTGGTTTTCTGTTCCTGTGTTAGTTTGCTGAGAATGATGGCTTCCAGCTTTGTCCTTGTCTCTGCAAAGGGCATGAACTGATTCTTTTTTATGACTGCATAGCATTCCATGGTGTATATGTGCCACATTTCTTTATCCAGTCTATCATTGATGGGCATTTGGGTTGGTTCCAAGTCTTTGCTATTGTGAATAGTGCTGCAATAAACATATGTGTGCATGTGTCTTTATAGTAGAATGATTTATAAATAATCCTTTGGGTATATCCCCAGTAGTGGGATTGCTGAGTCAAATGGTATTTCTTGTTCTAGATCCTTGAGGAATCGCCACACTCTCTTCCACAATGGTTGAACTAATTTACACTCCCACCAACAGTGTAAAAGTGTTCCTATTTCTCCACAGGCTCACCAGCATCTGTTATTTCCTGACTTTTTAATAATTGCCTTTCTGACTGGCATGAGATAGTATCTCATTGTGGTTTTTCAGGGACCTCAATTCTGTAGTCATAGGAAATGCATTCTTCCAACAACCTGTTTGGAAGTGAACTCTTCAGTAAACCCAGCCAAGCCTGTCTGGACTCCTGGCCCACTCCCTGGAGATAACACATTTGTGTTACTGTAAGCCACTGACTGTGGTAATTTGTTATACAGCAATAGAAAGTAATATGGCATATCACATAAAGCTCTTTGTTTGTGACATTGCCATGAATTTTGGGCCATGAAAACAGTTACTGTGAGGGTGAGCATGACACTGTGGGAGTGTGTGTCTGGGTGTGTGCAATGTGTATATACTTATCATATTAGTAGCTTTTTAAGTTCCCCCATTCTGCATAAGGAGCACCCTATCAGGTTGCTTTGGAATAGAGAAGAAAACCAGGAAAGCCAATCAATTATACAAGTCTTTTGGCATTCAGTCACCTTTAGCATTTTCTCTTCTGCATCTTCTCCTCTTTATGTATCCTGGGCACCTGCTTTCTAGAAGAGAGCTGTTTGGAGCATGAAAGAGTAGAATCTTTCTATCAGCAAGGAAGTATGTTCTTTTCCAGACCGGCAGAATGTTCATCCTAGAAGAGATTCCTATATTGCCAGCTTGTCTCTTTTCTTCCCTATGACAAAAATCACAACTTTGCCATTAAAGAGTGTTTTTACATCATTTCTTCTTTTCACTACAGTACAAATTCACTACTTTGTTTAATTGGGTCGATGGCAAAATTATTGTAATCTTATTTCATATGTGTGGCTTTGTGGGAAAGTGAGATGTTCTACGTAAGCAAGCTTTCCATACAATTAAAAATTGTTCCATTAATAACAAGCATTTTAAAAAGTCTTCAACTCTTAATCGTTAAAAAAAGACAAAGATTGCATAATACCCAGGCTTATTCAATGGGAAATAATGTAGACTGTTCACATTTGTTATGACGATTCATGGTCATCATTAAATCTGTCATTTACTTCACAATCCTGTTTTTGCTGTGATGCCCTTGGGTACTATTTTTCGTATACTGAATGGTGCCAGACCACTAAATCTTTAGTTCTTGTCCTGCGGTTTGTATTTTTTCTGCTATTTTGCTGTGAAAAGGATGCTAATTGTAATCTATTGTATTTTTTTTTTTGCTATTTTGCTATGAAAAGGATGCTAATTGTAATCTATTGTTGCTGTTGACATATCCACATCCAGAAAAGTTCTAAGTCCAAAATCAGACGACACTAACTTAAAATCAATTAATTTAAGAATTATTTGTACACATAGTGAACTCATAGGTAAATATAATAGACTCTTGAAAGCTTACATGCCAATGTTTTTTATTCCCCAGTGTTAACCGAACAGCTATTATGTTCAAAATATCATATGGTCCCTATAAGAATCTAGAGATTTGAAAATTAATGGATATGAAAAACAACATTTATTCAACTATTTAATGAGAAGATGTTATACTAAATCTCATTCCGTATCTATTACAAATAAATCATTAATTCTCTATGAAGCTGCTTAGCCATTAATCCAGTTTTTTGTAACATTAACTTGAGTATAAAATGTTAATCTTTATAAAATTTATTAGGTGGTCAAGGTTTCGACTTATGATTATATTCTCAAGTGTGCCTAAGCACATTGTAAATCACAATAAATTATCATTCAATATATCACATACAGTGAAAGGTAGCCTGTTTTACTTTTCTACTATTCTAAAACTCCTGTGCAACCAATATCTTGAATTAAATCTCTTCCATTAGAAAGACCTTGAGTGATTTCTGTTTTCCTGTACAGACTTATGACTGCTACAGCTCCCCAGGCTAAACAGGAAAATTTGATTATTTTGCGTATGGTCTTTAAAAATGCAGAGTTTTCATTCTCCTAGATAAAATACTCATGCTAGATTTATTATAAAATCTTGTTTTAAATGATTTACCAATTAAAATACTTAGGTTTTTGTCCCCTGATTTTTGCTTATAATTGATTTTACTTATCTTTCATTGTCCTTGTGCCCTGTTAAACCCACCTAGGCTTACTTAACAGCTAGTCAACTCCTAAGAGGTGTAGTTGTCCCCTGAATTGTTGGAAGATGTACCGTGTTTATTCTGTGTCTTTATATACTTCTGATCCACTGCAAGTTATACCTAAGGTTACTGGAATCTCATTTTTAAATGAATAATTCCATGGAATCACAAGAGTTTAATCAGAAGTATCACAGAATAGAAGTAAGCACACTGCTTGAGGAGTGCCCCAGAATGTGAAGTTGAAGGCAAAGATGAGTGGTAGTTTTTCAGAGGCAATTAGTGACCTAAGAACAGAGGGGATGCATAGTAGGTACTGATTTGGCAAGTGTTACTATAACAACATGTACTGGGTGCTTACAACATGCCAGGCTTGGAACTACTAGACCACAGTGCCAGAAAAAAACCGTCAGATCATAAGACATTTCTTCCCTCTTAGGAATTGGCTATTTGCTAAGAAAGCCTAGATAGGCTTAAAAGGGAGCATCAGGACCATGAAAGGTAAGAAAATTGTATCTATCAACTCAGAAGGATAACCAGAAAAGTCATTCTTGTCATACAAAGTATACAGAAGGTTATTCTTGAGGGGGAGAGATCACAGTGTTCTATATCTTTGCATATCTCACAGTGCCTTGAACAACATTTGTACATAGTAGAAGGGTTAACATATACTTGTTAACTATATAGAAATATGTTGATATTAGATTTGCATTTTCCCTGTATATAAACATAATATATTTAATTTAGAATTCTTTAGAATTGACTAAAGAATTTACTTTTTTCTTTCAGAGTACAAAATTGTCCAAAATCATTTTATATTTCAAGTCCCCTTGTGGCACATATAGAATATTTGGCCTTATCTAGCCTATTTAAAACAAGAGAGATAGGCCGGGCGCGGTGGCTCACGCCTGTAATCCCAGCACTTTGGGAGGCCGAGGCGGGCGGATCACGAGGTCAGGAGATCGAGACCATCCCGGCTAAAACGGTGAAACCCCGTCTCTACTAAAAATACAAAAAATTAGCCGGGCGTAGTGGCGGGCGCCTGTAGTCCCAGCTACTTGGGAGGCTGAGGCAGGAGAATGGCGTGAACCCGGGAGGCGGAGCTTGCAGTGAGCCGAGATCCCGCCACTGCACTCCAGCCTGGGCGACAGAGCGAGACTCCGTCTCAAAAAAAAAAAAAAAAAAAAAAAAAAAAAAAAAACAAGAGAGATAAAAAATGCTCAGGACATCATGAAGCATTCAATCAAAACATGAGGCTTTTTATAGGAACTCGGCTTAGTAGCTTTGAGAAGAAGGTTGAAGAGAGAGTATCTCTGATTTCCACCCCAACTTCACCTCACCCCACCACAGTAGGTCTTGTTGAGAGCCAGTTTTCACTAATAAAACTTACTTGCTTTCTGAGTTTTCCATGCAAATAGAAATAATTCCATCTTCTACAGGGTAAACATTTCAGATCTGGTGGAATCGAAAAGCAAGAATAATGACATGAATAGGAGTGATCTCTTAATTGGGAAATTTCTGTATTTTCTTGACTTTTCTCCTATAGCCTGCATTTAAGCATTGCAGAAAAAAAAATCTCTCACATACCTAACTGGGTATTGGAAGCTATTAAATAATGGTAAAAACTGGGATGAATGGAGGGAACTTTTCTCCCCCATTTTTTAAAGTTTGGCTGTAGGTCCTTCTGCCTGCAGGCTACAGTCACATTAGCAGTTGGAAATTGGATAACGACAGCACAATGACAAATCCAGGTTGCTTGCAATAAGTTGCTAATCCCTTTGCTTTAATATTGGAGCAGCATGTAATGATGTTTGGACATCACTCCAGTTTACTGACGACCCCACTGGGGCCAGCAATAGAACCTTACAACTGTCTAACAAGGCATCAGGTGACTCCCGTCGTCACAGCAACGGACACTGGAATCTAATCTTCCCTCCATCCCTTCTAGCACCCAATAACGCCTAGATTATATAAGTGGCCCATCATTGCTTGGTAACTTGAATCAATTAACGTTAATTCGCACAATGCTATGATGTATTGTGATCACTTTCATTTCAGGGAAGGGGGAGAAATTGCTATAAGTCACCTAAAATGAGGTTGTCTGTGGTGCTGAGGTATTAATTGGGTGTCCATATTAAATGCAAAAGGAGCCCATCATGAAAGGAAAGTGGATGAGTGACTCTCTTGGCTGCTATTGACCTATCAGAAGAAGACAGTGCCCTTTTCCTTTGCTTTTATCTATTACAGTTTTCCCTATTGCGTGTCAAGTTGATGTATTATAAAAAATTCATTTGATGACCTTTCACCCCCTTAGCAGATTAAACAATTTCACTTCGATGGCATCATTAACAGGACCCTGCATTTAATGATGATTTCTCTAAAAGGCCACGGAGATTCGATTTTAAGCTAACAGATTTATTGCACTATTATAACATATCGTAAAAAACAGTACCACCTACGGTCAGGTTTTAGGATAGAAACTGCTTAAGAGTTTATGTGGAGCTTAAAGTGGTATTACCTTGGGATATGCTGCAGCAGCAAGTCTGTGACCTCCAGTGAGATGCTGTTTACATTTAACAAGAGATGTTTGCTCACAATAAACTTTAAAGTGTGTCAGGAATGGACCTTTTAGCGGGTGTTCAGGCAGTTGGTTTCCCTCTCTTCGTCTCAAGACGTCAATGTACTTATGTGAGAATCTTTGATGGGGTCTTTCAGTCTCTTTAACCCAGACTGCTTGCCTGCATCCTAGCCCCTATCAGAAAGAATTTAAGGAAAAGGTTAGGGGAGAAATAGGATCTGATAACAACATTAGAATTTTCTAATAACCTGGAACCCACAGAAGGATAGAATTAATAGCATGGATTTAAAAAATCTGGTTTAAATTGTTCCCTTTAAAAAAGGAAAGAAGCCCTAGCCACTCAGGCTAAACAAACTAAGAAATGATGATGGGGCTAGTGTGAGTTGAATTCCCAGGGAGTGATTCCAGCCAAAAAGCCAGGGTCTTAGCTGGTAGATGACTAAAGAGCTTCTTAGGACCACATGTTTGCACTCTGCCCGCATTTCCTAGGATTCCCAGGGGAGAAGAAAATTGCTTCCTATGGAAACTTCATATTTAGTGATCCATTGTATTTGCTCTTCCACTATTTCCTCTTTCAGAACAAATCTTCACTTTTTCCTGACATGCACCCTCCATATTAAATAAATACTTTATCCTTTCCTCCTCACGTGGGGAAGGGGAGGTGGTTAGGAAATAGAATAGTTGACTTACATTTAATGGGAGAAAGCAAAGTAGGCTACTTTAAAAATAAATAAATAAATAAATACCTCATGAGACCTGGCCTAGGCTATTGAGGATAACTCACCAAGGGTTGCTCTATGTCAGGGTCCCATATATATGTGATGTCCAGGTGTCTGCATTTAGTTGCCAAACATCTGTTGCATGCCTATGATATGTAATTCACAATAGGCTTAATGGGACAATAGGTATATAATTTTATTTTAATGAAGCAGGCTCTGTCATCAAAAATACCGAAACTCTGAGTGAAATATGTTTTACACTGTCATGAATTATGTAACTATTTTCTATGTATTCCATTTTGTTGCTAAGTCATGTCAGCACTTAACATGTTCAAAGGAACTAAGAAGTAATATAGGTCATTGGTTAACCACTCTAGATCTTGGTCAACACTTACTATTTGTAGGACCTTTGGCAAGTTATTTAAGCCTTTTTGGACCTCAGTTTCTTCATATATAAATAAGAGTACCTACCACATAGTGTCATTTTAAAGATGCAATGAATTTATATATGAACACTTTATCATGGAACTTGGTATATAGTATGTGCTCAGTAAATATCAATTCTAAATATTATTCTCCTCAGATGCTTCATGCAACTGAAGTAAATTAATTCATTAATGCTATTAATAGTTATTGAATCCATTTAGTACAAACACACTCGGAAAATATAAATATGGCTTGTTGTGAAGATTAAATGAGCTATTCTGTGTAAACAGTGGTGTACTGGAGTTTGCTGTTGGGCATCTCTTCCCAGCTCTGCTCAGTGATATTATCTTGTCATCTCAGAATTAGCTATGTTGGTGGTATTTATATCACAGAATTGGAACACATCCACAAATCAGGGCATTATTTGGGAAGCTGATTTAATAGCTTACTATTGGACGTGTCCATGTCCTGTCATTTTAGTCTGAGGCTTTTATTATTATTATCTATATTAGTCTGAGGCTAATTTTCACTGAGGCTTTTATTTTTTGGCTGATTTTAATAAATGATGATAAAAATATATGCTCATAATTTGTGATTTTCCCTACCCCCTAGTCCATTTTCATTATAGCTAAGAAAACATATCAAATACATACACAATTAACCTTTGCTATAAAGCCATGTTCACTACACAATGTATTATTTTCTAGAAACACAGGCAAATGCAAATATTTTCACTGGTAATAATGGATTGTGGAAAATTGCTACCATAGGGATATGTGTAATCCTAAGGATGTATTTTGTTTGTTTTTATATCTGTCAGAAATACAAGCAGTTTTAAAACTGGGAACTTGATATATATTCGGCCCTATGCACTTTCCATCCTAGTCCAGCCTTCAGATGGAGAAGTGGGAAATGAGCTTCCAGTGCAGCCACAATTGGTATTTTTGGATGAGCAGGTAACTTTTCACAGGTAACAAATCTGTCTTTAGAGCTAAGTAGCATGTAGCATTCAGCCTATCTTTTAGAGTGTGTCATCATTGATACACATTTACAGAGTGCCCACTGGGTGCAATTTGTTGCACTTAGAGCTTCTCACTACTTTCACATTTTCCTTCCACTTCACAGCCTGCCTGCCTTCTATTTTCTCTGAACATTCAGAATTTGATCAAGGGTAAAAATAAAATTCTGATACTTTTCCTCCCCAACCAAATTCTTGAAGTAGATCTGTCACATCTTCTCTGAAATCTAGCCTTCACAAAGAAGTAGATCTATATCTGAAGAAGTTTTTCACATGCTAGTGAAGGAACTTATGACATTATAGATACATTACAGTTTTACGTTTTTTAAAATAATCTCTCTTATATGTGATTAAGTAAAACAAGAAGTTTCTGTGCTTAATTCTAATTTCAGTCTTTGTGTCCTGATTCTATTTTATCTTTTCAGTATTTACAAAATTCACAGTGAACTATGATTGTTGAATTGGCTTTCTCCTGTTTATAAATGCATCCCCTGACATGTTTGCAGAGAGAAATCTGTGGCACTGAGGTCCACACTTGAAAACCTGTCAACTTTGATGTGGTCTGGCACTCACCCAGCTCTCTCCTGTTTTCTTCTCTTTACCTTTCCTTTCTTAAGAACCTTCAGCACATAGTACCATTCTTTTCTATAAACATAGTTTTCCTTTCCTCTCCTCACTGTCCTGCCCCAACTTGTCTTGCAATAATTTCCTCACTCTTCTTACAATAAGTTAATTCTGATATATTCTTAACATGAGAAAGACATTTATTTATCACTTTCTTTCCTTTATTTCTACTGAATATATGCTTTATAAAAGCAAATATCTGATCCATCTTTTCTAACTTCACAAAATTCTCTTCTGAATCCAACTTTTTCTTCCTCCCTCCTCCTATTCCCATTTCTAGAATCGAAGAGTAGAGTCCCTGGGACCTCCTTCAGAGCCATGGACAATTTCAGCTTCCCTGGAAGGAGCATCAGACTCAGTGCTAAAAGGTAGGTAAAGTATCTGTAAATTTCAGATATCTGTTACCACTTTATCTGCACAGAAAATGTTTGCAGCCATTAGGAATTCATAGCAAAATTGGTAATACTGAATTTCTTCAGTAATTTGGGAAGAAACTCCTTCATCCCTAATCTACAGTGTCAGTGTCTGTGAAAAGGAAGATTAGGCTGGCAGCAAATCCTAAAGTCACCACTTTTTCTCTCCCTTCCCTTTCACAATAAAGCAACCTTTCCAACTTATCCGTATCCTTAAGGTAGTGTAAGGAAAAGTGCCTGGCATCTTTGGGTGAGCATCAAATCCTAGGTTTTCTACAGTCCACTCAGTGCCCCCACGACACACCCTTGTTTGGTATAGTATCATGGACTGGGCCAGGGAGCAATTTACCAAGTACAATATGATTTCTATGGGGAAATAGAAAGACTTGCTCTCAGTGGTATGAAGAATAAATGTGATGATAAGTGCAAAAGCACCTGACCCATAGCAGCCCTTAGCTAGTTTTTCTCCTTATGTTTGTCTACCCTCTTTTGTCTTCCTGTTCTATCCCAGCACCACTGCCAGCTCCACTTACTTTCCTTGAAGCTCATTTATATGAAAATCTATTTAAAATGCAGATTTCTACTAGGCCCAAGATAGTTTGGCAACATATTCTGCAGAAGGACCCAATAATGTGCATTTTAGGGCCTGGTCTAGAGAGAAGCAAGCAGGTGTAACATGATTTTTATGGGAAAAATAGTTTCTGAGTTCTAAGTTCCTATTTAACCCTCTCACACACAAAACCGTTGAAATACAACCTACTCAAAGAGACAAAAGAGACACATATTAATTTATTACGAAATTGTTCAATCATTGTATTTTTATGTTGTCAAACAGTACAATATATTATCCACAGAAAATATGTTAAGGAGAATGTGTTTGAGAAACAGAATTAAGGCAAAGGAGCCTCATAACTAAGGGAGATCAAGGGAAGAGGAAAAGTGAGACAGGTGCTGGAGCCAGACAGTCAACAGAGGACTCTGGGGACCATGGTGGGGAGTTTGGGCTGCGCTCTCAGTGAGATGCAGAGCCATTGGAGGGTTTTAAGCAGGCCAGTTCCAAGGTCTGACTCGCATGTTTAGAGGACCACTCTGCTCTATGGAGGGTGGATTGGAGAATGGCAAGAGTGAACCTCCTGAGCCAGTTGGAAAGTGATTGCAAAAGGCCAGGCAAGGGATGGTGGAGATCACAACTGGATTGATTCAGAATGTCTTTTAGAAGTTGAATCAGCAGAATCTACTAGGAGTAAAGAAAACAAGGACTTAAGGACAACTTATAGGTTTTGATCTTGTTATATTGGGTGGATATTGGTGTTATTTACTGAAATGGGGAAGACTGGATTGGGAGCAAAAAGCAAGAGTTTTTATGATGAGAAACATGAAAAGGTAAGTACAACCTGGTTGCTGGGCCAAATTAAGACGTAGGCCCTTTTGATTTCAGTTTTAAGGCAGTAAGAGCAAGAGGTTGTGTTTTACAATTAATATAGTTTGTGTTCTGGGTGTCACAAGAGTTTTTTTCTTCTTACCTGCCTCCCTCCAACATAACCCATAAATTATTAATCATGCTTCCTACCAGGAGCCTTCTCCCTATTGTGTGCAGTCAATCTCCCAACACACAGATCTTGCCTGACAGCCTCAAACTCTTCATGCATAGGGGTTTCCTCTCTGCACAAGGGGCCTCACAATTATCACAGCACCTTGAAATTCTTCCTCTGCTTATGGGTAGGATTGTGTATTTCCTTCTCATCGGAGGGAGTCCCAATCATGCACAATATCACAGTCCAATTCTGGGCTTCACCTTGAGGTGAAGAGAAATTCATTTTATGTCAACCTGATATAACCTAGAATAGAAGGGTTCGATGGAACATTTAAAAATCATCTCCTATATTTGGATAGGGAGCTGGAGATTACAACAGTCTGAAAAAGTGAATCTGTTAAATTTCTTTAATCTCTCCCACTAGTTTCAATGAGAAAATTTAAAAAGTGTCCCAAGAATTCAAATGGATTAAAAATGATTTTTAAGGTAGATGGAAAATATCCTCAGAAAGGAAAGCATTCACTCCCTTCCCCACAACTTCTATGTCAGACAGTTTTCAAAAATCCTTGCAGGGTCCCAGTAAAAGAATAGAGCCAATGGGTTTATCTTGACTCCTTGAATTCAGAATTGTTGAATAATTCTGACCAAGAGCTAGGACTCAAGCAAATCTCTGCACTAAATATTGTGTTGCTATTTTAGATGAGAAATAATTTATAAATTCTTTGTGATTTCAAATGTGACTTGAAAATAATGTTTTCAGGCTGGGAACGGCGGTTCGTGCCTGTAATCCAGCACTTTGGGAGGCTAAGGTGGCTGGATCACTTGAGGTCAGGCATTTGAGACCAGCCTGGCCAACATGGTGAAACGCCGTCTCTACTAAAAATGCAAAAATTAGCCGGGCATGGTGGGCATGCGCCTGTAATCCCAGCTACTTGGGAAGCGGAGGCACGAGAATCACTTGAACCCAGGAGGCAGAGGTTGCGGTGAGCCAAGATGGCGCCACTGCACTCTAGCCTGGGTGACAGAGCAAGACTCCGTCTCAAGAAAAAAAGAAAAAAGAAAATAATGTTTTCAAAATATGCATACTATACAAAGAGATATATATCAGTACTGGTAAAAATTTTTTAAAAAAGAAAATAAAGGTTATTTGTTTTAAGCACAATTATCTATTATTACCTTGATATTTGTATATTATAATAGGGGAATAAGTAGGAAATCTTGTTAACTTTTGCAAATTCTTCTTTCTAGAAGTGTGATTTCAAGCACTGGCTTTTAATGCAGTTAGTATTGTAATTATAATGAAACATTCTTTGAGATTAGCCAGTAACATATTGAAAGGAAGTTTCATACCAATAAATCACTGAAAATTATAAATTGATATGGTGTATATGTACCTTTTTATAATTGGCCAAATATCTCCATTCTTATGCAAATTTGAGGATGTGTTTACCACTCTTTAAAAATTCGGTTTATTGGCCGGGCTCAGTGACACATGCCTGTAATGCCAGCACTTTGGGAGGCCAAGGCGGGCAGATCACAAGGTCAAGAGATCAAGACCATCCTGGCCAACATGGTAAAACCCCGTCTCTACTAATAATACGAAAATTAGGTAGACATGATGGCATGCACCTGAAGTCCCAGCTACTCAGGAGGCTGAGGCAGGAGAATTGCTTGAACCCGGGAGGTGGAGGTTGCAGTGAGCCAAGATCGCCCACTGCATTCCAGCCTGGTGACAGAGTGAGACTCCAGCTCAAAACAAAACAAAATCAGCTTATCCAATTTCCTGTGCACCTCATGAATCAGGTAGGGCATTTCTGTGGGTTTTGTGTTGTCCAAAATGTTTTTTTCAGGCTTAGAAATGACTCATGTGCCAGCTCAAACATCAGCCTACCTGCAAAATCACTGACTTCCAAGAATAGGCCATGATTTTACAGTTATTTCTTGCTCTACTCTGGCTATGAGTCTAAGCTCATTCAGATGGTTCCCATAAAATATATGGAATGTTCAAATGGATAGCCATAAGTCAATCATAGACGTGCCTCGTCTTCTAATTGCGTTTATTATTGGCCTAAAACTGTTCCTATCATATGGTGCACATTGCCTACCATTTCTGATGACATTGTTCCTTAATTTTTTGTTATTTGTCTCTTAAGAAACATATAAAATTGTTGTAATAAAGTCTCCAAGTTAATGAATAATCATTTGATGTTGTTTTCAATGAATTAATCTCAGATCTCAGTTTTTTTTTAATGTCACCATTTAATTTAGCTTATACATTTTGTTTCTGGCAAAGCTGCACCTCATCGATTCCAGAAAATGAAATTATCCCCTTCTAAAAATTCTCTTAAGGAGGCGATTGACATCTCGTGATTAAACAGTTCATAGCTTCAAAACCCTTACTTTTTAAAGCTTGCTTCGTCTTATTGTTTTATTAGAACAATAAATTTTCCCACTCTCTTTTCAATTTGACTTTCTACTATTTTGACCTGTTATTTTTTTTAACCCATCTAATTACTTATTAAGACACCAAATGTTTTCCAGTGAGAACACATGGACACAGGGAACAACACACACTGGGGCCTGTCAGAGATTGGGGGGAGGACTAAGGGGGAAGGAGAGCATCAGGATGAATAGCTAATGCATGTGGGGCTTAATACCTAGGTGATGAGTTGATAGGTGCAGCCAACCACCACGGCGCATGTTTGCCTACGTAACAAACCTGCATGTTCTGTACATGTATCCCGGAATTTAAAATAAAATAAAATAATTAAAACAAACAAAAAACAAAACAAAACGAGACTCTAAATGTTTTCAGCATGTCCACAAAAATAATTTTCTACCAAACTTTGAGGTCTTGCTCTCCTCAGTACCCTCTCCACGTTCTCTTTATACAATCCAAATTTAAAGGCCCAGGTAATGTGGCATATTTTGTCAGAATCTGCCCATAGACTCTCCAGACTTTCCCTTCTACTTACACAATCTATCTTTTGTTCAATTTGTTGAAAGTAACACCTGTGTGGGTAACTCATATTGTTGCTCCTGGTCATTTTTTTTTTTATTTTTTTAATGTGGGCAGTTCAGTTAGAAGCTTCTTGGGTTTAAAATCCCAAGGAATGAGGACAAACCAGAATGGTCCTTGTACAGATTTGTAGACACAAGGCATGTCATTAAGAAAGTAAGAAAATGAAGTGAATTTATCCAAGGTTGCCCACTGTGAAGATGAAAGATTCAGAATTGCATTTCGAACTGCCTGTTTTGATGCTGTCATTCTGTTCATTTTTCAGTGCCATTTTGCTACTGTTGGTGTTTTGGTATAGAAAGTGCTTAGGATATGTAACAGTCACTCACCTTCTGATCTTAATACAGCAGCATAGAAATATTAATTTTTAGCTTTTTTCATGTTCTGGTAATATTTACCACAGATACTCTCACATGACTACTGGAACTCACCTCCCCATTGTCTACTCCATGTGTTACCCATATTCTATTCCTTACCCATACTCCAAACCATACCCATACTCATGCCTTACATTGCTCCTCCAGACCTTATCCATACCTAAGACCCTACTTATACTCCATACCCTATGTATAGTCCATACCTTACTTTTTTTTGAGGCAGAGCCTGGCTCTGTTACCCAGGCTGGAATGCAGTGGCACGATCTTGTCTCACTGCAACCTCTGCCTCCCGGGTTCAAGTGATTCTCCTGTCTTAGCCTCCTGAGTAGCTGGGATTACAGGTGCCCACCACCACACCTGGCTAATTTTTCTATTTTTAGTAAAGACGGGGTTTTGCCGTGTTGGCCAAGCTGGTCTCGAAATCCTGACCTCAGGTGATCCTCCCGTATTGGCCTCCCAAAGTGTCGGGATTACAGGTGTGAGCCACCGTGCCCAGCCCATCCCTTACTTATATCCCTTACCTTGCCATACTTCATACATTACCATGTCCAATACCTTACTCATATTCTATGCCTTAGCCATATTCCACAACTTACACATACTCCATGCCTTATTCACACTCCATACTTTACCCATAGTCTGTACCTTACTCATATTCCATACTTTACACATTCTCCAGACCCTTACTCACACTTCATTTCTAACCCATAGTCCATATCTTACTTACTTATATTCTGTACCTTGCCACACTTTGCACATTATTTATACCCAGTACCTTACTTATGCTCCATGCCTTACCTATTCCCCATACCTTCTCCTATATGATACCTTACTGAGACTTTATATTTTACTTTGTCCTGACACTTATTGCACCTCATCTTTCATTATTTTTCTTTCAGTAACCTTAAGGATGTCATGCCCGGCCAGCTTAGAATCATGTTGTGGCCATGAAAAGTGAATGAGGCATGAAACCATTTACTCTTTATTTATTTATCTATTTATTTATTTATTATTATACTTTAAGTTCTGGGATACATGTGCAGAACATGCAGGTTTGTTACATAGGTATACATGTGCCATGGTGGTTTGCTGCACCCATCAACCCGTCATCTACATTAGTTATTTCTCCTAATGCTATCCCTCCCCTTGCTCCCCACTCCCTGACAGGCCCTAGTGTGTGATGTTCCCCTCCCTGTGCCCATATGTTCTCATTGTTCAACTCCCACTTCTCCTATGTGAGAACATGCTATGTTTGGTTTTCTGTTCCTGTGTTAGTTTGCTGAGAATGATGGTTTCCAGCTTCATCCATGTCCCTGCAAAGGACATTAACTAATTCTTTTTTATGGCTGCATAGTATTCCGTAGTGTATATGTGCCACATTTTCTTTATCCAGTCTATCATTGATGGGCATTTGTGTTGATTCCAAGTCTTTGCTATTGTGAGTGTGCTGCAATAAACATACATGTGCATGTGTCTTTATAGTAGCATGATTTATAATGCTTTGGATATATACCCAGTAATGGGATTGCTGGGTCAAATGGTATTTCTGGTTCTAGATCCTTGAGGAATCACCACACTGTCTTCCACAATGGTTGAACTAATTTACACTCCCACCAACAGTGTAAAAGGATTACTATTTCTCCACATATGTTGTTTCCTGACTTTTTAATGATTGCCATTCTAACTGGTGTGAGATGAGATACCATTTACTCTTTTATTCTACGGACACCAAGCCACACTCAAGCCAACTAGCTCACTTGGATCAGTATTGTCACTATTACCTTTTTTAAGAGATCCAATGGGAATGTGTGAGGACTAGTTTGAGGGTGTCTTATATACACACCTTTTTTATGTGAGTGAGTCATGAAGTAGGGAAGAAATCACATGCAGTTTTCTGTTTTTAGCATACCCATGTCACCAAACTACCCTATTTTATGTGATTGAAAGTTTCTCTTGAAGCCATCATGAAATACTACTTTTTCACTTCAGAAAGAATGCACCAAAAGCATTTGGGATGGATTATCTAACTTACTATAAGTATCTCCTGGAGAAAAACAAAATAACAACAACAAAACCATATCTATATATCTCCTCTAAATCTTTTGTTCTGCAATTTAACTTCATATTCTTTTTTCTTTAGTAGACCCTCCTCAGTGAAAAGGCAGTTACAACCTATTATCATAAAAAGTGAATTTATATACTCAAGGACAATTATTTACAGGTCTTCAATATCCTTTGACATTTATGGATCATAGTTGCACAAAAAAGTCCTTAATACTTTTAAAGATAACATCTCAACATTAACAATGTAACAGTTTGCTAGTATGCATACCTAGGAGTGAGTGGGATAGCTGTGGGGATAATTTGGGCTGCAAAGGTATTTTAGAAACTATCTATCCTGCAGAAACCCATTCAGGTATCATTCCCTGGTAGTTGTGTAATCAATTCCAAAGTTGCTCGAGCCCAGCACCCCACCCCATCCCAAGTCCCCCAGCCAGTATACTGTTTATACCAGCATGATCAGGGAGCCTGTCAATTGCATTTGTATATGTCATCATAGCTATTCTGAAGATATGATGAACCCTGGAGTAATGTACTATACTTAGCAGCAACTGCCTCAGCTTTTGAGCACATATGCTTCAAATCTGAGAATATCATAGATATATATGGGAATCTTTGTAGAGATCTCTAAGGCAAGCTGGTATTTAACGCAAAAGCAAACCCATTTAGAACTAAAGCACTTTCCATTAGGCAATTTGGCGGCTGTTCTACGAGGCCAACTCACTGTGCTCTACGGACACATTTCGATTAAATGCTGCTTTGTATTCTTCCAAAGATGGGAACAATAAAGACGTTTGTCAAAGGAAAAACTGCAGCAAATGATTTCATGTTGAACATCTGTACTCTTCAGTTCATTGTTTGCAAGAGTTTATTGACCATAATTTTGATGCATATAGGTTTTAAAGAGTATAAACTGCATTTATCTTGGGCACCTATCATTTATTTGAGTCTTGGCTTATTTATTTTCATTTTACTGGGCATTTTATTTATTTTAGAACTCAGAAGAGATGAAGCAAAAGATCTTTCTCAAAAAAGAAGTTTTAGTTAGCTCTGCAAAATTGATGAAGAAAGACAGTGTTTTCACAAAAAGATTAAGCAATTGAATTGAAAAATGTAACACTAAGCATATTGTATCTTTATGACACATTTCAGCCTTAGAGATCTCAAACCAATCTATAAACTTTCAGACCACTTTCATAACCCTTTGTCCACCATGCCAATCATATTGACATTTCCAGAGTAAAGTCTAGCAGCTGTTAATTAGGAAAATAATTTAGGGATGGTGGAGTCAAAAGACGATTAATGGTATTGTGAATGTGATACTGAGTTAAGCTGCCTTTTTTCACGTTATAAATGGATGACCTACTGTTAGAAGACGCAAGGGTTTTTTTTTGTTTTTGTTTTTGTTTTTTTCATTTTAGTTAGGGAAGCCAAGGCTCAGGCAATTCAAGTTGCTAAATCAGAGTAGCTCTATCAGTCATTATTTGGTAGATTGCCATGGTCCTGATCTCTTGGCCTAATTCTGGTACCACATAAACTATAGATAACTTGGATAGAAGAAAGACAGACTGTAGAAACTGACCACCTAGAAAGATAATAGAATTTCTTTCTTTATATATTATACATTTAATAATAATATAGCCAATATATTGTAGTGGTTAAGAATGCAGACTGAAATCAGGTAGATTTGGGCTGTAACCCCAGTACCACATAATTTAATCTTTCATGAGCCTATTTCCTAATTGCTAGAATATAGATAATAGCGTATTTTATAGGGTTGTTGTGTAGTTTGTAGGCAATCGTGTATATATAGAACAGTGTCTGGCATAGTGGAACTTTCAATATATGTTAACTGTTATTCTGTCTTGGGTCATTTGGTTCTAAGTCTTGACTAAGAAGAACCTGATGGATTAGGTAACCTCTTTGAGTTTAAAAAATTGTCCTTTATTGTCCAAATGTCTGCCTTCGCAGAAGACATGAAGACATTGTTCGAGATTAGATAATAAACAGCTAATTTTTGTTTTGTACTTTTTTGTAGGGTGCACCCAGGCAGAAACTCAAGATGGTTATGTTAGCTTCTACAACTTGGCAGTCTTGATCTCTGGGTCAAACTGGCACTTTATTTTTACTGTCACTTCTCCTCCAGGTAATTTTATACAGTGTGCTTTTATTCTGTGTTTTTTTTTTTTTTTTTTGAGAAGATAATCCTTTCTCCCTTATAGTGGGAATAGCTACTATCATGAATAAGAGGTCATCATAGTTTAGAAAATAAATTCACTTGACTGTATCATTAAGCTTGAGAAGAAAGAGCACATGTAGAAATGGAAACCTCAGGTTACTCCTGGTGAGCAAGAAACCAAATGTACATTTCCTTCTCAACATTGACGTTTACGTTCAGTGTTCTACTTGTTTTTTTCTTTAATTTACTTACCTGACATTTGGTTAGATATTAATAGGAGAATGTTAATTTATAAGAAAGAGAGTCATAGGATGTTGAAATTTTAACTTTGGGTCCTGTCCTCCTCAACCCCCTGCCAAATGGGGACAATACCCATCAACATCCTGGCACTTCAGAATAAGGGGTATGTAAATTGCATATCTGATCCAGTTCTTTTTGACAAAACATGTAAAAAAAACACCCTCTGGCGTATTAAATGTGACTCTCATGAAAATATAGTGATCATTTGTCAACATGTTATTTAACTCACTAATGAGGAAATCAGAAGATAAGAAAACTAATTAAAAGAGCATTTGGGAGATAGTGATCGTATAGCCAGGGAAGAAATGTTGAAATAAGTTTGCAATGGATACAGGGCAATAAAAGCAAAATTTTGATAGTCCAGTGTTTACAGATATCATTTGCATCCTTAACTATATAAAAATTGTTTCAGCATGTCAATCTTCTACAAATAAACATATCTGGGTCCTAATAAATAAATAATAAATAGTAAGTGAAACAAATATATGTTTGAGAGAACTTAATAAACTTTCAACGGGCCTTTTGAAAATGTTCCAGTATGACACTGGTAAGATCTGTAATCATAATCATTTTTCCTTTAATTCCAAGTTTTGGATTTTTTTTTGTTTTTTTGAGATGGAATCTCACTCTGTCACCCAGGCTGGAGTGCAGTGGCACAATCTCGGCTCACTGCAACCTCCACCTCCCAGGTTCAAGCAATTCTTCTGCCTCAGCCTCCTGAGTCACTGGGATTACAGGCATGCGCCACCAAGCCTGGCTAATTTTTGTATTTTTAGTAGAAATGAGGTTTCACCATGTTGGCCAGGCTGGTCTCGAATTTCTGACCTCGTGATTCGCCTGCCTCAGCCTCCCTAAGTGCTGGGATTACAGGCATCAGTCACCACGCCCAGCCTGGATTTTTTTTTTTTTTAACAAAAAGACTATCTTCTGAGATCAGATAATATTATTGCTCCCTGGCTATATGATCATTATCTCTTAAATGCTATTTAAACCAGTTTCATGTTCTTCCTGGTTTCTTCATTAATGAGATAAATAACCTGTCGACAAGTGCTCATTATATGTTTTCATGAGAGTCACATTTATACTTCAGAGGATGATTGCTTAAATACTTGTTAAAAGAGCAATTTACACATACTTTATGTGTCAAAGTGTCCTAACATAAGTACAGGTTCATAACAAACGTGTAGTGTCCTTGACCGTGGGATTCCCAATTCCCAGGGATTGTGCTGTAAGCTTGAGTTTTTGAATGGATATGTCTTAAAGGGTAAGACAGGCAGGAATGCATATTTTGTTCCAGATTTGTCTGACATTTAAAAGGCCTTTGTCCTTTAATTACCTCAGTAATTAATTAAGACTAACCAAATACGTTATCAAGTTTATTTTAAGGAATAGGTTGTAAAACCAAATGCGAAATGTATTGTAGACAGAAACTTCTTGGTAACTCCTGTGATTTTGAACTGGTCTTGGTGTTCACACTTAGTAGACTACTGCTTTATTGTAGTTTCTACTTACAGCCTGTAAAAAGAACTAACTGAAGAATCATTTGGAAAGTTTTCCCTTAGTGTTTTTCACTAAATTATTCCTCTTAATTTTCAAGATCAAGTCTGTTAGGTGAGACTCTTTCAGAATGAGATTTATAAAAGTTTAAATTTGGAGAGAATAGATGGAGGATAAAAAGAAAGGAAAAATATTAAATATCTGCACTTCTGTGACCCCTTGTTGACATCACACTGAGTAACGGTACACGTCCAGAGAGTAACTCCTTGTTTCCAAGTACATCAATTTGAAGTGCTAGAATGTTGGGGAAAGCAGCGTATATTCACACATTTTCGCCAAACAATGAAATTTCTTATTTCTAATAGGCTTCAAAATAATAGGTCTGATAAGCATTGTTTTATGTTATTGTTGTTTCTTTTGTTGTTTTGTGTGTGTGTGTGTGTTTGTTGTTGTTGTTGTTATTTTTAGAGAGGGTCTCAATCTGTCACCCAACACCCAGGCTGGAGTGCAGTGGCTCAATCATGGCTCATTGCAGTCTCAACCTCCCAGGCTCAAGCAATCCTCCTACCTCAGCCTCCAAAGTAGCTGGGACTACAGACGTGTGTGCCACCACACCCAGTTGGTTTATTTTATTTTATTTTTTGGTAGAGATGGGATCTTACTATGCTGCCCAGGCTGGTCTTAAACCCCTGGGCTCATGCTGGCATTATAGGCATTAGTCCCCGTGCCTGGTCTGTTGTTTCATTCATTCATGAATCAAGCAGAGAATTTGCAATCATTTCCACTATTTTCCCTCATCTCTCCAATATTTTAGAGAGAAAAACAAATTATTATTCCTATTTTAGAAATACAGAAAATAGATCTGCCCAAGTATTTATGGAATCCTCTTAGGTCTGACATATTATCAAATCCAGCTCATTTATCACTTCTCAACTTCCTGAGACACTGTCAAGAGATAAGGGTTTCTGTAAGTTTGTAGTACTGACTTCGTAGCTAGCCTTTCCACGTTCACTATCATTACCATGGTGTAGGCTGTGGCTTTTATGACCATTTCTTGGTGCCGTGGGGTTCTCAGGAGGCCCTCAGGGGCTGCTGCTGAGAAGAGATTAATGTAACCAGGTATCACCCACAAATCCGCCCCCGGCCCCCCGCCCCCCCCCACCTTCACCACAAATACAGTTAGCCAGAGAAACTCTACCTGTGGTTGCCAATTCCTTGGTTGGAATATTCTCCCCCCAGAAAGTCACGTGGCTAACTCAGCTCATTCAGATTTCTTCTCAAATATCTCCTCAAAGAGGACTCTTTTGGATCACTCAGTCTATACCATCCCCAATCCTCCCCACACCTCCAGCCACTGTGTCTTATAAACTCACTTTAGTTTTCTTTATGCACTTATCACTCCCTGGCTTTATAGTATCTATGTATTTATTTGTTTGTCTACTGTCCGTGTGCTGGGTCCTCCATTGAGACCAAAGTTCCAAAGGGACAGAGATTCTGCTTAGTTTGACATTATATCCCAAGGGTGTAGAAAAGCCTGGTGCATCATAGCTACAAATAAATATTTGTTTATGAATAAGTGAATATATTGAGATTATTTTTAAGATTGCAGTTTTAAAAAATGTTCTGATGCTAAGATAATTGAGAGCCAGTGGTCTCCACCCTTGGATTTAGATAATTTCGCCTGGTCACCCTGACTTTAGCTTCTCTGTCATTTTTGTGTTCTATACAAAAATGGACTGACTATATTTTATGTGGCTCATGTCACTTCTCAGTTTAGAATCTCCCCCTAGGCTGTGCGGGGTGGCTCATGCCTGTAATTCTGGCACTCTGGGAGGCTGAGACTGAAGGATCACTTGAGACCAGGAGTTCAAGACTAGCCTGGAAAACATAGCAATACCCCATCTCTACAATACATTAACAAAAAATTAGCCAGGTATGGTGGCACATGGTTGTAGTCCCAACCACCTGGCAGGCTGAAGCAGGAGGATCATATGAGCCCTGGTGTTCAGGGCTACAGTGAGCTATAATTGTGCCACTCATTGTACTGAAGTTTGGGTGATAGAGCTAGACCCTGTCTCTATTAACAAAATAAAAATAAAAAAGAATCTTTTCTTCTGTGATACTTCATGCCTTCAGAATGTTCTCAAGGGCCTTTTGCCTGATATTTAATGCCCATCCAGATTTGTCTCAAATTCTTCTAGCATTAAGTTCCAGTACTTTCCTGCGTAAGTCTCCTAAGTATCAATAGCTATTTTCTCCTCTCTGTCTTTGTTTATGTATTTGCACAGCCTTCAGAGTCCCCTCAGATACTTCCTCCTCCAGGATGCTTTCCCGAATCATATCAATGGAAAATAAACATCCAAAGCAATTGATTTGCATTATTCTAGTGGCATGTGTCACATCCTAATTTGTTTAACAAATGTTTGTTATGTGTATCTTATTTACTAGCTTGTAAATATCTTAAGAATGGGAACTGGTAACTTATCAACTTGACCCAGTAAACAATTACTGAGCAATCATTGACAAATGGATAAAAGTATGAAGAATTTAGTTTTTACTTCTGTAAATCCCAAGTAAAGTCTATTCCCCCATCTCTGTGCCTGATTGAGCTTATTCAGATGCCCATAAAAAGCAATTACTTGATAACAAACAAGCCAAATATGGCTCAGATACATGATGTATACAGAGGAGATTTTGTTGTAGTAGCTTTGGGACCAAGTCAGCCAGAAGTCAAGAGATTGAAGATCTGACTGTGACTTCCAGTAAAATTGTCAGGTTCAGCCCAGTGAAAGCACAGCAAAGAAAAACATGGTGTTTCCTTGAGTACATAAAATAAAAACTCTTTTTGCCTGAGTTATGTGGATGAAAGCAGAAGTTTGAAGTTTGCTTGTTTGTTTTGAATGAGCTGCTTTAAAAATGCTGGCTGTAACTGTTCATAAACAAGTTTTTTTTTTTTAAATAAACCTGTTTGTATTGAGATATGATTGACACATGATAAGCATATTTAAAGCATACCATTTGATACATTTTGATGAATGCCTACTCCCATGAAAGCATCCTCATTATTAGAATAATGAATATATTCATCACCCCCAAAATTAAAGGCAAGTTTTCAAACAATTTATTTTTAAAATGAATGTACTTTAAAATTGACATTTTTGTATGTGGTTTTATTACTTCAAATACATGTATAGATCCATGTAACCATCCCCACAGTCAGGATAAGGACCATTTCATCACCCCAAAAATCTGTTCTCACATACATGTAGCCTTTCTCCACCATTCATCGTTGGCAACCACTGATCTGTTCTTTAACTCTATAGTTTTGTCTTTTCTACAGTGTTATATAAATGGAATCCTACAAATGTGTACCATTCAGAGATGGGCTTCCCTTACTCAGCATAATGCCTTTTATGCTCATTCTAGTTGTTACAGGTTATCAATTGTGTGTTTGTTTCTTTTCCTTTTTCTTTCCTTTCTTTCTTTTTTGGCTGAGTAGTTTTTCATTGTCTAGATAAACTGTAGTTTGTTTATCCATTCCCCTGCTCAAGGACATTTGGGTTGTTCCTGGGTTTTGCAATGTACAGAGCTGCTAAAAACATTTATGTATGTGTTTTTATGCAGATAGGTAACTTTCTTTTTTAGATTATTTTATGACTCATTTCATAAATAATAATGGGGTGAGAAATTTTTCTGTCTCCATAAATGGGAGGAGTTTCAGATGAATTCTTACAGAGTTGAACTCTCTCAACAGGATGCTATCTTGCCCCATCATTCATGGCCGGCAGTTCTATCTGCCATTGTTCTAGTCCTAGTTTTCCAGATAACATAACTCTCTAAGACAATATGGTGCTGCAGCAGGAGTCCCTATGCCCCTGTTTTGATGTGTTATATGGCACGTATTGAGTAGATACATACATCAGAGCAAGTAATTTCACACATTCTGGAGCTGAGAATATTTTTATTCTCATTAGTGAAACATGAGTGAAAGAAGCTGAAATTTTGCATTGGTATGGAAGGTTGGTCTGAAAATTAAAAGAGAGAATTGGAAGAATTCTCAATCAATAATTGACAGAATTGGAAATAACTATTATGTGTTATTGTTGGAATCTTGTGATTCTCTAGAAATATAAATCTTGGATTTATAATTTATGTATTTATTAAATTTAATGAATATATATTGAACACCTACTATATCCCAGATACTATTATGAATGTATTTATTTTTACCATATTTTAATTATATTAGCATCTTATTAACATATCATTGAAACATCTTCTTTTCCCCGCCACAGGAGTCAATTTTACAGCTCGATCCAAGCCATTTGCTGTCTTGCCTGTGACTAGGAAGGAGAAGTCGACCATCATCCTGGCTGCTTCCCTGTCCTCTGTGGCCTCATGGCTGGCTCTGAGCTGTCTGGTGTGCTGTTGGCTTAAAAGAAGCAAAAGCAGAAGTATGTAGTTTTTTTTTTATTTTGGAATGAAAATTTCTGAAAAAAAAGTCATCATACATAACATATTAATGATTCTGTTTCTTTCCCCAAAGACAAATTTTTGTGAGCTTCTCTAAAATATAAAATTACACAAAGCCAAATTGTTCAATTAATACATTAGAGACAAGGATTGCCTAATCTTAAGTAATAATAGCAATAATAATAAAAACTCATGTTAACTAAATACTCACTATGGAACACATTCTGAGCACTTCAGATAAAGGAATTTATTTAATCCACACAACAACCCAATGAGGTGGGTGAAAAATATTGTAACTCACTTCAAAAAGTGAGTTAAAGAATCAGGGGAAACCAGCACTTTGGGAGGCAGAGGTGGGTGGATCACCTGAGGTTAGGATTTCGAGACCAGCCTGGCCAACATGGTGAAACCCTGTCTCTACTAAAAATACAAAAATTATCTGGGCATGGTGGCAGATGCCTGTAATCCCAGCTACTCGGGAGGCTGAGGCAGGAGAATTGCTTGAACCTAGATGGTGGTGGAGGTTGCAGTGAGCCGAGATTGCGCCATTGCACTCCAGCCTGGGTGACAGGAGTGAAATTCTGTCACAATAAAAAAAAAAAAAAAGAAAAAAAAAAAGAATCCGGGGAAATGTCATCCTCTCCTCTTCTCCTTTAAAAGGGGAGAGGGCTTAGTTTGTTTGTTTGTTTGTTTGTTTTTTAGCATAGGAATTAAGTAGGTTCCTAAATATTTCCCAGAAGTGGATGCCATTTTTTAATTTTTTAAAGCTGGAGACTTGTAGTCACTGAGGGAAAGAAGCTTTGTAAATGAAGCTTCTTTCTATCTTAGAGTGGAGGAGATAGGTGAGCAGATCAGGCATTGGCAAATTCCTTATTCCACCCATTCCCCCAACCCTAGACCAGCCAATGAGTGAAAGAAATACTTGTCTTACTAGGAGGCTCTACAAAACCAAAGTAAAAGCAAGAGTGAAGTTTAAAAGAGGAGAAATAAAGAGAGGCAAAGAGAAAAAAGTCAAAATAAAGGTGAGAGGAAGTAGCATAGTCCCACTACTACAACATTTGCTGGGCTTGGAGCTCTGAGAGATGCTTGGGAAAGGAGGCTCCACTGGATACATTTTCTGTATTTGAACTGAGCTACAGCCTGGTATCCCTGTTTCTCTCTTCATCCTGTTGATCAGGACTGGACTAACTACAAGGCAGCTCCTTGTCTTTCTGAAGAAGAAGGGGATCTTGACCTCGTTCTGCCTTATGTTGCTGTGATTTGCAGTTTTTTGTTTTTCCTTCTTAAAGTTCTATCTACATTCAGTGTATGTAGTGCTGTCTGCTTGTAAGTAGAATTTTCATAAATTTTTATCTCATGTAATCCCGTGAAGTAGGTGATTTGATTCTCATCTTCCATTTGGTATCTAAACCTAGTAGCCATGCAGGGGTCTCTCCCTAAGGTCTAACCTCACTTTTAATCCTAAGCTCTAGAGAAGGCTTTTTCTAACTCCTAAGCTCTGCTATCTCCACTTTTGATCCCCCAGCTCTAGACGTGACTTCTTCCTGTGTTTACAAATATATCTATTACTTCAGTGTCTTCCTTTTCCTCTTTCAACCTTTCAATATCTGTGGACACATTACCTTGTATGATATCCCCATATTTTCTTTACTGGGCACAGACTCCTAACTATGTTAAACAAACAAAAAAGATGTAAAGAAATTGCAAGGAACTTTATGAAAGTTTTACAGTAGTCAGATCTGTATAAGTGATTTGTATTTTCTTCCTTATACCTTCTGTATTTTATATTTATTAAGTTTCTAAAATTAACTTTCATTTCTTCAGAATCAGAAAAATATATTGTTCCACAACTTACTCATAAAAAAAGATTCTCTGGTTAAGCTATATGCTCTCTGTGCCTGTCATTTTCAATTTGGGTCTAAGGACCTTGTTATGCTTTCAATAATTGTTGAGAATCTAAACAACTTTTGTCTATGTGGGTTCTATATCCATTAATATTTCCAAATTAGAAGTTTAAACAGAAAATTTTAAATTTATTCATTAACTTATTTTAAAATAATACATGCATTGCATGTAAACATAACATTTTAAATTAAAAAGTTGTATTTTCAAAAAATATGTAGTGAAAAGAGTGTGGCATTCTTACAAACCTCTTTAATATCTTCCTTAATAGGCAGCTGGAATCTCTTGGCAGCTTCTGCATTCGACCTATTGCAATGTATTGTTTTTGCTGAAGTATATGAAGAAAACCAGCCTCAGTCAGATACATTGTAGAAAAGGGATGAGCATTTTAATAGCCTTTACAGATAATAGTGGACATTCTTCTTTCTTACTGCACCCAGACTTGACAAGAAGTAGTTACTTAAAGTGCCATCTCAATGGCCTTTTTGTACTTTGTTACATGAAAATCCACCAGTCTCATCATATACTTTGAATGGAGCTTTTATCCATGCATTATGCTTTGGTCATTTTGAAAATATTGTTTCACGGAGTCGTGAAGATCTTCTCAACGTTGACATATTTCATTCTACTATTCAAAAAGATCACATTTGTTAATAACATGAATCATTAAGAATTAGAAACCTGTGAAGCTCATGTAGTTGATACAAGTTTTCCCAAATTCCAAGTTTCCCATGAAAGCTTGAATTTTATCACTGGGAACAAACACTGTAAGTTGTTTCTGTTTTAGAAGCTCACTTCATTCATTTGAGAAAAAATAAAATCTGCCAAATATACAAGTATGAATAACCATAATTTCTCAATCATTATTTCAAGCTCTTTCAAGTAAAAATGGTGTTCCATGAAAAAATAGCTAGTTCAGCTCAAAATTCAATTGCAAAATTGCTTTTTCTTGGGAAAATCACATATGAATTTTAAATAAAATTTAATTTTCTTTAGTGCTTTATCAAAGATATTCTTAAGTAAAATTGGCTTTTGTTTTTTCTCTTCTTCTTGGTTTTTTGTTTTGTTTTGTTTTACTGTGATTTTATTTCAGGGTATATCCTTCTTGATCATGCCTATCCAAAAAATGTATACCTTGTGGTTTTTACTAGCATTTCTCTAATGATTAGTGATGATGAGCATTTTTTTCACATACTTTTGGCCACATGTATGTCTTCTTTTGAGAAGTGTCTGTTCACGTCCTTTGCCCATTTTTTTTAAATGGGATTGTTTGCTTTTTTGATTTTTGATTTAAGTTCTTATAGATTCTGGTATTAGGCCTTTGTCAGATGCATAGTTTGTGAATGTTTTCTCTCATTCTGTAGGTTGTTTGTTTACTCTGTTGACAGTTTCTTTTGCTGTGAAGAAGCTCTTTAGTTTAATTCGGTCCCACTTTTTTTATTTATGTTTTTGTTGCATTTGCTTTTGGAGACTTCACATGAAAACTTTGCCAAGGCCTATGTCCAGATTGGTATTTCTTAGGTTTTTTTCTACGGTTTTTACAGTTTTGGGTCTTACATTTAAATCTTTAATCTATCTTAAGTGGAATTTTGCATATAGTGAAAGGAAAAGGTCAAGTTTCATTCTTCTACATATGGCTAGCCAGCTATCCCAGCACCATTTATTGAAAAGGAGTCCTTTCACAATTGCTTGTTATTGTTGGCTTTGTTGAAGATGAGATGGTTGTATGTGTGCAGCTTCATTATTGAGTTCTCTCACCTGTTCCATTGGTCTATGTCTCTATTATTTTGCCAGTGCCATTCTGTTTTGGTTACTGTACCTTTGTAGTATAGTTTGAAGTCTAGTATACAATAAGATACCATCTCACACCAGTCAGAATGGCAATTATTAAAAAGTTAAAACAGTAACAGATGTTGGCGAGGTTGTGGAGAAAAGGGAATGCTGATACACTGTTGGTGGGAATGTAAATTAGTTCAGCCACTATGCAAAACAGTTTGGAGATTTCTCAAAGAACTTAAAACAGAAGTTTTCAACTCAGTAATCCCATTACTGGGTATATACCCAAAAGAATATAAATCAGTCTACCAAAAGGACACATGTATTTGAATGTTTATTGCAGCACTATTCACAATAGCAAAGACATGGAATCAACCTAGATGCTCATCAACAGTGTACTGGATAAAGGAAATGTGATACATATATACCATGGAATAGAATGCAGCCATAAAAAGAATGAAATCGCATCCTTTGCAGCAACATTGATGTGGCTGGAGGACACTAAACTAAGTGAATTAATGCAGGAACAGAAAACCAAATACTGCATGTTGTCACTTATAAGTGGGAGCTAAACACTGGGTTCACATGGACACAAAGAGAGGAACAATGGAGACTAGGGTCTACTTGAGTGGGGAAGGTGGGAGGGGGGTAAGGGTTGAAAAACTGCCTATTTGGTACTATGTTCACTACTTGGGTGATGAAATCATTTGTACACCAAACCCCAGTGACATGCAATTTACCTGTAACAAACCTGTACATGTACCCCCTGAACCTAAAATAAAAGTTGAAAAAGAAAAAGAAAAGGTCTATTTCCTACCCATAACTATCTCCTTTTCATGCCATGTTATGGCATTACTTTGCCATATTACAAATTTATTTGTTTGTCCTCTGCCATCCAAACTAGAATAAAAGCTCAGTGAGGGTAGGGATCAGATCTTTTTTACTCACTGTATTATTCCCAGAGCCTTAAACAGTGCCTGACATGAGGAATGTAAATATATTTTAGATGAATGAATTTATTAAATAAATGAATAGAAGATGAAGTATCTCTTCAGCCAGGAATAGACTGAAGATATACAATCTTCTATTAAAAGCCCTCCTCATCTTGCGTATGGTGGCTTGTACCGGTCTCAATTCTTTGGTATTGATATCATACTGTAGTTACACAGGTTGTTGACAATGGAGAAGGCTGGGTGAAGATGCTTGAATCCTCCCTGTATATTTCTTGACAACTGCCTGTGAATCAATACTCATTTCAAAATTAAAGGTTAAAAAAAGTATTAGTAATATTCTGTCACTAGCTAATCAGTTCTGTCCTACGGAAGTATAACATGAGCCACATATGCAAGGCACATATGTAATTCTCTAGTAGCCATTTAACATAATATATCAAGAATATTATTCCAGCATGTAATGAATATAAAAACATTAGTTAGTTTACACTTTTTTTCAAAATTGAGTGTGTACATTATACTTACAATACATCTCAATTTAACTAGTAACATTTTAAGTGATCAGTAGCCACATGTGTCTGCTATTTGTATCAGACAGTACAGTTTTATACCATAAAGTTGGTGGTCAGTATATAGGATTTTATGCCATTATTTCTTGAACTCTGAATATGTTATATGCTTTCTGTTGCATGTGTATGATAATTTTGGGACAAGGGTACATACAAGGGAAACACCTAAATGCTGATGGTCCCACTTACAACTGAACAAAAAAATCCTTTTTCTTCTCCATTAATACAGAAACAAAACCTGAAGAGATTCCTGAATCCCAGACTAATAATCAAAATATTCATATCCACATCTCATCCAAACGCCGAGAATCACAAGGGCCCAAAAAAGAAGACACTGTGGTGGGAGAAGGTAAGCTTGGAGGGTGGAGATGATCCCCACAGGAGAGACCCACTGTGGATGGTCTGAGCCTCCCTCTCCTTCAGCTCTGTCTCTGAAGCAATTTGGTTTATAGCCCCTTCTTAGTCTTTGTTACTTTCCTTCAAAGAAATTATACCCCAGCAGAAAAATACACAGGTCTGGCTGGTTCACTCAGCTATTCACCAATTATTTGAATTGATATTTATATTGTTTTTAGTAGAAGATTATTGGTTTAACATTTGAGTTTGTTACATAGAGGAAAGGGGAAACCAGAGTATAGGCATATAATCTTTCCTTTAGCTATTGCAAAGCTGCCAATTTGGCAACATTATTGAATTTGGGAAAGAAGAGTACAGTTGCCAAATACCAACTATGCAAATTAGATTGAGTACAGAACCCTCGACAAATGAGTCAGCTTTGTTAAGCTGTGCTTTGTTGTTTAGTTGTACTTTTAGCAAAATGTAGTATTTGCCTCTATGGTGTGTTATGTCAGATGATATTACTTGTTATATTGTTAAATTGCCATTAGAATTAGTGCCAAACAGAGAAAAGATAAGCATTTGCCTGGGATGAATGCTTTGCCCTTGTCCTACTAAGAATGCTGCAAATAGGAAGACTGGGCAGAGCACAAGATGGCTTTGCCAAGTATGGGTATGATACATGAAAAATATTCATATAATTTCCATGGGCCTGAAACGTTTTAAAACATATACTCCAAAGAGTCAATTATCATATTTTCTGCTTGAAAAGGCTTACCAATCTTAGTGGTTCTGAATGCGTGTTTAAGCAAAAAATAGCAGTCCAATGTTATTCTGCCTCTAAGTAGCTGAGTGAGATCTTTCATGTGTGTGTTTATGTGGGTGTGTGTGTGTGTGCATGCACACATGAGCATGAGTGTGTATCAGTTTGTTTGCTTGTTTGTATATTTTTCCATGAAAGAAATAAAGGTTTGTTTGTTTTTTTCAATTTTCCCATCGTATTAGTTAGCCATACTCCAGTTCCTGGACCTGCACCAGAAGGTGGTAGAGGGTATGGGGGTGTGGTTGGGAGTGCTATTGAAATAAATAGAGAAAGAGAGAAGGGGATGGGAATTATTCAAGATTCCATCTAAGATTATTCTAATTTTGGTTTTTAGAAGCCTCTTGACCATATTATTGCATGTAAACTCAGGACAGGTGTTTGAACGCTGCCATCTGAATAGCTCTTCGTATTCAGCTGCCATCTGCAGAGAGTGGCAGGAGCAGTACTAATCTCTCTCTTAATCTCATATGGCCATTTATGTGCATTTCAGTGGCCCGCTTAAATTAACTACATTATGCCGTCCACAGTGCCTAACTGTTTTATTAAGGAACTTTTTTATGTGGTGGCTTATTAATAAATTATTAGGAATGAGACAGGGAAAGGGCTCTGTGGAAAAGTTTAGATTGAAGAGAGGGGAGCATCAAAGAGGCCATTTTATTAGGACATACAAGTTAAAAATAGAAAAATGTGTTATCCGAATCCTCCTCTGGGGATCACAGCAGATTTGTTTCCTTATCTTCTAAGCTTTGTACAAATCTGAAGAGTATCGTTTTGAAGACAAATAATGAAGCATCTCCTGCTTTTCTTTGGAAATTATTACCAGCTATGAAACACCTACTTATTGGTAGCTTTACATAAATTTTGTTTCATTCTATTATTGCCATGGCACTTTAGTTTCCCTTTTCCCTCTGTGTTTTTAAACTTTTAACATTTGCTGATAAAGTGACTGGCTGTCTCTCTCTCTCCAGCACTTTGCCTTCACTAAGCACTGCCATAGCACTTAGGATTATTGAGCTGTTGGAACTGAGCATGACTACTAGATTCAGATTATAAATTTACCACATTACAGCTTTTACCAAAAATGGCATGGTACGGTCAGGGTGCTAGAAAGTTGTGATGGGGGAAGAAGATAGTAAAGTATACATCCCTCCTATTTTACTGTTGCCAGGTTTTTTGATATCAAGAGCCATCTAAGCCCTCTTTAAATCCATGTCTGCTCATGTCACTCTTCTACTCATAAGATTTAATGAATTCTCATTGTCAGTTGGAGAATCAGGAGAGTGTGACAGTTAAGAGCATAGAACCCAGAAGTCCAACAGACTGGGTTTAAATCTGACTCCCTGTTGACAGACTTTGTGGCCTCAAGTAAGAGAACTAATTTCTCCGTGTGTTTCAGTGTCCTCATCAGTAACATGGCCCTAGTGATACTGGCCATAGTTATGGTTATTATACAGAATAAGTGAATTGGTGTCAGTAAAGAGCACAGAACAATTTCAGGCACACTATGTGTGCTATATATGTGTTCACATCCAAGGGTCTTTTGGATTCCAGTAGTTATTACAACTGCTGGGGAAAAAAAAGACCCGCCCCTGCCTTCTTCTAAAAGAAATGTATTAATAGAAATTTTATCCAAGTTCACCAACTATACAAAAGGATGATGAATGCACATTTTTTTGGGGTCCTAACAGTTTTCTGCTGGCTGCTTTAGCTTCATGAGAATGACAGGGATAGGAAAGGACAGAGATAGCTTCATCTGGAAGCAAAGGAGCTGAGAACTAGAAATTGTCTCAAGTTCTCAGGAAAGCAAAACTATGTTTGGAAATTATTGATAAATAATGTGTCCATGTCATATAATAAAAAATGAACATTTTCTATTTTAAAACATGGATAAAATATAGTAGTTGTCCCACAAGACAACTTCAAAAAATAATCAGGAATAACAGCATGCCCACTGAATAAGATGAAGAGCCTGGTATGGTGGTATGCACCTGTATTTCCAACTATTCAGGAGGCCGAGGTGGAGGATTGCATGAGCCTAAGAGTTTGAGGCTGCAGTGAGCTATGAAAATATCCACTGCACTCCAACCTGGGCAACATAATAAAACCCTAGTCTCTTAAAAAAAATTAAAAAAGAATAAAGAGTTCCAATTCTATTTTCAATCAAGATCCAATATCATAATTAACAATGGAATATTAGAGGAATTCATATTCAAATGAGGAAAACACATAAGTCATTCTTACCATAATTTTATAACATATATTTTGGAATGCTAAGAAACACAGCATATATAAAACAAATTGGCCAGTCATGGTAGCTCACACCTGTAATCCCAGCACTTTGGGAGGCCGAAGTGGACAGATCACCTGAGGTCAGGAGTTTGATACCAGCCTAGCCAATGTGGTGAAACCCCGTCTCTACTAAAAATACAGAAAAAATTAGCTGGGTGTGGTGGCACATGCCTGTAGTCACAGCTACTCGGGAGGCTGAGACTGGAGAATTGCTTGAAACCAGGAGGTGGAGGGCGCAGTGGGCCAAGATCATGCCACTGCATTCCAGCCTGGGTGACAGAGCGAGACTCCATCTCAAAAAAATAAAAAAAATAGATAAATAAAAATACAACAAATTAGGAGGACAATGATGGAAGTTGTTTGCAGATGATATGCTTTTTTAAGAATAACTTAAAAGATTCAACCATTAACTACCATGATTTATAAATATTTTGAATAACTCACTCAAATATAATGTCAGTCCAAAAAATTGTATAGGTCAATGGTATATATTTAGAAAAAAAATAAAGAAATGTACAATAGAGACCAAAGGATATACTGCCTTGAAAAAAGTCTTAACCAGTGTTATGTTGAACCTATATAAAAATAAACTATAATTTATTAAATAGTATAAAGAGAAGACTTGAATACATAGGGAATTATAGTATGTTTCCAATTAGATTGACTATTATTGCAAATGCCTCAGTTTTTCTCAAATAAATGGGATTAATGCAATTCCAATCATTCTTTGCAATGTTGAATAGCATAAGATGGATTCCAAAGTTCATCAGAAAATATAGACTAATGATACAAAGCCAATTTTCTAAAATAAATAGATTTTATGATAGTGGAAATGGGTAGCCCTATCAGGGAAATAATATTTATGTCACTATTCTTAAGATAATGTGATTCTGTTACAAGAATATATGGGCACATTAGTGGAAATAGCCCCAATTAGGTAGATATAGATATCATATATAGGTAATAGATACAGGAATGAAATATATAATAAAAGAGAAAATAAAAGTAAATATAAAGGAAAACAGTTTATAAAAGGTTTAGCAAATTTGACTATTTAGAACATTTATCAGTCTCGATTCACATTTTATAAAATATTACAAAGGAAATTCCAGATGGATTAATGAGTTAAATTAGGTTTACTAAAACATATCCATTTCTAGAGTATCACAAAAACAATAAAATGCAGATTACTTATGATATAATGTGCAACTACAGACATTTTCCTTTTTATTTTTCTCTAATTTTTATGCCTCCTCAATTGTCATACATTGCTTATTAAGAAGAAATAATATTTTTCACATAAAGGAACAAATTCTCTAGAGAAGATAGAAGCATTAGTATTTAATTATGGCATATACATTCCCTGATATGTGGGCAGGACTATTGCCCATTATTGACAAATGAGAAACCAAGATGGTTGATTCTTGTTGTTGGTTGATCTGTTTTTCATCCTTCTGCTTCAGATCCTGTTTAGGCTCAAAAGTCCAGGCTTTCTGTACTGAATCCAGATCATCCAATACTGAATGTTGCACATGGAACTAGGCTCAAAAAATATGAACAGGGTAGGGGGAGGTAGAGAGAGAGAGGGGAGATTCATTGTTAATATTCTTATTGCAAAAGAAGCCAGTGACTAGTACCCACACAAATTTTAAAAGTCAAAGGCACAGTGCATATTTGCTGCTCAAGAAAGTTTTGGAAGTTGGAAGAGGCTAAGGATAGCTGGAAAAGCTGTAGCTGACTGTGGGTGGACCCGAAAGAACCCAGAACCAGTGAGTCCTCCTTTCCATAGAGAAGAGATATAGGTTCCCCATATTGTATCCCATTTTCCCTAAAACTTGATCAAATCCACCAGTGGGATTCTAAGAGGCATGGAGGAACAGTTTAAAATCCCATCTTTTCATTTTAATGGGAACTCATCAACAAGGCAGAGGTGGAAAGGAGGCATGACAATTCATATGTTTTGATACTCACTATCCTTCCTTCCCTAAAACCCAAACATTCAGCTGAATGCCTTAGGACACGT
The DNA here is from genome assembly GCF_000001405.40 of Homo sapiens. Lineage (NCBI taxonomy): Eukaryota > Metazoa > Chordata > Mammalia > Primates > Hominidae > Homo > Homo sapiens. The sequence continues at coordinate 51,621,874 of NC_000006.12, read as the reverse complement.
ATCTGCTATAAATTCATTTTTTATCTAATTTGTCTGAGATCTAAGCTTCCTGTGGAGGTCCAAGATCAAAGGATTTGATTCCTTCTGATGTCGGCGCTGACACATAATGTGTGCTGACTTAGTTCTGTCTATAACCTCATAGTAGGAGGTGGCCAGCCTCTCTGGGCACCTTTACACAGTGAACTTTCATTTCGGCTGGGGAGTCTGTCAGGTATGTTGCTGATTGGAGCTGCCATGTAAATAATTCATGGGAGATTTTTAAATGTTTTGGGGTCTGCAAAGGAAAGCTATGCTTGTGTTAGTCTTTCATGAATAGATGCGGACTTAAAGAACAAGGGGGAAAAGATTTCCAATGAAGGTCTCTCAAAAACAAGATAACAGTATCTTCAATGGGTTGAAAATAGGCGACTTGCAGTGTTTGATTCCTCTTGTATGAAGCACTATTGGTTTTACCAAGGGATTAAAATTCAAAGCCTTTTTTGTCTTTTTAAAGTTTGCTTCTACCTGATAATTTATTATTCTTGTTCTTTGGTTATTTGCTGATCCTGATAAACTATGTCTTTTCCACCTGGTGGGAGCAGTAATTATGGAGATGATGCCCAGCTCAGTGCTTGGCAGAGGACTGGGCATAATGAGGGAGCAAGGTTGACGGCACACAAACATTTCTTCCTTGAAGGAACTCAAATTCCTAAGAGGAAGATGAGACTGTTACATAAGGAAAGGTGACTAATAATAGAAGCAACTGTGCAGGTCAAATGAGAAACTCCAGACAAGTATTGAGGCATAAATCAATGTAGTTTGAGCTGTGAAGAAACACTTCTGGAAGGAGCTGCAGGTTCCTTAGGAAAACTAGGGTAACCTGAAAGTTCTTATAGCTCTAAGCAAGAGAATCATCCCATAGTTTGATGGCTGTAGAAGATACATGCTAGACAAATGGACTGTGGAACAGGAGACAGAAAATGTGAATAACATGGGCTTATCATAATATTAGTAGATGTGTCATGGAAATAATAGGAACAACATGATTATCTTTTTTTACTGCTCTAAATCAAAAGCATTATATATATATATATACATATATATATATGTATATATAATGTTATTACTTTCTCTCATCCTTACCTCATTTTCCAGATTAAATTGAAGTGGGAAATTGGTATTGTCTATCCCAATACTGTCTCTTATAGTATGAATCAGACAGGATTACTATCTCCTAACACAAACCAAGACAGCTCTCAATGAACTCAGGAAAAAAATAACAAAAAGCTTAATAAGTTAAGGATCTTCAATACATACAAATGCGTGGTTAATGTATTTGGTGGTGAGATGTGAGAAAAGCAGGGACAGTAAACGTAGTAAAAGTAGATGACAGTATTACCATCTACCCCCCAGGGTTTAGGACAAGTTCAACCTTTTTCTCACTGTAAGGCATATGAATAGTGACCTTTGCATGCATGGTATACTCCCATGCATGTATCCCACTGAACATTCTTAACTTTCCATTGCAGTCTTTATCTTTACACAGTATTATATGGTGCCTAGATCATCTGTTTATGTATATTGTACTCTTCTGAGTTGATGTTTAGGTCTGTTTAATAGAAAAATAAGAGACAAATAAAATGTCAAAGAGGAAATCAATTAAAACAACATTGTTAAAATAAATATATTTTAGTAAATTTTGAAGTAGCACCTGAGAATAAATTAAATTATGCAACTAAAGCCCAGAGAGGCTGAAAGGATGAAAGTCATGAAGCCAGATAGCAGGAGAAGGGGAACTTGGGCCTAATTTTGTGACTTGAGTGTAATGTGCCATCTCTCTTTCTACTGTTATGCAACCATACATGTACACACTCATATACATAGATGTTTATGTGATTATTTCTGCAAATATTTATATTCATGTTTTTATAATACCAAAGATATTTACATTGTGAACTTGGTATAAGAGCCTAAGTATTAGATAGGACTGGTTTTTATAGTTCATATCTCTTAACACAGGTGTGAGTTGGCCTGTTGGTAAGTTGGCCTGTTGGTAAGTTGGCCTGTTGGTAAGTGTGAGTTGGCCAGTTGGTAAGGCCTGACCATGGTCTGGTTTTTGCATTGAAGCCTAGCGCTTACAATGAAAAATCCTCATTCAATTATCAACATCATGTAAGTATTTTTTGAGGAAGAAGTATTACCAATTTTTTATTACATATTTGGAGTGTCTGATAAAAGATATTTGGAAATCAAAGAGCTGATGTAATTCAATCTTTGATTTGACAATATCTTGTCAGAAATGCTAAGTATGCAAAATGTGTAATTAACTGGTTGAAAACTAAATCCATTTCTTCCCCTATTTCTTTTCCCCCCAGATATGAGAATGAAGGTCATGCTGGGCAAGGTGAACCAGTGCCCCCACCAGTTGATGAATGGAGTGTCCAGAAGGAAAGTTAGCCGCCACATTGTCCGAGAGGAAGAGGCTGCTGTGCCTGCTCCTGGTACTACTGGCATCACATCCCATGGGCACATCTGTGCTCCAGGTGCTCCTGCTCAGCAGGTGTACCTGCAAGAGACTGGGAACTGGAAGGAGGGCCAAGAGCAGTTGCTCAGATACCAGCTGGCAGGCCAAAATCAGCTGCTGCTGCTATGCCCAGACTTCAGACAAGAGAGGCAGCAGTTGCCAGGGCAAAGTCGGCTGAGTAAGCAAAGTGGCAGCTTGGGGCTTTCCCAAGAGAAGAAAGCCTCCTGCGGGGCCACTGAGGCATTCTGCCTTCATTCAGTACACCCGGAAACTATTCAGGAGCAACTGTGATCAGGGAAGTTGGGGGCATTTGGCCTGAAAGGCAGAATGTTCCCAGTATTTCTGGATAATAAGCTGGGGAAGTGAGGACTGTCCTGCTGGGACAACTAAGAAGAGAGAATGTGGACTCTGAATCCCTTTTTCAACTTTAAAATGGAAAACAGTCATATAAATGCTTACAGACTGAAAAATGTCTCATACATATTTTGCAGCTATCATGATCCTAGTTCAATGCTAGGCAAATAATGGCACTTGTTAATTATTTACCAGTTTTTAACTTAAGCCTGATTTTAACAACTTGATAATGGTGTAATACTGACTTATACCAGCAGGGGTTATTATTAAGCATTCTCTGGATTGACCACCCACAATGCTTTGAGCTTCTTTTATAGAAGGGATCATGAAAAGGTCTGGTCAGCTACAGTTTAATTCCACACTGTTACAGAAAAGCATTTCTTTATCCTGTAGTAGCATTTGAAGGGACAGTTCAACACCCTGCTCCCTGATCTGTCAGAGCTTACCTTCCAACCACAAGGCAACTTCCTGGCTTTTTACAAGTGGATTTTATTTCATGGTTTAAATTCAATCATTATTGAGAACCTACAGTAGTGTGAGCGTATCAAATTTGCACTTCATGAGGATTTACACATGAAAATTGATATTCTCATGGGCTTTGCTGAGAGTTTAGTTAAGGACAAAGATGTAAAAATGCCAAATTTGGGAAAGGAAATTTTGTATGACCACTGTTCTATTTTTCAGTGATTCTCTCTGTTAGTAGCTGGGTCACATTTACAACTGGAAAAGAACTACATTGGGAGATCAGAGAAAGCCAAGTGGCCAAGTCCTTTATCAAAAAGCTGCTTTTTGGAGAAGATGATGCATAAAGCTGTGATACTAAGGAGAGGAGAGATTATGTCATATGCAACTGCTCTAGGCTGTGCAGGGGGTTTAAATGGAGATCAGAACAAAGGCTCACCTGGTATTGATACATTTGGTAAGGTTGTTAAAGGCAATTTCACCAAATTCACACATTTGTACGGGGCCCATTTCTTTTCAAACTGAAGAATACTTTAAACAGCCTGACTGTGTCCTTGGCTCTGGATCCAGAAGGCCTTATGCTCCAAGCATGTAAAGAAAAGATCGCAGGAATGTGGAGAGCTTCCAAAAAGAGATTGCTCTCAGATTTTCCTGAAAATCCTGAAAACCAGGATTTTCCAATCTCTACAATGTTAAGGGGTTGTTGTGTAGTTGCATTGGAAGAGAGAAAGGAAACACACTCTTTCATTGCTGAATTCTAAATAATGATGCCCTGAATTAGTTCTATGAGAAGTACTGGCAGACAGCTGTTATGTCTGCAGGGCATCAAGGGGCAGGTGTGTCTCACCCTACTAAGAATTGGCAGAAATGTTTTAACCTCTTCTTTAGGCATCTGGTGAGTATTGCAGATCTTCAGGCTGTCCCTAAAAGGAGGTAGGTAGCCTTCTCTGTGGTCACTGTGTTGGATTTGGAAGAAAATATAAGTAGATGTTAAGGTCAGTGCTCTCCAGGAGATTTCAATCCAGGCTATCTGTGTTCAGGGAATGATTTGCAAGAAGTTGGTTTATAGACGTTTACTCTGGAGGCACAAGCTGGCTGCCATGCTGAGTAAGTCCTCTTTGTAGATGATGTATTTTGCTTGGGCACCAACAGAATTAAAAACGAAAAACAAAAAAAAACTCGAATGACTTAGGCAGAACATGCCTTCCCTAGTTTAATTAGTCCCTGTTATAACCAGTTATTTATCTTTTTTTGTAGATTCTCGGTCTTGAAGTCATTTGCCTTTGCAATCTCTACTTTAGTATACTCATTGGATCCTCAAAGAGCCGTAAGCTTTTTGGAAAAAAACATTTCAGAAGTGAAGGCTTTTGAGGTTTATAAAATGGTAGCAGTCTTAGTCCTTGCCCTGCCTCAGTTTACCTGCACATGCTTTCTTTCATTTCCTCGGATTCTTTCACCACTTTTTAAGTTTTTTTTCCACAGGTATTTTTCCTGAGCTCTATACCATGCATTTAGCTGCCTAGTGAGAATATCCAGTAGGTTATCCTATAGTTACTATGAAGTTAACACAGCCCAAAAACCTACTTCTCCTTGTGTTTTTTTCCAACTCAATGAATGACATCACTGCACTCAGACCAGAAATCTAGAAGTCAGTCATGACTCTTCATTCTATTTCGCCCTTCACAAAGAGTTAGCTGCCAGCTCTGTTATTTCTGCCCCTTCTTTACCCTTCTTCCAATTTTTATTATCTTCTTATTTATCCTCTATGTGTCACAAGACCAGTCTTTCTGGGAGGCATGTTTTATCCTATCCCTCTGCGTAGGAATAACCATAATTATCTTACTAATTCCATCCCAGAAAAGCCTGTGATCCCTGAGGCCAGAATTGACTCTTTGGGCCTAAATAGCAGCTATAAACATCTTCAGTAACTTGCCAGGCTCTAGCATGTGGCATGGAATTTTGGCATCTAGCTAAAATTCCTCAACCCATAGTTAAGCTACTCCTCTTTCTCCTAAAAAAAAAAAAAAATGAGAGAATTAGGGAAACACCAAAAGCAAAGAGAGCAGCTCTATGTTCATTCATGTCTGGAGATGAGCCAATTTGAGCACCACTGTAGGCCAACTCTAAATTTATTCAGATCGTTAACATGGGTAACCCAGCAAATATTTCCCAGCAGTGACAATCTACACCCTTTATCTAAATAAATATTGAGATGTGCTTTTTTCCTGTGTTAGTTCAAAGAATCTCTTCTTGCCTCCCATTGCTGATTTTCTGTATTGATGGACTCATTTCTCTCAAGAGATTGGACAAGCTAAAATTCTAGAGAGTTCAAAAGTGTTTGAAAGTACATTTTAAGTGTTCTCACCACAAAAAATGCTAGTGTGTGAGGTGATACATATGTTAATTAGTTCAACTGATCCATTCCACAATGTATACATATTTCAAACTATCGAGTTGTACATGATAAATATATACAATTTTTATTTGTCAAATAAAGAACATCTATAAATATTTATAGATTTCAAAATTGAGAAAGAAGTATATATGGAGCCACGGTTGTTTTGACCATTTCTCCATGCTTTTTGTTTGGGGAGGGGGACATTTTTTGGGGGGCAGGGACTGTGTTCAGGGAAAGTACCTGACCAACAGAACTTCAAGTCTCTTCCAGAGTGCGAGACTCAGCTTATCTGATCAAGGTGAACTTGCCCTTCAATAGACTTGCCCTTGTTACTGCCCAGTGAGGCCACCAAGGACCAAGAACAGTTGAGCTCTCTCAGGGCCTTCCCCTTTCAACAATTTAGTTGAATGACTCCCTTCCATCTATCAGTCTTACTCCAAATATATGAAATTACTATACATTGAAATGCCTGCAAACTATATGCAAAAATGAGTATGAGGAAATCAAATGTAAATCATATGCAAATATTATTCAACCAAGCTTCTATAAAATTGTACGTGTCAATAACAGTAAAGAATTTTAATTAATTCTGTCATTTAAAATTCATGCATTCCATATTTTGCTTTCAGAACTTATAGTCTATGCCAATTTTGAAAAAACTATAAGCACAAGGAATTAAATACTATTGAGTATAGAACTGTTGATTTCAACATACACTATAGCACTTTGACTAATTACAGATATATTTGATAGAAAAGTCACATTTCTACAAGGTAATTTTCAAAAAGAAATAAAACATTTCTGTAAACTTAAATGTGGATTAAGTGGCAGAATACAGAGATTTGAATGTTTACAAATATTCTTCTAGCATTTGTTCTTTTTATTTGGTGATTTCTTTGCTCGGAACAATTTAGAACATTTATTTAATGCATTTTTAGGACTTTCTAGATTTTAAGGGATTCAAATAATTAATTGTCCATACATTATCTCTTATCAGTCCCAAGATAATCTTATTTATTATCACTTTACATTTTATTTCAAAATTAGTAGCTATAACAAGGTGAAGGAAATACCTACTCTTCTCTCCATTTTATAAATAAAAAAGTCAGTTGCCATAACTTTGTTAGGGTCCAAGGCAAATTACAAAAATTGTTTGGACTATATTTTTTCCTTCTAACATTTCCTCAAGTTAATGGTATGTCATTTAGTAGAATGACTCATGTAGAAAATTATTCAAGTTATGCTGTTATAGTAAAAAAAAAAGCAAATCTCAAAACCATCTGTATAGTATGCTTTTACTATAGTTTGCTTATACATAGAACAATTATGAAAAGATAGTCAAGATAATTTTGTAATAGGTACCTCCAGGGAATGGAGTAGAAAATATGGGTTGATTTGCACTTCAAATCTTATATCCTTTTGTATTTCAATACTTTTATAAATACATTTACTATTAAAATAAATTTTAAAATATTTTCTCCAAGTTATGATTGACCAGAGATTGGCAGTCTCTTTAGATCTCAGCCAGGGATGGGACATGCTTACAGGAAATGCTCTTAATCTTTGCAGAAATGCTTATAGAAAATGCTGTTAGTCCTTGAAAAACTAAAATAGATGCAAAGGAGAAGAAAAAGAGTCTGAGTGGAAGATGAATGGACTGAGAAAAGAGGCCAGGGAGGAATAAAAGGAAAAGTAAGGGAAGTCTATAGGTGAGGAAGAGAAGGTGCTATGGACAATAGTGGTTAGATTGTGACTGGGTCTGCTTTACTACCACAGTGTCCCTGGGTTATTATACAAGGCATGTCACCAAGGGTTCCATTTGGGTGAAGGGCCTATAAGGAAAAATCATATATAGTTATGGCCTCAGTATCACTCCTAAAATCCAGATATAAAACAGTCTCCTTCTCATCGCAGTCTTATAGAGGAGACCCTGTGGAAGCAGATGTGTACCCCAAGTCAACATAATACCCACATCACTGAGACATGCCCACCCAATAGTATGCCTCCCTCCCCCATGTTAGTGCCACCTTGTGTATTTCTTCCAGTCCAGCTCCATGAGAGCTTATTCTAAGCCTATACTATGTGATACTGATATTCAGTGCTGCATAACATTTTGGTTAAAAATGGACCACAATACAATGGTGGTCACATAAGATTATACCATATTTTTCCTGTACATTTTCTATGATTAGATGTGTTTAGATATATGAATACATACCATCGTGTTACAATTGAATTTGGTTCAGTAACTTGCTGTACAAGTTTGTAGACTAGGAGCAACAGGCTATATCATGTAGCCTCGGTGTATAGTAGGCTACACCATTTAGGTTTGTTTAAGTATGCTCTATGATGTTTGCACAATGATGAAATCACCTAATGGTGTATTTCTCAGAGTGTATCCCTGTCATTAAACAATTCGTGTGTGTATAACCCTGAACACAAAGGTCTGACTCTTGGTAGCAGCTATCACTGTATACTTATCAGGGAGGTTCCAGAGATTCAGGCTCCTGTAATAGAAGCTGAAGTCAAGAGGCTGTGGGCTTTAATTTGCAAACAGTGAATGTGGCCTGAGAAATAAGATTCTCCAAAATTTTTAAAAATTGTTGCATGAATAAATAATCCTAGCTGCTTATCTGTAGTTTGGAGAACTCTAGAAGTGCTATAAATTTGGGCTATACGTCTAATAATACCAAATATCAAGAGTTTCTCCCACCCATATATTTTTATTGTATTTTCAAGGATGTCACTGCTTCGATTATCCTCTCCTTCCAGGATCATTAATCTCTCCCAATCTACTGGTTTACTCCTGTGAGTATCCAACATGGTTAAAAAGCTCCCACTATTGAAAAAAAAAAAAAAAAAAAAAAGAAAGGAAGAAAGAAAAAGAAAACATTCCTTGATTCAATAGGCTTCTTCGAATCTCTTTACAATTTTTCTACCTCCACTCCAGCAAATTTGTTTGAAAGACTTTTGTTCACACATTTTATTACTTCCTTGGTTTTCATTCACTCTACCAACTACTTCAATGCATCATCTGTCTCCTTCATCTCTCTCTTTCTTTCTCTCTCTGCCATATGAGGACACAGTGAGAAGCTGGCTGTTTGTGAACAAGGAAGAGGGCCCTCACCAGCATCCAAATCTGCTGGCACCTCGATCTTGGGCTTTCCAGGCTCGAGAGCTGTGAGAAATAAATGTCTGTTATTTAAGCCACTCAGTCTATGGTAGATTGTTACAGTGGCCCAAAATGACTGAGACATTTTTTCGTATCATCAATATTGCATATGCTTTCCACTATGTTCTTGAAAGTGTATATTTTAAAGGTTCGCGAGCTTGAAATGGTATCTTATTTTTTTAATGCATTAAATTTAATATAATTTTACACTCCTGCCTCAATGCAGTCTCACCCATCCAATTTTTTTTATTGGATAGTGAGATTGGTAATATCAACCACAAATTATATTAACAGCCATTTCAAGTTATTCTTTTAATATTTGTATTTTTTCTTTTAAAAACGATTTTAGTGTTTGCATTTTGTTTTATAACCAAATGTTTAACAACTATTTGGATGTATCTTTATGTTGAATTTACTCCTGTGTTACTAGATAATCTTTTATTATCATGGCTTACCAATTTGTGACCCATTAATCACAGTTATATCTTAATATGTTGAAATAAATCTTCTAGTAATTTTTTTCAAGTAAGTTACATGGGATATATTATTCCTTAGCCCCTTTGTCATAAAAATGGCTTCATACATGGAACCTTTACTCTGTAAAATTCTGAAAACATCATTCGAGTATTTTCTAACTTTAGTGTTTTAGAAAAGGTGTCAGAAACCAGTGTGAGTTGTTTCTGTGTAGGAATAATTAGAAAATGATACTATCTTTTTTCTGTTATTTAAACATTTGGGCACTTCTTTCTACAGATTCAGTTCTCTCCAAGTGATTCTATTGCCTATCCTCCTTGTATACTAGGCAATAATAATTGCAAAAAGAGGGAAATAATATTTGTAATAAGAAAAGAAGTATTCATAGGGAAGGAAAACTTAAGTATGACTTAAAATAATAGATACGGTATAAGTAGATAGGGAAGAGAACCTTTCAGATAGGAGGAAATATATAAGTGTGACTAGAAGAGTTACTGATTCCCAGATCATGGATTCATCAGTGATGAATTGCTATAGAGTACAGGAAATAAACGGCTGAATGAATAATTAATAACCATTTTAAACATGTGAAATTATATTAAAAAGATGGTAGGTGTGGTTTCAATTCAGATTGGGCCAGACGGAAGAATATCCACTGTAACTGAAGAGATTAGGTATTAGGAAAGAATTCTACTTACTTGGAAAGAAGTGCAAGTATTATGAATATTTCAGCATCCTACTCTGTTGATATTTTTAAGGCATGGTTAAATGTTTCTTCCCTAGTCTAATTTATACACTGGGAGATCACGGAGTAAATGGTCTCTAAATTTCCTCTTTTCTTGATATGCCAAATGAAACTTGCATCAGACATATACAACACCCCAGCTGATACTGTACCTTTAGACCTAGTGAATAGAAGTTTCTGTCCTAAATTCTGTGCTCTAGAGGGCTCCACTTTGACGTCACCCCACCCCTAGCTACATTTCTCACACAGACAGGGAATCCATGAAGTCAAGGGGATGTGCCCACTTACACACCATGCCCACTCCTTTTAGACCATCCATTGCATGCTCAAGGCTGAACTGCCTGCCCAAACAGCCCTGAGCCCTCTGGACCTTGCAGAGGCTTTTTTTTTTTTTTGACCAAGTCTTGCTCTGTTGCCAGGCTGGAGTGCAGTGGCCTGATCTCAGCTCGCTGCAGCCTCCACCTCCTGCGTTTAAGTGATTCTCCTGCCTCAGCCTCCCAAGTAGCTGGGACTACAGGTGCACGCCAGCACACCCAGATAATTTTCATATTTTTAGTACACACAGGGTTTCACCGTGTTGATCAGGATGGTCTCAATCTCTTGACTTTATGATCTGCCCACCTCAGCCTTCCAAAGGGCTGTTTTTTTTTTCTTTTTTTTTTTGTTAGATTCCTCCTTTGTTTATTATACCAAGTCAAGTGAAGGAAAAAACACTTTGAATTAGAATGTAGAAACATGTCACACCATTGTTGGCATCAATAGAAAGTAATTATAACTAACTTTCTTATCAATAGAAAGTAATTTTAACTTTTGAGTCTCATTTTGTTGTTATGAAAGACACGGATTAAGACATTTACAAATATGTAACTCAAATATCTTCTGATTCTATAGGCCCTTCCTTGCTTAATAATATCTTAGTTCCCTTTGACAAATAATCCTTATTATTTCTAAGGTTCAACAACAACAAAAAAAACAGGCCCCAAATGGGATTCTATCTGGAACTCATAGTGACCATACATCCCTTTTTGGTTCACAGATTCCGCCGTTAGGGGGACCCCATTAAATGCCTCGCTTTCTAGCCTTCTGGTTCTCGGGCTTCTCAGAAGTCACCAGCTATGCTGGCCACAGCAACATGCCCTTCTACCTCCCCTGGGCTGGCACTCATGGATCACACATAGGAAGGACAATGTGACACGCAGAATTTTAAGGTGATCCCATGATCTCAGCCACCTGATGTCCCACCCATGATTAAATAGCAAAGGGATACTGCAGATGAAATTAGGCTTACTAATTAGTTGACCTTAAGGTGGGAAAATTATTTTGGTGGGCCTTACCTCATCTCAGGAATGTCTTAAAAGAAGAGAGTTTTTGTTTACTGGCTGATGGCAGAAGAGGAAGTCAGAGATATGTCAAACTTGGGAATGATTTCATGTGTCCTTGCTCCTTTGAAGATGGAACAGGCCACTTGGCAAGAGATGCAGGTGGCCTCTCAGAACTAAGAGTGGCCCACAGAAGACAGCCAGTGTGGAAAGGGAACTATGGTCCTATCTCCACTAGGAAATGAATTATGCCAACCACCTTTATAAGCACGGAAGCTGATTCTTCCTGAGACTCCCAATAAAAGCCCAGACCAACTAACATCTAGATAACAGCCTTATGAGACCCTAAGAACAAAATCCAGGTGAGCCTGCCCAGTCTTCTGACCTACAGGACTGAGATCTAATAAATGGGTGTTGTTTTAAGCCACTATGTTTGTGGTAATTTGTGACACAGAAGTGGAAAACAGACATTTCTAGTTTAGAATGAAGTGTAAAATTACAGACACTATGGTTTCACTGAAAAAAGAAGAGTTTAATCCTCTCCTCTTGCCTTTGCTTGTATGTCTTCTGATCTCTTTTTCAGCTGACACAAACAAATTCTAGTCGTCCATAAGCTTAAACCCCTCCTTCAATCCATAGATTCCCCTCCAAGCACGACTGCCCTTGTGCATAGCTGGATCATGTCCACTCCTATGTGCCTTTCCCAGGTTTCTCACTGGTGCACCTGGTCCTTCCAGTGTGGAGGTGACCAACTGTCATGTCCCCCAGATTCAGTGGGTCTACTTCCATCACTGAAGCCACAAGACAAAAACAAGCTAAACTGTTCTCTCTTCCCTTTCCCCCTTTCTGTCTTCTCATTCCTCAGTCTGTTTCCCCAACTAGATTCTGACAAAAGTTATTTGCAGCATTCCCATCAGTTCCATGAGTGACAGGAGACTGGTGTCAAGTGAGAAAATGAAATGTAAATTTTATTAAACACCCCCTCTCATCTCTGCGTATCAATCCAGATTCCAGCCGAACATAGCAAATCAAATCCTGTCTATGCTGGGCCTCGGGGCACACGGAAAATCATTTCCCCTTAATACCATTCCCTTCTAGTAAAATATTTTTCTGTTTGGTAAATGAAAATTTTAAATGCAAACCCTGTTTTAATCCTGGCGAAAAGCATATCTTCAAAATGAACATTCGAATGAGGGAGCAGAAAAGAGAAGAAGGAGGATTTGGGGGCAAAGGGGAAAGAGAAGGGACTGGGAAGATGGAATTGTATTTAGCTGTGTCATGCGCAGTCCTGTCTGGTCGCTGTGCAGAGATGCAGATCCATAGAATAAATGCCAACATTCTTTGAAAGCTTAGACCATTAGGACATTTGTCTGCATGCTGTCCTGTCTCAGAGATAATAAAGATCTTAAATCTGATACAGGCCTTGAAATAGCATTAGAAATATAAATGCTTTATTCTGGGTGTGAATATATGCACAATTGCTGACTTGTGCATAGAGAAAATCTTAATTTGGAGCTTTAAAAATATGATTAACTTAAAAAGAAAAAAGTACATTTTAATTTCACATTGCAATAAAAATAAATTAAAATTTTAGCCAATAATTAAATTGACATTTACAATACCACTATGACTTAAAATATATACTCTATCTATATTCTACCTCATTTAAATAAAAATCATAAATACTGCCTTTGTTTAACAAGGAGATAATTTTTCTAGTCTATTTTTTAATTTGCTCATTTTAAGCGGGTAAAATCATTTTCGAAATGATATTTTATCAGGAGAAATATATTTATATTTGGACTACCTGTCTTGATTTGCCTGAGACTGGGGGTTTTCTGAGGACATGGGACTTTCCTTGGTAAACTAAAAAGCTCCAAAAAGTCCCACGTAAATGAGGGTGAGTCACACTAAAATAGTAATTCCTTATATATTAATACATTATTAATATCACAGACTATATATTTTTGTAAAATGGTCTTAAGTTAAATGAAGTTTTAGCTGTGCCTGAAAGGACTCTCCTTGATTTGTCCAAACTTGGCAGACACAATTCAGACCTCCAAAAGATGGGAGGCAGGACTCAAACATTACTATTGTTATTTCAGAAATGGTATTCTTATTCTCCCTTTTTCTTGACTTGTGGTTAAGTTTTTTTTTTTTTTTATCAACTTTTAAAGAGCTTTGAATACTGGCTTTAGAATTATATTTCACTGCATAAGAAAATAAGTGTTTTTTTTTCTTTCTCTTCTAGCATCAGACTTCTATACCTGCATAATCTACTTCTAAAAAATAATTAAAATTGCTTTGTAACTACTGTTCTATTCTTTGTTCCTTTTATAAACTAGGAAATATCAAATGTAGTTCCCATGTGATTAGGTAAGAATCTTCATATAAATATATTTGCTATGTCACCAAAAAACAAAAACAAAAACATTCTTTGTGATATGGTTGTAAGTAGTCAGTATATAAGAACCTGAGTTTTGCTTTTTGGATACTTAGTGATGTGCTGAAAGAACACGACTGATATTTCATAAACAAATATCTGGTTAAAAGACATAACCCAGTTTAGATGCATTTCTACAATTAAGGTCCAAAAATGTAAAACAAGTGTTGGACCAAACAGTGCATTCACTTTCCAAAAGAGCTATATCATTTCTCACCTAGCAGAGGTCGTCCCTGAAATAGAAAGCATCATGTTTGGAATTTAGAAATAAAGTCATGATTCTGTACAAGGAGAGAGTTTATATGGTTATAATGTAGACATTTTAACTTGAACGATTGTATTTGGAATCCATAATCCTTGATTGCTCAACTAGATATATTTTTCTTTTTTAACATTTTTCTGTATTAGCTTTATTTCACACCTATCCATTCACCCATCCCTCTATCTATTTATCAGTCCAGCTTATTGTTTTATCGATTTTAAAGTAAGTTACAGACATTGCTACAGGTCACTTCTAAACATTTCAGCTCACATTTTATTATTTAGAGCTCAATATACATTCATGGTTTTTGTTTTTCTTTTTTTAAATTGACACATAACAATTGTATATATTTATGGAGTATATAGTGAGGTTTGGATATGTACAATGTATAGTGAATAGATCAGGTTAATTAGTGATTACCATCGTCTCAGAGATTTCTCAATTCTTTGTGTTGGGAAGATTCACTGTCCTACTTCTAGCTATTTGAAACTATATATTATTGTTAGCTGTACTCCTCCTACAGTGCTGAGAACACTGGAACTTATTCCTCCTATCTGGCTATAATTTTATATCCTTTGACAAATCTTTCTCTATCCCTTTCTTTCTTCCCCCTTCCAAGACTCTAGTATCCTCTGTTTTACTTTTATGAGATCAACACTTTTTTAATCTTCCAAATATGAGTGAGAACCTGCGGTGTTCAGATTTCTGTTCCTGGCTTATTTCACTTAACATAATGTCCTCCAGTTCCACTTATGTTGCCACAAATGACATGATTTCCTTCTTTTTTATGGCTGAATAGTATTCCATGGTATATATGCCACATTTGTTTATCTATTCATCTATTGTTAGGCACCTCGATTGATTCCATAACTTGGCTATCGTGAATTGTGCTGCAATAAATATGGAGGTCCAGATGTCTCTTCCTGATTTCCTTTCCTTTTCGCAGTAGTGGGATTGCTGGCTCATATGGAGTTCTATTTGTGTTTTTTGAGGAACCTCAATGCGGTTCTCCATAGTGGCTGCATTCGTTTACATAATTATTATTTCTTCTTAGTATTTTTGTGTACTAATTAAAACTAGAGTACTTGGCTTGAGAATGTGTAAAAATTCTATGTGTAGAGTATAAAAGCAAGGTTGCTGGGCACGGTGGCTCACGTCTGTAATCCCAGCACTTTGGGAGGATGAGGTGGGCAGATCACTTGAGGTTCAAGACCAGCCTGACCAACATGGAGAAACCCCGTCTCTACTAAAAATACAAAATTAACTGGGTGTCGTGGGGGGTGCCTATAATCCCAGCTACTTGGGAGGCTGAGGCAGGAAAATAGCTTGAACCTGGGAGGTGGAGGTTGCGGTGAGCCAAGACCACGCCATTGCCCTCCAGCCTGGGCAACAAGAGTGAAACTCCGTCTCAAAAAAAAAAAAAAAAGCAAAATTACAGAATTATTATTAACATGTGCATTTTGGGTTTCTTTTACCTTTTGCCTATCTTAATTCTTCTAACCTGACTGACCAAATCTCATGAACTCTGACCAGCTCATTCCAGATATATCTCAAGCACTGGGCCTACCCTTTCTCTGTCCTTCCCTTCAAACTTACCTATCCAGTGACCTATTTCTTCTAGAATTTATGGATAGTTTTACAGAATAATCCACACCAATGTTGTAATGTTAAATATATCATACCTTTTAGGAGTATTTTCATTTTAACAAATTTCTCAATCCATAGCCTAAAAGGATTTATATCTAAAGATGGAGGTTATTTTATAGAGGTACCTCAAATAATGCACTAGTGTCCTATTGCTGCTGTTGCCACAAACTTCATGGATTAAAACAATACAAATTTATTATCTTAAAATTTTTGAGGTCAGAAGTCTAAAATCAGTTTCACTGGGCTAAAATGAAGGTGGAGTCAAGGCCGGTTCCTTTCCCTTTTCAGCTTCTAGTGGCTGCCTATGTTCATTGTCTTGTGACTCCTTCCTCTTATCTTCAAAGTCATTATTCCAACATCTACTTCACTCCAACTTCTTGCTCCATGTCTCCTATTGTTTTCCTGATCTTTTTCTCTCTTATAAATAACCCTGTGAATACACTTAGGGTCCACTTGGATAATCCTGGATAATATCCCCTTTCCAACAACCCTTACTTAATCACATCTGCAAGTTGCCTTTGCTATGTGAGGTGATATTCACAGGTTCCAAGGGTTTGGATGAGGATATATGAGGAATGGCCATTTTTCAACCTACCAGAAATAATATCTTCTCTGGCCATTTATGTCTATGGGTAAGATTGGAAAGGAAATCTATATTAATGACAAACCGTACCCATGATTGCAGCTGAGCATATAATATAGGAATTAAGGATGAAGTCCTCTGTTATAGTACTCCGCTACTGTCATATACCTTGTCCATGGTGTGGTGAGAATGGAGAGATCCTAGAATGAATCTCTTCTGTCAGCTCTTCTCTAAAGTCTCCTTTCAGTCCTGCTGAGACAGGGGCACAGGAATTTAAGTGATAGAACCATAGACACAAAGGTAAAAGTCCCTGGCCTGTTGGTTTTCAAGGAAAATGTGGTATGTTTTAAGTCTTAAAAATATAAGAAGGAACATTTGTTTTTCTCTTTATAAGTTACAATTTTCCCTCTTGTCCTTCCTCTATTCATGTCCTACATGTGCTCTGAGCCTGGGACCAGGTCTATCTCTGGTCTCTCATGACCAGGTGAGCTTTCCCTTGCTTGAGATTGTCTATGCTGCCTTTGCAATTATACAAGGTGATGAGTAGCTGTTAACACTTTACAGAATATGTCAGTTTCCTCAAGTAGATTATAAACATATTGACAGCAAGGACCATGTCCCCCATATCACTGGGTTCTCTACTTCATTTCTAATACAGTGACGTAGTAACAGAGTGGATGTGAATGTTAAATGAGTGAGTATAAGAAAACATTGTTTTCCTGGCTCAGACTTAAGGCAAGAATTGTGCTTTTAACATATGTGTAAATAAATATTTCTAAATATGTATGATTTACCTAGGCAATAAGAAGAGAGTAAATGCAGTAAATATTTGTTGATTGATTGCTACCTTAAGTCCTATGGAAGGAAAATAATACCGGGTTTCACGTTTTGCTGGCGTTAGCCAGTTTATGTTTATTTTTCCAGAATATTCTAGCCAAATGGTGTGTATTTTAAGTGTCAAACAAGTTTAGACACTCACATGACAAAGCAACAGCAACAACAAAAGTGTTATTGACGAAAGAGAAGTAATTAAGATTGCTACATCCATATAACTAAAAGATTTTGATTCACTAAAAATTCTGCTTTCAAATAATAATTTCATAAAAACTTACTTTTTAATGTTAAGTGAAACATATAGAATCCATACAGTGTGATCTCATCTAAATTTGTGTGGGTATTTATGTTCATATTTATATTAATATGTGTACTAATTAGCAGGAGTTCTCTCTGAAATACTTGATTTTTATTTTTTATTTTCTTCTTTGTTTTTATATTACTCAGAATTTCGACAATTTAACATGCTGTCTTTTAATGAGAAAATAAAATTCAGTATGTTATGTTCCAATGAGAACTAGAAACTCCACACTTTTCACTGATAAATAAACATCCTCAATGCTAACCCTGGAAATGCTCACCTGTGCAAATTCACTTCAAACTGGTGTGCTTTCCCTCCACCTACTGTAGGCAAATCAGCTGCAGGGCATTCAGCTCAATCTGCAACCTGGAGAAGACTTGGGGAACCTGCCTATCTTGATGAGGTCATGAAACCCGTGCCCCTTGGCAAGTTTCTCTTATTTCCTGCTTTTACTGCCCTACATCATTGTCCTGCTTGTCCAAATTTTGGATGAATGTGGTCTGCTCATTGAAGTACAATGAAGGAATTTTTCCATCCAATCGAGTTGGGTAAACACTATTCTTATTACTGCTTTCCCGACAGTTGTCTGGCTAGGAAGGGACAGCAGTATGTGTTAGTGTGCAGCCAGGCGATAGAGGATGGAAATGGTAATAAACACGAGCATTGACTAGACCCAATATTAGTGAGGTGCTGGGAAGCCATCCTAGCTTTGGGCTGCCTGAAGGCAGTGGTGATCCCCTGCTTGTCCTATCTGTCAGTCTATTTGATCTCCAAATGAATTGCTTTTGATAACAGCTATATAAATGCAGAACTGATCCGCTGGGCCTTCTTAAATGAGACTCCTCGCTTTCATCTCCCAGTCATTTCAAAAAGCAGATAGACTTGTTAGAGGTTTTAATGCAATGATTTATGTTTTATCTTGCCTGGTTTGAGGCAGCATTTATTTAGCACTAAATTCTTCCCAAGTCTCTATGTGAGGGGAGAAATGTTTGAACACACACATTTGGGGTTTCTTTTTTAAAAAGTAAATTCAATAATATATGTTTTTCTGCTTTATTTTGTTTAGGAAAGGCAATAAACTTTATTTTAAGTAAGGAAGGAGGGAAAAGAAAAAGTCACTATACAAAACACTATCATTCCACACCCTTGGCAAAGTTGCAGAGAACCAGAAAGGAACAATATAAATTATCAAATTTCATAACACAAATAATTAAGGTACCCCCACCCAATGACGACTAGAAAAAGAAATTACCATTAATTTAGTTAAAACAAAGCTTTCTTATGGTTTTCACATGTTGTTTGCCTTATCTATTACAGAATAATCTGTGGAAGTTCTAATTATTTCTGTCTCTTATACCTTTCTTTCTTTATAGCTAATTTCCTAACCTCTCTCCACTTCACCCCTTTCCCATTGTATGAATGAAGAAAACTCCTTTATTAAAGAGAGTGGAGCATCATTGACAATGTACAAGATTTTTTTGTAAGAAGCTTTGATTATTTGCCTCTCATATACTATAAAGTAAGTTTAAGAGGACATACTAAAGAGGGAAAGACACAACCTATTTCAACTGGAGATGAAACAACTTAATTTCCCCTTCGTTAGAGAAATTACTTCAGAAAATAATTGTTATAAGAAACGTAATGCAAGTTTTATATAAAACCAAACCATCTAAGTAAATTGGGACAACTTGGTATTTTAAATTATGATTTTCAAATAAAACAAATAATCAGCCCAAATCTGAATTTTTAAAATAATTATGTTTGGTTAAAATGCGATCATTTTCTCATGAAACACCATACCAATTTATTCCGATCAATAAGACAAACTGCAATGATACCTCTTTAAAGCAATATATAATGGAGCAGAGAAAACAAAACCACATTGTATTAAATTCTTGACATCTCTATATCTAGGAAAGGAAATTCGTTTTTTAAGAAGTAAGAGGTCTCATAGTTCTTAAGTGTTAAGGCTAACTGAAGATAGGTTAATATTTTTTCTATGTGGTAGAAAAACATTTGTATCTTATGTAGGCATTTTACTCAAATCTCCTTTTAAGTCAGAAGATAAAAGAAGCTTTTAAAATGCTTGAACATTTGGTTAAAGCAGCATACTTGTAGTTTCAGCATTGAATGCAACAGGTTACAGCTGTTGGTGATAATTAGATTGCCCCATGAAGTTTTTTTCCTTGTTACTCCTTCAAAATGCTTATATAAACACTGAGAAACTTGTTTCTGGAAATAACATACAAGTTAAAGGAAAACTGACATGTATATAGTTTTCTTAAAAAGGCATTGCATTAGAAATTGTAAAAATAATAACAATCATAGCTTGTAGTGAGGAAAATATAGTAAAAAATAGTTTTCCGTGTTTCAGATAAGCAAGCTAATAGAGTTAACTAAAGGTCATACCTCTTAAAAACAAAATTAAGATAAGTATGTCACTTAATATTCACTTTGTTGCCTTTCCAGTGGGGCATCAGAATGTTTACACTTTCTTGTTAGAGTGTTATATAAATAGTCTTAAGAAAGTACATTATTTAAAAGTATAGCATCATTTTATATTCTATAAAGAGAAGTCATCATAAAATGATTTTTAAAGCTTTGTAAATCACAATACCTAAGCTGATCCACTATGAAATCAAACCCACTTAACAGATAAAGTGCCTATGATCAGTCTTATACTATACAATGTGAGGTATTTTATAGTCATAATTACTGTCAGCATTGTTATTCCTTTTTTGCTTTTGAGACTATTGAAGCTCAGAAATGCAAAGTGATTTGCCTGACATCATAAGACATATTAGAGCTAGCTCTGAGTTTTGAATAAACTTAGATCTCTTGGCTTTAAGATCATGAACCTCCAGATACAAAGATAACTCAAATCGTTTTCAAGACTAGCTCCTCTGAAGTGGATGGTGTAATGATGATCCATTTTGTTCCACTGTAGAAAGTCAGGCCAGGGGTGTTCCTGTAGCCTGCTTGAAGCTGTAGAACCTGGGGCCTCTTAAACTCTCATTCTCATCGTTTTGATTTGTGTGCTCAACTCCCACATGATCCAAAATTTATTCTGGAGGAAAATTTCATGAATTTTATTACCCAAATGTATTACCAAAATGATATCCATTTGGGACAAGATCATATCTCAACTAAAAAATATTTTACTCTTGCTTGAAACTACCAACCTCCTCGCTCTACAACATAATACATACATACTGTCCATTTATGTAGCTGCATATGTTTTCTATTTTATCTAAGTATACTGTTTGCCTTTCATTGGAAGTTTTGAGATTATCATTGTCTTGATTTGCCTTCATAGAGTCACACATAAGACTAGTGGACTTATACAATTGCAGGGAACTTAAGAATTTCTTTCCATTTAATGTCCTTGTTTTAGAGAGAAGGAATAAAATCTAAATAGATTAAATTATCAAATTCCACAAAGAAGCAAAGAGACAATGTAAAAATTCCTTATCAAGCCTTTTTACCTACCCACTCACATAGCCTATTGGTGGCTTTCAAAAATCACTAGACTGCTTCCAAATTTTATATGGCTTTTGGACATAAAGCTAATTATCTCCCTCCTCATTTCTGTAAATTTGCCCTTTACACATATGCTTAGCTTTATGTAGTTGGGTCAAGTCAGCTTTTGTGGTTAGATGGGGGGGCTCTAGAGTCAGCTTTTGCGGTTTGAATCTTCACCACTTACCTACTCTGCAACCTCGAATAAGTTGGCATAAACTCTTTTTTCCCTTCATTATTTATTTATTTATTTATTTACATTTATTTATTTCAATAGGTTTTGGGGGAACAGGTGGTGTTTGGTTCCATGAATAAATTCTTTAGGAGTAATTTTTGAGATTTTTGTGCACCCATACCCCAAGCAATGTACACTGTACCCAGTGTATGTTCTTTTATTCCTCACTTACTTTTGCATCCTTTCCCCAGAGTCCCCAAAGTTCATTGAATCGTTCTTACGCCTTTGCATCCTCATTCCTTAGCTCCACCTATAAGCGAGAACGTATGTTTGGTTTTCCATTCCTGAGTTACTTCACTTAGAATAATGGTTTACAATTTCATTCAGGTTGCTGCGAATGCCATTATTTCATTTCTTTTTGTGGCTGAGTGGTATTCCATGGTGTATATATACCACAATTTCTTCATTTACTTGTTGATTGATGGGTATTTGGGCTGGTTCTATATTTTTGCAACTGCAAATTGTGCTGCTATAAACATGTGTGTGCAAGTATCCTTTTCATATAATAACTTTTTCCTTTGGGTAGATATCCAGTTGTGGGATTGCTGGATCAAATGATAGTTCTACTTTTAGTCCTTTAAGGAATCCCCACACTGTTATCCATAGTGGTTGTACCAGTTCACATTCCCACCAGCAGTGTGAAATGTTCCTTTTCACCACATCCACGTCAACATCAATTATTTTTTGATTTTTGATTATGGCCGTTCTTGCAGGAGTGAGGTGGTATTGCATTGTGGTTTTGTTTTGCATTTTTTCATATGTTTGTTGGCCATTTGTATATCTTTGTTTGAGAATTCTGTATTCATGCCCTTAGCCCACTTTTTGACGGGATTACTTGTTTTTTTTCTTGCTGATTTGTTTGAGCTCTTTGTAAATTCTGGATATTAGTTCTTTATTGGATGTATAGATTGTCAAGATTTTCTCCCACTCTGTGGGTTGTCTGTTAATTCTGATGATGATTTCTTTTGCTGTGCAGAAGCTTTTTAATTTAACTAAGTCTCATCTATTTATCTTTGTTTTTGTTGTATTTGCTTTTGGGTTCTTGGTCATGAAGTCTTTGCCTAAGCCAATGTCTAGAAGGGGTTTTCCAATGTTATCGTCTAGAATTTTTATAGTTTCACGTCTCAGATTTAAGTCTTTGATCCATCTTGAGTAATTTTTGTATAAGGTGATGTGTCTGGAATTGGTGGATTCTTGGTCTCACTGACTTCAAGAATGAAGCCACAGACCCTCACGTTGAGTGTTACAGTTCTTAAAGATGGTGTGTCTGGAGTTTGTTCCATCAGATGTTCCGATGTGTCCGGAGTTTATTCCTTCTGGTGGGTTCATGGTCTCGCTGACTTCAGGAGGGGAGCTGCAGACCTTTGCGGTGAGTGTTAGGCTCTTTAAGGCAGCGCGTCTGGAGTTGTTCATTCCTTCCAGGGGGTTCATGGTCTCGCTGGCCTCAGGAGTGAAGCTGCAGACCTTTGCGGTGAGTGTTACAGTTCATAAAGGTGGCGCATCCAGAGTTGTTTGTCCCTCCTGGTGGGTTCGTGGTCTCGCTGACTTCAGGAGTGAAGCTGCAGACCTTCGTGCTGAGTGTTACAGATCATAAAGGTGGTGCATACCCAAAGAGCGAGCCGCAGCAAGATTTATCGTGAAGAGTGAAAGAAAAAGTGTTTCAGAAAGGGACCTGAGTGACTCAGGTGGCCTGATTTTATTTCCTTATCTGGCCCCACCCACATCCTGATTGGTCCATTTTACAGAGAGCTGATTGGCCTGTTTTACAGAGAGCTGATTGTTCTGTTTTGACAGAGCACTGATTGGTGTGTTTACAAACCTTTAGCTAGACACAGAGCGCTGATTGGTCCATTTTACAGAGAGCTGATTGGTCCGTTTTACAGAGCACTGATTGATGCCTTTACAAACCTTTAGCTAGACACAGAGTGCTGACTGGTGCATTTATAAACCTTTGGCTAGACACAGAGTACTGATTAGTGCGTTTACAAACCTTTAGCTAGACAGAAAAGTTCTCCAGATCCCCACCAGACCCAGAAGCCCAGCCGGCTTCACCTCTCAGTGGCACAGGCAGTGAGACTTTGCGGCACCTAGCCTGGGCACTCTGGCAGCCAAGAGGGAACTCGTCACCTGATCAAGCCCAGCAGGAGCCGGAAGGCAGCGCTGAGTGTGGCGCCCACCAGGAACCTGTGTCAGCCCACGAGGTCCGCGTGCAGCCCCGGTTCCCACCAGCGCCGCCCCCTCCACACCTCCCCGCAAGCAGAGGGAGCTGGCTCCAGCTTCTGCCAGCCCCAGAGAGGGGCCCCCACAGCGCAGTGGCCGGCTGAAGGGCTCCTTGAGCCCAGCCAGAGCAGACGCCCAGGCCAAGGAGGCTCCGAAGGCCAGCGAGGGCTGCTAGCACGTTGTCACCTCTCAGTGAGTGATATGGTTTGGCTCTGTGCCCCCATCCAAATCTCATCTTGTAGCTCCCATAATTCCCATGTGTTGTGGGAGGGACTTGGTGGGAGATAATTGAGTCATGGGATGGAGTCTTTCCCATGCTGTTCTTGTGATAGTGAATACGTCTCATGAGATCTGATGGTTTTGAAAATGGGAGTTTACTTGCACAACCTCTCTCTCTTTGCCTGCTGCCATCCATGTAAGATGTGACTAGCTTCTCCTTGCCCTCTGCCATGATTGTGAGGCCTCCCCAGCCATGTGGAACTGTAAGTCCATTAAACCTCTTTTTCTCCCCAGTCTCAGGTATGTCTTTATCAGCAGTGTGAAAATGGACTAATACAGTGAGAGGTGAGGATCCAGTTGCATTCTTCTAAATGCAGCTTGCCAACTATCCCAGTACAATTTTTTGAATAGGGTGTCCTTTCCCTACTTTACGTTTTTGTTTGTTTTGTCATAGATCAGTTGGCTATATGTATTTGGCTTTATTTCTGGGTTCTCCATTCTGTTTCATTGGTTTATGTGCCTATTTTTATACCAGTACCATGCTATTTTTGGTGACTGTGGCCTTATAGTTTAGATTGAAGTCGGGTAATGTGATATCTCCGGATTTGTTCTTTTTGTTTAGTCTTGCTTTGGCTATGCAGGCTCTTTTTTGGTTCCATGTTAATTTTAGGATTTTTTTTTCTAGTTCTGTGAAGGATGATGGTGGTATTTTCATGCGAATTTTGGCAGTATGGTCATTTTCATAACATTGATTCTACCCAATCATGAACATGGTATGTGTTTCCATTTGTTTGTGTTTTCTATGATTTCTTTCAGCTGTCTTTTGTAGTTTTCCATGTAGAGGTCTTTCACCTCCTTGGTTAGGTATATCTCTAAGTATTTTATTATTTTGCAGCTGTTATGAAGGGGTCAAGTTCTTGATTTGTGTCTCAGCTTGGTCACTGTTAGTGTATAGCAGATCAACATATTCACCATATTAACAGTATAATATATATGATTATATTAACTGATGCAGAAAAAGCGTTTTGTAACATACAACATTCATCTATTATATAAAGCTTGTATTAAACTAGAAATAAAAGGAAACTTTCTCAACTTGATAAAGGATATCTACAAAAAACCTATAGGAAACATATTTATTGGTGAAAGACTAAGTGATTTACCTGCGAATAGCAGGAACAAGGCAAACATCTCCACTCTTAAAACTTCTACTCAAAATAGTATTGGGATCTGAGCCATTGTATAAGGCAAGAAAAAAAAAATGAATGACATACAACTTGGAAAAAAAAGGAATAAACAAATTGTTCCTATGCACAGGAACATGATTTCCTGTGTAATAAAACCCAGGGTAGCTTTATAAAGTTCCTAGAGGTTGTTGGATACAAGGTTAGCACACAAAAAAACTATATTTCTATATACCAGCAATGCACAGTCTGAAAGCAAAATTGAACAAAAACAATGTTATATATAATAGATTCCATAAAAATAAATATTTAGGTATAATTTTAACATTGCATGTACAAAAGCTTTATGCTAAAAACTGCATAATGCTGACAAAAGTAATAAAAAAGACATAAATCAATGGAGGTAGATAGGATGTTCTTGGTTTGAAACACTCATTATAATAAAGTGCCAATTCTCCACAAATTAATCTATAGATTTATCACAATATCAGTCAAAATTCTCAGAAGGATTTTGCATTGGTATAGGCAAGATGATTTTTAAATGTTTATGGAAGAGCAAAATAAACAGAATAGTTAGAAAAATTTTTAAAAAGAATAAAGTTGAAGAAATCACCCTACTGTACTATAAAGCTGCAATAGTCAGGACAGTGTGCATTGTGAAAAGTAATGCTACATAAATCAATGGAATAAATTAGAGAGTCCAGAAATAAATCTACAGAATATAGCCATTTGTTCTTGAAAACATACAAAAGCAAATCAATTAAGAAATAATAGTTTTTAATGTTAGCAAGGTAGCAGAATAAGAGGAGCCTGACTTTTCTCCTCCCACAGATGCAACAATTAAATGGCTACACATGGAATTATTCCCTCTGAGAGAAATTGAGGTGCTAGTTGAGAGACTCCATACTACAAATGAAAAATAATCCACATTGAAACAGGTGAAAAAAACAAAACAAAACAGAAAACAAACCAACCCCCCTTGAGACACACTTCAGCCACAAATACCACCGCAGTCACAGTGCGTTACGATCTGTAGGGAACCCTTCATTTCCAGCTCCTCCCTGAGGAATGAAGGGCTTGAGACACACATATATCACCCCAACTTTTACAGCTCCCACTGGAGGGACTCAAGCTCCCACCTAGCTCCGAGAGTAAATGGGACTTGGCATTTGTCAGTCCACCAGGACTAAAAAGAACAAATAGTCAGTCTGCATTCTCCCAGGGCTCAGCACAGATGAACAGGCAATAAGTTTCAGCCCCCAGTTCCTCCTTGGAAGAGGTTTGACTGCACACATTTTCAGTTGCTATTTAAGGATTGGACTTTTAAGTAGCTTGCATTTGGGAGTCGATGGAGTAGAGAATTAGTGAGAGATCCAAGAGCCTGAACAGGTGTTTGGGTGTTTCCTGTGTCTCCTACCCCATGGCTTGCTCCAATGATAAAAGTAAGTTTAACTTCCAGCCACGTTTTGGACAGTTTATCCACACAACAAACACTCCAACTTTTATAGCTCACATACAAGAGACTGGCTCTTAAATCACTTAGGAGTTAACAGGGCTCAGCATTTGTGAGTCTTCAGGAACATAAAGAACAAAAGTGGTTTTAAATGGGCACAGGAACGCTATCAGTGGCTATTTCCCCTAGTTAAGTGCAGAGGAAGCAGGCAAAAACATCGAGCTCTCAGTTTCTCACTAGAAGAGGTTTGACTGCCCACTAATGCCTTAACTTTCCTAGCTTCTGACCATGAGTCAGGCTTTTAATTAGCCTACATTTGGGAACTGAAAGGGCAAGCAATTATTAGTACTCTGGAAGCCTGAATGGGCATGTAGGCACTTCTTGTTGCTTCTCTCCCTGGCTTACCCTAGAGGCAGAATCAAACCTCAAGCTAACCTTCTTGTCTTTGAGAGTTAAGAACCTGACATTCACTAGATGCCTGGCAACAAAGACCAAAGCAATGGGCTGAAAGTGTATGGTCTGAACATGAATATAAGTGTTTGCCACAGATCCTCTACCTGACTTAGTGTGGAGTGATTGGGAGATAAACACCAGTTTCCCACTTTGCCCTGAGGAGAAAGGAAACCAGGTGATACTTTTAACACCTCAACTTCTGCAGCTGCTTCCTGAGGGACTGGCTTCTATCTCAGCGGCCTTGGGGCACTGATGGGACTTGGTAGAACCTGATCATCTGGGGGCCCAGTAAGAACACAGATTGCAGTTTGGACAAACACAAAGATTTGAGAGGCACTTGTAACCTCTGGCTGGGCTGATTGGGTAAGCTTATCTCTTACATAAGGCTATTATGTCAAGATACAGAGATGTGGTTGTTTAATGTGCAGAAACCAACACAGAGAGTCAAGGAAAATGCAGAAATAAAAAGAAAAGAGAAACATGTTTCAAACAGAACACCAAAATAAATCTCCAGAGACTGTTTCTGCTGAACTGAACATAATCGATCAACATGTGTTGCTTAACAGAAAATTCACAACAATAATCACAGAGATACTTACCAAGGTCAGGAGAGCAATGCATATACAAAGTGAGAATTTTAACAAGGAGACAGAAAATATAAAAAGGTACTATATAGGTATCATAGAGTTGAAAAATACAATAACAGAACTGATAATTCAATAGAGGAATTCAACAGCAGACTATATCAAGCAAATGAAAGAATCAGCAAACTCAATGACAGGTCTTTGGAAATAATCTAATCAGAGGAGCAAAAAGAAAAATGAAAAAAGTAAAGATAGCTTAAGTGACTTATGGAACACCATCAAGCAGGCAAATAAACACATAATGGGAGTCCCAAAAGGAAATAAAATAGTGAAAGGAAAAGAAAGTACTCAAAAAATAATGGCTAAAAACTTCCCAAACCAGGGAGAAAAAAACATTCAGATCTAGGCAGCCCAAAAAACATAAGATGAATCTAAACAGACTTACATCAAGATATATTATAATCAAATTTTTAAAAATTAGAGACAAAAGAAGAATTTTGAAAGCAACAATAAAAAAGTGACTTGTTACATAGAAGGGAAGTCTTCTATCAGTGGATTTTTCAGCAGAAACCTTGCAGACCTGAAAGGAGTGAGATTATATATTTAACGTGCTGAAGCAAAAACAAACACAACACTATAAACCAAGAATATTATACCTGCCAAAACTATCCTTTAAAAATGAAGGGAAGAAAAAGACGTTCTCAGACAAACACAAATTGAATGAATTTATCACTGCTAGACTTGTCTTACAAGAAATGTAACAAACAGGAACTACAAAAGGATGCTAAACAGCAAAAAGAGGGCATAAGAAAGTATGAAATTGCCTGTAAAGGCAAATATATAGACAAAAAATACTCCATTAATATAAAGGTGGTGGATAAATGCCTTTTAATTCTACTATAAAAGGGAAAAGACAATATTATTTTTAAAACTATAATTTAGATTATGTTAATGGATACATAAGATCAATAATGTAAATTTAGACATCTAAAGCACATAATGTGGGAGGAAGAGAGGTAAACATGCAGAGTTCTTGTATGTGGATAAAGTTGTGTAAAACAGTCAGTTTAAAACAGATTGTTATAAGAAATTTTATGTAAGCCCCTTAGTAACCACAAAGAAAACACCTATCAAAATTACACAAAAGAAAAAAAGAAAGGAATCAAAACTCATCCAAACAGACAAACAAAACAAACAATTAAACACAAAATAAACAGCAAGGGAGAATAAAGGGACATAGGAATCACAAGATAAACACAAAGCAGTTGACAAAATGCCAATAGTAAATCCTTCTCTATCAATAATTACATAAAATGTAAATGGACTGAACTCTCCAATAAAAAGATACAGAGGTACTGAATAGATAAATAAGTAAACCGAGATCCAACTGCATCCAAACACTTTAGAGCCAAGGACGCATAAGCTAAAAGTGAAGGGATGAAAAAATATATTGTATGCAGTGGCAACCAAATGAAAGCAAGAGTGGCTATGTTTATATCAGATAAAGGAAACCCTGAGTCAAAAACTGCCTCTAGAGACAAAGATCATCATTGCATAATAATAAAAGGGTCAATTCAAGACTAAGATATAATGATTATAAATATACAGGCACCCAACATCAGAGCATCTAAGTATACAAAATAAATATTGACAGATCTGAAAGATGACATTGACAGTAATACAGTGATTGCATGAGACTTTAATACCCTACTTACAATAATGAATAGAACATCTAAATAGAAAATCAATAAAGTAACAGTAGACTTGAATAATGCTATAAATCAAATGGACCTAACAAGCATGTATAGAACTTTCTCTTTAACAGCAGACTACTATACATTTTTCTCAAGTGCACGCAGAACATTCTCGAGTATAGAATCACATGTTAGGTCACAAAACAAATATTAACAAATTTAGAAAGATCCAAATCATACGAAGTAACTTTTCCTGTCACAATGGAATAGAGCTAGAAACCAATAATAGTTAAGAAAATGAGAAAATTTACAAATATATGGAAACAACACACTCTTGAACAATCACTGGGTCAAAAAGAAAAGCAAAAGAAAAATTTAAAAATATATTGAGATGAAATGAAAACACAACGTACTAAAACTTATGGGATGCAGCAAAGACAGTACTAAGAGGAAGTTTATCATGATAAATGTCAACATTATAAAAGAAGATCTCAAGTTAACATCCTAACTTTATACCTTAAGGAACTATAAAAAGATATTAAGCCTAAAGTAATAGCATAGGAATAAAGTAATAAGATACAGAGCAATAATATATCTAATCGAGAATTTTAAAACTATAGAAAAAAATTTAAAAAATTTCTTTGAAAAATACACAAAATTGACAAACTCTTACCTAGATTTAAGGGAAAAAAGAGAGAAGACTCAAATAAATAAGAAAGGGGGGACACTAATAAGTAAAATCAGAAATGAAACAGGAGGCAATCTCCTTTTTCAGGATAAGAGATTATTTGAATTCTTATATGCCTACAAATTGGATAACCTAGAAAAAATAGATAAATTTCTAAAAACATACAATCTACTAAGACTGAATCAAGAAGAAATAGAAAGTTTACATAGACTAATAATAAATAAGTAGATTAAAATTGCAATAAAAAACCTCCTAGAAAGCCAGGTGCAGTGGCTCACACGTGTAATCCCAGCACTTTGAGAAGCCAAGGCAGGAGGATCTCTTCAGCCCAGGAGTTTGAGGCTGCAGTAATCCATGATCATGCCACTGCACTTCAGCCTGGGCAATAGAGTTAGACTCCATCTCTAAAAAGAAAAAGAAAAAAAGAAAGAAAAGAGAAAAAGAGAAAAGCTCAGGACCAGATGGCTTTATGACTGAATTCTACCAAACATTCAAAGAATAAGTAATACCAATACTTCTTAAACTCTTCCAAAAAAATTGAAGTAGAGGTAATACTTCCAACTTATTGTATGAGACCAACATCACTCTCAATACTAGAGCCAGACAAATATATCATGGGGGGAAAAAAACAAAAAAAAAACGAACTACAGGTCAATATCTCTGGTGAACATAGATGTAAAAATCCTCAATAGAATAATAGCAAACCGAATTCAGTCACACATCAAAAAGGCTGTACGACATGACCAGGTGAGATTTATCTCTGGGATGCAAGGGTAGTTTAACATACACAAACCAATCAATGTGGCACAACATGTTAATAGAATGAATAATAAAAACCACATGATTGTCTTAATATATGCAGTAAAAGCATTTGATAAAGTTCAACGTCCATTCGTGATAAAAACTTTCAGTCAAATAGGTATAGAAGTAAATGTCTGCAGCACAATGAAGGCCAGTTATGAAAAGCCCACAGCTAACATTGTACTCAATGGGGAAAGACTACGATCATTTCCTCTAAGATCTGGTCCAATGTAAGGCTGCCCACTCTCACCACTTCTACTCAGCATAGTAAAGAAGTACTAGCACGATCAAACAGATAAGAAAAAGAAATAACAATAATCTAAATTGGAAAGGAAGAAATTAAATTATCTCTGTTTGCAGATGACATAATTTCATATGTAGAAAACCCTAAATCCTCCAAAAAATAACTGTTAGAACTAATGAAGACATTCAATAAAGTTTCAGTATTCAAAAATCAACCTAAAAATATCAGTTGTAGGATGGGCATGTGGCTCACACCTATAATCCAGGCGCTTTGGGAGACGGAGGCAGGTGGATCACATGAGGTCGGGAGTTTGAGATCAGCCAGTCCAATATGATGAAACCCTGTCTCTACTAAAAATATACAAAAATTAGCCAGGTATGGTGGCATGCGCCTGTAGTCCCAGCAACTTGGGAGGCTAAGGCAGGATAATTGTTTGAACTCGGGAGGTGGAAGTTTCAGTGAGCCGAGATCCTGGCACTGCACTCCAGCCTGGGTGACAGAACGAGACTCCGTCTCAAAATAAATTAATAAATAAATAAAAAGTAAAAAATATCAGTTGTATTTATTTACATCAGTTATAATCTATACAGAAAGGAAGTCAAGAAAACAATCCCATTTACATTAACATGGAAAAAATACAATACTTTAGAATAAATTTAACCAAGGGGGTGAAAAATCTGTATGCTGAAAATTATAAAACATTAATTAAATA
The DNA here is from genome assembly GCF_000001405.40 of Homo sapiens. Taxonomy (NCBI): domain Eukaryota; kingdom Metazoa; phylum Chordata; class Mammalia; order Primates; family Hominidae; genus Homo; species Homo sapiens. The sequence goes on along the minus strand of NC_000006.12, from coordinate 51,590,371 downwards.
AATTGAAAAAGACATAAATAAACAGATATGCCATATTTATGGAGTAGAAGAATAATTATTATAAAAATGTTCATTCTACTAAGTCATATATAGATTCAACACCTTCTCCATCAAAATTCTAATGGCATTTTTCACAGAAATAGAAAAGAATTTTTAAATTTATATGGAACCGCAGAAGACCCCAGACCCCAAATAGCCAAAGCAGTCTCGAGAAAGAAAAGCAAAGTTGGAGACATCACACTTCCTGCTTTCAAATTGTATTACATGGCAATAATAATCAAAACAATATGATACTGGTATAAATAGACCAATGGAATATAATAGAATATATATATTATATACATATATAATAGAATATATATTATGTAGATATATATAATAGAACATATATCTATATCTATATATATACAAAGAGAAAGAAAGTGAGAAAGAGAGAGAGAGAGTGAGAGCAGGTAAATAGACAAATGGAATATAATAGAAAGACCATAAGTCAGCCCAAACATATACAGTTAACTAATCTTCAACAAGGGCACCAAGTATACACAATGGGAAGAGGATAGTCTCTTCAATATATGGTGTTGGAAAAACTGAACATCCACAAGCAAAAGAATGAAATTGGCCCCTTATAAAATGCACAAAAATCAACTCGAAATGGATTAAAGACTTAAATGCAAGACCTGAAACTGTAAAACTGCTAAAAGAAAACATAAGGGAAAGAACCCTGGCATTGGCTTTGGTAATGACTTTTTGGATACTGCACCAAAAGCTCAGGCCACAATAGTAAGCGTAAACAAATGGGACTACCTCAACCTAAAAAGCTTTTGCACAGCAAAGGAAACATTCCACAAAATGAAAAGGCAGTTTATGTCTTGGGAGAAAATATTCACAGTCTATATATTTGACAAGGGCCTTATATCCAAAATATATAAGGAACTCACATAACTCAATAGCAAAAAAAAAAACCCCACAAATAAACTGAATTAAAAATTAAAAAATAAAATCTGATAGAAATATTGGCAAAGAAGACATAAAAATTACCAAAAGGTTTATAAAGGGGTGACAACAGGTATATAAAAAAGTACTCAACATTAGTAATCATCAAGGAAATACAAGATAAAACCACAATGAGATATCATCTCATCCCTGTGAGGATGACTATTATCAAAGAGAAATAAGATAAATTTTAGTAAGAGTGTAGAAAATAAAACCTTTGTACACTGTTCTTGGGAATGTAAATTTATAAAATCATTATGGAAAATAGTATGGAGTTCTCTTGACAAAATAAAAATAAACTACCATATAATTTAGCAATCTCTTTTCTGGTTACATATCCAAAGGAAATGAAACCAGTACCTCACAGAGATATCTGCATTCCCATGATCATTGAAGCATAATTCACAATAGCCAAGATACATAAACAATTTATGTGTCTGTCAGTGGATGAATGGATAAAGAAATTGTGGTATACATACAACAGAATATTATTCAGCCCTAAAAAAGAGGAGATTCTGCCATTTGTGACAACACAGATAAACCTAGAAGACATTATGCTGAGGCAAGCCAGAGATAAAAACAAACAAACAAACAAACAAACAAAAAATACACTGCATGATCTCCTTTATATGTGGAATCCATAAAAGTTGAACACATAGAAATAGGGAATGGAATGGTAGTTACCAATGGAGAGAGGAGACATATGGGAGACACTGGTCAAAGGGTATAAAGTTATAGTTATATGATATGAATAAATCTAGAGATCTAATGTACAACGTGGCAACTATAGTTAATAATATTGTATTTTGTACTGGAAATTTGCCAAGAGAGTAAATTTCTGGTGCTTTTTACCAAACACCCACAAAAAGGTGACTGTGTGATAAGATGGATATATTAATTGCTTGACTGTAGTAACCATTTCACTATGTGTATGTATTTCAAAACATTGTGTTGTACACCTTAAATATATACAATAAAAATAAATTTAAAAAAATATGGAGTTTTCAAAAAATAATGTTGACATAATCTGGCATCTATAAGTTAAGATAAGGTAAACTTTGACATGAAATTCATGCCACTTAAAAAATGTAACACCAAATGGACCACAGAGCCAAATGTAAAATGTAAAACTGTGTATAATGCTTTTAGAAGAAAACTTGAAAAAAATCTTCATGACCTTGATTAGAGGAAAATTGCTTAGCTATGACACCAAAAGCATAATTCATAAAAGAATATATTTATAAATTGGACTTGATCAAAAGTTTACAAATTTGCTCTGTGAAAGACTCTATTAACAGACTCACAAGATAAACTGCAGCTTGAGAAAAGATATTTTCAAGTCATATATATTGAACAAATGACTTACTTGTATTCAGTGTGTAATAAAGAACTCTCAAAACTCCATAATATTAAAGCAAAAAAAAACCTTCTAGTTTTAAAATGGGCAAAGAGTTTGATTGAACTTCAATAAAAAGGACAAAGGGGTAGTGAAAAGGCACATAAAGATGTTTAGCATCATTGACTATTAGGAAAATACAAATTAAAATCACTGTGAGAAACAACTATTCATTTCTTCGGATAAAAAATAAAAAATGCTTGCATAATACCAAGTGCCAGTAAATATGTGGAGGAAATGAAAACCTCATACATTCCTGGAGGAATGAAAAAATGATTCCTCCATTATAAAAATGGTTTGGCAGTGATATGGTTTGGTTCTGTGTCCTCACCCAAATCTCATCTCAAATTGTAATCCCTGTATGTCAGAGAATAGGCCTGGTGGGAGGTGATTGAATCATGGGGGACAGATTTCCCCCATGCCGTTCTCATGATAGTGAGTGAGTTCTCATGATAGTGAGTGAGTTCTCATGAGATCTGAAGGTTTAAAAGTGTGTGGCACTTCCCTTCTTGCTCTCTCTCTCCCTCCTGCTCCACATGGTAAGAAGCACTTACTTCCCCGTTGCTTTCTGCCACAATTGTAAGTTTTCTGAGGCCTCCCAGTCATGCTTCCTGTTCAGCCTGTGGAACTGTGAGTCAATTAAACCTCCTTTCTTCATAAATTACCCAGTCTCAGGTAGTTCTTATTTCAGTATGAGAACAAACTAATATAGAAATTTGGTATCAGGAGGGGGGCACTGCTTTAAAGATACCTGACAATGTGGAAGCGATTTTGGAACTGGGTAATGGGCAGAAGACAGAATAGTTTGGAGGACTCAGAAGAAGACAGAAAGATGTGGGAAAGTTTGGAACTTCCTAGAGACTTGCTGAACAGTTTTGACCAAAATGTTGATAGTGAATATGGGCAATGAAGTCCAGGCTGAAGTGATCTCAGAAGGAGATGAGAAATTTAGTGGGAGCTGGAGTAAAGGTCACTCATGCTGTGCATTAGCAAAGAGACTGGTGGCATTTTGCCCTTGCCCTAGAGATCTGTGAAACTTTGAACTTGAGAGAGATGATTTAGGGTATCTGGTGGAAGAAATTTGTAGGCAGCAAAGTGTTCAAGATGTGTTTGGACTTTGGACTTGGACTTTTGAGTTAATGTTGGAATGAGTTAAGACTTTGGGAGACTGTTGAGAAGGCAAGATTGGTTTTAAAATATGAAAATGACATGAGATTTGGAGAGGGCCAGGGGTGGAAGAGAATAGAATGGTTTGGCTTTGTGTCCCCACCCAAATCTCATCTTGAATTGTAATCCCCATGTGTCAGAGGAGGGCTGGTGGGAGGTGATTGGATCATGGGGGTGGACTTCCATCATGCTGTTCTCATGATAGTGAGTTCTTATGAGATCTGGCTGTTTAAAAGTGTGTGGCACTTCCCCCCTTGCACTCTCTCTCTTTCTCTTGCTCTGCTATGGCAAGACATGCTTGCTTTTCCTTCACCTTCCACAATGATTGTAAGTTAACTGAGGCCTCCCAGTCAGCTTCCTGTTAAGCCTGCAGAACTGTGAGCCAACTGAACCTTTCTTCTTCATAAATTACCCAATCTTAGGTAGTTCCTTATAGCAGTATGAGAATGTACAAACACAGGCCGTTTCTTATTAAATTAAATGCATATTTACCATACAATTCAGTGATTTCTCTCCGGGGTATTTATCCCCAAAATATGAAAGCTTATGTATACCCAAAAATCTGTTCATGAATGTTAATAGCAGCTCTACTCATAATTGCTCCAAACTGGAAAAAGTTAAATGTCCTTTAATGGAAGAACAAACAAACTGTGGTACATCTAAAGAACAAAACATTACTCAGGAATAAAAAGGAACCAACTATTAATGCATGCAGTGTGGAAGGATCTCAAAGGCATTACACTAAATAAGAGAAGCCAGTCTTAAAAGCTATGATACTATATGATTTCATACATAACATTCTCCAAAGGCAGAATAGTGATAGAGAACAGATCAATAGTTGCCAGAGGTTGGAGGTAGTGGGAGATATGACTATAAAGGTAGAACAAAATGGAGGTTTTTAGGGTGATGGAACCATTTTGTATCCTGATTGTGAAGGGTGGTTACACAGATACATAGATGTCTTAAAAGTCATAGAATTGCTCAAAAAGATTAACTTTATATAATTTAAAAAATAAATTTTAAAAGGCAATGAAGTGAATTGCCTTTAAAAGCAGCATTTAATTTATAAGCTATTTAAAAATGTTTTATAACATTAGCACACAAGCCTGTGATTATTTTCAGAGTTCAGTTCTGTTACTTCTGCTTCAAAAATGAGGACTTATTAATGGGCAACAACTTTTATTCAAAGTTTACCATTCACACATAAACTCCTTTATGAGAACTAATTCAATAGTACCAACCTCCAAACAAATAACTCATACTTTTTTTGTTACTTTGTGGTCTACCACTCACTAAGGTAATGAAAGTAACATATTTGGCAGTAATGAGCATTATTGAGCATTCAGTAAATAACTATGTTCATCATTTAGCTTTGCTTGGGTGGTGAGAGCCAGATTTGAGTATTTAGCACCATATGTCTTCAAGTCTAGCTGATGTCTATTTTTAAGACCCTGTTAGGTTTAAATGACTAATATTACTAAGGATCTGAAACAGATGTACAGAAGTAAACTTGATTTGGGACTAAATTAACAATGCAGTTATTACTTTATGAAAATATTCTATCTTATAGATCACAAAATATATTATAACTGTGATAGTTTAAACAATGAATGAATGACTTATGTTTGAGTGCAAATTTTGATAAAATTATTTAGTAGTATGATTCAAAATCCTTCACATATAGATTTTGTTTTATGGTGACAAGGACAAAAATTTTTGCAAAAAAAAGTATTAAATGTCTTGTAAATTTTTCCAAACAACCCTCCTAATACTTTGGAATGCACATTGTTCATCTTTGAATAGTCTCTGATGGCATCATCATTGCAGAATTTCTCTTATTTTATCTGGTCCATCTATGCCATATCCTAGTTAGTAAAGGCAATTTGATTTGAGCAGTCCTCTACCATCAGTCTGATTAACTTCATATAATCTTGCATTGATCATGAGTCCAGCTCAGCACCAGCAAATACTCTTTATTCTCAAGGCTTCTCTAAGGTTTTGGTTGTCTCAACACCCAGGGGCTACTTTCTGTTTCCTAACACTAGACTAGGCTAGACTCTGGGCTTTCTTCTCTAGTACATGAGGAGTTTTCTCCACGATTTTAGTTTTTCCAAGCACCATCTAAAAAATTTCAAAGCAAAATCCCTTCCTCTACACATATCTGCTTCTTCCAAATCTCCCTGAATATTTCACTCTTGACAAGATGTAGGAGCTCAACCTTACAGACCCACAGAAAAAGAGGGCACTTCAGAGCTTAGTGGCTCCAAACCTTAAATACTAAAGTCAAGATTGACAAAGGTGACCAATCATTTTGTTTTACTGGAACTCTCCAAATTTTAACACAGGAAGTCCTGTATCCCAGGAAACTCAACAGTTTTGGGCAAATTAGGACAGTTAGTCACCCTAGAAGGATACCTAAATTTTCCAAAACTGAGCACGTGTGCACACACACACACACACATATCACACATGTATATATTTGTAGAGGTAGGGTTTTGCTATTTTGCCTAGGCTGGTTTTGTATTCCTGGGCTCAAGCAACAGGCACACCTCAGCCTCCCAAAGTGCTGGGATTACAGGTACGAGCCACTACACCCGGCCTAAACTTTCCTATGTATTTGTTCAAGTTTTACTTTCAAATCTTCTTGTCCATTGTCATAAAGCTATTCATGGAGAAAAATACAAATAACCAAATGAGTTGACTTATGTGTTTATACTAAATTATGCAGTGAAAAAATCTATTCTGTAACTGTAAATATATGTAAGAGAATGAAAGGAAATGAAGAAAACAAATATCTAATAGATCAATCTACCTTCCTCTTTAGATGTAAGGAGAAATTTGAACTGTACTAACTCTGCTCATTAGAGTAGTTCAAGGTGCTTAATCCACTGGAGTCCAATTCAGATACAAATCCAATATTCAAGAGAGCCAAGTGATAGGTGGGGAGCATGGAAACAGGAGACTCTGGGCAGCCTAAGAACAAGCATGTTATCAAATATGTGGGATATGAAGATATTGGAAATAGGGTCCAGGTCTCATCTCATCTGTAGAAATGAGTAGGCGGTAAAAGGGGATGGGAAGGACTACAATTATGTGGTCAGGAGCAAAATCTGTTACCCTGGACATTGTCAGATTTAAATCCCAGCTTTTATGCACACTAGCATTGTGATTCAGAGAAAGCGTTTTACCTTACTTGTCTTACCTGTAAAATAAGGACAGTAGTAGCAGTACTCATTTTATAGAATTACTGTGAGGATTAAATAAAGTAATTCAAATGAAGTATGTAACAGAGTGCTTGGCACATAATAAGCACTTGAATGGAACTTAAGTGTTAGCTATTATTATATTACTTCCTTTCCTCATACCAACACTCTGGCAACTTTATTATTCTAATTTGTAGTAAATATTTGTTGTATTACTATTACTTATCTAAAAGTTAACAGTTGTCTTTATTTGCTCAGTTTTTTATGTTTTGATCACTACCCAGCCCGAAACTCTCCAATAAAACTATAAAATACCTTTACTATAGTCAAACATTGAGATATATTTTATTTCCACATTATTTTGGAATCATACTTTGTAACACTCTTTGTCTTCTTCTTCCAGTTTGAATTAGTTATTCTATAGACCTGCATGCTGTGGTTCTCAGAATGTGTCTACACTATTATCTTGGAATGATGATATCCTCTTCTTCTTTCCTGTGTTTGACCTCTGTTTCTTGGATCCCACCTCTTCTACTTTCTTGGTTCAATTCTTTGTTTTGCATATTTTCTCATCACTTTCTGAGAGTATATGGGAAAGTCAGTTTTCTAAGAGCTCACATATCAGAAAATATATTTATTTTACACCCACACTTAGTGTATAATTTTAGTGGGTATAGAGTGTATTGGAAATCATGTTTACTCAGACCTTTCTTTTTTTTTTTTTTAGACAAAGTCTCACTCTGTCGCCCAGGCTGGAGTGCGGTGGCACGATCTCGGCTCACTGCAATTCCTGCGTCCTGGGTTCAAGCAATTCTCATGCCTCAGCCTCCCAAGTAGCTAGGATTGCAGGTGCTCACCACCACACCCAGCTTATTTTTGTGTTTTTAGTAGAGACGAGGTTTCACCATGTTGGTCAGGATGGTCTCAAACTCCTGACTTCAGGTGATCCACCCGCCTTGGCCTCCCAAAGTGCTGGGATTACAGGCGTGAGCCATGGTGCCCGGTCACTCGGTTTTAAAGTTGTTTAACTCTTGCCTTCTAACTTTCATTGTTAAAATTTAGAAATTGATGCTATTCCGATTCTCACTTGTTTCTTTTCAGAAGGTTTTAAAAATCACTTCATTAATGTTACTGTGATATTTATTAGTGCACTTTTTTTTTCATTTATTATGCTGGAGACTCAATAGACTCTTTAAACCATGACACTCTTGAATTTCAGGTTTTACAAATTTTCTTGAATTATTTCTTTTGTGATTTCTTTCCCTCTGTTTTCACTGTCCTCTCTTACTGGTAGTTCCATTTGTTAGATATTGAATATTCAATATAAATTCTCTAATTTTATTGGTTCTTCTTTTTTAAAGCCCATATCTTTGTTTTCTTTCTTTGCCTTTTGTGATATTTCTTTCATTCTACCATTAAACTTTTCTATTTTTTGTTTTTCTTTTTTTAAAATATATTTTTAGTTTATGAGAACACTTTTGTATTCTTAGAATGTTCCTTACTGGCTAGGCATCGTGGTTCACACCTGTAATCTCAGCACTTTGGAAGACCGAGGCAGGAAGATCACCTGAAGTCAGGAGTTCGAGATCAGCCTGGCCAACATGGGGAAAACCCTTCTCTATAAAAATACAAAAATTGGCCAGGCATGGTGGCAGGCATCTGTAGTCCCAGCTGCTCGAGAGGCTGAGGCAGGGAGAATTGCTTGAGCCTGGGAGGTGGGGGGTTGCAGTGAGCCAAGATCGCGCCACTGCACTCCAGCCTGGGTGACAGAGCAGGACTCTGCCTCAAGAAAAAAAAAAAAAAAGAAAAGAAAAAAGAATAAAAAAGAAAAGAAAAGACAAAGAAATGTTCCTTACTTATCCTGTCCTTGTTTTATGAAAGCAGTATCTTTTCTCTTAGTTCTTCTAGGATACTAAGATACACACACACACACACACACACACACACACGCAGAGACACACACACAGACACACATGCATATTACACATGTTTTGGTTTAATTCTCTTTTTTCATGTTCCATTTGTTTATTTTTGGTTTGTTTTGATATGTTGGAGATCTTTCTTAAAATGCTGGTAATCTCTGGCTGTGTATTTAGATTTTGAATAAGGCACGAAAAAGGTGATTGGAAGCCCTGTGTGCATGGGTGAGTTTAGTGTGGCTCACTGTATGTTGATTGGTCTAGGATTTGACTATTACATTAGAGGTCCTACTATATTAGTGTCTGTCAGTTTTCTCTTTTGAATGGGATATGTTTCTCTAAAAAAGTACTACTGATCTTTGCCTGGGATTTGTAAGCATATCTGCTATTGTTCTGAAAGCTGAACAGGGAAAGAACACTAAGAAATTCTCAGCATCTGGGATACAGCTTTTAATTTTACCCACTTGTATGCCTAAATCCAAACTTTTGTAATTTAACCTCAGTGGAGGAATAAACTTTCTTTCTTCTATTGAGATTGGGAAATGGGTCTAAGGTTCTAAATACTTCCTTACAAACTAACAACCTATCCTCTTTATTTTCAACTAAGTGTTACACTTAACCTTTCAGAGATACTGAAGCCTCCAACTCCTAAATCTTTCTGGGGTTCTGCAATAGATATTGAATTAGGTGGCTTCCCCAGAGAAGTTAGATTTTAGCTTTCTTTTCTTTGTTAATTCAGTTACATACATGCATGTGCTTTCCATTTAAACATTTTCTTGATATTTTTCATCTGTGGTATTCTCCTTTTCTAATCTTTTTATTTATGTGGGGGCCTCAATTATCCTCTTCCTTTACTGTCATCTTACTGTTTTTTTCTGGAATAAGCAGAGATAAAATCATGTGCTCAGTGTGCCATGTTGAGGTAGACATCTTCACTGTAAATGTCTCATCTCTTTTGCCTCTTTCCTCAGATTCTACTGTAAGTCTTATCCTTCCCTTTTTCTTCACCACTAGCCTCTCTATTTCTAGCAAAAGCCTCTATTTTCTATCTTCCACACTGATTGAAAAAATGGTCTTTATAAAATCAGATTCTGAACACGTTAGTGCCCTGTGTAAAACCCTTGAGTGCACTAGTATTGGGAACATTTGAAGTCTTTTATGACTCTGAGTTCCTAGACTTTTTCATCGCCACTTCTTCAAACCCTGTCCCATTCATACTGATCTTAATACTCTACAAATGCACTCTCTCAGTCCTCTACCTAGTAAATGCTTTCCTGACTTGTAAATTTCTATTCTTTTTTACAAAATTCAACTCAGAAGTCACCTTCTCAAAAAGCCTATCTCTAACCATCAGTAGGTCTCTGTGTCTCTACAGTGTCTTCTACACCCCTTACTCATAGCAGTTGGATGAATAAATATGGTTCTAATACTGTGTAATTCTGTCTCTGCTGGAATCTGAGTCTATATTTCCTGCTCTGACTACAGTGCTTGGCATAAAATAGATACTAAAGTATGCTGAATGAATGAGCATTCTGTTGAATGAATGAGTCCTGCTGCTGGGAAGGACTGGGGCAAGGCGCTACAGATTAAAGAGAACAAATATCAGTTTATCAACATAGCACTGGATCCAAATTTATGAAAGATATTTGCCATTGGTTTCTAGAAAAACTCTGTCATGCTGCTAACTGAGATTTAGACACTTCTCATTTTACTGTTTAGTTTTGGTCAGACATTAAAATTGGTTCCAACAAATGAGTGATACAGTGGAGAGGGATGGAGTGCAGAGCAGCTTAGAATAATTGGGATTAAGAACACATTGGAAAACAAGGAGCACTTGCCAGAAATGAATGATCCCATAAGTCCATGATTCTCTGATTTGGCAAAGAGAACTTGGTCACTGCTTTTGCTGCATCAAAATCCCCCTGTTACCCCATGTCATAGTAGGAAAAATGTCTCTACATCAGGAAACTAAACTGGTTAGCTTTGTATCCATTTGCTTGAGATTTCTAAGTGGGCATTACTTTTTTGTCATAAGAAGAATGGATGAGTCAATTTGTCTTCGTGAATCTTTTGTTTTATTTTACATCCCTAGATGCTCTTCAAAGGCAAGTAATAGAATTTTCAGTATTGTTGCTTGATCTTAGATAAGAGAAAGTTAACATCTACTTTGCTGCTTGTTTTACTTGACGTCTCCCCCTCTTTTTTGCTTTTGGGTTAAAACACCTTCCTTTTTCAGAGCTGGGAGGTTAGGGAGGCTTTGCTTTGAAATTAAGGGAGTAGAGGAGCAAGCCATGGTGCTTTTGTATTTCCCCCTATGTATCACTTATTAAACTCCTGTTGCCCTGACCATTGTTGCTTTCCACTGAAGTCTGGTTTATTTACTTGAAAATCTGATTTGTTTCATTTTATTACTGTGTTTGCGAAGTAACTGATATCAGATTCGGAGGGAAAGAACTGCCATTTACCAGCAGGCTGTGATGGCTTTGCCTCGGTCTGCAGGCCTGATTTTGAGGCCTCGTCTGCCCTGGGGCTCCCACAGAAATAAGATTACTGGCAATAACTGCTTCAACTGCTTTGAATAACAGACACAACTCAGAGAGCATAAAATTAGCATAAACACAGCACTAGTGTGTTCCCTCAGCGAATATGAGACAGGCAGGCTATGGAAAATTGACTGAAATGGGGTCAGACAATGTAGAAATCTGAAACATAGAAAATACCGCCTAAGAGATATGAGGTATTACCACCTCTTTCATTTTCTTTTATCTCTCTCTCTCTATATATACATACATACAGTCATGCAGTTTTAATGATAAAATGTTAGAACTGATGAAAATTAAAGATGCAAAATCACTACCTCCCTAAAATGCCTGCATTATCTTTCTAGACAAATTATTATTAATCATTTCTCAGCTTTTTAATCCTGAGGGTAGAAAAATAAACACATTTTCACAGTTATTTTAAATTGATTTTTCTTTTTAGGGAGATATTAGTTTGAGGATAGAGATTTTGCTTCAGAAAGAACATGAACAGCTGAAACAGTACAGGATTGTAGCTTGAAACAATTCCTTCCATATCTATTTATCAAATATTAAAATGGGATATGCTGCAGACAAATGCAATAAAGTCTAACATTACAGGGAAAGCAGTGACGCTGTGCATCTCAAAAGGCAGATGGAAGCTAAGATTTTGCTGTTTTAATAATATGTTGTCACATATGGAATACAATTTTCAATACAGCTGCATATAGATGGGTCCCGTTGCTTATTTATTTATTTTTGGTGTGATGTTGGCAAACATCCAACCATTCCACAAAATGAAATTGATTTTGGAATTTAGCATTTTCTGGTCTTATCCTGGTCTGAGATAGTGTTCAAAGGTTGATAACTCAGTACTTCAAATTTAGATTATGGAGAAAGAGTGTAGATGTTTAGTAACATTTCTCTCTCATGAATAGCAGTAATCCGTTTATCATAGTCTGTGTGCATTCTTTCACACATTTTCACATTTATAAGTATTTAGTTAATGCTAGTCTTCCCCATTAATCTTTTAACTCCATAAAGCCAGGACCCCCTGTTTGTATAGTATTTGCTACTGCCTCCTTAGTGCCCAGCACTGTGTCTGCTGTTTGCTAGCACTCAACAAATATTTACTGAATGTGTGACTAAAGTATGACTGAGTAGCAAGGGGATACAATACTGTGAGGGCTATTACATTTTAAACAATGATTGTTATAGTATTTCTATCAAAATTCTTATTTTAAAAGAATCTAGCAGGCTCATTATCTTTGGATTCTATAAAAACAAAGGATGTCTTTAAAATTTATGGAAATAAGGTATAGATTAACTGCCACTATGTTTCTGTAAACACCAGTGATAAAAATATATCTCACAGAGTGAATCCAAGAGACTCCAATATGAAGAGAAACTGACATGTAGTATTATTTCGTTTAACATATTCATTGACAGGTAGCAAGTTTAGATTGTCAGGTTTATGCTTACATATTATAGTGACATCAAATACTTGCAGAGTACCAGACCTCATTTCCCTCTGTGTTGTAAAAATTTCAGGGAGTTACTTCTTTTTACATCTGTAAATGTTCAGACACTCACTCTGCAGTTGAATGGACAACATGTAGCTTTGTGTTTTCTTTGTCTAATTGTAGTATTTGCTTAACCTTGAGGAAGAACTCATTTTGTCATTTTCCAAATATTTTTTAATGACAAGGGGCCATCTTCTCTTCTTCCTCTGATCTAATAACAATTATAATATAAATTACATAATTGCAGCAGAAAAACTGGAAACTTGCATTATGAATTACTTATGTTTATAGCTTTCCCCCTAGGTCAATTGTTAAGTCTCAAAGTGCAGGTACTTAGTTTCCTGTCACTATATTTTCAAATCCTTGCACAGGGTGGAACATATCTGAAGAGTGTACAGAATAGGCAGTATCCTAGCTGAATTCACCTTCCGCTTATGTATATATTAAAGCAATTGCAATGAAAACAAAAATTGACAAGTGGGACCTAATTAAACTAAAAATCTTCAGCACAGCAAAAGAAAATATAAGAGTAAACAAAACACCTACCAAATGGGAGAAAATATTCTCGACCTATGCACCTGGCAAATGTCTAATATCCAGAATTTATAAGGAACTTAAGCAAATCAACAAGCAAAAAACAAATAACCCCATTAAAAAGTGGACAAAGGACATGAACAGATGCTTCTCAAAAGAAGGCATACAAGTGGCCAACAAACATATGAAAAATGCTCATCATCACCAATCATAAGAGAAATGCAAATAAAAACTACAATGAGACACTATCTCACACCAGTCAGAATGGCTATTACTACAAAGTCAAAAAACAACAGATGTTGGTGAAGCCGCAAGGAAAAGGGAAAGCTTATATACTGTTAGGGGGAATGTAAATTAATTCAGCCACTGCGAAAAGCAGTTTAGAGATTTCTCAAAGAACTTAAAACATAACTACCATTCAACCAAGCCATCCCATTACTGGGTATATACCCATAGGAAAATAGATTATTCTACCAAAAAGACACATGCACCAGTGTGTTCATCACAGCACTATTCGCAATAGCAAAGACATGGAATCAGTGTAGGTGCCCATTAGTGGCGGACTGGATAAAGAAAATGTGGCACATATACACCATGGAATACTATACAGCCATAAAAAATGAACTTATGATTTTTTACAGCAACATGGAGGCAGATGGAGGCCATTACCCTCAGTGAATTAATGCAGGAAAAGAAAACCACATATTATGTATTCTCACTTATAACTGAGAGCTAAACATTGGTCACACATAAAAATAAATACGAGTACAATAGACACTTCAGAGTACTGGTAGGGGACAGGAGTGCAGGTTGAGAAACTACCTATTGGCTACTATGCTTACTACCTGGGTGTTGGAATCCATTCTTCAAACCTCAGCATCACACAATATACCCATGTGACAAACCTACATATATACCACCTGTATCTAAAATAAAAGATGAAATTTACATAAGCAAATAAGTAAATAAATAAACAAAACACTTGCACACAGAAATTCTGAAAATTGGATGCCACACCAAGGACCTTCCTATGCACATATTTAATTTCAAATTGTTTTCCTAAAGAATTCTTTTCATCCAGGAGTGTTTCCAGCTAAGAAGAACTTAAACCACTGGGCAGAGTCACATCTGCGTATGTATAGTAAAAGTGATTGGGAGAGTCAGATTCTGTGGCTGAATTAGTTGTGTTTTAATAAAGTAAGAGTGGTTCATATCATCGGGCTGCCGTCTTTGTTCTTCATTCATCATGAACAATTTTCCCTAAAATCCTTCCAAGATGGGCCCCTGTCAACCATATTTGATAAGTTATCCTGACCCTGCACATAATTGATTAGCTGGGTTAATCAGATTCTTCCTCTAGTAAAGTTCATCTTGGATCTAAGAAGTTCTAGTTTAATCTGTACTGTTAGCATAAACTGAGGTAATATAAACTGAAAATATGTGAGCAGCTGTCTTTCTCTAGTGACTACAGCACAGAGAGTGTCCATCTGCCAAGAAAGACAGATCGAGTGGATGTCGTATTAGTTAAGAATTGGACGGGCTGCATGAAACAGAAACCCAACTACTGTGGCTTACTTTTTAAAATGTTTCCATATGATAAGAAATGCAGAGATAAATAGTCCTGGGCTGATAAAATACCCACACCACTTTTAGTTTTCTGTTCCACTAGTCTTGCCATGTAGCTCTCAACCTCGTGGTTACAAAATACTTAACTCGTCTCCCAGCATGGTACCTATATTCTGGGCAGACAGGGAGAAAGGCTACGCCTCCATTAACAGCTTCCTGAAGTAACCACCCACAACTTCTACTTCTGCTTACATCTCATTGGCCTAGACAATGTCGCTGTGTCAATATTTAGTTGCAAAGGTATCTGGGCAACTAAAATTTTAAGCTAAACATACCTCCCTGAACAAAATTGAAGTTCTCTTAGTAATGAAGGAAAGGAGAGTATACTGAGAATAGACATTGTATGAGCAACCACCAGTGTAGGGTGGATACTAGTTAAAAAAATAGACTTGGCATTGGGTAATCTAAAGAGAAGGGGAATAGGAGAGTGCCTGCCTGCTTCCACAAAGTTTTCTGTTTTCTTGTTTTCTGCTCCAGTCCCTTATCAAGCCTGGCTACCATTGTGCTCATAAACCATGAGTGTCCCTATAGAAAATCATCTTTTTTTTTTCTTGCTTACTCTAGATCAAGTTGCTTTATACTATTTGGGAGAAGAAAAGGTCTTATTAAAAAAATGGTCCTAAAAGCGGATAGGAAAGAAAGATTGGTCTACCAGTGAAGTTTTCTTTAAAAATAGTTTTTTAACGTTCTTTTAGAGCAGTTTTAGCTTCATAACAAAGTTGTGCAGAAAGTACATAGATTTCCCATATGCTACCTGCCCCCACACATGCACAGCCTCCTCCACTATCAACTCCCTGCACCAGAGTGGTATTAGGTTGGTGCAAAAGTAATTGCACTTTTTTTTGCCATTGCTTTAATTTGTTACAACTGATGAACTTACATTGACACATAATAAACACTCAAAGTCCATAGTTTATGTTAAGGTTCACTGTTAAAATTGTATATTCTATAGTTTTGGACAAATTTATAATGACATGCATCTACCATTATAGTATCATACAGAGTAGTTTCATTGCCCTAAAAATCCTCTGTGTTCCACCAGTGTATCCCTCTCTCTTCACAAACTCTGACAAACACTGATCTTTTGTACTGTCTCCACAGTTTTGGCTTTTCCAGAATGTCAAATAGTTGGAATTATATTGTATGCAGACTTTACAGACTGGCATCTTTCACTTAGTAATATGGATTTAAGGTTCCTTCATGTCCTTATAGCTCTTTTCTATTTAGTGTTGAATAATACTCCATTGACTGGATGTACCACAGTTTATTTAACCACTTACCTACTGAAGGATATCTTGATTTCTTTGAAGTTTGGGCAATCATGAATAAAGCTGCTATAAACATTTGTGTGCAGGTTTTTGTGTGGACGTACATTTTTAAGTCATTTGGGTAATTTCTAAGGAGTGCAATTTCTAGATTATAGTCTCATTTCTACATGTCAGATTTTAAACAGAAGTTTTGTAAGGGCCAGGACTGCACCTATGTGTGTACACTTATGCATTTTATAATCTACTGCACCTATGTGTGTACACTTATCCATTTTATAATCTATGGGCAGTGTATGAACTATTGTACACAATTACCACAAGTAAACCAATCTAATTGATTTAGATTTTACCATTACACAGACTATTACCTGATTTAAGCTACATGTTTCATTGCCTTTTCTGTATATTCATCGAACTAAACAATTGATTTCAGCACACATCTATAATTGCTTGTGTCATACAAGACTGGAATAATGACTAAAAATAATTTTCTTTCTGAAATAAGTAGGAGGCCAATATGTCCATCTGGCTCAAAATAAATAAAACAGTTTTTAACTTTTAGAATTATGGAAATGTAAGTGGAAAATAGTGTCTCCTTTTCCCTGTTTCTGTCTCTGGGTATCTTAATTGTGATTATTCCCCAATTTTAGTTATTCATTCATGAACTGTCTCTCCAGGAAAAGACTAAGATGTACCCATTGCTTTTTTTGTTGTTTAACGGATTCTGCACATTTTCTAGTTTCTGTCTTGGCAACCTGTTGTTCCAGGTATAAAATCACCAAGAGTCTTAATCAGTAAGCTGTCAAATATTTATTACATACCTTGGTTAGAGTATGTGCTTAAAGAATATTTGTTGAGCCTGTAATTCCAACACTTTGGGAGACCAAGGTGGATGGATCACTTGAGGTCAGGAGTTCAAGACCAGCCTGGCCAACATGGTGAAACTCTGTCTCTACTAAAAATACAAAAATTAGCCGTGCGTGATGGCATGTGCCTGTAATCCCAGCTACTCGGGAGGCTGAGAAGGAGAATTGCTGGAACCTGGGAGGGGGAGGTTGCAGTGGGCCGAGATCGTGCCACTGTACTCCAGCCTGGGCAACAGAACAAGACTCTATCTCAAAAAACAAATAAACAAACAAAAACAAAAACAAACAAAAAATAAAGAAAGAATATTTGTTGAATTGACTCATTCATTTAACAAATGTTTGTGGAGTACCTCTTCTCTGCCTGTTACCTTCTATGTACTCAGGAATTCAGAGACGAAGGAGGCAGACAGGATCTCTGCTTCCTTAGGGTCCACACAAAGTAGATGGCTAGGTGCACCATCCTTCAGAAGTATTTCTCTCCACCACCTTCAGTTAAGGCCATGATACGGGTGGCTATAGTACAATGCAGTCCATTTTCATTTGGTACCCATATACCAAGCCAAACCATCCATGAGCCAATATTGGCTTTTTCTCTCCTGTTGGCTTGTCATATTGGAACACACCCCATTCAGGAGTGAGCTGAGGGGAAAGGTATGATGTAATGGTGATAGATAATAGGAGAGTCAGGGCTGTCTGCCTGTGTGGCTCACCTGTCCCCTTTGGTTCTACTAGATATTTGATCCTAGATGTACCATTCACATTAATGTAGATTGCCACTGGTCGTAAGCAACTATATGACTTTTTGGTTCTGATGGACTCTAGCTCATAGTGGGCAATTCTGGATGCATGGTCACTTGGTATTTCTTAAGTCATGTGCTCTTCCTTAATCAGGGCCCAGCAGCACACCAGGAGCTAATTTTCGATAGGTGTATAATTATCTAATGTAGATTGCATTATCTTGTTCTAGAATCCTAGAGACCTGTATTGTGATTCCATTAAGGCTTGTTATAAACTTTACATGCCACCTTTCCCACCATATGTGTTTCCAAGATTATAGGGCCTGCTGGGTCATGTGATCCATGCAACAGCCATTTTTGCTCAGTGTCCCACTCAACCCACTCAAACTATGTCCCCAGTATATACGCTGAGAAGCGGAGAAGGATTCCCAGGTAGGGAGCATGCTGCCTCCAAAACCCTGCCAGGCATTCCGCTTAGCTTTCATGGTGAGAGATGTGAAATACAATAATTTGTGCTTCATTTTAGATAAGATGTTTCTGTGTGTTCCAGACCACTGCATCCCTAAACATTTTGCTGATATAATGGGCCTCTGAATCCACAGGCTTTATCCCCTACTCTCTAGAGTACATATGTAGTGCTTCATATGACACTTCCTGCTCAGATAGTCCAGTGAGCATGATGTCACTAATGAGTGGACCACTGTGATGTGCTGCATGATGTCAAGGCAATCTAAGTCTGATTGTGATAACTGTGTTACCATGTAGCCTCTATCATTTATGGGCTAATCATCCCCATTATTATCCTGACCCCACTTCTAACTTGACATATCTCATCTCCTACTGTAAGCCTCACAGTGTTCTTGGTGCCCCTCTCATCAGCAAATTCTCTAACATTTTGTAATTGCAGGATCTCCCAGACCCTCCTGTGTGGTAATAGTCATCTAATGAGTTACTTGGCCTTGCATAGTATATGTACTTTAGCATGCTTACTTTTCTATGCCTTTTAATTCATTCTTTGACCATCAGCCATGGAAATTATGGCATTTATGCTTCACTATGTATTTACCATAGCTTTAGTCTTCCCCAAGCTTTTACAAGCCATCCTAGGAATGTGTTGGCACCATTTCCCAGGGTCCTTGCCAGAATGTTGAGTCCTATGTCATGGGAGAATGTTCTCATATTGAAAAACTCCCCATTTCCCAACTTCATGTTCTGCCAGCTTCAATCCAGTGTTCTTAGGGTCCAGTCTCACATGAACTCTCCAAGGTCCTGCTGAAGTTGATTGCTAACTACTAAAGTTTCTTTACAGTATGATCCTTTAATTCCCTCAGCAGGCCCAATATTGCCCCAGCTGGGTTAGAATGTAACTTAAACTTAATCATTGGCTTAGAAGCCATGAGATTACATCACAAGTGGGGTCCTTTTTGTTTCGAAAGATATAGTTCTCTGTGCTGTCTTCAAGTAAGAGTGGAGTACTAGATTGTAACAGGGAGGATTAGGCCAATCTCACCAATACAGAGGGTTTTTAGGGCATTGATTCCCAGTTGGGACAGTTTTGGTCCCAAGGGCATATTTGACAATGTCTGCAGACACTTGTGATCTTCATAAATGGTGCAGAGGGGCTACTGCCGGCATCTAGTAGAGACCAGGGATGCTGCTGAATAGTCATTCTACAATGCACAGGACAGCCCCCAACAACAAAGAACTATCCAGCTTCAAGTGCCAATAGTGCAGAGGTTGAGAAATTCTGGTTTAGGGGACTTGGGGATTTGTAATTTTCTAGCACATCGTGCCAGATGTCCCTATCAATTATCCCAGTATTCCACCTCTTCCTAATCAAGTATCTGACCTTGGCATAGCAGACATGCTCAGGTTCTCTGGAGTTCTGCTATTCTTATGATTAAACCCTTGTCTGGTCCTCAGCTCATTCCATCTTTCAACTGTAAGAGATGGATATCTCTTTATATGTTGCCAAGGGGGTCTTCTGGCTTTCGCATTTAGCTTTTAATTTCCAATTAATCCTTCTCAGCTTTCCATTATTTGTTTTCTAAGGAATCAAATATCCACAGTAAAACCTATTCAAGTTCATTGTTCCCCTAATTACTATTTTCTCTATATTTCTCAAACACCTGATGCATTACACCCACTAGTGCATTTCCTTCTGCCAGCATGCCATCACAATTCCCCACAGGTGAAAGCTTTAACAATCGCCCTGCTGCCTTTTGCCAGGTTATTCATTCTCCACCTTCCACCAGTGATGAGTCACTTGATGTTTGTTGGGTGACAGGTGAGGCAGCTTCAGAATCTCATGTTAGCGTCTGCTTTCTCAGACTCCTGGTACTGTTACCATCAGCTTCCCCCATCAGAGAAAGAAAATAACTCTGATGGAGATTTGTATACAGGAGGGTTATTAGGAAGTGCCCGGGTATATGATAAGCACCTATAAAAGAAGGGAAAACAACACAGGCAGCAGAGGAAAAATCAAGGTATAATACAGGCATAATCATTCAGTCTCGGAAAATGTATGGGAGCTCTGAAGCTCAGGTGGCCCCACAGAGTTGGTCAAATTTAGATAGGGAGAGACTGGTCCTTTGTTCTGCTTTAGCCCATCATTGATCCAGGCTGCATCCTGGAAGGGATATCACTTTGAGTCAGGCAGCTCTCTTCAGCAGAAAGCAATTCCTGGAAAGCGCAGAAAACAGAGGATGGGGTGTGAGTAGTAGTTTCTGTAGGTGAGAAACAGGCCCTTCAATTTAGAAAGGAGATCTGGGCAGCACAGCACAGTGTCTAATACAGCAGATAACTCCCTCTAGCTGCATTCAGTGGGGTTACTGGGTATCCATGCTCTGCAGCTGCCAGTGGTAAGACCAGCAAATGGGAGACTGGGGCATTTTAAGAAGATTTCCTCCTTCACAGCTGGAGCAAGTAGAGCACCTCTTTTATCTTGTAGCAGAATAATGTGGCAGGCTGTGGGGTGGTGGTAATTTCACCTGGACAGGAAGACAAGAAATGACAGCACTGTAGCAGAGCTGAGAAGAAATAATAGTTAATGGATATATAATGAGGAAATCATAATTTTCTTAACAGCTCTTGCTAGCATTTTTCTTATAATGGGAACTACCTTTGTTTAGAAACCTATTTTGATAATCTACTTAGGGCAGAGTGTGGGACTCCAAGCTTGGGGAAATTCACAGGAGATTAAACAACAAGGAAGGGTCACTAGTCTCTAAAGGACTAACGTGTTCTATATGAGCTTAAAAAAAAGAAATAAATAACAATGTTTTGTTCCTGAGAAGAAGAAAAGAGAACTATAGTTAATTAGGATACTTCTACTTCTTAGTAACAAGAACCTGATTCACATAGGTTTAAATAGCAAAACATTTAACAAATTAAATAGTAAAACATGATGTCCTCAGAAATGCAGAGGTGGTATGGCTGCCAGTGTCAGTGAAGGCAGAGGCTCACATCATGAAGAACCCAGGTTCTTTACATCTTTTCACCCTGCTACTTGCATCTGTGGCTTGTTCATGTTGGCAAGCTAGCTGTGGGTGATGGCTGGGTCTTGTCTTGGACAAGTAAGAGAAAGAACAGTCCTCCTTCAAGCATCTTTCCTTCTAGCTTGATTGGGTCATCTGAGGCCATATGACTCACTGTGCACTTACAACTGTGATCAGGGCAACCTCCGTGCTGGGTGTGGTCTGCTTTCCTTAAGGAAGGGAAGATACCTAATCCAAATGAGACTGTTAGTAGGAGAAAAAGGGAAATGAATGTTGGGTAGGCAATCAATCGGGTCCTCTATAAAAGCAGAGAAAAAGGGAGGAAGAGAATAATTAACAAATTGAAAAAAGCTGGAAGATTAGGGGATGCAAGGCCTGCAATAATTCCCAAATAGTAAGGTGGCCAAAGGACAGTATAAGAACAATGATGCCATCATCATTGTTTTGGTAATTTATAGTTATTTTTGTGTATAATATGACCCCTACTCCATTTTTTCTCTATACTCATACCTCTTGCAAAAGCCTGTTATGTTTATGAGTATGTTGTATGAATAAATTATTTTATTATTTAATTCTGAATTGACAACTAATGATTGTATATATTAATGAAGTACAATGTGATGCTTTGATGTATGTGTATATTATATAAAGGTTAATCAAGCTAACACATCCACCTTACCCACTTACCATTTTTTTGTTTGGTGAGAACATTTAAAATCTACTCTTTTAGCAATTTTGAGATGTGAAATACATTATTACATTATTATTAACTATGATCAGCTACTGTGCAATAGATCACCAAGAT
Source organism: Homo sapiens (assembly GCF_000001405.40). Lineage (NCBI taxonomy): Eukaryota > Metazoa > Chordata > Mammalia > Primates > Hominidae > Homo > Homo sapiens. The sequence goes on along the minus strand of NC_000006.12, from coordinate 51,568,318 downwards.
TATTCCTTTCATCTAACTGAAACTTTCTATCCTCTGACCAGCATCTCCCTTTTTTCTGTCCCTCCCTGCCACTCCCATCCCCGGCACACCCAGTCTCTGGTAACCAGTATTCTACACTCTCATTTTAAGAGTTTGACTTTTTAAAATTCTGCATATATGTAGAATGAAACGTAAGTGTTGGAGAGGATGTGGAGAAAAAGGAACTCTCGTACACTGTTGGTGGGAATGTAAATTAGTACAGCCATTTTGGAAAATAGCGTGGAAATTCCTCTAAAAACTAAAAGTGTGGCTACCACATAATCCAGCAATCCCACTACTGGGCAAATATCCAAAGGAAGTGAAATCAGTATGTTGAAGAGATATCTTCATTCCTGTTTATTGTGGTATGATTCACAATAGCCACAATATGAAAGCAGTCTAAATGTCCATTAATGAATGAATAGGTAAAGAAATTGTGGCATATATACACAATGGAATACTATGCGGTCTTTGGAAGGAAATCTTGTCATCTATAACAACATAGATAAACCTGGAGGACATTGTGTTAAGGCACAGAAAGACCAGCGCTGAATTTTAATGTAAAAACCAAGTGGCGGTAGTGCAGAACAGCAAGTACACATGCACTCATATACGTGCACGCACAGAAACCAAACCAACCAAACAAACAAACAAAAATAATTAAGATCCCTAATAAGTCACAGAACACTTTATGAGGTTTTATGACTTCTATAAGGCAAAAGAATAAAGTTTGAGCCAAATTTACCTGGATCTCAAAGGGCAAAAAACAAACAAACCAAGAAAACAAAACAAAAAACCCTCTGGCTGACATCTAAATTACAAATAGTATGTGCTAGGAGGATTCTACAGGAGAAGGCTGTGTGAGGATACTGAAAAGTCTTCCAGAAATTTTTAATCTGATTTGGAGAGAAAAGTCTTGTACTCCTAAAAACCCACTGCACTTTATACAAATTTCTATCAAATGAATGACACAGGCTAAAATAATTCAGAAGAATAAGACTTCCTATATCACTCAATGATTCTTTTTTCAGTTTTAAAATCTGTTACTTTATAGCTATTTAATATCTGCTTTACCAAACATTTCTTGTGCTGAAGAGAATTATTGTCCCCAGATTATACACAAGGAAATTGATGTCTGAAAGTCTCTAAGGACCCTGCTGGTTTTGTTTCTACTTGGCTTTATCTTTCCCAAGATACTGGGAAAAAATATTCTTTATTCTTGCATCTCCTCTGTTTCTTTCAATATTATCCATTTTATATTTACGATATCTGAGCAACTGCAGAGTGTTTGAGAAGCTCTTTTGCTTGCCAAGCATTTTCTATTAGCTAAATAATATGTTTCACATATAGTTTTAAATATTATTGATGTCGTGATAAATAAAATGTAAATTCAGTTAAATCACTATTTCATTAATAAAACTTTAGTTTTCAAGATTGTTTTCTCAATTAATATGCACTTATTAATTCAAAATAAGTTTTGACAATTAAGCTAGGTCTTCAATCTTTAGAAGATTGGAAAAATAGAGAACCTATCTTATGTTACAAGTGCTAAGATTTTTAAAGGGGAAGACATGCATTCTGCTTGTAATAATAAGGTTATATTTAAAAAATCCCACCAATTTGTTAAACAAATAGCACCTCTGTCTTAACAAACACATTAATCCACACAGTTGCACATTCATGAATGAGATGGCTACGTTATCTCAATTTTATGCTCAAAATAAAGGTAATTAATTACTATGATTATCTTTAAGACCTCAGATAAGGCACTGAGCTTATGTTTCTGAATCCTGCAGAAAACTCTATATGTGTGTGTATCCATGTGTGTATATACTAATAAAGTGGAAATACCAATAAAGCATATTGAAGATATGTCAGATGAAGAGAAGTCCTGACATAAAACTATTGTCACTATGCTTGATATCTCTCTCAGCTTTCTGCTCCTTTTGATGGGATGAAAATTGGTCTGGGATGTAGATGAAAGAGTATTAATAATATTTTCTCTGTTTTAAATGACAATGCTGAAGTCTTAATTAAGAACAGTGTGTAAGGAGATCATGAAGAGATTTCAAAGTCTCTTTTCCTCTAGACTTCAAAACACATGTATGTTATTGTAATTCCCCAAGAAGGCATCATTTTTCCATAACAAAATCAGCCATATCATGCCATTTTTCCTACTCATGATAGATTAGTATTTCATAAGCAGCATTGAAATTCATCTTAAAAGTTTCTTCATCACATTTCTATCTAGTATAGTTTCAGGTATTAAATAGGTGCTAATATTTTTTAATAAATTAAAGACTCATTTTTTAAATTTACAGATGTACAGATAAATTTTCAATTTCCAAATACCCCTGTAACATAATGAAAGCACATATTCCAGTTTGCAATTTAACAAATTATAAGAAACCTTCAACCAATTAATGGGGATATATATATATATATATGGGAAAGCCTCCAGATTGGTATGAAAATGATTGAGTTATTAAATTTATGTATCAGTCATCATATTTCCTTAGATTTGCCTTCATATTGTCTGGAGTTCTTTCAGCTGATTGAATTTATTGACTTGAAATTTTTGAGGTGGAAATTAAAAGAAAGCAAATAAAAGGACTGTCTACCTCAGCACCTAAAAATGATGCAATCTTGTATTTTCTTTCCTTCCATGTATATAACCATACCTCTTTCTATCTAGATATGGTTCTGGGAAACTTTACTTAGATTCTGAACATTAATAAGCACCTGCTACAGGTAATTTTGGTGTGGATTTTAGAGTTGGAGAGCTAAGTAATACAAGCTGCTTTCAGAATCTCACTCTTATATGAATGCATAAGGGCATAAGCATACATATTTAAAATCATGGTCCCATTTGTCATTATGGTGTAGGCCAGTGGTTTCCAAAAGGGACTTTTGCGATGCAGGGGACATCTGGCAGTGTCTGGGGATATTTTAGCTGTCACAGCTTGGGGATGGGGGTATGGTGTGCTACTGTTATCTATTAGATAGAAGCCAGAGAGGCAGCTAAACATCCTACAATGCGCAGGAAAGATCTCACAAAGAAATATCCAGCCCTAAATGTCAATAGTAAAGAAGGTCAGAAATTCCAGGGAAGGGGAAAGAATATGGGCTCTACTTGAAGCCCTGGATTAGAATTCAGAATTCAGATCTGTTCACCATAGAATAAATGGCATCATTGAGCCCATCTTCTTGTGGAACCCGTGAAAAGCCCATTCCCAAATGGAGAAAATTATGCCTAATTTAAAGGGTTCTTAGATAAGGACTATAGGATAAACATGTGGATATCCTAAAATTTCCTGGCTGTCAACCCCCTACTCTAACAGGAGCTCCAGCCCTGTGTAAAATTAAGGACATACTTTCTGTATTTTCTAATTTTTCTCAGTAATAAAGGTGACATACCTGACCACTTTGCTTCAAGACTACATTATTTCCAAAGGAATTCCTTGGTGTTCCCTATAAATCAGTTTACCAGAAATCCACAAATTTACCTTAGCCCCAGTGATGGATGTATCTTAGACTCAATTTGAAATTTCACTATATGTGAACAATTTTTAAAAGTGTAAAATATATTATACATAAGTTATCAATAACTTTTATATATCACTTAACAAATAATAATGTAGACATATACATCCGCAGCTCAACTTAAGGAGTAAAAGTCATCTGTCACCTTGTGTGTCCCACCACAACTGCATTGTCCTCCCTAATCACCCATGATTCCTTGCCTTCTGCCGGTAATGACAATCCTGACTCATGCTAATCTTTTACATGGCTTTAAGTTGTATTTTTACTATAATTGTATGTATTCTCTGATAATATATTGTTTAGTTCTGCCTGTTTTTGATCTTTATATCAACATTATACAGACTACATTTTTGTGTGAGTTGCATTTTTCTCATGGAAATTATATTTTTGTGGTTTTTCCATGTAGAAACGTGTAGTTGACTTTATTCATTTTCACTAATATTTCATTTTATGAATAGGCATTCATCTTTATTGAAATTACATTTGTGAATAAATATACCACAAGCAATTTACTCATTCTACGTTGACAATTAATCCTTGTTAAGGCATTGACATGTTTTTATTTGTTTTCTAATTTAAAACATAGTTTACTTTGATTTTAATTCATACTTCCTTTATAACTAATGAAGTTGAATATCTTTTTACATGTTTATTGTTCAATTGTGTTTTCTTTTTGGTGAAACGCCTGTTCCTGGCTATTATGCATTTTTCTCTTACTGATATGAAGGAATTCTTTATGTAGTCTGGATACTAATCCTTTTGTTATGCATATTTCAAGTATTTTATTGTCTTTTCAGTCTCTTCATGGAATCTTTTGTTAAATTGTAGATCTCAAATTTAATGAAATAAGTTATCAATCTTTTTTTAAAAGTAGCTTGTTTATGAACCCCTTTACTATTCTAGTTCTTAAAAGTATTTCTTATGTAATTTTGAAAACACTTTTAAGTCTTGTCTTTTACATTTTAGTCTTTAATCCACCTGAAATTGATTTTTGTGACAATTCCAGGAATTTTACTCTTTTCCAATGAGAATAATTGTTTTTTTTCCCCCTGCACCTTGTGTTAAGTTGTGTATCCTTTACCCACTGATGTGTTATAGCAGCTTTGTCATATGACAAGATCCCATATATGCATCAACCTGTTTTGTGGACCAACTCCTGGTCTCTTCGTTCCTTTGTTATGGGCCTATGTGTAGCTTTCTCATTTGTTATCTCTCATTTTTAGTGTATGGTATACACCCCTCATGCCACACATTTGTTTCTTTTGTTCTTTTTCAGAAGTATTTAGTTATTCTTAATGCTTTTCTTTTCCCTTTAAATTTTAGAAGCATTGAGTCAATTCTCGGTTTTAAGAACTCTGGAATTTTGACTGAAACTGCAATAAATTTATATATCAATTTGGGAAAATTTGACCTTATGATATTGAGACTTTACAAACAGAGTATGTGTCTCCATTTATTTAGATCTCAAAAATGTTTTACAATAACATTTATAATATTCTCCATATAAGTCTTACATATATTTCATAGACTTATTCCTAGACATGTTATTTTTAGAATACTGTTATAAGTGATTCAATTTAAATTTCCAGCTGATCTAGGGAAATGTAATTACGATGCAACATTTTAAATTTTGTATATATGGAAAATCAATGGATATTGTGTAATCTCTTGATTATACCGAAAATAATCAGCTTTTGCCTTGTTATAATTTTATAGATTATCTACCTTAAAATAATGTTGAATCAATGTGTTCTGTCCTATTACACAGGTGGTATTTCTTAGGCTGAACATGCTTCAAGTAATAGGTACTCTAGCTTTTATGTTATCCAGAATATGTTTCACCAATGCGACCCTGCACAGAAAACTTTCCTTTCATTTTGTGGGGGCGACATCCCTACTTGGAACACAATTCTCATATAGATGTCTTATATGCAGTGATATATAGGAACTACTATTGATATATTTAAACAACTATGGTTAATTGACTCATTGGGGCCATGTTTATAGTTTTGTTATAAACTAGGTAACAATTTGTTTGCCATGTCTCATCTAATAGCAATTAAAGCCTCTTCTTAAGAAGGAGTGTACTTGAATTTCACAAGAAATTGTGACTTTTCTGGTTTGGCATTTTATTATAGGGAATGAGTACAGATCAAGAAAGAACATGGCATTTCTTTAAATTGTTAAGCTCTTCCTTAACCTAAAATTTTACTTCCTCAAGAGATAATTTTTAAAAAGATTCTATTAGTAATTTTTCTTAAAAATGCCAGGTGTTCTGTCTTAATTTACCACTTCCACTTTCACTTTTCATCTCTCTAGCTAAGGGAAACAGCCTAGGAACCTCTTTGTTGTCTCAACAAGTAAAGTTTGAGAAACAATAGTTGGGGGAAAGCTTCAATAGTTTAAAGTCACAGGATGTGGCCAACTATCTTCTGTTACTTATGCACAGACAACAACAACTACAAAAATCAAATAACCAATAACGAATTCTCTTCCTGGAATTGCAGGCATTTAACTTGCATTTGGGTCCCAAAGCCTTCCTTTAGTTAATTCTGTTTTTATTGGCCAGGTCTTCTTTCATTATTTTTATAAAAATTAATCAATGTAAGCCCTAGTCTAGACAGCAAAATCAGCAAGATTCCCTTCTATGCACCTCTGTTTCACATCCATGGGGCTGCTGCTGTGTATTTCTAAGGGATACATATTACAACTTCCCATTAAGTTTATTAGAAATGGGAGTAAGGATTAATGAAAGCTCCTACAGTTATTGCCTTTTTACACCATATTTACTTGCATCTATTATTATTTCTAGTTACTATTTTTACTTCTTGTTTCAAGCCTTATCCATGCAGCCTTTTTAGTCCAGTTGTAAACAAGGGGACTGATGATAGTTACATAATGACACATAAACCATATTCTGTAACCCATCAAAGGAAGGAAAAGTGCATCAATATTCTTTTCTCTATCACCTAATTAAGGCTCTGTTAATACTCTCTTTGATCTCTGAATACTTAATCCAGCAAAGGTAAAGGAACTTCAATATGTTTTCCTCCTTGTCACCATTCTGTGTTTTATATCTCATTTCATCAGGCAGAGCAGGGGAGAGGGGAAGTGTTACTTATGTTATTTCTCCCAGGCCAGATAAAATAAACCTGGCGGGAGCAGATGTTAAATTGCAGCCTATGAAAAGTTAACACTATCTTCTGTAATTGAAACCTTAGGGAGGAAGACTTGAGACAATTGCCAATGGACACAGAATACCAATATAAGAGTTTATCCTCAGGGTCAATCTTGTCACCCACTGATACATGAATGCAAAGTAACCAATAGATGGGCCATAGAGGTGGGCAAGAAGTGATTGGCTCTACTGAACAGAAGACCTCAAAAGATACTTCAATCTCAACTCTAGTATCCTAGAAACCCATAACCAGCCTTTCCAATGAAGCTGCCCTAGGCATTTCAGGTAGGGAGGTCCCCTGTCAACTAATACCTCCTATATCAGTGGACTTCCTTCCCCCATATTCATGAAGTTTCTTGAGTGTTTTCTTCTTTCCAGTGTTTACTTACATGATAAACACTCAGGGCACCCATTCAGACCAAAGCTGCTGAAAATACTGTGGTCCTTAACCCTTTTTGGTGACTGTTTTTAGTCCTATTGTTACTCCATTAGCATTCAGTCCTTCCAGACTATTATTAAATCTCTCATGGTGATGTGTATTGGGTTTGTTGTCTATAACCTTTTTACTTGGCTGAACGAAGGATGCTCATTGTACATAAATCAAAGTCCTATGGGTGTGTTGCTTATGTGTTTGGGTTGTGTAAGTATGTGTGTGTGTATATATACATATACACACACATACATATATATATATATATATATACATATATATATATCCCACTTATTTTGTAAAAGTAAAAATGTTATTAGGATTCAGGGCTGTAAAACTTGGGTTAGAATTATTGCTCCACTTCTTCCTAGCTAAGTAATCTTGGGCAAACTTGTTAATTTCTTTATGAATCAGTTTTTGCATCTGTAAAACAAGGCTCATTATCACCCCTTTCTCCTAGTTTTATTTTAGCTAAATGTGCTAATACATGAAAAACTCCTAGAATAGTGTCTGGCTCACAGTAAGACTTAAAAACAATTAGTTACTTTTAATAATCATTTTAATTGACTTGCATAATAATATAGGCATAATATAATAATGATCCAGTACCATCACAATAATGATGCAGGATATAGTGATTACTATCACCTCAGCATCTCTCATTTAACTCTGTCACAGAGAGAAATTGGGAGCAAGCTCAAGAGGTTTTTGTTTGTTTTTTATCCCATTGTGTTGAGAAAGGCAGTCTTTCTTAAGTGGAAAAGCAGACTCGAGTTTACTTTGAATATGTACATGAACAAAATAGCAGAAAGAAGTACAGGACAAAATCTAGGCATGTTCAGAATAACATGCCTAGATTTTGTCCTGTACTTCTTTCTGCTATTTTGTTCATGTTATTCTGAACATGCCTCCTATGTATGGGCAACATGTTTCAATAAAAAGTATGATAGTGAACACTCTCTAGAGCTGATATGTCTGAAAAACAAAAACTATGCAGAACTTTTCCTGGAAAAGTAGTTGCTTCCAGCAATTCTGGTATTGTGAATGACAATTATGTTCAGAAGTTTTGCAAAATATATCTTAAGTCCTAAAAGGAAGGAGAATAAAGATTAGCAGGAGGTGAACCTGGATGTACCCTGGGAGCTGCAGAAGGAGAAGAGCTTGCTATGATGATGTTCACCCATTCTGATGCAGCAAAAATGGCATAATCATCATAGGAGAGAGAGGAAAATCTCAAAAGCTGTTTCTCTATTTGTGGGTTTTTAAATTTTCTTCAGGTGTGTTTTGCCATTAACTAAAATCTCTTGACTCCCCTGCCACCCTACTCCTTTCCACCACATTCTCATTCTTACCAACTCCATTTTCTTTGGTACTCTTCAGTTCCTAACCATATACATTCTTTACTTATTTTACCACTTTCTTTAAACCTCAGCTTTTGGTCTCTTGTTTTGTACCATGTCCCTTTGAATTCTTCTAGGCTTTTATGCTTCATGTGGATATAAGAAAAAAGTTGCATAAAAACATTCTCAAAAGTGTAAGTTAAACCCCCACATATATTTTTTTCTCTTGGATCCTTGATCTTACTAGAACTTTACTATGCAAGATCTATTTTTAATTATGGTCCTATTAATTTAGAACTTACAGCATTCTCCAGATTCAAATATTGCATTCTGTTCTGTTCTTTTGGTTTCTTGCAGTCTCCTTCTTTTTCCTTTCCTCTTTTATTTACTTAGATCTTGGCTTTCGCCTTGAGGAGAAAGTCTTCAAAGAAACAGTGAGGCATTCCCAACCAGGGACCAGATCTTTCAAACAGCATGGTGTGCTTTTACCTGGATCTGACAGCCTTGTTCTGTCCAACACCTAATTGTGAATTACCTGTACTCGCTCTCCTGCTGCCACCAGCAGGGCACTAGAAGGAATGGAGATGTGGCTCACATTAGGTTTCACCTTCACAGAAAAAGGCAGTGGTAGGAACTCACCTATTAATACAAATACAAAGTAGGAAGTAGATACACTGTGCTAGATTTTCCAACAGTTAACTTTTCAGCTTGTTTCCCTTACTCAGCAACCAGTGGGATGGGAGTTTTGACTTTCGGGATCAGAATAGACTTGCATGACACAAAGAAACGATAAATGTTTGAGGTGATAGATTTTCTAATTACCCTGATATGGTCATCACACATTGTATAAATGCGTGAAAATATCACATGTGCCCCACAAATATGTACAATTACTATGTGTCAGTTTGAAAAAAGAAGAAACAAAGAATAGACTTGCAGTGCTCCCTTTCCCTCTCATGAAAGAGAATAAATGTGTTTGAGGGAGGACTCAGAACACACATCAGCTTCTTTGAATTACAAATAGAAAGCAGAGTCTCTACTGGCCACCGTGGGAGCAGGAACATTTATTTTTGTAATTCTCACAAAACTCCTGGTTTCTTTGGGGCTGGCACAGTACTGAGGAAAGGCGATTCAGAGATATTTCAACATTACATTTTTTTTTTTTTTTTTAGGATTGTGGGTGCTCTGTTAAGGCCATCTGTAGCCCAGCAATTCCGAAACATTTGCAATCTTAAAACAAGCCATATTTTATGAGTGTAATTATATTACTTATAAATAAATATTTACCCACCTAATGTTTTGAAAATTAGAGAGATTCTAGGGATGGTGGCTAGGCATTCAAGAATCTTTTAAAATGATCTTTCTAGTTTCTTCTATAAGAACTTCTCAATCTTAGCAAAAGTCATTGGCTTTCTTTTCCCATCGACATATTTTTAATGTTTTACTTTCTGAACTTTTGTAATGTGTTCTTACCACTGCCAAAATATGGATTGTTATTCAAAAACCAAGTTCAAATCTCACATATTCAGTCACCTTTCTTGATTGCCTCAACGAGCGGTAACCTCCTGCCACTAATTCCTTGGAGAACTTCTAGTCCCTAATATTTTCTGGTAGGTTTATATCATGCAAAATTTTCCAAGCTTTGGAGTGGCTCTAAAATCCAACTTCCTAGGCCCCATTCTCCTGAATGTTTTATTTAATCATTCTGAGAGGGTACCTAGGCACATGCATTTTAACAAGGCTACTAAATGTATTTGATATGAATTGTGGGTAGAAGACTAGCTTTTGACAAGCATCAACATAATCATATATATGTATATGATTGTTGCACCTACCTCCTAGTTTTATGCTGAAAATACTGTGGTCCTTAACCCTCTTTGGTCACTGTTTTTAGTCCTATTGTTACTCCATTAGCGTTCAGTCCTTCATATATATATATATATATATATATATATATATATTTGTTAGTTTTATAAGTGTATATGTTTTAGTTCCCTTGTTCAGTTGTGTGCTATTAAAGGGCAGGGATTGTATCTTACCCTATTTAGTTCATACAATGCCATAAATTTATATAATATCAATAGCATTAATTTATATTGCTCTCAGACATGTTAAAATCAATTTTATTATACTAAATACAATATTAGGAAGAGGATTGACCTATAAAGTTACTTAGAAGAGAAAAATAAAATATAACAGCAATGTTTGTTGTTTTTTATAATCAAAAAAGGTCAAGAAGAAGTACCAAACCAATGGTTATCATTAAATGTTAATTTACTTGGGGTCAGATACTCTCCTAATATTTTGGTACACTTCCTTTGAGGGGACACCAAGGATTCTTTATTTTGTAACTGTCATCCCTTGTGGTAAAAGGGACTACTAAGAACTGAAACCTAAAAATTATAAGGATGCCGTAGGATATCTTGTTGAATGGAAACCAATTTTCCTGGTGAGAAACTTGGTTTCATTTTTTATTTTATAAATGTTGGCTTAATACTGATTATGTGTCATGGAAAAGCCCCACAACATTCAGTACATCAAATGCTGTGAAAATTATCCAGCTCATATTATACCTCTAAGCGTTTCACCAAAATGTAATAATTTCCTGAGACATAAAAGAAACTTCTCCCATCTTTATTTTTTTGTCAAGTGAGAGCACTGAGTTTATACTTTAATTTTTACATTCAAGACTGGCGGCAGTGAAACCACTTTATTTCCTATCATCACCAGAAGTAAGGTTGGGTGGCAGGTGGGTGAACTGAATTCTCTCCCTAGGATCCCCCGGTCACAGCTTCCTGGGTATCAATGGAGGGCAACCATCTCTGTGATGCCCAGACAAAGTGATAATTCACATCACTGGCTTAAAGAACCAGGAAATCCAATTTCTGGAAGATTTAATGAATATATTTCCTTGTTCTGAAAAGAATTTGTATAGATACTCAATAAAAGTAACTATCAACTCTCTTCCAGGAAAAATGGCTGTACAGCCTCGGTGGAGTCAACAGGGAAGTATGCCTGTTCCCAGACCTAGACTCTTTCTTCCAGTGATTACAACACATCTGTTGCTTTCCTACCTAAAACTCATCACAAAGCACTCCAGAAATGTGGGCTAGTGGAGGAATATAAAAATGGATATTATCATCTCCCTTGCAAATGAACTGCCAACAAGAGGCATTTTCCAAACAACGTCTACCCACGTCTCTGATGTTCCATCGTTAGAGAGGTTGGCTGCTTTGAACTGATCTTCCCTGAGCTTTTTTTTTTTTTTTCCTTTTAAGTTCAACTCTCTTGAGGAAAGGTGCTCTTTGTTGAGACTTCTGGTTGACTGCTACACCTTCCCAGTTTTTTGTCTCTTATCATGGCTTAGTTTGCACACTGCACCTTAAAAGAGTAGAGGTCTACCTACTGTACTTTGGATCAGACTGGATCTTGTATTGCCTTCTTTGGAGAGTGCCTCACTCTTTTTATTGTTGTTGTTTGTTTTTTCTTGCTTGCTTTTTAAGCTTCACAAGAAAGTTGTAAGCTTTTCAGCTACCTTCCTAGCAGATTGTCTGAGGCCTTATATTCCTGATACTATCTGTAAGTTGAAAACATGATGATAAAAGTCTTTGTTTTATATAGAGGGGGGTTAGATACCCCCTTTTCTAAGATTGATAATCTATGGAAGTAATGTTTTATCTTTCTTTGTTCTCACTCCTTCTTTCTTCATCTCATGTTTTTTTTTCCTTCCTTCCCCTTTCCTTCCTTCCTTCCTTTCTTTCTTCTTTCCTTCCTCCTTCCCTTTCTGTTCCTTAGGGATTGGAGAGAAAGATTTTTTATATCTTACTTAAGTAGCCAGTCATCCCTCTAATTCCCCAATTTTCTAAATACACATAATTTCTATTTATTTTCTTATATACGACATCCATCTCTCCCTACTCTCACATGTCTAGTGCTTATTCTGTCGCTAAGAACATCATTTGATGGTCCTCATTCCTTTATGCTTTTCAGTATCACCCATTATTTTTTCCCCAAAATGATTGTTCAAAGTCAATCATAGTTATCCCATTGTTCTTCTTATGATGGCATTAGAGATAAACATATGACCCAATACTGGCACATGAGATTTAAAAACCCAATGAAGCCTTCTAGGAAAGCACAATTTTTTCTTGCTTAGTAGCCCACCAAATACTTTCCACATTGTTAGTCTTTATAATTTTTATTTACAAATCTTATTTATGCAGGAAGAGTATTTGCTTAATTACTTAAATGTTGAGCGATACCTGCAGTTTTCTTTTTTTTCATTCTTTTTTTTTTTTTTTTTTTGTGAGACAAAGTCTCACTCTGTCACCCAGACTGCAGACTGGAGTGCAGTGGCAAGATCTCAGCTCACTGCAACCTCTGCCTCCCGGTTCAAGCGATTCTCCTGCCTCAGCCTCCCGAGTAGCTGGGATTACAGGCATGTGCTACCATGCCTGGCTAATTTCTGTATTTGTAGTAGAGGTGGAGTTTCACCATGTTGGCCAGGCTGGTCTCGAACTCCTGACCTCAGGTGATCCACCCAGCTCAGCCTCCTAAAGTGCTGGGATTACAGGTGTGAGCCACCACGCTCGGCCTTGCAGTTTATTTCTAATATTTCACTACTACATATACTTTTAGAGATACAATCCTTTCATTCTTTTAAAATATTCTTTAAATTATATTTCCAGAAGTAGAATTACTAAGTCAAAACGAGACAATTTTTATGTCTATTGGTTTCCAAAAAGTTGACACTGACCTTCAATTGCAATAGGAAGTTTAGAAATGTCTAGTCTGTCCATAGCTTTGAAAATATCAGGAATTATCTGTTTTTGCTAATTTGTTCAAATTTGCTTTTCTTTGATTCTTACCAAGTTTGAACATTTTTCACGAATTTACTAGTAGTATTTCTCTTTGGACACTTATTCATCTGTTTTATTTCTATCAGTTATTAATGGGGTCATTTTAAAAAATAAGTATTTGTGAGCATTTTATTTAATATAGTTATTGGCCCTTTCCTTATTTGCTGAAAATACTATTTGCTTTCCCATTTGGGCTACCTTATTTTGACTGCAGAAGCTTCTAACTTAATGTCATCAAACTTGTTTATTCTTTTTTCATAACTTCTTTTCTTTTTTTTTTAACTGTTTTTCAGTGTAGGGAGCCCTCTCTCAAATCCCCCAAATCTAGTGCATATTAAATTCCTCATCTGGTTTTCCTAACATTTTATTTTCATATTTAATGATTTTATCCATCTGGAATTCCTTTTGATCAATATTCTAAGTTACAGGTCTTGATTTATTTTTCTTTCCAAAATGCTAACCAGTCATTCAATTGCCATTTATTGAATAATCCTTTGCTTCCCTGCTGCTTTGTTAAAATAAATCTTAAATATAATAAACTCTATTTTGGAGGACTCTCTTCTGCTCCATTTAGCTTTGCTTTGTAGTTTGCAAGACACTTTAACATACATTATCTCATTTCATCCTTCCTACCCTGCACTGATTGCCTGGTTCACCCCCTGCTGCTACTTCTGCAATGCAAACATCAAACAATCTGATTTGTCCCATGCCTGTCTTATAGATGGCAAACCAAACCCTGAAAGGTGACGTCACTCATTAACCAGCCCTCCCAGCCATTTACTACTGGGGAGAAATGGAAAATTTCAGTCTCCACTTTCCTATGCCCTGGGACACCTCATTCCTGCACTGGGGAAAACATTAGTTGCCTTTTCTTTTCTTTTCTATTCTTTTCTTTTCTTTTCTTTTCGAGATAGAGTTTCGCTCTTGTTGCCCAGGCTGGAGTGCAGTGGCGGCTATCTCAGCTCACTGCAACCTCTGCCTCCTGGGTTCAAGTGATTCTCCTGCCTCAGCCTCCCTAGTTGCTGGGATCACAGGCATGCGCCACCATGCCCGGCTAATTTTGTATTTTTAGTAGAGATGGGATTTCTCTATGTTGGTGAGGCAAGTCTCGAACTCCCGACCACAGGTGATCCGCCGGCCTCGGCCTCCTAAGGTGCTGGGATTACAGGCATGAGCCACCATGCCCGGCCCATTCGTTGCCATTTCTGTTGGATTCAGGGTCATCTGTGAGCCTTTTTTGGGTTCCCCCAAACTATGAACCATTTCATACACACACATTCACCTTCTGGGATACTCTGGTGGCTTCTGCTCCTGTAGCAGAGGAGAGACAAGCTGTTGGTGCAGAAGTCGCCGTCTGTGTCTGTGCTTCCCAGCCTGTGTATATTTGGCACTGACTGAAAACTCTGCTTTCTGTCAGTGCATTGGTGCGGTGACACGTATTCTCCAGTGATTAGATTAACGCTGGCAAAGCCAATATGAAAAACCCACACAGATTACCACTGTCACCCGCAGTAATTACATTTATTCATTTCCATTTAGCCAAGTTTTTACAAGCCGAGCAAGGGGCCAAATAAGCAATAAACACAGAGGCAAGAAATTAAAATGCTGATCTGTTTGCAGTGAAAACAATCAAACTATCATCTTTCTTTAGGCGCCTCATTCATCATCGGAGAGGGCCACACTGGTGAAATGGAGGTTGGGAGCCTAATGTTATTACATGTAAATTCACTAACATGAAATTACTGCCCCTGATGTGATTTTACTAATAAATTAGTTCATTTCTACCTTTTCGCTAGAGACTTTAGGGACCGTGGAGAATTGTACATGTGTCTCCTAATCTTGCCTGCTTTATTTCGGGCTGTCTAGCTGTTAAATTTCTGTTTCTTTTCACTCCCTCCCATCTGATTCTTTAGTTTCCTTGCTATGCCTTATTGGATAAACATGCCAAACAATTTGTTGTCTTCACATGTAGTTTGAAAATAAGCAGCTTAAGGACAAATTCCCTTTCGCAGGCAATGCGAACAGCATCGGGAAGCATTATAAATATAATGGTTCTTGCAGCTAGTTGGCAGCTATTATTAATTCATTGCTGGGTGTGGTGGTTTTTCTCATTTCTGTATAAATTTTCAATTTGAAAACAGAGTGGAGCCAAACTTTGCAATGTCAAGTAGCTATCGAAGCAAGGAAATCAATCTGCAAGTAGCTCCTTCTACGGGCTAGCCTGTCTGCTGTGTTTTCAAAGTAGCAAAGAGTGCACAGTGGAAGAGCAGCCAATGGCTCACAGAAGACAGATGCATAGTCTCCTCAGATTTGCTCCGTCTGTGGGACTTGCAGGGTGCTTCCTTTGCTTATTGTTAATGGTCCATGCCTGCACATTTATTTTTTAAAGATCTTATCCATTCTACTGTTTATCCTCAGCTCAACATCATGATCCATTTTGGCAAGATTACCAATGGTTTCTATGAACATGATTTCAATGCTACCAATGAGGGAGTGGAGATGATGAGAAGAGAACTTGAGACAAAGGAGAGACAAATCTTTTAGGGGAAACCCCCTGCTCCTCTCAGTACTCCTCCTTCTGCCCCCAAATGGAGGTTCTGTGAAATGTGGCCCAATTTTAAGTCCTAAGGGAAATGCGAAATATGCACAGTAGTATGTTCATGCTTTGTACAGCAAAAACATGTTTAAAAGTTTCTTTGATGCCGTGGTTCAGTGAAAATTAAAGGCATAGAAATGGTAGGCGTTACACATTACACACACTTCACACATGATCATTGAATAGAGTTGCCTCTTCTGCATAGCATTAATGAAACTGGCATGTTAAGGAAATAAACTAACATGAACAGGAAATAACTAATTTCCATATGCCTTGATTTGAACTTAATTTTACACCATGCAAAGTCACAAAATGAAGAGAAGGGTGCATCTTTTTTTTTTTTTTGGAAAAAAGTGAGAGTAAGTACTGTTTATCTATAATTACTAGACAGGTAATAGAATATTCTAATGAATTTAGAATTTTGTTAATGAATAAAAATATATGGATGATCAGTTTTAAAATAACTCTATTTAATAAAAATCTATTAATAAGCTACTATGTTTAAAACCTTAAGTTAAACACTGTGTTAAAAGACAAAAAATAGTCTTGCTTTTCAGGGTTTATGATATATTCAGATTCGTTTAATCCCTGGGGTCATCCTTGTGACTCACATCATATTGTATACTCATAGAACCTTGTACTTTTCTTTCACAGTTCTTACCATACAGTTTGTCATTATATTTTATTTACTTATTTCCTTGATATTTGTCTTTCCAATTAGACTTCATTAGAGCAGGCACTCTTTTAGGATTTCTCACCATTATATTCTCATTGACTGTATAGCAATTGTTTGATAAATATTGAATAAATAGATGAAAAATTGAATTGTATAGTCCTGTAAAATCAGAGATTGTGTAGAAGTTGCTTTAAATACGTATAATTCCAGGATAAATCATTTAACAAAGATGGTCAAAAACTATTTACTGAGCATCTATTATGTGTTAGGTACTCTAAGTGAAAAGCCAGACAAAAATAGGTGCCCTCACAGAGCTTACATTTCTAGGGAGAGTGGGTAAAACAAGGAATATGTTTCCCATCATGAGCAATAATGTTTGTTAAGTTGTTTATATAGTCCCCTATATCAGATATTGATCTTATCTTTGGGAACCAAGAACCCTGTCCTAATTTTTTCCTTTTTTGCTTTCTTAGCCCAACACTAAGTATAAGAAATTTTATATGCATCTATCTATCTATTATAATTATAAGTTATAAGAAGAAAGGGCAGAAACTGGCAGCCAAAGAGAAACTATGCATCTAGGTTTTATATATTCTTGGGAAGTAAAGACTTACAAAGTATGATGCCCCTAAGTTGTGGTATATCTGAGGATAGGTTCCTTCAATAGGATCAGATTCAAGACATGAGATGATGGAGATCTCATGTTTGTGGTGGTGTGTTGGTTCCCCAGATTCCTTTTATTATCAAAGAATGTAATGTAATTCCTCTATCCTTCTGAAATGTTCTTTTAAGTATGAGTATCTCCATTCCCACAATTTGCCTCCTGATCCATGGGTTTATTGGTTAATCATGGATATTATTAAATGGATTTAGAAATCCTCCAAAAGTATAGTAAGCAAAGGTAGGATTTAGTGTTAGTTTAATAATATAGTATTATCTTGCTCAACAACTGTAATTTCCATGTTCTTATTGATTGTAATTTATAACATCATTAGCTTTCTAAACTGCCATTAACTAATGATGGACTCTGTGGGCTTAACAGCTCTTTGAAATCAGTTACTGACAAGTTGGCCCCAGAAGCATTTATCAAAAGGATAATGGATCTCTACTGGAGTGACAATAAATTAGGTTATGCTCTTATTGAATTAAACAATGGATGAAGGAAAATTAGCTATCAATAAACATCTATAAAGCCTTCCCGATTATTCCCAGTCAATTATATCAATTAGAGATCAAACAGGGAACCCCTGCAGTACCTTAAATAGGACTAACCAGAGCCAAAGAGGCCAAATTGTGTTACAAAATACAACACCAGGGGCAGCTGCAAAAGAGGTAATCATTATCACCATTGACAAAAGGGCTGCTTTATTAGAACATGGGGTATTGCCTGGAGGCTTGCTTCTGGCTAGGGGACAAAGACTCCCTAATAAAGGCAAAAAGAAGGAAAGGAAGGAGACGTGGGAGAGGAAGAACAGGAGAAAGAAAAGGGAGAGTTGTGTGAGGCAGAGCACATAGTGGGATAAAAAAAGATACTGAAGAATTACTTGTATATGTGTATTTCTCCCTCTTTAAGTACAATAAGGTTAAACCTCTTGGCTTGTAAGAGTATTTGATTAGGTCTCTACTAAGCAATGACTTTTGTGGGGCCATTATCATCTTTAGTAAGTTTTAATTATACATACATATGTATGAATATGTATGTATGTATATGTGTGAATATACACATATACACATAACATATATATTTGTGTCTATACACATGAAATATATTAAAACATTTAATATGCAAATATTAAATCTATTTTGTATCTATACACGTAAAACATATATGTAATATTTAATGTATAATATATTGAATATATCTAATATATAGGCAGATACATAGATACACAGGTAGAGAGATAAATATCAACACTATTGCATTTTATGGGAGAAGTGTCTTGACAAGCTTATGTGGATTTTTATTGTTTCTTCACTAAAACATTAAAAAGCTTTAAAAAGGGAAACAAAATGTGTGCTCAAGTGACTTGAGGTCATTGATGAGATATAATGGAAGCTGAAAGACATGGCAGGTTTTCCTAATGCTCACATCTTCATTTCCATATACCTTATACACAGTAGACTCTCAATAAACGCTTGTTTAGATTTGACAAAAGGCTTAAATTTTACATGAGGGTAAGAGGAAATCACAAGCACAAAATAGTGTATTGGTCATCTGAGGCTAGAAGTCCACAGCTCTTCTGACATATGTGCCTTCTTGATCTTGCTGACATGTTTTATAAGTGTATCATTTTGTACTATGCCTTTGAATTTTATGGACATTTATTATGTGTTTCGGACAGATTCCACTTTATTGTTCTCCATGAAAAATTGCTCACCAGGAGTGGCTGCTGATTCTTTGTGTCTGCACTTTTTTTTTTTATTTTTGCAAAAGGAATTGCGGTTTTTGCCATTAAAGTATGGCATTCAAATATGCCATTAAAGTATGGCAAAAACCGCAATTATGCCATTAAAGTATGGCAAAAACCGCAATTACTTTTGCAAAAATAAAAAAAGAAAGTGCAGACATAAAGAATCAGCAGCCACTCCTGGTGAGTAATTTTGCCATACTTTAGTGGCAAAAACCGCAATTACTTTTGCACCAACCTAAGAGGAACCCAATTTGATGTGCATCTAAGTACTTTAAATTACCTGTTTCCATGTATGAGCCTTACAGAGGCCTGCTGGGGTTGGCATATGAGCCACAGAAGCTAAGTAGACCAGAAAGAGGGAAAGGAAAGGCCTAGGGAAGGCATTGTCACGATGCAATAGCCTTGGAGCCAGACAGGGTAGTGCTAAGATTCCACATCTGCCACTCATCAACTTCGTTTCCAGTCAGTTCACTTAACTTCTCTGCCTCCTCCTCAAGAAAATGGACACCATGAATCTGACCTTGCAAAGGTATGATGGTTGGAGGTGATGTTTGCATAATGCCTGCGAGTAGCACCAACCTTCTCATGGATTCCCTTAACTTTGAGCTTTCATTCTCCTCATCTGTAAAGTGGAGATGATTCCTGCTCTCATGATTCCTGCTATCTCACAGGGCATTTGTAAGTTACTAAAGTGATAATTAATTTGAAAAATATTAGCCAACTATAAAGTACTAAACATTTGTTAGCTGCTATACAAATCATAACCATTCTTGCTAGCTCCCTTTTGTTCCAAAGAGAAACATATTGTCATGTGATACCTTGTAGAAACAAGCTTTTCATAGGTAACTAAGATAGAATTTGTCCCTCTCCTCTTTCCATGCTCACCACTGTTCCTTAGTCACTTACAACACCATTTATTCCAATTTCTTCAATCTTCCACTGGTAAACATCAGTGGTATTACCCTGACTTTGTGCTAAGCTTGGAGGCATGTGGGGCTGTTTCCATCCTCACAAAATTGTAGGGCTTCCAATTGGTAAGTCTGCATGATCTGCTAATGTCTACTTCTCAATGCCCAGTCCTGACCAGGAAGAGATCATGAATTCCTCCAGCAGCACTTGTCATTTGTTCCAACCCTATTTACAACATTATGATTGAGGATATTTGAATATCAGAATTGCTACAAAGCATTGAGACAGGATTTTATCTGGACAGGGGCACTGAGGATGCTTCCTGAGAGGACATGGGGGTCTCCTAGACAGTCTTACATAGGTAGCATAGAAAGATACCTAAATGGGTCACTTCTATAAGGCCAAAGATCTTATTTTTTTGCCATTTGAGGAAAGACAAAATTCAGGAAAAAATGTCCTTGGCTGTGGAAAGCGAACTTACAAATGAAGGCAAATACCAATGATTCAGATTCTCCAAAACAAAATGTGCCTCACTTAATTTTGAAAGCTTAGGAAAAGTGGGCTTATTTTGAAATATCTAAAAAGATGACTCAATACATAATTGCCCTTTGAAGTGGAAAGGGAATTTAAGGATTTAGGTTCGTACTGCGATTAATAAATCAAGAAAACTGAATCCCAAAGTTGGCGCTGCAATGAAGCCCTTGGCAAATGCTCAGCTACTGTGGTCTTTCCCAGGGAAAAGCACAGTGGTTAGGAGTGAGTGTTAGCTTTCTAAGCCTTAGTTTCCCCCTTGCAAAAATGAGATAACGTTTAAATCACAGGATTATTGTAACGATTAAGTGAGATAACACAGATAAAGCACTCTACACGGTGTGGGAACATGGCTAAGGTTTCATAAGTATGGGTAACATTTTTGTTTTTGTTGTTATTTTGAGAGACAACATTTATCAAGCTTCTACTGTGTGTTACACACTTTACTTACCTATTTTTCTTTTGTAAACTCTGAGTATTTGTTTCTTCATCTATAAAATAGGTATGCTAGAACTTAGTTCAAAAAGTAGTCTTAAGTGTTAACTTTGCAAAGATGACACAGTTTGTCAATAGTAGATGTAAGATTTAAGTCCATGCTTATCTGACCAAAATTCATGCTCTTTGCACTACTCCTGTCTTCCAGCAAAGTCTATTGTGAACCATATCTTTTATTTATTATTATTTTTTCCTTTTATGTCGTCATTACTTTACTAAAACTTGGAGCAGTCCCTCAAAGATTCTTTATAGATATTAACTCAAAGGAAATGTCAAGTATGCTTAAGAGAAGTGGAGGGGGGAATGTTACTCTTTGTCCTTCTTGTGTTTTAAAAATGGAGAACTATGGTTCCCTGCAAATAACAGAGCTACTCTTTTCCAAAACTTGGTCTAAGAGTCTTTTATGACTATGGATAATACAGTACAAGTCCTTATTACTAATAAGCATCAAATGCATACATGCAGTCTCACAGTTGGGGGAAATAAATTGTGAAAAGGTATTGCCCTTCCATGAAGAAGTAGGTAGTTTAAGAGTTGTAGAAACAGCTTGAAACATAACAGTCTGCTGTGGGGATATAGTAGTCTTGTAGTGATGTGAGTATATCTATGTCTCTATATATAATGTGTATATATATATATCATATAGATTTATTGGGATTATATATATATATGGATTATATGTGTATATAAAATACCAATATTATATATATAATTCCAATAAATCTACAAAATACATAAAAATATATACATATGTAAAACACTGAGAAATATAGACAAATTTCTGACCTGAATTTGAGAAGCTTGCAAGGGAGAAAGAATGAATATACATTGAACACAGGTGAAAAATGTAAAACATGTTCTCAACATAGATAGGGTTATAAGTAGTAACAAATTAAATTGTCTTAGAAATAAGAATTATAAAACATAGCCAGCTCTTCAAAAATGCTTACAGACAGCTAAGTTTGCCAATGACACCTTTTAAAAATTTGTATTTGGTAACACAGCCCCTTTAGTGCTCTCATCTCATTAGTCTGAGGGTCACATGTAGATGTCAATTGACTATACCAGTATACTTCCCCAAACCACATTTTTTTTTTTTGCCATCCCAATGAGGGGAGAGAAATGAAAGACAGAGTTTACTGAATTCTTATTAGGCCTTCAGTCTAGTATCCTTCCTGACTTTCAGAAGTGGAAGATACTTTCAAAGTCAAGAAGGATACTAGACTTAAGTAGTCTAGTCTAGTATCTACATGCAGGCCTTAAGCATGTAAAACTTTGTCTAATGATGTGTGATCTGACAGGACATCCACTAAAATGCATGAAAGAAAAAAAATCTAGTTAACACAAATGCTTCTGAAAGCCTAAATATATATTTAAAACATTAGTAGTTCCACATTACAAAACGCATATTAATGTTAGCGGTAGACAAAATGATACACAATAAAATGCAGATTTTAATTCAACACAATGTCTAAAATTAGTGAGTTAAATTAGCTACAGTAGTTAAGGTTTATAAATTAGCTTTACTGGAGCTACACAAGATTTCTGAAAGAAACATTAGCAGTTGAACATACATTCATCACTCTGAAATAGACACACTCTGCCACATTCCTTTTGAAATCATCTGGGCGGCCTTAAATGAACTGGTGGCAGTTTCATTAAAGGCTTGATGGCATAATTTCATCTGTGATTTCAATTTGTTCAACTGGCCACTTTAAAGAAAGTTAATTTCTCCCTATGCTTAAACTTACTGCCCAGTGCTCCCTCATTAATGCCTCAGATCTCTATGAACAATTTCTACATTTGAGCCCCAGGCCTTTCCCCAAGATTCATTCAACACATATTTATTAAGCACCTACTAAGTGCTAGATGCTGTTCTAGATCCTGTAGATACAGCAGTGAACAATGCAACAATTCCTGACCTTATAAACTTTTATTCTACCTTGGGGGATACCAATGATCAATCAAGATAATGGGGTAAAATATAAACACTATTACATTTGTAAGAGTGTCAAGAAGAAAAATAAAGCAAGGCTGGGTGATAGAAAGCATGCTGGCTTTGGGAATGGAAAGGAATATTGAACAATTAGATGAAGGCAAGGGAAGACCTCCCAGAGAAGGTGACACTTAGGTCAAGACCTGAAGTAACTGAGGGGGCGAGCCCTGTAGCTATTCAGGGAATCAGAGGAGAGAAGACACAGCAAGTGCAAAGGCGCTGGAGGAGTGCTTCTCAAGTGCTTAAGGAATGGCAAGGAGTTCTGAGTGGAGTGAATGATGGAGAGTGTAGGAGCTGAGGTCAGAGGGTGAGAGAGACAGACCAGGTATGACCATGGCAACCATGATGAGGACTTTGGCTTTTCTCTGTTGAGATGTGAAATAATTAAAGAGTTTTGGGTAAAGGAGAGACACTTAAATTAAGAAGGTCCTAATCGTTTGAACCAGAGACTAGTACTTAGGGTCAGGTAAGTGAACCAACTGGGTGTAGCTGTGATCACAAAAACAAAGTGGGAGTTCCACATTTAGCAAGAGGCAGCAGTGATGAGGAAGAAATCTTGCTGATGTCTGCATTCAACACTGACACACATGTGGAATCAACAACACATTGCCACTCTGTGTCTCCTCTTTCCCTACGTAACCCTTGAACTGCAGATGAAGCCAAGCAGCAAAAAGTCCTTTTAAACCTCTGTTTAGATCCCACTAAATCCAAATGTTTTATTAAATAAACTTTCATAAAATAACACAGAACTGAAAATGACCCTCCAAGGCTGAAAGTCCTAAAAGTAAAAGTCTTTTTGCAAATCCCTTAATTTTTAAAACGCACACATGTTCTTTCCTACCACTAGCTTCTTTGCAAATGAGAACATATTACTAGTGCATGACAATGTTTTAACTCTCCAGCTTGCTCTTAACCCAGGAGGCACATAACTATAAAGAGTGAAATACATATTTGTTAACATTCACCTGTTATATACTGTTGTCATCTTAGGTATTTGGTGGCATATCTGTTTGTAGTAAAAGAGTACATAGGAAACCTGAAGGTAAAGTATCTTAAACTATAGAATGTATAAATTACAACACTCATGAACTGAGCAAGGCATTGAGACAAAAAGAAACCTACTGCCATACGGATTGGTATGTGATTCCTTGGCTGTTTTACCACTACCTGTTTGAGGATGAAGCAGTCTCCAATTTTTGAAGTGGGCAGTTTTCAAAATTGTCTTTTTATTACATGATTTGGAACTTTAAAACATTTTCCCTGAGAAAGAAGATTATTAATAGTGCTTGGGTTCCTGGGTGAGATCCTGAAGAATCCAAAGCATAGTTGAGTTGTGGCAAATATGTGATGTCTGGGTTCAGCAGGACAAGCCAAGGGCAGAAGGGAGAGCAGGAGGAAAAGAAGGAGGAAGAGAAAGAGGAAGGAGTTTCTTCTCCCCTTCAGAGTCCCTGAGACACACCCAGGCAACATTTTGAAATTGATTGTTGGATCTGGTACCTTCTCCATCGCTTTCTGTGCACATCTTCTTCCATCTAATCAGTAGCCCTCCTGCCAAGTCCCAAATGCCTTAAGCCTAGTATTATGTAACACTGGGGCCTGGCCTCTCCCAAGAGTGACCCATGATTCAAAATGACTTACCTCACCTCTATCTCAAACAAAATTTTCTCTGTCTCAGGACATCTGGTCCAAGCTACAAGTTTGGGGGAAAATTGATCCAAGTCCTTTGTTTTGAGGAGTGAATGACTAATAGAACAGACATATATGAAATAGAGAAAAAAAGAATAGCTTTTACACAAATAAATCTAGATCAGCAGACTTTCTGTCGGTGTGGTGGTATGAAGTGAAACACACAAACAGAACCATCATTAATAGAGTGTAGGAGAAGGGACCCTATCTGGAAAAACACCCCAGGGGTTGGCTCTTATAACTGGCCCCGCTTTTCTCAGCACAGCTTTTTCTCTGATTTTGAGCCTCGGTTGCACGTTTAATTTTCAATGAAGACACAATGAAGGTGTAATTGTTTATGGTGATAAACTTATATTTTGATGGGCCTGAGAATGTGGAGGAGGAGTAATAGTGAATGGGAAGGTGAGGGCGAAGTTGTAATTTTATTTTTTTGGTGCCAGCT
Organism: Homo sapiens; assembly: GCF_000001405.40. Lineage (NCBI taxonomy): Eukaryota > Metazoa > Chordata > Mammalia > Primates > Hominidae > Homo > Homo sapiens. Next base: position 51,543,208 of record NC_000006.12, on the reverse strand, counting down.
TTAGAAGATAAGCCACTTCCAAATCTCTGGGAGCCATGTATGCCCATCTATGTTCACTTTGCTTTCTTGTCACATTTTTTTCAAACCCAATGAATATAAAAGTTTTGAGCAAAAGAAGTTGTTTGAAAGGCAACTTATTTTTATCCTTATAAAAACTCAGCATTACAATAACTTATAGAAAGAATATAATGTGTTTCTTGAGTTTTTAATCATGTCTTGGTGTCTGCAAGCTAGTGATTTTATGACACTCTTCTTTTTAAGTAGAATATTACCTTTCAGTTTAGAAATAAATAGTAAGCCCCAGAAGTGTTAGCTCCATGAAAATAAATAAGAACTATGCCTAAAATAAGAACTTAGCATAGTTACTACTTTAAAAAAGAGCAGCTGAGCCACTACCATAAAACAAGACTAGAATTCAAAATGATAGTCAATTTATATTGCTGTACTCAGTGACATACTTTAAATTCCACAGCCTCCAAACATATTTTTGCATAGAAACTTGGCTGTAGTTCTCCCCCTCCTTTACTACACATCCCAACCGCATCTCATCCCTATCCCCACCCCTGCCATAAACATGTAATATGCCTCCATCGTAAATTTAGGGCCATCCTGATGTCACAGCTCCTCAGTGACTACTGAGATTTCCCAGGATGCAAGAGCACCAAGCGCTGGGAGCACTGTCAATAGGATTGCAAAGGAAGACTTGGAAATTTTATCGATGACTCTCTCCCTCCAATTTCCTATGTGCCTTTGCGTAAGTTGCTAACAACCAAATTAGTTAATGTTCAGGCCCTCAGAACTTGTGAAGTAATCATTCCTTTCTAAAGAGCACAGTGGGGGTAATTTTTACTTTTATTTGTTTTCTTTTACATTCATTGTATGTCTTTTTTTTTTTCCTTCCTTAATTCATGCTCCTATGGTTTTCCCCTCTGTGCCTCAGCTATATATTGCTTTGAAAAATCAATAAATCCTTTGCACATAATAATGCTTACCTACTCTACCTCACAGGGGTGCTGTGATGCGTAATTAATTAATGTGTGTAAAGAGCTGAGGGATCACGCGACACAAGACGCCCTATAAGTGGGAAGAATCATTATTAATAAGTGTTATTACCCAAATGCCTCTAGATGTCAGCAAAACATCTTTTTAAAAATATAATTGGGCAGCCCGTTTTGAAAAGCCTAGGTTCATTCTTTCTCTCCTGTACGGCAGACACAAGGAGAATGGCATCGGCAGCAATGCCAGTGAAGCCTTTTCTTTTGGCTCAGGGAGGCTCATTTAATCTTGGAGTATGAACTTTGAATAGATGTAAGCATTGGAACAAAGCAGCACTTGGATGCCTTGAGGTCTGAATGGGTGGCAGGCTGGGTCATTTTCTGGACAATCTGTATGAAAGATCAGTCTTTTCTCCAAAAATAGCATTTCATTTCCTCATCTCTGAAGCAATCTGTGTTGCTAGTAGATGAATGAGGTGAGAATATATATGGGGTGTGTGTGTATATATATATATGCATGTGTGTGTATATATACATATGCATGTGTATATATATGCATATGTATATATATGTCTTAAATATATATTTAAATGTATATGTATTTTTTCTCTCCATGTTCAAATATATATATGAGGAATTCATAACGGAAAAATAGGTGTAAGCTGTTTTAAATGTGCTGAGCCCAGTGATGCCTGCTGTACTGACTTCCTTCCATGGTGAAAATGTGAAAATGAGAATTATGGCAATTTCCCACAAAGTGCAGGTGATGACATCCCAGGCTTACGTCTGACATAGATTATGCAGTAATCCAAATGATCATTTGCTGACGCTTATCTCAATAACAAGTTATTCCTTTCTCTGCTCTCCTCTTGTATGTTATTGTGTCCACAGAGGTGTAAGTGTGAGGTGTGGATACAGGAGAAGAGAACCACAACCAGGGAACCCTGTTACGAGACTTCTTGAAAGTGTGAGTGCTAGGAGGTGGTGAAGTGCCAGGGAAGAAAACTCCGTTGGGAAAGGGCATTTCATTAAACTTATTTTAATTCAATTCAACACACCTTGATTTTGTGGTTGTATGCTAAGTTAGGCAATTTAGTTTACCAAGTACTTCTCAGGAAGGTAATAGTTTTATTTCAAAAGTCCCCATGATGAAAAAAAAATAGTATCCATATGTTATATTTAAGTCAAGTATAATAAGATGCAAATTATTATTTTTTGTCAGTATCCAATATCACACACACTTTGTTTCTCAAGGAAGTTTCACAAAAAGGTTGGACTGTTTATTCTATTTTTATCTTAGGTGTTTAGGGGAGTCCTTTAAATAATCTAGTTTTCTAGGGCAGACCAGCCTGTGTCCATGCAGTGTACTGGGTGTCACATGTCCCTCCGGGGCAAGAATGGAATGGCCCTTGATGACACTGAAATAGCTTTCTCCAGGCTAGATCTTGAGGCTCCGGACCACAGGGATGTGATGGAATATGGTTTGGGTTTGTCATGGACAATGAATGTGGTCATTTGCTTTACTTGCTTGTACTTCAGTCAGTCTTGTGGCTGACAAATTTGAGCCCCAGAGAGGTGGCCACAGAGAGGGAGGGAGGAGAGCAAAAGAGAGAGAAAATGCAAATATTGTTTAACAAGCATTTGCTTTAGTGAATTTAAAATCACTGAATTATGTAGACTATTGCTATTATTTTGGAGTGACATACATAAAACTCCACAGGAGCACCTCAGAAGGATTCAGATGTAGGTATTTCCTCCAGGTGCATAGATGGTTAGAAAGGTTTAAATGCACATCTGCTATCAATCCCCATTCTCTGCTTAACCTCCCAGCCTGTCTCTTCCTGCATGTTTGCCCTGCTCCTCCTGACAGGTCTCCTTACCTAGGCAGAGATTAAGCCAATCTCTCAGTTTCCCAGTTCCCCTCACGGGACTGTCATAAGACTTAATTAAATAATGTTCATAAAGCATTCTGCTGTTCAGGTGTCCCTGGATAAAATGCAGAGCACAATATTATTGTGATTATTATTAATTAGGATGATCTTGTCTGAGGCAAGGGATGTTCCCTGTCAGCTTTAGAGAGTTCTACCCTGACCTTTACTTCTGCAGAAGGGATTTGCAATTGAAATGGCTGAACTGTAATCCTTGATCTTGGAGAAATCTCGAGAAAGCAAGAGAGATGACAGAAAAACTGAGAATTTGGAGTTGCCAGGCTGATTTCTAAGAGGAATAAAGGAGATGTTCCAAACACATTACCAAGGCTCTTAATTCTAGTACTTTTCCCTCCACCCTCAAATACTCAGATTTTTTTTTTTAAGTGAAACGCTGGTTTAACAATCCCTGGAGAATGTAGTAGCTACCATTAAGAACCAACATAGGGGTCATCAAAAACAAGCAATTACTTCCATCTTCAGTTTTTCCTTTGAGAGGATCCTTAGACCAATAATTAGGGAAATGTAATTGACATAGAAGCGAGACTTTGGGGAAACATTTGAAAAAGCTCCTTGTGAGAGCCTTGTGGACAAATTTGAGGACCACTGGATTGTATGTGGGTAAATATGGCAGGGCTCCATCGTAGACTCCCCCTTGCTCAACATTTTTATTTGATAACTACATGCCATATCATTTGGAATAAAAGCAAACATATTAAATGTATAAAAATTGTTGATAGCTGGGGCTTGGTAGTCTAAATTGTTGAAAATAAAATTCAGCAGGAAAAATTGTAAAGCTTTGCAAACCAAACTGCAAAAGCCTAGGCAGGGAAAGATATGGCTAAGCATAGGCTATGTGAGTTTTGGCACTGAGCAAGCTTGGCAGTACACTGTGGCAATCGAGAAAAGTAGATGCAATTCAGACTTCATCAACCAAACATGTTGTTTTATCCTAGGCAAATAAAGGGGATATCACCAGGCTAGGGCATAGACTATACGGACTTTGAGGGCAGAGGTGGTGCTTTATTCATCTGGGTATCACCACCTGACACAGTGCAGGGACCCAGTAAATGTTTGTTGAATGAACAAATTTAGGATTTGGAAACATGCCATATGAAGCAGGACTGTTGAAAGTTACGATGTTTAACTTGGAAAAGAGAAGACTTGGAATAATATGATCACTGTCTCCAAGTACTGGAAGGAGGATTGGCATATGACAGAAGGACAAGGTGGGTCCTAATGGCCTAGGGGATCCTTTGGGGACTGCTGTGTTCAGGCTGCTCAGTTGCACAATTCTGGTGGCAGCACTCACTTAGAAAATGGCTGAGGAGCCTAGAGATGTGCAGTATCTAGCCTGTACAGCTGTACAGGGAAGCCTCAGAGTATATAAATTCTGAGGAATGGAAAATGTTTCCCTATATTGAGCCAAAATCATATCAGGCTTTCCAAAATTCTATGAGCTGCCTTCAAACCTAGAGATTCTGTTGGTCACTTTTCCAAATTATGGAATTTGTAAAGATGTTCCAGGAAGGTTCTGTTTTATAAGGTGGTCAGTTTCAATTTTAACTAAAAATAATTATCTAAATAGTTTCCCTTAAAGTAGAAGGAACCTGAACATATGTAAATAAGGACAGAATTTGCATGCTGGCTGATAGATTCTATAATCATGCATGTGATTCAGCCACTCGGGGTTTGGACATCTAGCAGAAAAAACAAAAACGAAAACACTATAATTGTAATCATTACACATTTTAGAATCATTTTACCCTTGGAAATCAGGGCATAATTTATACAAGTAATGGACATAAAAACACTGATGTTTTAATTTTAATTGGAGTTAGTAAGGAGAATATAAATGATTATTTAATAATGCTATAGAAGGTATTGTGTGCTAGGTGCTGTTCTAATCGCCTTAAAATACTATTTCATTCAATCCCTCTAACAATTTTATGGGATGGACACTGTTGTTATCCCCATTTTACGACGAGGAACCTGAGGCGCAGAAAGGTCACAGAACTAGAAAGCTGCATAGTAGGAAGGCAAGGAAACAGGGAAGGTGGGTTTAAATTAAGGTACCTGGCTCCAGGGTCCCTCTCCTAAGCATCACACCGTGCTGGCTCTCTACAAAGGAGCCTCAGAACCTGTCTGGTGCACTCATGTGATCAGGGTTCTTAAAATAGATTACTGTGTCTTCAGTCCTTCCAAATGAATATGGGAAATATAGCAATGATTATGGCCAATTTGGCTGTTCATTTGTTGCAAATAAAGACTGCCCATATCCAAATGCATTATCTGTAGAGACGTAATGTAAATAGCACCCCCCAGATTTCTCTAGTCTTGTCCTTAGAAGCAGAACGGAAGTTTAAAAAATAATAATTAGTGTGAAGTTCAATAATTCCAAATAATACGTGATTATAGTATTTTTAAGATTCTGATGCTGCAAAACATAGTTAATTCTCAATCCATATTTTAATACAAATAATACCTGTCAAATTCAACACATTAAAAAATTTATTTGTATGTAAATAATGCTTTTTCTTACATAATTAAAATAGTAAGTTAAGCTGTATATGTTTGTTAAATGGGAAAAAGTAAAACTTACTTCTGTATGTAATAAATATTATTATATTAGAAGTACTTCAGTATATAATTTTGAATCCTATTTTGTCTTAGAATAAAATAGATTTTATTTTTAAAATGTCCCTGTATTCTCTTTCCTCCATCTTTCTGCACTGCCACAATGGTGTGCATGGACATCCTGGCTGTTGCTCTCCAGAGCATCAACAATGCTGAAAAGAGAGGCAAACGCTAGGTTCTTATTGGGCCATGCTCCAAAGTCAGCATCCGGTTTCTAACAGTGATGATGAAGCATGATAACATTGGCGAATTTGAAATCATTGATGATAACAGAGCTGCGAAAATTGTTGTGAACCTCACAGGCAGGCTACACAAGTGTGGAGTGATCAGCACCAGATTTGATGTCCAACTTAAAAATCTAGAAAAATGGCAGAATAATCTGCTTCCATCCCACCAGTTTGGTTTCATTGTACTGACAACCGCAGCTGGCGTCATGGACCATGAAGAAGCGAGTCAAAAACACAGGAGGGAAAATCCTGGGATTCTTTTTCTAGAGATGTAATACATATTTACAAAAAAGCCCCTATTCTATACCATGAAAAATCAATGCAATGGTTTATAAATTACTCATGGTTATATTTTTCTCAAGATTATATGTTTCCATGAACGTGTTTCACAGTTTTAAAATACTACAACATCCATTACAGACTAATCGAGAAATGAGACTGAAGTCACAGAATGTTGAAGGCCTTTTTCCTGCTAATGTTCTATGTTATGACATCATCATGTATTCACTATTTTTGCTCATAGGATAAGTTCAGTGTATTTATTGAAGTTCATCTGGTTTATTCAAATGAGAAAAAAGCTAGAACTTAGGGCATTTTCTAAAAGATAAAGCCAAGGTTAACTCCTAAGTTTGTGGTTATGAAAGGAGGGGAAAATTTTAAAATGCCTTGTATCTATAGTAATTATCTAAATCCTACTCATTTTTCAATTCCCAGTTATAAGATCACCACAAGCAGGCCATCTCTCACTACCCCAGCCTTTTTTATCTTATTTAGGAATTAATGTGGGCTCTTAGGCACCTGGAGTCTTGCATTATTATTATGAGAGAAAGTCTCCAATTTTTCTGTTGTAATCTCCTTTAGTAGGTCTTCTCAGTTATGGTTTTAAATTCAGGTACCTGGCTCTAGGGTCACCTTCCTTTTAAAAAACACACTCGTAAAATTCTTTATTTTTCTTTTGGCATGTGGTAGTATAGACCTCAGTGTACGCACATAGAAAGTGCTCAAGGAGGTCTTGGTCTTAAAGTTCCTCTGAAGATTAGATGATGTCCTTAACCTTACATTTCCTTACCTGGTGTTTTATGCCCTTAATGAAAAATAAACAGACCAAATAATTTAACAGTGAATACCTGGAGGGTCCTTCCCCTGGCTGTCTGCTCTATGAACTAAAAGGAAATAAAAAGGCAGCTGAGATGCCTGAAGGAGACAAGATAAGAGGGGAGAAACCCTCTCCTAATCACCAAGATTCTTTAGGATCTCTTCTCAATTCACAGTGCTAATTTATTGCCTTAAGTATTACCAGAGCCATCTAATCAGTTTAATTTCACAAAGTTGCACTTCCTTTTCCTCCATAAATCTCCCCATTCCCAGTTTTTTGCCAAGGATGATGCTCTGTGGCCACATTAGTTGAAAGAGTAATGGAAATTTAGAAAGTAACTAATGACCTAAAGCTTCTTGGGAGAACTTTAAAAAATAGCCCCAAGTGCTGAATTACTGATCAGCACTTGTCTTCTCCACTTTAACATACTCCTATTACCATTTGATTTAAGAAATTATTTCTGACTACTGAAAAATAGGAAAAAACAGAACATTTTTAAAGGAGAGGGTGGAAGCTGGTGGTGGGAAGGCAGGAATAAAGAAAAATGCAATCTCACATCTGCAAAAGTAGTTCATAAAGAATCTGGAAGATGAAACTTGTTCAATGTTCTCTCTCTCTCATCCTTTCTAAGTCTCTTTCTCTCATTTTTTCTCCTTCCCTGTGTCTCTCAACAAAGGCCTAAACAGTTAAAAATGGAGACACTCTATGTCACTTAATAGCATCTCTGTTGATCTTTCTCCAGTAGGTGTAAGTACTGAGAGCAACAGCACCTCTTGTCACCAGCTGCGGATGGGGAGTGGCTGCCTTAGGGGGATCTGAGCCTAAAAAATCCACCACTGAGAAAAGGCAATAACAGAAGTCTGTTGCTGTCTAACCTGCCATATAAATGAAACAATCAAACAAGACAACAAAGGAAACTCCAGTAACCACCAGAGGCAAAAGCAGTTGGTGTAATATATCCTGGCTTCAGTAACTATTTTTAGTTTCCTCCCATCCCCCTTAAAAAAAGAACCAACTCTAATTTAGATTAACTGGGAAAAAACATTAAATAATTCAAGAGACAGAGACAGAGAAGTGAATAGCAGAGAGACAGTGAGGGTACATGCCTGAATGAAATAAAAAACACATTGATACCTTGAAATGTGTGTGTGAATGTGTTTGTAATCAATAGCTATTGGAGATTATTTTAAAACCAAAGAACCACCTTTTTCCCACAGGAAAGTGTCTGCAAGTGTTACTAAATTACTCTTTATCAAAGCATGTATTTTTTAATATCACTCGACCCAGCATCCTGCTATCAGTGGGCAAGGCTGGTAACTGAATTCTCAATGGAACTGTAGAATCTTTTGGATTCGAGAAACATTTAATGGCTTCAAACACCAATCTATGAAGTTTCATATGTATAATTATTTTAGAGAGCTTTGGAAATGATCTTGCTAGTTCAATTAACATCTCAGAATAACCAAGACAGGATGGAGCATTCTTGGAATTTCCTCTCATTTTGCCTCATTGACTGCAAAATGCAGCCTCCTAAGGATCCAGTAGTGACGAGCTAGCCCATTTATTCTCTCACTACTAGATGGAATTTGTTCTAACAGGCACTTCCTCACATTGTAGAATTTTGTTTCATCCAATCAAATCTTAAGCACTTGAAGGTGTTGGACGCTTTTTTCCTAACTTCCCCCAGTTGTTTACTAATAACTTCATTCCTGAGACTCCTTTGAGAGGTACTTACATTAAGAAATGGATACATAACAATGGAATTTCTGGATGCTGAGACAGGCCAATGGTGAGTTAAGTGGCATGGTGGGGTGTTGTGCTCAACATAAAACAGAATGAGAACATTGAGAGAAAGCAAGAGAACCTTGGAAGAGAAGAAAAAGGTTCTGTAAAGGAGAGAAGAACAAAGTTTAAAATTCATGTGGTTGATAATTCTCTTTAAGATTAACTTTGATTGTCATCATCGTTTTCACTTTCCTATTGATCCTATTCTATTAATCTTGGGGCATTTGTGAAGTAGCAGGATCCTACCTGATACTGTACAAGAGACCATCTTTCAAGACCACAGTCTTTAACCTGATGGCAGAAGTACAGGCAAGTGCACAAGGAACTTGGAAGAGGTGACCTAAACCCCAAAAAGCAGAAGTCCTGGAGCTGTACTAGGCTTCAGAGACAGAGTCAGCTATCTGAGAAGTTATGATCCAGGCAAACATCAAACACTTCCCCAAAAAAAGACTAGACGACTAGACAGAAGAAGATCCTACCAAAGACGACCATGGCTAAAAAGGGATGTGAGACACTAATCAATGGCTGAATGGGAGATGGGCCTGGAGCAATGGCTGGAATGGGGATTTCCAGGGCTTCAGGAAAGGGGAACAGCTATATTTCACAGAGTGCTCATGGTCTTCTATGTGGCCAGCAGAGGAACGATTAAGGTCAGGGCTCTGTCTTGGTAATTAAAAACTTTCATAAAGAGAAGAATAATGACCTCAAATGCAGGCATATAGAGATCTTTCTGGAGATCCAGGGTAAGTGCATTTCAGGGCATCTTCAAACTTTTATTGTGTTGCAAAAAATCGTGTTCTTATTAACATGAGCTGGTTTATTTAAGGGCATGGTTCAATGACTTATTCATCTAATATGTAGAAATAGCCTTCGTGTGCAATAATGTCAATTACATCTGGGCAGGAGATCAAGCACCTGTCTTAGGACTTTAGTCCACTTTGGCTCTCTTCTGTGACAAATAGTGATTTTCTTGCAGAGATAACCCCCACCCCAACAAATGCTTATGTTTCTTGGATAATATAAAGTCTACCCCTTTCTTTCTAGCTCTGCTTGCTGCTTGGCCTGACATTAATTCTATGTCTTTGTATCTCTGGATCTCTCTCTCTCTTTCCCTCTTATCCTCACCCTCAAATGCCCCCTGAGTGTGTTCCCTGTTCATTTATTCCATGTCTCTGTGTTTTGCTTAGAGATAATGTACACACAGTTCTCAGATGTAAAGTTACCTGCACTTTGTAGTAATTAGTCATAGTTGAAATTTATGGATATTACCGACATTTATGGAGAAGAAGTAATCACAGTTCACATTATAGGACAAGGAATGTTTGGGTATGGCATATGCATAAAGTTTTACTCCTTGTGACAGCCCTATCATGGTAACAGGTGGGTCCTATTACAAGTGGGAAAGTTGAGTCAAACATGATCACCAGAAAATGGCTAAGTGGGATCTGAACCCCAGCAATCTGCTCTGAGCCCATGTTCTTAAAATTTACACAGTACTGCCCCCTTTATGAATAGCATGTGTTCAGAAACAGCCCCGTGGGGAACAAGATCTTAGACATATCTTTAATGTTTTATAGCTCATAAAGTTATTTTACATACACTATTACATTTCATATCTGTATTCAGGAAAATGGGTGTTAGTAGGAAAATGAAAAGACATGTTCAGGACTCTGCAGAATTGAGGCTTGAGTTTGGTTTTTGTGCTCAAAATTGAGTGCTTTTCCCACTTTAACTGTTTAACTTCAGAATAGGCCTTCTCTTGGCAGGATCCAGATGGCCACAAGAGCAGAATCTATGTGCTGGAAGTATGGAAGAAGGGAGGACATATAGAGAAAAAAAAGGAGGTGAAAGGGATTACAAGTGAAAGGGAATGTGAGAAGAATTTGGTGGAGGGTTGGTCCAGAATCCAAAAAAACAGCTTTGAGAGTAGGGAGTGTAAATTTTTTTTTTTTAAAAAAAAGGAGGAAGAAGAAGAAAGGGGGAAAAAAGAAGGTAATTGTCCTCTCTTGCAAAGCATTCTTGCAGTTAGGGGTATAGACTAGACCAGTGCTTTTTAAGTGTTAATGTGCCCAGGAATTATGTGGGGATTGTATTAAAATCTAGATTCTGATTCAGAAAAGCTGGGGTGGGCCTGAGAGTTTGCATTCCTGAAAGTACTCCCTCCACCCACCCAGCTGTGACCCTTCTACTTGTGCATAGATCACACTTAGAGTGGCAAGAGGATAGATAACTTCTAGAGAGATCCTCCTGCCTTAGTGCTCTGAATTCCATGACTGTTCCCTGAACTTCCCACCAGTCTAGCATCTCAGTTCACTGGGTCATCTTGCCCACTTCCCTCTGCTAGAGACTTGCTGAGGCTCAAAAGTCTCATTTTGCAACCCCAATTATAGAAACCGACTCCCACTTTTACCTCAGAAATGTCTGGACCATGAGACCACTAGTCACAGATCCTGAGGAAAAACTTAGATCTTTCTGTGAGTGAGTGACGCAAGGGCATTTCCTGATAAGACTCTTTTTCCTGTCAAAAAAACAAAAGTTTCCCAAAGTTTCTTAGATGCCTGAGGACACAACCTGCTCCAAGTGACCTACATTTAGGGAGGTGGTAGATGCCCAACCCCTGCCCAAGCCCTCCTGCTTTGGGAGCCTGGAGTTTCACTCACAGATCACACAGGGCTGAGCGAAGTGCTCCTAGGGTGCCCTACCCGTCCTGACACCAGCCCTTTGAAATGATATTAGCTCTGGCTAATGGTCTGTAAATGTGTCAGAATGATGCCACCTAGTGCCACAAATGCCATTTCCCCTTGTGAAGTCACACTGTCTGCACCACAGCAAGCCAGAATATAATTAGTGTTAATTTGGTTTTTCACTGAATGACTACTGCACAGCATTCAAGGTCTCCACTCTGTGCTTATCTGGGAACATTCTTTTTTAAACATGCTGAGGGGTGGGGGCAGGAATATTAGTGTTCCTGTTCATGTTAGGGTGGGAGGACAGCACATTTGGCTCCTTTTTTGGCTGATGATTTGGAGGCACTAAATCAATATATGTCAATGAACTAATGTACAGTCTGGAAAGAATCCCAGGAGGACAGATATTCTAAGCCCCTTTCATTGTCCCCTCAGGCCAAATGACACCCAAAACTTTCCATCTAGATCAGTAAATATGCTCACCAATACACAGAATCTAGTGCATTGAACAGTATCATCATCTTGAAATACAATTTTAGTGCACCGAGGCCCATGTGATAGCTTTTAAAAATTATGTTTATATTGTTCTGTTGCCTGGTTTCTTTGAGGGCTGGACTAGTTTCTATCAGGTTTAGGTGCTCTGGCTTCAAAATCATTTTGTGAATATTCTAACTTAGGTTAAGAAGTTCTTACATAGCTCTGTGAGGTACCCGACCTCAATGAGGAAGCTGATCTGTAATTTCAACTACAGCCTGGTTAGTGAATTTGTTCTTGTTTAGGTCTCAGGAGAAATACAGAATAGCCAGGCCTATCACTCTGATTTCTCCTACCTGGTGATGGGCTCTTGCTGCTCCCTCCACAGGTTAGCAGGTGAACTTTGTGAAAAGATGCCAGTAATATATGCCTACATATTTAAAGATTTGCAAAGGGCAACTCTCCAGACACCTTGCCATATCTGGTGGGATGCCAGTCTCTACAGATCGTTGATCCTCCTAGATAGCAGAAGGCAGAAGTACCCCTGGAATATGATCCTTCACAGTCAGTGGTGGGGACTGTGAAATAGGGCATTGAGATTCCCAAATATTTTGCCTATGACTCTCAATGATTAATTGAAGAAACTACTTGGGAACAACTCTTTTGACTTTTAAAGAATATAGTTTAGTATGAAAGGGATATTTTATTCCACTACGGGGAATCTTTGAACAATGTTAGCACTAGATTGGTTTATGCATGGTTTATTCTTTCTGAGAAAGGTGAGTATAACAACACTTTAACTTTTAAGGTAGTGAGTTAAACTCCAGGCTGGTAGTGGCATATGTCAAGACAAATCACTTTCTTTTGGTACTAGGTCACTGTGCCATGAAAACACAGAATTTATTCACAAGGAGGGATGCTAACAGTACTGTAACTGCTGTATCCTTACCAGTGGACTATTCCATTGTCAGTAAGGTAGGCACGTCCCAGGCACTGTGATTTATCTTGGTGATTTATCTTTGTTACTAACGGCATCGTGGCCCAGAAATTCATAGCTTCAATGACCGGGAGAGTGGCAGCAGAAAATCCAAATGGCAAAGAAACTTTTGGACCTGAGACACCAGCAGAAGTTTAATGAGGAGAATGTTTGGTATCCTAAGTTCTGGAATTAAAATTACCATACCAAGATCACCAAATTAATGTGAGTCCCCAAGCACTGTGGAGAAGCAGAAAACCCACTGTGAGATGTAGAAGAAAACCCACCATGCTTTCCCTGTCCTCTAATATTACATCATGGAGTCTCAGGGTTTAAATTTGCATAAGAGGCCAATTTGTCCCAGTTTCTGTGAATCTAAATCTTGGACCTCCACTGTGGCATTCCCTATAACTAGTGATCCAGCCTCTAGGTGCCTTCTCTGAGGGATAGAGATTTTATCTCAAGGTAGTCCAATTCTTTCCTACTTCCTAGGTCGGTTGTGAAGATAAAATTAGGTGACCAACATAGTGAAATTGCGTTTTTCAAAACTTACAACAGTGAAAGGGATCTGACCTAACTGACTCCATTTTGCTTCTAACCTCCAACCTGCCCTTGCTCATTCCTGGGAATAGGCCAAGCTAACTATCAGAGGAATTTAGTTTATAGTGTAACTTTGAAACAAAGATGATAACAGCCCCTTCCTCAAAACAAATCTCCTCATTGCTTGGGGACCAGATTTCCTTTGTAAAACTAATGAATCAGCCACAAGATTAGAAATTATGGCTCAGTAGTCATGCAGCCAGAGGCCATAAGATTCCTAACCTCCCCAATTGCTTCTATAGAAAACATTACTATTATAAAACCTAAGATCGGTTTTCAAGGTGTTTTTCAGATCCTGCATTTGGATGGACCAGCTGGTGCCATTCAGGTCAGTAAACTGGCTCATCTGGTTTTGTGACCTCTACCCAGGAACTGACTCAGCAAAAGAGGACAGCTTCCACTCCTTCTGATTTCATCTTCAATCTGACTGACTAGTATTCCCCATTCACTAGCCCCCTACCTGGCAAACTATCCTTAAAAAATCCTGTCCTTTAAAATTTTGAGGAGGTTGATTTGAGTAATAATAAAACTCTGGTCTCCCATTTGGCTAGTTCTATGTTTATTAAACTTTTTCTCTATTGGCATAATTCTGTCTCAGTAAACTGGCTTTTCTAGGCTGCAGGCAAGATGAACCCATCAGATGATTACAATAGTGGAAAAGTTTGAGCTTGGACTCAGCAATGACCAGCTCTATAATCTTGGCTAAGTTACTTTGTTCCTCTGTGTCCCTGCATATTTTTAGCTAAAGTGAATATATTAAAAAAAATTATTTCTGTTAGACTCTTGTAAAGTGGGAGGGACAGAGAAGCATATTCAGGCTAAGTAGGTTAATGAGGAAGTAAGGAAGAATGGAAAACAATCTCAGAAGCTGCAGAGTGAGGCTTCCCAGCAAATCAAATGAGACACCAGGCTCTGCAGCATTTTGGCAATCTGGTTATTTTGCTGTCTCCTCAGCAATCCATTGCCATTCATTTCCACTCTCACAGGCTACCAGTGTTGTGACTCATCACTTCTGTCTCTGCTTCTATTGCCCCTGCTGCTACTGACTGTGTCACTCTGTGTCTCTAGTTCACAGTGCTTGAGAGAGCTGATTTGATGCATCTAACCTTTCACAAGCTAATGACAACCATCTTGGCTGGGCAGAGCTCTCACTTGGAGTCCGTCACAGCTAACTGCTCCTGGTTCAGACATTCATATGGTCACCTGCAAATATGTGTTGGGCCCTTGCTATGTGTCATGCTCTACTCTAGGCATTAGGGATCCAGAGGTGAGCCCAGCAAAGTCCCTACCTTCCAGTCAGTTGGGAAGAGACAATAGTCAGTAGACAACTAAATCACCAAGATAATTTCAGATAGCAATACAATATATGAAGAAAGTAAAAAAGGGTCATACATAAAGAGGAGAGTGGGGGTGATTGTGACCCCTGCACCTCAAATTTTCACAGAATGGCACTCTGAGAGGGAAGCATTTGAGTTGAAACATGAAGGAGGGAGACAGCATTGCTGGTTCTTAAAGAAGGGCATTCTAAGCAGAGGGAACAGTTGAATGTGAGGCCCTGACTTGTTATGACTAAAGAAGAGAAGAAATATCAGAGGCTCTGGGATATTAAGAATATTGAAAGGAGGGTGAATGGGATGAGGCAGAGAAGGGGATGGCATGTGAAGGGGTTTGAAGGCTGTGAAAAAGAACTTAGGTTTTATTTTCACTGCAATGTGAAGCCATTGAGTAGTTTAAGAAAGGAAAATTTTATTTGACTTTGCTTTGTAAAAATGAATAAAACATGAGAAAAGACATGAAGGATAAAGAATGAAAACGTGTTAGGAAGATATTGCAGTGGTTCAAATAAGAAATGATGGGTCTTCAACTAGGGTTTTAGAAGTTGAGGTGGTAACGGGAGGCGAGGTTGCAGTGAGCCGAGATCACACCACTGAACTCCGGCCTGGGCGACAGAGCAAAACTCCATCTCAAAAAAAAAAAAAAAAAAAAAAAAAGAAGAAGAAGAAGAAGTGAAGGGGTAAGCAATAATTAAAATGAGGATTTACTTTGAAAATTAGCCAACTGAAATTGTTTTTGGCTTGGAAGTAGAATATGAAGGAAAGATAGAAATTGAGGGTGGCTCCTAGTTATTTATGTAGGCAACTGAGTGATTAGTAGTGCTATTTATTGAAATGGGGGAGGCTATGGGAGGCACAAATTGAAGAGTGGAAGGCAATAAATAATTCTGTTTTGGCATGTGAGGCTTGAGGTGTAGGTAGAGATGTGTAATCCACAGCAAGATTTACAAGCATGGAATTCTGGAAGTGGTCAGGCTGGAAACAGACTCAGAATTCATCAATCAGAAGATAATACTAAAAGATATAATCCATGTTCTATAAAATAAAGTCTATTAAAAATGTAGCTCTGGATGAGACCACCTAGGGACAAGTTGCAGATAAAGAAAAAGTTCTGAACAGATCTGTGGGGACACTCTAACCCCGAGAGAGGCATAAAGCTTGAGTAGCCCACAAGGGAGACAAGATGGCAAATCTGAAAGAGGGCGAAGCCTGGAAAGAGGGGTGCCGCAGTGTCCAAGAGAGAAGAGAGTTTCAAGAAGAGTAGTGACAGGCCATTCTAAATACTACAGAGAGTCTGAGTAGGTGAAGACAGAGAGAGTCAACCAGTTTCATCTTTGTTCAAAGAGGAAGTGGCTACAGGTGACCCCGAGAGCATCCTGTCCACTACACAGCCCCACCAGTTTGCGAGAAAGTCAAATGAAATACTTCAGTGAAGGCCCTTTGCAACCTGCATGGTGCCGTGCATATATAAGCTAGCCAGTGAGGAGCCATTCTCACCCTTCTGGCCTTCCCATGGGCTCACCCCTGCAGCCCCCTAGACTTGGCCCCACCCACCATCTTCAACAGAATCCTTTCTAGTCATTCTTCAAATCTCAGCTCAGGAAAGGTTCCCTGATTCCAAACTCCTCCAGGTATTTGGTGACTCTCCAAGGCGTTTCCCTTTATGTAACCTCTCAAATAGCACTTATCACATAGTACTATAATTATTTATCTATTACCCCATTGGACTGGGAGGTTCTGAACACGAAGAGTGCTTTTTGTCTTCACATTTCCACTGTACAGTTAGCCACAAAGTTGCTAGATAAGTGTTTATTGAACTGGATTGCTTGCTTTTGTACTGAGCTGAATTTGTCCTCCCCTGACTCCACAGGTGGCTCCTGAGTACTTTCTCTGGGTTCACACTATTCACATGTCCTTAAGAGGTCTAGTTGCATCTTCTAAGGGCCTCAGACCCAGGGTTACCCAGAAAGAAGAGGGGGTTAGGTATTGGTAGGGGTTCAAACATTAGATGTTTTCTTTTCTATGCAAAACAGTTGTTTTAGTTTAGTTCAATTTTGCTTATTTCTGAGTGATACAGGCTGAATCTTCCACCCAAAGCGATATATCATCAGAGCAGCCAGGGAGGCTGTGGCCAATTAGAAATCTGGAACTTGTTTATCAGTCAGTCAACAAGTTAGCAGAACCCACTGGGTTTCAGGGTGCTGTGCGCGGCATGCAACAGCACTTATATTGGAGTTAGGCTGAATTAGTTTCATTTTCACAAACATATAAAGTCCCTAAGAATCCTCACAAACTGTTAATTCTATTCTTGTTTTATGAGTGGACTCATGGGGCAAACAGATGTAAACTACACTGGACTCTAAAGAAAAAAAAAGCAATTGTGAATTTAGCACAAATACTTCTGTAGAGTGTGCCTGGGGTGCTCTTGGAAACTCACTCTCAGAAGGCAGCATCCAAACACTGTCACCTGCCAAGTATTAACCAGGCTAGTTTAAAAACAGAGATCTCAGTTAGAATTTTAACTCATGTAATATTGGGGATTCCCACTTTCCTAGGGCTCTGAAAAGAATCTGGTATCTCAGGGAAACAATAGCAAACATTAGAATAAAATGGCACCTTCCATAGTTGTCCCAGGCATAACTTGTGGGGCTATTCGTGGCCACCTTGTATAATCTGTAGGCAATTGCAGCTGACCTGCACCAGTGAGTCAAGCCCTACGTTCAGATGTCAGAACTTGTAGTTTTCTGTTATAACCAATTATTGTTTACAAAAAAGGAAGAGTTGCAATGTTATCCTATGGAAGGTGTTTTGTCCAGGAGTCTAATAAGTCTTTCCCCAGAGTTACTGACTGTTGGTTTCTCTATTAGACAGTCTTTTCTCTTAGAGCTTTGACAAAACCATTATGTGTAATATATCGTGTCCCCTCTCCACTTTTGTCTTCACCTGACTTGGCTGGCCTTGGGATGAAGAATTTTGGGAATATGGACTCTGCATACACATGCAGCTCCCCTTCTCTTTCTCATTCTGAATTGCATTAGCTCCTCATGGTGCCATGAGTGAAATGTTCCCAGAGCATACTCTGAGTTCCAAATGCTATCCTTACTAGAGTGGGTCTTTGGAAAGTCAACTACCAAATGATGAAAAGGAGATCCTACTCATGACTAGGAAAATCAACAAGAGGAATATTATTGTTAAGTAGAGGTGTACAGTGTTGACTACTGACAAGCAATGCAGGCTTCAGAGAAAGTGTCTTGGGAAACATTCTTGTACTTAATTTCTGCTCAACATTAATTGGGCACATATTGTGATCAGGTGCTGGGTCATGGGCAGACAAAGACAGAGAAGACATGGGCCCTGTCTTTGAGGAGTTAATGTCTACCATTATAGAGACAAACACCACATGCCTAGTCACTGTTGATTTTCAGGGTTCTGAAATCTGCTTTGATATTTGTGTTCAACATGACACTTAGGGTCCCCCAAAACACGTGTAATTGTTTGTCAAAGACAAACTAAAGAAGTTCAGGGTACAATCTTGGGCACAGCTGGATACTTTTCTTAGGAGTCTCTCAGCCCCTGGACACGGTGGCTTCAGGAATTGAGGGCTAGACTCACTGCCCTATTGCTGGGTTGAGTTGCGAGTTGTTCTCGAGGCTCCACCTGAGAGTCTCAGAAAGCAGCCTGGCTATGAGGGAGTGCACAGGGAGTTGAGGGGAGGCAACTTGATGAGGCTTCAGGGAGGGTGGATCCCTTGGAATCAATGGAGACTGAAAGTTCTTAAAGAGGGCTTCTGATAATAAGGGTAAGATATCTCAATGCACCTTCCAGAAACAGTGGAGCTGTTTTTCCCTTGTATCAAATGCATATGATAACCAAAGAGATAAAATTACTATGGCTTCATTTTTGTCCCTGGCTGGAATGTTCTAGAGA
Organism: Homo sapiens; assembly: GCF_000001405.40. NCBI lineage: Eukaryota > Metazoa > Chordata > Mammalia > Primates > Hominidae > Homo > Homo sapiens. The sequence continues at coordinate 51,524,542 of NC_000006.12, read as the reverse complement.
GTATGTGCTGTGTTTGATAATGTTCTGTGGATAAACCCCCAAGTCTTCCTAAGTCTAAACATCCAATTGTTTTCCTAAACTTAATCACAATTTTCTCATCTCATCGCTTTCCATTCCTCTCTAATATGATTATCTATCTTTCAGGCAATCCCCAACACCTATCCTTTGAATTTGGACTGGGAAGATAATTCAGATACAATGCTCCATTCTAATACATGCATTCTGTACTTTCCTATAGGTTATCTCTAACAATCACAGGTTTTGTGGATTAGGGTTCGAAGTCATTACTTCCTCATTGGCTCTTCCCAACAATTATTCTTATCTATCCTCTGATATACTGTAATGAAGAGGAGACTAGGTTAGTGAAAGGAAAATGGGCTTTTGGAGCCAGCCTGCTCACCTCCCTAGCTGTGTGAACGTGGAACTGCCATCTTAATTTCTTGAGCTTTCGTTTTATTTGTACATAATACATGAAAATGGAAAAATAATATGAATTTCAAAAGATTGAAGTGAGGATCGGGTGTATATAAAGGACCTACCATCATGGCTAACTCATGGTAGTTTTTTGATAACTGTAAGTACCCTTCCCTCCCTTTAAAAATAAGATATACACTGGATATCTAATAACTTCTGCAAAAGAAGAAATTATGCTTTCTCTCTCTAGCAAATTCCAACAAACCAGTGGTTTTAGTATCTCACATTAACTCTCACAGTTCCATGCACATGGTATATTCTCTGCACATATTTTATGAAAGAGTGGATGAATAAAGTATAAAATGTGTTGCAGTATTAAAAACTATGAGTTAAAGACACAGTAAATCCAGCAGATCATAACATGAACTTGATTTTCTGTTAGACCATTTTAACTTTTAAGAAGTTACCAGAAAAAGAAAAAAAAACTTATTAAGAGTGAGCTTTCTTGCTGAGGAATTGGTATCTCACTACATAAACCATGGGAAGCCAGGAGGGAAGGGATCTTTAAGTGCTACCTGAAATGGGCAGGTTTTGGGGCTTCTGGCCCACAAGCTGAACATTTAGGGCATAGGAGCCATAATGCCCTCAGTTGTTTTAACTGATTGAAAGAACCATTCAGCTTCCACGAGCATCTGGTGTATTCCTAGAGAGAAGCTTATGAGGCCAGCTAACCTAATTCACTGTCATTATCCTCCCTGTGAGACACTGCTTCTTTCTGTGGCCATTTTACAGAGCATGATACTGAGACCCTGGTGACCAAATGATATTTAAAGTCTCACTGTAATTTAGCAATGGCCTGGCAGTCAGGCTCTGCAGAAGCTCTGTACAAATTTCCAAAACTGTAAAGTGATTTACATTCAAGCAATTACATATGGTCATCATGGTGAGTATACAATGCACAATCAGCAGTCAGGAAATATTAAATAGAAGCCATATGGTGTAGTAATTAAGAATGTGATCCATAGAGTTGGACTTCTGGGTCTGCAGCCAAGCATGGCCAAGCACAACCAAGCTGTGTGACTTTGCACAATATTAAAACTCCCTATGACTCAGTTTCTTCAGCTGTAAAATTTACATAATGAAAGTATCAACCTCATAGGTTGCTGTGAGAATTAAATAGGATGAAGCATCGGGGCAGGTGGCTCATAGAGAACAACTGTTACTCCATTTATCTGAGCATGGTTTTTTCCACTTTCCACTAGTTCCAAAGACTAGTAATCGATGTTAGAGAAAAAATCATTCAGGACTCAAAATAAATTTGATAAATAATATATTCAATAAATATTACTTAACTGTACATGAAATAATGTTAGTAGTTCTACAATCACAAATTTCACGTAGCTTCTAAACTCCTTTTTTTTAATTACACTTGTCAGAAAAGATTTTCTGTAGGCATTTAGAACATGGAGTTAGCATGGTTAAAACCCCAGAGCTTCAAGGGGAGGTTCCCCTTTATTGGACCTAGGGGAAGTGGCTCCAGGGAATAGCAGCATCCTTATGAAGAAGAACTCTCAGATTGTCTCGTGCCAGATGGAAACTGTTTTTACTGAACAGCTGGGTCAGAAAGCAGGAGAAAGAGATGGGCCAGTCAAACTATTTGGTATCCTCAACTATCGCTTGAAAAAGTGGGCTCTTTAGCTCGAGTCAATGTCCTAACATACAAGGATTCTTGTGAATGTCCCTGGGACTCCCCTTGTTAGTAAAATGGGATTTTATTATTTACATGAGAAAAATATACAGCCCACAATCTCAGATAGTGACTATCAACTTTATTAATAGCACATGTGTAATTTTTTTCTACAGTTAACCATACATTATAGATTTAATAAAGGTATTCCTAATTTGAAAGCATTTCCCTAAAGAGATTAAAAATCAGCTAAATATTTGCTTAAAAATTATGTAAGAAATATTAGATTGGTTTAGAAAATTATTGTACCTGAACAATCCAGCAAAATTGATTAGTGGAAAACTTGAATCTGCAAGTGGCTTTTCATTCAAAAGGAACATAGTGATTGTAAGCTCACATTTCCTACAATCCTCACATCTTCATGGTTTGATCTGTGCTAGTATGTCATAGTTCTGTGACTTAATGAAATGAAATGCAAGTCAACCTTGTCACTTTGTTGGTTGTCTGTACACTCACCTTATAAATGCCTAATTTTATGCAATAATTCTCTTTTGAATCACATATTAAAACCTGTGTACTTCAAAGGGCTTTTATGAAAATCAAAATAACCAATAGGCAGATGTTTTCTAAAAATAAAATGACAGATCCTAGTCTCCTTTCTCCTGTGATTTTAGGCACACCAGGAAAAGCTTCTACCACTCCATCCAAAGTCTTCCCACTCCAAAAGCATAATTGAGTCTATATTCCTCTAGGTTTTGAAGCTGATATTTAACATGATAAGAAGATAAATGGCTTAGCCTGAACTGGTTGGAGGCAGAGTTACAGTGAGTCTTAGAATAGTTGTACACAGGTCTAGTGTTTGGAATGAATCGGGAGGCTGGTGTGTGTAGTGATGTTTGGATGTGAGGTTGGGGTAGAAGTGTGAAGGGGATGTTGATAGTTGAAATGACTACTGAAATAGAAAAGTATTAGTCAGGATAGTTAGCTTTAAGTGACAGACACTCACCCCACTCTCCCTAAACAAGATGAAAGGAGATTATCGTAGGTATAACTGGAAAGTTCAGGGGCCGTTCAACCTGAGCTTTAGCTTTCCCTCTGTCAGTCAGCTTGCCTTCTCACTGTGTGGGCTTTGTTCTCAGGTGGGCTTTCTGCACTGGCAGGGAAGATGGCAGATGGCTCTGGCAACACCAGGACCTCATGACCTAGAAGGAAGAGCTAAGTACTACTCTCATCAATACTAATTTTTAACATCCTGAGCAAACACTCCCATTTGCTAAACTTTGACTCCATTTCCATCCTTCAGACCAGGCTGAAGGATGAGAATGGAAAATAAAGTACCCTAATTGGCTCGGTATTGGCCAGTTGCTGGGATAGGGGTTAGAGAGAGAGGAAGATGATGGTGATTATAAATTCACCTGGTTCACATGGAGAGGAAAGTGTGCTAGATGGGGAGTATGGCTTCTGACCACAAACTTCTGAATGAATTTTCAGGCCCAACTGTTGGTAATAATAAAGGCTTTACCTGACAGGGCTCATGGAGAAAGCTGCTCTCCTCACATCAGGCTTGGTGGGCTGCAGCCTCCGAGGGCAGCTACAGTCAAGGACTCAGGTCCTCTTGACTAGCCATGCTCTTGGGCATAGCTGCCTTCCTAGCTCAGGTGCCTTCATTCAGAGGCCTTTAATGGGGCTTTTGGCCAAGGCCTTTCTCAGGCCTCTCTGCCAAGACCTCCTTATGGGATTGTGGGGGCAGGTTTGAGGCTACTTTTCTCCACTTCAATGCAGTGCTCTGTACTTTCCCACTCCTAGTCTTTTCGATTTTGTCATCTCTGCCTTCCATCCACCCTGACACAGGTTCATAAAACTGCAGGATCTTTTTGTTTGGAACTTCCTTGGCTCTGCTGATTCACCTCACCTTTGACTGGTGCCATTCCGTGGGGAGAAAATAGAATAAAACAGAGTGGACATTTCCTCTTGTTTAGCCTCTTTTTCATACTTTTGCAGAAGGTGATTAAAGGCTTCCCTGTTAATTCCATTTTGGCTTTTTGTTTTAATCAGCTACTCAAACACCTGGCAGCTCAGCTCTCTTCAGCTCAGCTGAGCTCCTGACAAATTAATGCAGTGAGCAGGGTAGTTGATTAAGCACAGTGCGATTCTGGAAAAATGAAAAGACAGAAGAGCCCACAGGGCACTTTTAGAAGGTGCTAGTAAAGTCCGTGGACATTCTAGAGGGTTGAAGATGATTGTTTCCCAGAGCCTGAGAGTCCCTTGGGGGTGCTTCACCAGTGGGTATCTGGAAACGCTAGTGGGTCCTGTGGGGCATTTCACTAGCCATAGCACTTCTCAAGAAGTGCCAGCAGAAGCTGCAGGGTATTCTTGGAGGGCGTATGGATTGTTTATAGAAACTTTTTAGTTCTGAAGAGGATCAATGGTCCTTTTAGCTGCTAACCCCTGCCTGAGCTCTCCTGGTGTGTTAGATTGGATATCCCACAGAGAGGTTTGGAGAAAGTTAAAGAAGCAGTTTTCTTGCCATGGGCAATGGAGCCAGAGATGGTCCACAGGGCTCCTGCAAGCTGAGCAACCCCAAGCAGGTCCAAGACATCAGAGAAGAATAAAAAAAGAAAGGAAAGAAGGAAAGAAAGAAAGAGAGAGAGAGAGAGAGAAAGAAAGAAAGAAAGAAAGAAAGAAAGAAAGAAAGGGAGAAAGAATACCCTTTGGGATCACTATGCCCAGCAGGTCCCAAAGAGATCTTAGAGACCTTATGATTAGATCCCCTCTAGAGGTAATCTTGCTAAAGTTAGTAAAGGAGAGAGGAACTTTGGGATTTGGACTAAATCATCAAGAGAAGATTATCTTGACCTCAAACTCAACAGTAATATTGTAGGACTGACTAAATGTTTGAAGACAGTTTATATATCTGGTGGAATGTAGAGTGAGAAATAAGAGACTATTAGCTTAGAACATTTCTCAAAATATTTTCTAAGAGATTCAACTGAGAGAAATGCCTACCCTCTTTTTAAAGGGGGGGATTTTCTACACAGGCTCATTTCTGGGATCTTCAAATTTAGGTTCATAACAGGTTAGTGGAAGCTGTTCAGGTGTGAGAGAATGTCCAAGAACGAGACATGTTACTTCTTAAACAATTTCTACTATATATTTTTATAGCTCATAGAGACATTTATCAGTGGAAGTAGATACTTTACTCCCAAAGAGTTAAAGATAGTGACATGAGCCCAACAACAGTGTTTCCAAGGTTTCTACTATTTAAGTAATTAAATGATTTAAGCTTCTTGAAAAATATATAAAGTCTATGAAAATACAAATAACTTAAAAATATTGCTCCCTTATTTGAGATACCTAACATATAGATAATCATGTATTAATAATTCCTATCGAATGGATTACAACCTCATAATGGATCAATCATTCAATAATAATAATTTACTTTTTAAATTTTCTGAACTGTGCTAGCCACTTGAAGGGGATAAAGGAGCTATAAAATGCAATTTTTTACCTCAAGGAGCTCATTTTACTTGGGGGCAACAGGATGATAATATGTATGGAATACAAACAAAAGAATTTCAGTCTATAATTACCTGCTAATGTGTGTGATTAGGATTCTAAAGATTGTAAGAAATCAGAGGGTCGAGGTATTATCTATTCATAAGAAGGCTTCCCAGGCCTTGGGTCTGGGGTTGTTTTGCTGCCGCTGAAACCTTGTTCATCCACATTCTCCCCTCCACTTCTACCATTCCTCCTCATAGAACTCAACCCCTCGGCATATAAATATTGAAGTCAGTTTTTCTCTCTGTATCTGACTACGGCCCTATATAGCAAGAACTGTTCTCAGTCTCACTTCTATGCCTTTTATTGGAGGACTTCTATTAACAGTTTTATAAATAATAAAAATAGTCATTTTTACACCTAATAATTACATTTAGCAATGTTTCATCAAGTTCTTTGTTTGTCTTTGTTTCTTCTATTGGGGCAGAATATGTAGTGATAAAACATGTGTGTCCTAGAGTCAGTCTGCTGAGGTTCAGTCCCCAGATCTACCAGTTCTTAGCTGTGAGGAAGTTCTTTGTCTTTCTCATGACATATATTTTCTCAGTTGTAAAATGAACCTCACAGTAGTCTCTATTTTATTGGGTTGTTATTGGGACCAAAGGAGCTAATGATGTAGTCACTTAGAACTGTGCCCAGCAGAAAGTAAATACTCTAATTATTAGCTGTTATTGTTATTACCTTTTTCCTTCCTCCAGAATTCACTATTCTTCTTGCTTAAAAACATCATCTAATGGAGTTTAGTGAGTTTTGTGTAAACTCTTCTGGTTCTGTATGTTTTTAAATGTTTTATTTTGTCCTTGAGCTTACATGGAAATATACCTGGATATAGAATACTTGGTTGACAATTATTTTCCCTCAGTGCTTTGAAGGTGGTGTTCCATTGGCTTTGGCATTTATTGTTGCTTATGGGAAGTGTACAGTTAATCTATTTTTTTTCTGTTAATTTATCTTTCCTCCTGATAGCTTTTGAGTGTTTTCACTTGTTTTTGATGGACTATGCTTTCGCTATGAAGTTTCTAGATGCAGCTTTATTGTTATTTATCCTACTTGGTGATTTGGTATACACTTTTGATTTTTCTCTAATTTTGGAAAATTTTGTGATATTTAATACTTCTCTGCCATTCCTTGCATTTTCTTCTATGGGAAGTCTTATTAGATACTTGCGGATCCATTCAGTCTTTCCTCAGTAAACATGAATCTATTTTTTTCATATTTTTATCTCCTTATCCCTTGATGCTGGGTTCTGGGTTAATAATTCAGTACATTTATGCCTTCGTCAGTGATTCTAATCCAGAGTATATTTTTATCTATTGAATTTTATTTTTTATTTGTAAGTTTTCCAACTGGTCCTTTTTTATATCTGTTTTAATTTCACTTTTATCTATTTCTGGTTCATTTTATTATTTTTAAATGGGTGTTATACTTTAATTTATCCCTTTAAAAATCTTAGACAGACATATTTATAGTCTTTGTGAGGATTCTCTATTCAATGAATTAATCTGATTTTAATTTTGTTTTTAGTGCTTGATTTTTCATATGTCTTGAAAGTTTGGTTTGCATGCTTATTTTGAGTGCTCGGTTCTCTACTAATTTCTCTCTTCTACTTCTAAATCTATTTCTTCTGCTAGCATTTTTTTCAGGCTCTTCCTCTCAGTCCCCTATATAGAATTAAATCTTATAAATATGTTTTAGGGCACCCGTGCTCTCATTTCTTTCATGATCAATTATTACCTGGATCGTTACCCAAGTTGGTGTAATATCCCAATTGTTTCTTCACATTCACTGTTGTTCTTTTCCCACAGCTTCTTCCCCAAGTCTAGCCCTTTCTGGCATTCCTCATACTTCTATCAAAGTGAACTTTCCTCCTTATTGCTTTCATATTTTGAGGATAATATTTTTGTATGACTTATCGTGTACTTTATGGTGGGTTTCCTGCTGCCTTCACCAGAATCATCACTCACTATCTTCCTCCTTAATCCAATAACTGCCATATGGAACTTCTTGCAATACCCTGAATGTGCTGTGGTCTCTCAGCATCTCTAGGCCCTTTTCACACTGTAATCTTTCTGATTACAGTACTATTTCCACATCTCCCCTTGCTCCACTCTTATTCTCTCTAGTTGATGCCTACTCATGAGTCAAAGTACTATTCAGATATGACCTCCTCCTGGAAACTTTGTAGGCTTATCCCTCCACCTACATCCTGTCTCTTAGAATTACCTTTCATAGAAAATCATGAACAGTCATAGGACCCAGCTTACCCCAATCATTATGTTTATTTGCTTGCCATCTTTCCCATCTTCCTTTGAGTTTCTTGGAATCAGAAGCTGTCTCTTTTATCTTTTTAACATCTATATTCCCAGGACCTAGCATTGTGCCTACCCTGGAGCAAGTAATCAATATCTGTTTAATGAATTTATGTATGAATGAATGAGTGTGTGAATGAATGAATGTGTGAATGAATGAATGAATGTGTGAATGAATGAATGTGTGGATGAATGACTAGAAGCCAGCGGCATCCTGGGTAATAGGTGTCTGCTACAGAGAAGATAGAAAAACAAGGAGAACCAGGAAGGGTCTAAGAATCCTTCCTGGAGCTTTTCCACAGAAAGGCCCTTTTAGAGTTGCCAGATGTCAGCATTACTGACAAGAGGCTTAATGAGGGTAACTCAGCTTATCACATGGAGCCCCAACTTACATATATGGATCCCCAAACATCTCCCAATAGCTGGCATTGCCAGGTCCATAGTAAATGTTGGGATATAGGCATGAATAAGACAAGATTTCTCCCTGACGGAACTCAGTCTAGAGGGAGATATAAATGAATAAAATGATCATGCCAGTGCAACATGGTAACTGCCAAAATAGGTGAATGAACAGAGGGCAGAGGAAATATAGAAGGGAAAAATGAATCATTGCTTATGGGAATCACAAAAGGCTTCATTGAGGAAATAACATTTTATCTGAGTTTTCGAAGATGAACAGGAGTTTAGGCAGAGAAGTGAATGAAGACATTGGAGATGAGGCCAGTGTGGAGGGCCATGTATGAGAGATTAATGTGCAAAATTGTGCAGTTAATTCTATACAGGCGTGGGTGTTATACAACAGAGTCCTAGCCTTAGTTTTTGAAAACCGGGGTTCAGGTCTTGCTTCCCCCTTGACCAGCTGTGTTCCCCTGGGATGCTTCTGTTAACCATGATGCCAGCTTAGACAAGACCCTTAACATTTCTGAGCTCTGGTGTTCTCATTTTCAAAAGGAGAATAGCCACAGACTATTCCCTAGAGTGATTGAGAGCATCAAATTAGTTGTAATAACTTTTTATAAATGATGAAGTTTTTATTTATTTTGATTGGGATAACATAAATATTTAAGAATAGCTAAATAAATAATGGGGCCTTATCTTTAGCCAGGCTGCCTGATGATTAAATAGGTGACATATATTTTAATGTACTGTGATCTACAATAAAAATAAAAACTAAAATATTTCAAGAGAAAAATACCTCAGATCTTTTTTCTTCTCTCTAGAGCTGAGAAATTGTCTACCTTTCTATGTTTTGATCTTCAACAGGACAGTGCTTCAAGGGGTTTAATTCAGGTGTTTCTGAGTTCAAAAGTCTCAACAGCTCTAAAAAAGATGATGAAATTTCCATTTTACAAGTGCCATTGTGCCACAAGGGGGTAGGGGTGCTCTGTATAAGCCTTTGCCATGTGCTCTTCCTAACCAAATCTCTTAACTAAAAAAGAAACAATAAAAAAAAATTTAATTTTAATAGATATTTAATAGATATTTTCTATACTATCTACATTTCCACTATCATTTTTCTTATAATTAACATCTGTCCAGAAATGTCAGCAAAGATACCAAAGACCAGCATATTTAAGCTCTGGCTTTCTGTCTAATAGTTCTAGAGGGCCAGAGAGAGTGACCCTAGGGTTGGCAGATTTGGTTACAAAGGCCACCTTTCATTAATCTGAACAGATAGCCACAGGGCAATGTGAATCTTCCACAACTGGATTTTATCACAGCAAGTTTCCTTCGATGTACACCCATTAAAAAGAATTCAATGCAAAAAAAAAACCCAGTTGTTTTTAATCTTCTGTTCATTACTCACTTCTTGAATGAAGAAGAAAACAAAATGACTAGATGAGAGAGAAACCGACTAATCCCTTAAAGTATGCAACTTAAAAAAAATGTTCACAATGTGTGTGCCTGTTAAGCAACATGCTTTAAAAAATAACTAGTTGAAGCATGCAGTAGCAGAACTATGACATCATTTCTGGATAAGGTGTCCCTCCTCAGTGCTGAGGTGTCCAGGGCATAAATCCAGGGAGGTACTCTGTGGGGTGCAAAAAAACACAGCTGGGACACCGGGAATTCCTTCCAGGATCCACAGAGCAAGTCCGATTATTTACCTCCGGTGTTACAGAGCTAATAGATTCCACCTGCGGCATGCTGGCCACTGACACTCTCTTTTCCTCTGTGCTCCTGAAACTCTGAGCACCCAGTGTCTACCCTTTCTTTGTATTTTCTTACTCTTCAGCTTGGAATATTAACCTATCTGTACCCTGGGTTCAGATGGTTTAATCTTTTGGTAGACTTCAACATGATGTCATTAGGGTTTCACGTCATTATTGTTTAAGTGCTTAGAGAAGAAAAATAAAGCTGTGTGTACGTGATGGCTTGGGCAGTGATTCACGCGGTCACAGTATTCTCCCCCATCCCCTCAGTGGCTCACAGCCATTCTGGGCCCACGAGCAATCTGTCTGTAATAAGTGACAGATTCTGCCTCATATAAAGGAAAGGGCTGGAGGACAGCAGCCCAGACCCAGTACAATAGCAAGGCAGGTGCTCCGGTCAGACTCCGCTCTACCAGGAAACGCTTCTGGAATGCATGACCAATTTGGTTTCAGAACAGAATACTCCCTTTAATGGACAGAAAACACTAACCTTTTCTTTCTCCTTTTTCCTTCCCTCATACCCCCACCCTACTGACTCCCCAGTTTCAAAAAGCCCCCTTTTCACTTTAACCCTTTCAAAGGATAAAGGACCAGGCTTCAATCTGCACACACCCATCCATCTATATGTTGCTCTGCTAACAAACTAGAAAGAGGAGTAAAAATTCATCAGCCGGGAGAACAAATTCAATCTCTGGGCAGGAACACAGTGGAATGATGGGTCAATTTTTCTTTTAAATTTTCATCTTTAAGCAACTTCAGAAAGCATACTTTTAGGGAAATGGCTAGAGCACAACATTTCTCGAGATAAGATGGGCTCTGGAAAGAAAAAATGTACTATTAAATCTGAAATAGTCAAAATCACATTAAAATCACATATATTCTTTTAGAGATCGTGTATCATTTGAGTGAAATCTCACTTTAAGAAATCTCTGAGTTTTATCAAGTTGCATGATATTGATTGAATAAGATAGTAAATAATACTGTTATCACCATTACTACAAGTGTTGCTTGTATATTATCCAATTTACTGGTTTTGCTACACACACAGCAAAAGTAACTATAGCTTGGGAGAAATAATTATCCTATATTTCAATTAAAGTCTACATATGCATACCCTGACTCTATTGACAAAGCAAGACTTAAGCAATTTTGTATGGTTTCTTTTCCATGCAACAGTATTTGAAATGCAATGATAGAGAGTAACGTATATTAAGAGTAATAAGGGTTTCCCCTCTGAGAGTTGTTGTAACTTATCTTTGAAGTTAAGCTCATTTATCATGGGGAGAATAGACCCCAAAAAGTACAGCAGCCGCAGCATCCTGCCTGAGGCAGAGTTAGAGATTTCCAATAGCTGCTGTAAAGAAACATTTTGAAAATGCGTTCACTACTGCACCGATAAATCTTAAGACAGAAGAGTTTTAATTACAGAGGATGGCAAAGCCAAGATTTTTCAAATGAACCCAAAAATATGACATGAGAGAGCTTTCCCCTCACTCCCATGCTACCCAACCCTTGATAAATTTATATGTCTTCTTTGCCTGGGAACAATAGTCTGCTTCGTAAGCAGGACTCCTGGAGGATATCTTCATTTGTGACATAGTATTGGGAGAAATGATGGAAGTGAAATATAGTAAGCCAATCTATATGCATGTATGAGGAGCAAAGAATATGATAGGAGCACCATGAATCCTTTGGGGGCATATTGCAGATTGTATATATGGGAGAACGTGTTATGCATGTGTATGCAGCTTTCTTGCATGTATATGTGCACATGTGCTTCTGTATGGCTTGATCCTCAATAGCCTGCTTCTTTAAAGGAAAGAAAAAATATTAGTGTCATTTGCATCCTAGGACTAAAAATAAACTCTTGTATTTTTTGAGGAAAAAAATAAGACTAATGAAATTAGAGGTTGTTTAAATCAGAGGCAATTAAAATGCACACATTTCTTTTCCTAGAATCTGCAATTGTATTCAACGTTTGCAGTACAACGCCTGCCTGTAGGATAAATAATTTAATGGGTTTTGTGATTTGGTACTAAAAGCATAACAAAATCCTACAGCTGTAGCCTCATTTTTCTCCACATTCAAACTGTTTCCTTTTAAATTGCATATTTTGTACAGTTTTTTTTAAAGAACACAAAGTAGGTTCTACATCTTTGAGAACCAATTTCCGACATAATAGGTAATTGCACATAATTACAGGAGTTTCAGAAACTGAAACAAGAAAACAAAACAAAACAAAATCTTTTTCTACCCTAGTCCCCCTTCCTTCTTAAAGATTGAGATTAAATCACTATATGATTCCATTCAATTTTGCCCTTTATTACAACAAATGATATATGCTGAGAATAACAAAAAGTGAAAACTGCCCTAAATGCTTCTGTTTTCTAGGAATTCAGTTTTAATCTAACATTTTAATTAAACAAACATGAGGATAAGTTTTTATATATTGCCTTCATTTTTTACATTTTTATCACATGTCCCACACTACAAGGGACTGTGGTCAGCTTAAAGCTTTGCAATCAATGTGGGCTGCACTTTGAATTACTTCAGTATTTTCTGCATCCACACTCTTCAAAGGGCATCCCAGTATTCATTAACTCTCCTACACTTAGAATGAGACTACGGACCAAAAGAACGTCCAGCTTCCATGGCCCGAGAAAGAGAACATCAAATTTCCAAAAGAGGCAATGAGAGAAAACTGTAATAGTGAATGAATGGATACCGTCTCCTCTCATCTTTTTCTATTTCTTTGAGGGTTTTGGGACTGAAATGGCCTTGGGACTTCTGGCAGAGTTAAGGTCTTGCTCCAAGGCCTTTGTGGGAGTGAGTTTCACAGCTGGAAATCAGAGCTTCTGGGTTTCCTGACTGTTTATGGTAGGCTGGGGGCTTCTTTTTCTTTCTGTAGATTGTAGGTCAGAGGTTGAATCAGAGTTTTTAGAACTTCCCACCATCCTTTCCTACCTCTCCAACTAAAAAATAAATACTGCCTTTTCAATAGTTAGGTAAAATGAGCTGGACTGTCTTTTAGCTAATGTGGTAGCTGTGAAGGCCAACAAGTGGCTTACAAACTGGCCATTTCTCAGATTCCAGGAGGAGGAAGTGGGGAGGGGATTTAGCCTTACAACCCACAGAATAAGCTGATGGTTATTTATAGGGCACATTTTTTGTACCTAACTCCAAGTTATTTCTTTTTCTCTTACAACACTAAAGTATCACTCAATGACATAAAAATGAGTAAAGTACAAAAAATGTGCTGATAAATTTTACCTAAACCACAGGCTTAAAAATTAAAGTAAGTGTCTAAACCAAATATATATGAAGGAAAATGCATTAGGGAGTTCCGGTTACTCTTTTTTTCAGCAAAGTCAGAGAGCATTGTTGATACTGGCAATTCAATACGCATCGCCTTATGTCTTTATGTGGGATTAGAAGTGAATAAACAGGTCTGAAGGCTTGATCCTGAAGACAAAGGTTAGAGATTATTGTCCCCAACAATATGTAAATAATTTCACAATAAAAATAACAACAATAATAAAAACAAAAACCATGAATAGTAAAGGGGTAAGCATTTCCAGAACAAACAGCTTTCAATTGCAAAATGCATGTAGAAAAATATTAAATATCATTATTCTCATTTTGCAGATCTGAATGATAGCACAGATTGGAGCAGGTCAGAGCTGAGGTAGAAAGATAATTCTGGAAAGAGGTAGTACGGGGCAGTAAGAAAACTGCCTTACACGGCCGGGCGCAGTGGCTCACGCCTGTAATCCCAACACTTTGGGAGGCCGAGGCGGGCGGATCATGAGGTCAGGAGATCGAGATCATCCTGGCTAACACGATGAAACCCCGTCTCTACTAAAAACACACACACACAAAATTAGCGGGCGTGATGGCGGGCGCCTGTAGTCCCAGCTACTCAGGAGACTGAGGCAGGGGAATGGCGTGAACCTGGGAGGCGGAGCTTGCAGTGAGCCAACATCACGCCACTGCACTCCAGCCTGGGCGACAGAGCAAGACTCCGTCTCAAAAACAAAACAAAACAAACAAACAAAAAAACTGCCTTACACTTGAAGAATCTAGAATAACTTCCTTAAATAGGTGACATTGGAAATGTCGCTGAACCTCATTCTCTTCTGCAAAATGGGAAGAGTAAGTCTATAAGAAAGCAGGAGCACACAGTATCTTTAGAATTTGTCACATCGTGTTTTGGCATTGGTACATCTGTATTCCGCAATGCCATGAGGTTTAATTCATATCTCCCTCACTCTTCTAAAGTGCCTGACACATAAGCATTCCCCAATATCTAATAAATAGCTAAATGGAGGATTAACTCTCTTCAGGTTGCCAACCATTTTTTAGATCTAAGGTCTTCTGACACTCTAAGAAATAATAAGATAAACTATTTTGTTTTGTATATGATCTTACGATTGCTTTTTGCCTAATTATCCTCCCAAAGTATCACAGCCTACAGCCCACCACAAATGATTAAATTATTGAGTGGGGTGTAGTTGTCTGCAACTACATTTTTCCTTATATTCCAGACATGTGTTACATAATTTACGAACTTACTAAATGCATGTTAAAATGAAATTAATAGTGAACCTTAACGCAAGGTCAGCAAACTAGCCCAAGATGGCCTACCACCTATTTTTGCAAATAAACATTTATGGGAAAATGACCACACCCGTTATTAACATATTGTCTATGACTGTTTTTGTGCTATAGTAGCAGAGCTGAGTTATTGCAACAGAGATCTGATGGCCTGCAAATATTAAAATATTTAGTATCTGGCCCATTAGAGAAAACACGTGTCAACTCCTAACTTAATGGATGACCTCTTTCCTCTACTCACACATTATTAACTCAGAAACTTTTGAGTTCTGATCTTACACCTCTGATCAAAGAATTAAGATTAATTGTAGTAGTAGTAATGTGATTAACAGGAGTTACTCATAGCGTCCTTGCATAGATCCTTACCTAAAAGTGGTGTAGTGATATGATATGTCCCTCTGGCCTCTCAAGTAATATACACTTTCTTTTTGCATCTCCTTAGACAGCTTCCAGGAAAAATCTAATTGTCTCGTATTTAATTCTCTGACATAACAAGTTTTGTAGTGAGATACTGGTATATAAACTATTATGAGATCTAATAACAAATGTTTATCTTTATGACATCTTAGCCTAGATATGGATAACTCTGGAACCTGTGAAGAAAGGTTAGTTTGGGGAACACAAATAAAGGAATTAAGGATATGTGCATATATAGTGTATGTTACTAGAATCACGTTTCCTTTCATCATAATGAAATAATCATTTTTTCCCCAAATGATGTTTATTGTTCTCAGACTTTTGAAAGTGATAAATGGAAATTTAAAATGGAGTGTTAAACTGTATATGATTGTGTTTCTTCCTCTACAAAGGCATTTATGGTACAATTTTAGATTTTGTAGATTGTGCTTTATATATCACAGGTAAAGCATGTATACGTCTTCGGTGAAAACACATAAGCTATGTTTATACTACATGGAATACAGTTAAGTATTAAGATTGACATTTTAGTTGGTATTCTACAAAAGCTTTTATCTGTAATATACAGTTGTGAACCCATCAAATGAACTTGTTGAGTTAGAAAAGAAGTAGGTGGCCAATATTCCAGAATCCTCCTCAAGATTCAATAAACACAATCAATACCTGGGACTAAAGATTACAGACCTGTCTGAATTTACATAAAGGAAATTGATATAGTAAAAAACAAACAAAAAAACAAAACAAAACAAAAAAGGCAAAACAAAACAAAACAAAAAACCCCAACCATTTTAGCATGGTTTTATCAGCATGGTTTCTGAATGGAGAGGTTATACACATGAGATTAGAAATCATGTATTCAGACGCTAACCTTCCATCCTGGCTTCATCTCTCAGACCATGCGTGACTTTTTACAAACTAATTAATACTTTTGTTCCTTAGTTTCCTCGTGTTTGTGGAAGGTTTCTTCCACGTTATTGGAGAAAAAAAAGGCAATATTATTAGTTTCATTAGTAAACTAATGAAGATACTAATAGTGCATCCTGATAATACTGTCCTTTTTTTCTTCTTCAGACCAAACTACTTTAGTGGTGGGTTTAAATTTTTATATAATACAATGTATATGTATGAACATGTGGATAACTTCAGTTTTCTTTTCATAATTATTATTTTTATTTTAGATTAAAGGGGTACATGTGTTTGTTTGTTACATGGGTATATTGCATAATGGTGGGGTTTGGGCTTTTGGGGTACCCATCACCCGAATGTTGAATATTGTACTCCATGAGTAATTTTCCATCCCTCATCCCTCTTCCTCCCTCCCTGCTTTTGAAGTCCCTGGAGTCTGTTATCCCCAACTTTCTGTCCATGTGTACCTATTGTTTAGCTCCCACTTATAAGTTAAAACACGTGATACTTGATTTTCTGCTTCCGAGTTCATTTGGTTAGGATAATGGCCTTCCATGTTGCTGCAAAAGACATAATTTTTTATGACTGCATGGTATTCCATGGTGTATATATACACCATTTCTTTATCCAATTAACTGTTGTTTGGCACTTAGGTTGGTTCCATGACTTTTCTATTGTGAATATTGCTGCAGGCTGGTAGCAGTAGCTTAGGCCTATAATCCCAACACTTTGGAAGGCCCAGGCATGTGGATTGCTTGTGCTCAGGAATTTAAGACCAGCTTGGGCAACATGATGAAACCCTATCTCTACAAAAAATACAAAAGTTAGCTGGGCATGGTGGCACACGTGTGGTCCCAGCTACCCAGGAGGCCGAGGTGGGAGGATCACCTGAGCCCTGGAGGCAGAGCTTGCAGTGAGCCGAGACTGTGCCACTGCACTCCAGCCTGGGTGACAGAGCAAGACCCTGTCTCAGAAAAAAAAAAAAAAAAATAGTGCTGCAATGAACATACAAGTACAGGTGTATTTTTATATAATGATTTCTTTTCCTTTGGGTAGATACTCAATAGTGGGATTGCTGGGCCAAATGGTAATTCTATTTTTAGTTCTTTGAGGTATCTCCATACTGTTTTCCATAGGGGTTAAACTCATTTACATTCCCACCAACAGTGTATAAGTGTTCCGTTTTCTCCACATCCATGCCAACATCTGTTGTTTTTTGACTTCTTAGTAACAGCCACTGTGACTGGTGTGAGATGATCTCAGTGTGGTTTTAATTTGCATTTCTCTGACGATTAGTGATGTTCAGCATTTTTTAAAGAAGTTTCTCGTCTCCATGTATATCTTCTTTTGAGAAATGTCTGTTCATGTCCTTCGCCCAGTTTTTAATGGGGTTGTTTGTCTCTTTCTTGATGAGTTGTGTGAGTTCCTTACAGATTCTGGATATTAGTCCTTTGTCAGAGGGATAATCTGCAAATATTTCCTCCAGTTCCATAGGTTGATTGTTAATTCTGTTGGCTATTTCTCTTATGCAGAATATTTTTAGTTTAATTAAATCACATTTGTCTTTTCTGTTTTGTTGTTGTTGTTGTTGTATTTCCTTTTAGGGTCTTTGTTATAAATTCTTTGCCTAGGCCAATGTCCAGAAGAGTTTATTCTAGATTTTCTTCTATGATTTTCATAGTTTTGCATCTTATATCTTTAATTTATTGTGAGTTAATTTCTGTATATAGTGAGAGATAGGGGTCCAGTTTTATTTTTCTGCATTAGGCTAGCCAATGTTTTCTGTACCAGTTATTTAATATGGTGTCATTTCCCCATTTTTTTGTTGTTGTTGACTTTATCAATTATCAGTTGGCATAGTTATACGGCTTTATTTCTGAGTTCTCTATTTTATTTTACTGATCTATGTGTCTATTTTTGTACCAGTACTATGCTGTTTTAATTACTGCAGCTTTGTAGTATAATTTGAAGTGAGGCAATGTAATGCCTCTGTATTTGTTCTTTTTACGTAAGGATGCTTTGGCTATTTCAGCTTTTTCTTGGTTCCATATGAACTTTAGGATTGTTTTTTCCAATTCTGTGAAAATGACATTGGTAATTTGATAGAAATTGTGTTCAATCTGTAGATGTTGATTTTAAGGATACTAACAAATGAATCTTTTTCCATTTGTTTGTGTTGTCTATGATTTCTTTCATCAGTGTTTTGTTGTGTAGTTCTCCTTGTAGAAATTTGTCACATCCTTGGTTAAATGTATTCCTAGGTATTTTTGTGTGTGTGTGGCTATTGTAAATGGGAGTGAGTTATTCATTTGGTTCTCAGCTTGAATGTTATTGGTGTATACAAATGCTACTGATTTTTGTATGTTACTTTTGTATCCTAAGACGTTACCGACGTTGTCTATATAATCTAGAAGTCCTCTGGAGGAGCATTTGAGGTTTTCTAGGTATACATTCATGTCATCAGCAAACAGATAATTTGGCTTCTTTCCCTCAATTTGGATGCTTTTTATTTATTTCTCTTATCTCATTGCACTGGCTAGAGCTTCCACTAGTATCACTAGCATGTTGAATGAGACTAGTAATGTGGAAATCTTTGTCTTGTTCCAGTTCTTGGAGGAAATGATTTCAACTTTTCTCTATTCAGTATGATGTTGGCTGTGGGTTTGTCATATATGGCTCTTATTATTTTGAGGTATGTTCCTTCTTTGCCCCATTTGTTAAGGGTTTCTATCATAAAGGAATGTTGGATTTTCTTGAATGCTTTTGCTGGATCTATTCAGAAGATCATATGGCTTTTGTTCTTAGTTCTGTTTAGGTGGTGAGTCACATTTCTTGATTTGTGTATTGTCTTGAAGAGTGAACTCATGTTCATTCAAGTGAAGCTCTCAGAACAGTGCCTGGCATAATAAATCACAATGATTATTTCTGGTCCTCTACCCTAGTCTATTCTTTCTGAGCCTCATTTATTTTTTGTAAAATGGCATTTTAGAGAAAATAGTCTATCTAAGATCCCTTACAGCATTAACTTTTAAAATAATTTTATGGGTGATACGGGAGGAACTGTAAAGAATAAGAAAGGGTGATAGGGAAACTGATTTGTCAAGACTGGAGATTACAAAAATAGCAAATATGGTGAGCACAGGCACATAAGTGTTAATACGCACACATTCATACACACCCACACTCACACATCACACCCACACATATACACATATGCATTTGCATATGCCCTCCATGTTGGTATCAACATTTATCATCTACAGAGGAAACCTTAGTGTGATGGTCATCAGACACCAGCATCCAAGGAGCTGCTGTTCGTAGCAAATAGAGGTTTATTTTCTTATATTTCTTAAATAAAAATCCTTTCTGTAAATATAACAACCACAGTTTTCTATGTAAATAGCTTTTTGGAAAATACTTCAGTACAGTGGTTAGAAGAAAAAAGTGTATTCTAGAACATTTAACCTTGGCTGCACACATAGATAATTCAGATCTCTTTTTCTTGGGTATTTCTGAAATTAGGCCATAGAGAAGAGTCTCAAGAGTTACCAGAAAAAAGAGCCAAGATTTTAGTTGTTCTTGAGTTAAAAATTTTCACTATAGGACAAGACTTTAGAAAACGTTTTATAGTGAGCTGCATTTGTCATCAATTAGATTCACCCACCAGAGGTCATTCGACGATCAGGTGACATATTTTCCACCACCTTTTGAAATGAAAGATTACCATACCCTCTGGTCTTTTAAAAGAAATAGCAGTTTAGGCCCCAAAATAGGTTTAATGAAGATGAAGACTTTTGAGGACCATAAAATTTGGCACTATGAGTTTGTCTTAAGAGGAATTACTTCAATCCTGTTGGGGCACTGGGGTCATAACTGGCCACATAATAACAATAACATAAAATCAGAATAAAATTGCCACAAATGTTCATTTTATAAGCCATCTACCTATTTTTCATTATGTTGTGCAGTCCTGTGTTAGAGAGGAAAGTTCCACTTTTGGGTTAATATTCCAGGTCTACTACTTTGTTTCCTCACTAAAGTAGATATAATGACACTTACCACACAGGGTTATTGGGAACATTAACTAAAATACTCCATGTGTATTCATTATCTCCTGCTGTATAATGAATTACCTCCACCTCAGAAATTAGTGATTTAAAAACAACAGTTTCATCAGTGTTTTGTTGTGTAGTTCTCCTTGTATAAATTTGTCACATCCTTGGTTAAATGTATTCCTAGGTATTTTTTTGTGTGTGTGGCTATTGTAAATGGGAGTGAGTTATTCATTCGGTTCTCAGCTTGAATGTTATTGGTGTATACAAATGTATATGTGGTCAGGTATCCACATATGTTTTAGCTGTGTTCCCTCACTCAGAATCTCCTGAGCACTGCAATTGAGGTGTGGGCTGGGGCAACAGCTGTCTTAAGGCTCGACGGAAGAAGGATCTACTTCTAAGTTCACTCACATGGCTGTAGGAGATTTGTTGGACTGGGTGCCTCCACTACTCACGGTCTGTTGATCAGAAGCCACCCTCAGTTCCTTGCTATGTGGGCTTCTCCATAGGGCTATTTACAACACGGAAGCTCAGTTTATCTGAGTGAGCAAGTGAGAATCAAGACCGAGAGTGGGCAACTAAGACAGATGTCACAGTCTTTTGTAACCTAACCTCAGAAATGCCATTCCACACTTTTGTCACATTTGTATTTGTTAGAGTAGGTCACTAGGTCTAGCCCACTCTCAAAGGGGAAAGAATGAAACATGGACATTAATATCAGGAGGTGGAGATCACTGGAAGCCATTTTAGAAACTGTCTATCATACCATGTCAAGTAGTTAGCTCAGCAGTTAGTAGACTAAGTGCTCAATATTTTCTTCTCTGTGTTAGTATATAATTTTAAGAACTTTGCTCTAATGGTAGGTTCAGAAACAAAGACAGAGGCAGCTTCTCTGTGCCTGAATTACTCTATATATTCCTGAAAAATATAAGATAATCATGTGAGCTAATATAGTGTAATACGTCACTCAGAATTTAGTGGTGAAGAACAATATACATATGGGTGCTATTAGTTTTCCTCATTCTCACAATCCAGTCATAGGTACATGATCTAACCAGAGAAAGGAGAAATATATGTCCAATTTGCTTCAAAAACTACCCTAATGGCTGCTTTCAAGCAAAATAGGAGACTTCCTAGCTAATTGATAAGAGAGTAATGGCTAACCTACATCTCTAAATGGCTCCTGAAGATTTCCATTACATCACTTCTGTTGTCCAGACTTCAGTTCCCTCAACTCAGTAACCTCACCCCTACTGTTTCAGCAGTTGCCTGACTGAATATCTACGTGTCACACACCATCACTCTGCATCTGCTCCACTTCTGTGATCTTAAACTCTGAAATTGTTTTCTGAATACACCTCTTCTACTCTCTCCTACTAAGCTTGTTCTTCACCTCTCATGGAAAATTTCAACCACAGGACACATTCACTTAACGTTGTCATCACACCTTTTCTAGTTGTTCATTTTGCAACCCAGGATCAGCCGTTTAAACCAATTCCACCACTAGATTTTTCAGTCTCTGGATTTGTGCTGTTTCTCAATCCTGTGTAAATTCCCTAATTACTTTCTCTGCTTTATCCATGAAGCTAATAAAAAGTATTTTATCCTCTGCAGTTTTTACTGGTTAACCTCAGCTTATTCTCAATGTTACTTAAAGGTGCAAGACACTATAGGTAAATTCATGTTTAAATGACTGGCAAAATGAACCTAAGCAAGTTTTAAAAATTATTTAAGTCCTATGCATATTTCCTCATGCATAAAAGGGAGATGAAATTCAACAAAAACAAAAACATAAAACACAAAACCACTGTTTTCTTCATTTTTTCTATAGTTTAAGCTTTTTGAAGCATTTAATTATTTTGGTCACAGCCTCTTCTGTTGAAATCTTCTTTTACTTTTTGTGACTCTGCACTATCCTTGTTCTTTGACGTATGCTCTGAGCCTGTTCCATTTGTTCCTCTTCTTTTCCCCACCTGCCAAAGATGGACATTCTACAACATCCTCTCTTAGTCTTTTCTTTCTCTGTACCACTTCTTTGGACATTTCATGCATTCCCATGGCTTTTGCTCTCACATCTACATGTGTAACTATGACACCTTAAACCAGAATATTATCATAACCCTACATGACACAGTCAATCACATGGCATGAAGCAAACAAAAAGGTGGGGCATGCAATTTGTGCCAATTTTTTTCTAAAGAAAACTATTGCAGATGCTGAGAGGAAATTCAGCCCAAAACATATACCATGGTCTTGTGTCCAAACATCTATCAATAGATACTAAATCAGTAGCAGGAACTTGTGTGTATCTTGGTCGTGGTGGTGGTGGTGGTGTGTGTGTGCATGTATGTGTGTGTGTGTGTGTGTGTGTGTGTGTGTTCATCTATGTGTATGTGTGTGTGTGTCTTGAGGGAAAGAAAAATCTAACGAGAAATAACCAGGGTGTCTCGACAGCTGGGTAGAGCATGATGATGTGAAATCATGTGACAGTTGATCTCTGGGAATCTAGGCCTTAAGGATCCCAGCCACCTGGAGGGATTTTGAGGGACCTCAATGCTAGAGAAAAATGGGCACAAGACTGGACACTCAGATAAAAACAGAATAAAAGAAAACATAATAGATGCGAAAGTTAGTAGCTTAGTATTTAGCATTTTGCTAAGGCTCTGTTACTAGAACCAAGTTCCCAAGGGCAGCAACAATGGACTTGGAGTAATAATTATTTGATGCCGAGTCTCAGAGTTTGGATCAGGAGCTCTTAAAATCCTTTCTGTCCCAATTCAGAACTGACCCTCTAGGGGAAATAGGGGGTGGTATTAGGCCTGGCCATTGCATCTAAATCTTTTCCATTTACTTATTGAACATCTCCATCTAAATGTTTTGGCAAAACTTCCAACTTCCCACACTATGTGTTTAAACTGGGCTCACTCTTGGTTCACCCCTTACCTCGGTTTCTCCCCCTAACACTCATGTTTCTGGTAGTGGCAACACCATGCTCTAATCTACCTTGAAGTAAGTCATTTTAAAATTTTGATTTTCTTTTTTACTTAAGTTTTCATATACTTAAGATTCTGCCTCCCTTTCTCCAATTCTAACCTCTTCTGTATTTTTACTGCCACTGTTTTAGTTTCGGCTCTGTCCCCTGAACCACTCCAATACCATACTGTCCCTGACTTCCCATCAGTTCATCCTAAAAATTTCCATCAAATGATCATCGAAGACACGCCTATCAACCCAAGTGTAGCATCACTATGCTAGTTCAGGTCTTTTCCCCATATGATTCCAAACTACACTGACTGAATCCTATTCCCCAACATCTCCTGCACACTCCAGTCCACCTACCCATGTTACTGCTTGACCCCCTAAACTTAGTTTTCTCATGTCTCTGCTGATGCTCTTCCCTCAGAAAGAAGTATACACATCTCTGCTTATTAACTCTTATCCACTCTTGTGTCCTATTTTAAATTACCCATCATCCTTGGTCTTCCTTGATTCCTTCAATAGGATATAAGTTTTACACACACACACACACACACACACACTCACAAACACCTCCCTACCACCAATACTCTTCCCCCATCAAGCCGTTGTAAATTTTTTGCATCATCTCTTATACTTTTTCTTTTAATAGTGGTTGGTATATTTTACTTAGTCTCTGCTGACCACATGTTCCTCAAGAACTCATCTATACTGACACAGCTTTGCCTGTATTACAGTCAACATAGTGCCTTGTATATGGTAGACTCTTCAATAAATGGTGTGGAACAGAGGTGGACTTGATATTTCAAATGCTTACTCACCTACTTTCTTGGATGCATTAATCGTATATGTAGTAAACCTAAAGAGCCACTCTCAAGTTTATTGAATGCCATTGTCTTTCCTGACAATTTTGAGAACCATACTTATTTTGATGTACATCTCTATTTGATAGCTGCTGGTCTACATGTGAAAAAAGAATGTATCAAAAACCATAGTGTAACACCAGAGAATGAGCTTAATATCAAAGTACCACTTCTTCAAACTGCCAAACTGATAATTTCAGAGTATAAGATCATAAAATACAAAAAGATGTAAAAAAAAATAAAAAATAGCATTTGTGTCCCCCATGAGGTTAAAGTAGTCCTCACTTAAAATTAAGAAATTACACAAAAGTAAAACTAGAAAAAAAGACTAAAAATATTATCTAATATTAAGATATCATCTCATTTGTAGATAAGTAGAAAACACTCCAGCAAGCAAACTAGATAATGCATTTTGATATCTTACATTGCTGAAATAGCTTGCAGCAAGTTTAAAAACTATTATTTGGTTATTTTAATTTTCAAACGCTCTGATACCTCTCCACAACTTTGGAATCAGTTGTAAACTAATGAATCTGGAAATGATCAATTCCTATTTCTTTCCTTAGTAACTTCTTATCAGAGCTTGCCTGAAGCAATGTATCTACCTTAGTGCATGTCCAGGAAGTCTGAAGCATTTTCTCCTTTGTGACCCAGACTCTCTGATCTGTGTGTCTGTATCTAGCTTCCAATTATGTAGAGCATCTCCTTGTACATGCCGTGTAGTCCTTATTAATAACTTAGAAAAACAAGTAGCTAAAGTATCACAGGTTGAATTCTCCAAAGGATACTTAAAGGAAACATTTGATTTATGGTATTTTTTTTGACACTTAATACTGCTAGGGTCTGAATGTTTGTGTCCCCTCAAAATTCATATGTTGAAATCCTCATGCCCAAGGTGATGTTATGAGGAAGGTGATTAGTTCATGGAGAGAGAGGCCTTGTGAATGGGATTATATACCTTTCTAAAAGAGGCCCTAGAGAGACCCGTCAATCCTTCCACCAAGTGAGAACACAGCAAGAAGGTGCTAACTATGAACTGATATAGAAAGCAAGCCCTCACCAACTACAGAATTTGCCTGAGCCTTGATCTTGAACTTAACAGCCTCCAGAACTGTGAGAAAGAAATTTCTGTTGTTTAGAACCCACCCAGAATACAGTATTTTGTTGTAGCAGCCTAAGAGACTAGGGCAAATATCTATATAAAAATTATGAGTAGCCAATATTGCTCTGGCTAGTTCTCTCATCATTCTATATAGAACATCAAATTACTCCAAAGTCCTAGCTTTAAAGAAAACACGGGAATTTCCACAGAGTGTTTCACATGTGCTGGAATGTTCAATCAGTGATCACCCCCAGCTAATGCCAGGGGGTTGTTGAGGTACTGCCTTGTCCACTAGGCAGTGTTGTCTTCTGCTGGGCTCCACAGAGTCCTACTTTGGCATTTTTGTTGAAGGACAGGAACTCTGGTCACAGTCACATGAGTACACAAGGGGAAGTGGGGAAAAGTCTTCTTATACTATCAATGACCTACTTTGCTTAAAGGAGTCCAGGGGTACTGCCACTTTGTACAGAATTTTAGTTAAACTAACTGTTAGTCGTTATTTTTCCTTCATTCTCCCACACTACTCTGGCTTCACAGGATTTAAACATGACTCAGTTGACATTTTGGCCAAAAGGCAAGGCTGAAGGACAATAAGGTTGTACTCAGATAACTAAAGCTTTGTTCCTCAGTCAAGTTTGTCTTGACAAACTCCATTTTTACTCGAGTTGTGTTCTTTCCCAGAGCTTTTCTCAGCCCCTTATGCAAATAAATGTCTGGTGGGTTACCCTGCTACCTCTCCAAGTGTGTCTGGGCAGCTTATAGCGTATGCGGGTAGGCTTATGCTGCAACCCCTGAAATGAAATGAAGTGACCTGGCACATATGAAGATGCTTAGTCCAGAGCGGGTGCTTAGGCAATGCTCCAGCCTGATGCAAATACTTTAATCACAAGGGATATCAAGGCAACTTATTCAATGTGGATTGTTTTGTTCCCATTTTTGGAATCTGAGTAGAAGTGAGAATACTTGATTTTGGCATGGGTCAGCGTGGATAAAATACATGAGATTAAATAGTTCAGTCATTGGGGTACCATTTGTTGAATAAATGTAGAGTACAAAATTGTACCCTGAGGCCCAACAAGAGTATGTCCCGGAGCTGGGGGCTGGGAACATTTTATTTACCCTACAGCAGTGTCTTCAAAATTTTTTGAGTGAGACTTTCTTTATTAAGTAGATCTTTATAGAATGACCCAGTATTTACATGCACACATGTCCTCACATATGTGTGTCTTTTCAAGTCCATATAATTAAAACAAATTTTAAAAGACAATACCCACCCTCTTTACATATAATACACTCTGACATTTTTTCTGTACTTTATTTTTTTTCTTCTGCCTTTTTTTTTTTTTTCCATTTCTTATCAGGACCCTTTGATGGGTTGCCACGGTCATTTCAAAAGTGCTGCCCAAGAAGAAGTCATAATATTTCAAAATACTTCAGAACAGTTTAAGCCTGTTTGGAAATTCTGGGCAACTAATAGTGACCTCCACAAGTATTTCTTCAAAAAGCCACATAAGGTAACCAAAGAAAAGATGCCTTCAATCTAACTCCAGCCCAATTGCAGAAGCTCGAGTGTCAGGCCAGGTGGTGCTATATCTTTTTAGAAGAGTCTAAAAAGATGTGGCAAAACCTTGTGGAGGAAAAGCATAGGGATTTGACAGTGGAAACTGAGATTGGTGATGAATGCAAATCTAACCTCTTAATCTTGTGTGTAATATTTGTGGTAATTCTCACCTCTGAACCATCAACGGTATCAATAATGAGGCCTTCTTTCTGTCTGAAAAAAATGAGCAAAAGGAATACTTCTCTCTCTAATCTTGTGGGTTGGTGAAGAAGAGGGATGGGAGAAGAAAGAAGGTCAGTAAAGTTCCCTAAATAACTGTTCTATCTATAAATTTCTGGGACTGTATAGTTCTCTTTGTTAGCCCAGATGTGAGAAGGGAGGCAGTTAAGGAAATACGTCATTTGAAAATTTGTATCCCATAATTTTCACTAGCCTCATCTTTCATCCTCTCCCCAGCATCCTAAACCAAGATTTACTAATCCTAAAATCAGCGAGTGCTGGATTAAGGGTTCTCATCATCAGGCCACTGAATCTCTTGGGGCTCCTGGGATAAGCCCTGTGGTCTGGAATCCAGGAAGCAGGGAAGATGAAGTGGTTCTTCCGCTTGGAAGGACAGAGGGTTCCGTACCTGCCATTCTTGGACCACTGGTCAAGGAAGTTCGGATCATCATCTGAAAGTTGTCTGATGCCTTCATTTGAAATGCTCTCTGCAGCTCTCTATTTATTCTTTCAATTGTTCCTACAGAGAACTCCCCCTGTAAACTTATATTTCCAGGATTTGAAAGTTTAAAAAGAGAGACTGTTGCTCCTCTTACATACACTGACACACAGACTTACAGGAAAGCTTTTTAAAACAGTACACTTATGTTCTTAAAATAGGAATGAAAATTGTTCCCCAGGTGCACTAACAAGGAAATTTTATTCCCATTAAAACCATGAAACTTTGATGGTTCTTGGGATAGAATGGGACAGTAATATTGAAGAGGTGACCTCATAAAACACATTTTAAGATGTATTTCTTTTTAAAAGATAAAAGCTAGCAAGGTGGATATAGTATGTATATACATGCATCTGAATACATAACATCTGCTTTGCTTTTCTCACCACCAAGTGGGCTTCACTAGGTGGTATGAGGCTTCACAATGGCGATATGGCACAAGGAGGAGTCCAAATTGAGATCCACATTTGGCTCTTGAAGTCATGACAGTGAGTATGTGGTGCGTGGACTCCATCCACTTCAGAAGGCATTCCCTGTGCCAGAGGAAGTGCGTGCAGAGATATCCTGATTTCCAGCAATGTGTCCCTAATCACAGTTACTCTTGATTCCAATAAATCGAATAAGGTTGAGTTGTGCTCTGTTCAGCAGCTCACACTTTGTGCATGCTTCACGATAACTGTTGACTCAGCCTCTTCCCTGGGAGTCAAATGAACACCTTGCAGAGAACTGGAGAAGGGGATACTGGCAGGATGCTACAGGACCATCCAGAAGTCAGTGCTTGAGTGTGCTAAATGATAGCCTAGGGCCCAGCAGAGATTTCACACTGCTTCTTAAACTGCGTGGTGAACACCCAGGGAGCAGCTTAGGTGAGAAGCTGCTTCATTGAACAGAGAAGGCTCAGTTTGAAATAATACGGCAATC
Organism: Homo sapiens; assembly: GCF_000001405.40. Taxonomy (NCBI): domain Eukaryota; kingdom Metazoa; phylum Chordata; class Mammalia; order Primates; family Hominidae; genus Homo; species Homo sapiens. Next base: position 51,496,285 of record NC_000006.12, on the reverse strand, counting down.
TCTTTTTTGTTTTGAATGGGCTGCCTGTTTCTAAGTGCTTTACAAACAGCTTCTCAGTCACCCACACCACATTACCATGAGGCACTGAAGAGGTATTCCTATGTTATCTTTTTTTTTTCCTATGTTATCTTAAAAATAGCAGAGAGCTGGCAAATGACTCTATTCAACAGCAGTCATAGAAGAAAATAAAGGTCTTTTGAATACCCCCTCTGCTCAGCTTCCCAGATTTGCCACCAATCATTCATGTCACCAACCCTCTGCCCTAGTCACCCCAGGGTAGTTCCTGTCCAGTGCACCACACGCTATGCTTTCATACTTCCCTGCCTTGTTATTGAAATCATTATCCCTCCTTCCAATCTCTCTGTGCAAATCTTGCCAATCTTTTAAGGCCCAAATCAAATCCCACTTCCTCATTCAAGATTTTCATGAGCCTTCCAGCTTGGAAATTCACCTTCTCTCTGACACTGTTAAATTCATAATTTACTTCCTCTTCATGTGGAAGCTCTCTGCTATTCATGTGGTTATGTTTTATCTTCCCAGCTAGAAAGGCAGCTTCTTAAAGGCAAAGACTGACTCTGAGATAGATCTTTAAAGGCAGCTCCTTAAAGACAAGGATGAACAATAAAATGCCTCCTATTTATCATCCATCACCAGGCACCCAGCAGACCTTTACTCATGGTAGCCTCCCAATGGTTATATGCCCACACCTTCCAGAGTTAATATTTTATGGCAATTCACATACTCCAGATCCAGATGGGCATTTAGGGAGCTCAGCTCTATTTTAGGCTCAGATGTTATTAGATGGCCCTGCCCTCCTGAACTGTACTTACTGTTCACAAGAAGTCATCCCACTCTAAGTATTACCGTTTTGGGCAGTTGGCCAGGCCAGCAAAAAGGCAGAGGAATGTTTGAACGAGCAGATTAATGCGCAGCCAGAGGAGAGGTTGTGGATCCCCATTCAAGTTCTTGGAAAGTATCTGTCTATGATGTGATGAAAAGGACTGGATTCAAGGCCAGAGGGTGAGAGTGGCTCCACATGTCCCCTACCTCCTGCTGCTGGAGGCCTGAAAAACAATGAGAAGCCAGAGAGGCAGTGGCACGTGGGAGGCAGCTGACTCCAGCTGATTGAAAATAGGCCATTTGTCCTGTTCAATGCTAATGTGTCCAGGGGCCTGCAGAGTTGGGCTGCAAAGCGAGGCAGGGAGGCAGTTGCATTTATGTACGCATATGTATGTGAGATGAAGGCTTTTTTCTTTGCTTTTTAATCAGCTTTCTGTACTCAATAAATTACCAATAAGAATAGCCAGTTTTTCTAGCTGGCAGTTACATAAGTGTTCTGGTTTTGCCAGCTTGCCGGCGGGGAAAAAAAAAAAAAAAAAACACTTGGATTCAAATTCTAGAGCTAGGTAGGGCCTCTCTGGATGTTTTTCAACCCAAGGAAAAAGGTTGATCTGAAGAGTTCATGGCTCAAATGTCAATATAATAAATTATAAGAGCACAGCGAAATATTCTAATTACCTGGATTTTTTTCCTCAAAATTATTGCTTTACCAAGTATGCATTCACAGTCCTTAGAAATCTCTGGGCTATACCAAGATTTCTACTCAGGTGATATTTGCAGCCATGATAACCTGTTCAGTAGTATCATCCTTCGGGGGTCACTGATTCAAAGTTAGCTGGTCACTGCCTGCATCACCAAGCACCTAGGGAGACGCAGTATGCAGTTAGGCCACTAGAGGAAAATTCAGTAAACTGTTTTTAGTTTCCTTGTATGAATAATGCCAGAGCAAGTGTATGCGTAGGTGGTTGCAAGTGTGTCTATGCGTATGTGTGCATGCTTGTATTGGAGAAGGTAGCCAATGAGGAAGTAATAACACCTTACCTCTCGTCTTTCATACAGATATTATGAAAGGGCATACATTTTCATTCTGTCACCCTGAAATGCCAACCAGCTGAAAAGGAATGTGGTCCAAATCCTTCATTTCTCATTATAGAGAACTGAGGCCCAGATAACTTAGATGGCTTGTCCAGAGCCAGTCAGTGACATTTGCCTCTTCAATGTGTGCCAGACCCTCTGCTAGGTCAAGGACAGAGCTCAGATTTCGACTTCCAGACTTAGATTTTGTGCCACAGCTCCATGGTCAGTATTGATGTAACTCATCTGAGCTAGACAGGTGAGAATCTGTTAAAGAGAATCGGACCTCCTATCTCAGGCAGGTGTTTCTATCACTGAAACAAGGCTGGTGATTCTGACCCAACTGGCCAATTATCTGCCGGCTGCATTTATATGAATCATTGATCTCTGGCATTGGTCTGGAAGTTGAGAGTCGGCTTATGTGTAAAGTGTGGTAGTGTGATGCAGAGTTAGAAAGGGATGACTTTAAGTTGCTTCCCAGGGCTTTGAGCCAGCCAATGCTACTCCCAGAGTACCTAAAGCAATGGCTATTCAGCTTTTTCTTTGGTTTTGCTTTTTTTTTCAACATTTAGAGGGCTATGAAAATACTCCCATGTTCTATTTTAAAATCAAATCACCTTCAATAATTTTCTTAAAGACATAATTTTTTCTTAGAGATTTGCCTCTTCCACCAGATACTGGGTGCCATTTTCCCCTGATGTTACTTCAGGAAAGCCTAAAAATTAAAGGACAGCAGAATTGTCCAGTTTGTTCCATTTTCCATTGTTCTTCATGTTTCAGATGCAAAAAATCAGTACAATGATGTGGACTTAGACACTAGAAGCTTATATTTAGTGTAAGAGAAAACAAAAACATATATATATCTACAGTTCAAGGTAGAAAAAGGTGAACAATTTAAAATGCACTGAGAAGGAACTCATAATTGCTTTGTGGAGCCCTCAGCTAAGGCTTTGCGGAAGAGGTAACATTTGAGCTTAGCTTTCGAGAATTAACATGACTCTCTCACCATCCCAGGGCAATTATTTCAGGCAAAGACATTTTTGCAGCTTCTTGTTAGCTTTCACCGTTTAAAAACTTATTTTTAGAAGTTTGAAGCTCCCTGTTATTCATAATTTTCCCACCAAATATTCTTACATCTAAACCTTGATTTCAGAAACCCAGCATAATCATTCTCAGTAAAGCACACTCTCATATAGGATTCCAATAAATCACCACAAAATACAGATGTGGGCTCTGTGAAGAACATATGCTTGGCCTTTGGTAGAATAGTGGTACTAGAACATCATCTGTCACATAGAAATACTAAATACAGGTTGATATTATTGAAATCTTTACTATGGCCACGCCCTGCTCTACGGGTTTGAAATCTACTAGCTCCTTAACCCCCATAATAATAGTGGGGATAACTTCAAAGTAGGTTTCCGTTTTTATCCACATTTTACAAATAAGAGAACTAAGACGCGGAGAGGTTAATTAACTTGATCACAGTCAGTCATTAAGTGTTTGAGCCAGGATTTGAACCCAGGAAGTTTGACTGGAAAGTTTATGCAAATAAACAACATTTCAGACAGATTCTTCTCAGTATAAAAACAATGGCTTACTGAATGAAATTACTTTATTTATCAAATTTTTATTGAGCCACTATTATTTTCTAGGTACTACATTGTGAGTTGAGAATGTAAAGAAAACTAAGAAGTAACATCTCTTCTTAAACAGTCTATCTAAAACCTTGGAAAGGGAAACCATTATTTAAAATGAAACCAATTGCTAGTAAAGAGAGGACTAGAACTAAAGTCTCTATCTTTATCTTTTAAGTCATGTATTGGAAAGGAATAATGCTGGATACTGCAAAAGAAGCACTTCCAAATCTAAGTGGCTTAGCATAATATAAGTTATTTCTCACTCAACAATACAAATAATCCAAAAGGATATTTCTGTTTCAGTAGCTCTCCAAGCAGTGATTCAGGGACTCAGGTGCTTTCCATCCTGTGTTTCTGCCATCTCTCCAAGGTCATACTAGGGGGTGCATGCTTTCCAATTAGCTTGAAAGTGTAAAGATATGAAGAATCATATGTGGGATAATTTTACGGGTAGGCTTAGAAAGTGGCATATGTCACATGCTTACGTTCCATTAACTAGAAACCAATCATGTGGGGCCACACCTGGATGCAAGAGAGGCCTGGAAATGTAGACTCCCTGTGGGCTCAAGAAGAAAAGGGGATGACCCGGAGGTCTCTATGACATATTCCTAGACCATCAAGTTTCCAAGTAATTGAATTTCCAAATGATACAAACATGTTGTTTAAAAATAGATGTAACGCTGGGCACGGTGGCTCAGGTCTCTAATCCCAGTACTTTGGGAGGCTGAGGAGGGCAGATCACAAGGTCAGGAGATCGAGACCATCCTGGCTAACATGGTGAAACCCTGTCTCTACTAAAAATACAAAAATTAGCTGGGTGTGGTGGCAAGCACCTGTAGTCCCAGCTACTCGGGAGGCTGAGGCAGGAGAATTGCTTGAACCCGGGAGGCGGAGGTTGCAGTGAGCCGAGATTGCACCACTGCACTCCAGCCTGGGCAACAGAGTGAGACTCCAGGAAAAAAACAAAAAAAGGTAACTTTAAAAATCCAGAAACTCAATATAAATCATTTATTTCATGTAGAGAAAAAATAAGGTAAGTGGATGGGGTATCTTGCTTCTGCCTGCCTTTCTCCCATGTTGTTTCAATAGCCAACTGGATGTATATAAGAGACAGAAAAGCGCATTTACTTAAAGAGTTCCAATTTTTTATTCTTTTCAGCCTAGTATCCAGATAGTAACTACTATGCAAAAATATGAATAGAAATTCAATTACTTGTGCATAATTTCATTTACTTTCAGATATTCCAAAATATTATGCTAAATATATATTATCAAAGGTTTAGAGGAGGATGCAAAGAGGATTAACATTTATTGAGTGTTTACTGTGTAGCAGTCACTGTTTCAGTTCCTTTGCATGTTATTACTTTTAATTCCTTCAACGTATCCTGATTATGCCCGTTTAACAGCTAGGGCTTAGAGGGCTTAATTAATGAACCTCAAGTCAATACTCATAAATGGCAGAGCCAGGATGCAAACCTGTTATATCTAAAGGATAAACTTTCATTTATCCTTCAGGTGCTTGAATTTACTCAGTCTGAGCAGGCAATAAAGATCATTCAATGGGTAAAATAACTCAAAAGCTTTTAGTTTATAAAACTGAAGTATCCAGGTGTTAATAGTTTCTACCACTCTCTGATTAATTCTATCTAGAGAGACATTAAGTGTTTACGATGCAAAGTGACCTGGAAGTAAAGAGAACATAGTCACTGTCTCAGGAGTCATTTCACCACAGATCATTCTTATTAGTTCTACCAACATTTATTGAGTGTGTATTACATATCATTTGCTCATCAATCCCAGCCAATACAATGATGGACAAGCCATGATTTCACACACAAACAGATTCCCTCCACAAAGGCCGTCTTAGGTGTTTCTCCCAACAACGTATCTACACTTATCTAATTGTTGCACTTATTTCATGTGCTTTTATAATTGCCATTTCATTTGTCTGTATCCTACCTGCTATGAGTTCATGGACTGTGTACTTTGCTGATGACCACACCAGCACCTAGCCTCATTCCTAACACAAGTGTTTAGAAAATGCATTCTATAATAAATGTATAAACAAATAGGATGATGGATATATTTTAGGAGAAAATAATCAGTAAGAACAAAAGCATTAAGGGATGAAGTACTACAGAGAGGTTAAAGAGCTAGAAAAAATTCAGTAAGTAAGGTCTGAAGTGGGGCTTGGGGGAAGCTGGATAAGAGAAGATAATTGTGGGACTTAGATAAAGAAGAATTATTTGAAAAATTAGAATTCTTCCAGTAAATAATTTCAGTGAATTTGCTAACCATTTGGGAGAGGATTAGGACTCTGTCACAAAGTAAATATTCACAGACAATAATATATGATTGTTTAGCTCATCATTATTGGTATTGCCTGGGGCACCATTGGGTAAACACTTGAGAAATATATTTTGAGTGTGTTTCCTGGTCAGATATAAATCAGAGTTTACATATGATGGGGAGCAAGGAAGAGGAAAGGAAGAAAATCAAGTTAATGGTGACAGGTTTGGAAAATAAGTACTGAGCTGGAATTTCAGGATTAAGGAAATAGAGCTAGCCGCAGAATTCTGTGGGAAACAAACAATTGTCCCAGCAGGTCTTCAAAGACTTCCTCTGTAAGATCAAACTCAGGTTGAGTGAAGGTCAGGAAAGTGCATTGCACTCAGAATCAGGAAAAATTCTAGATTTGTCTCTGCCTCTAACTAGAGGTGAAATCTTTCTTAAGTCATTTAACCTCTTTGATTCTCAGTTTCTTGGTTTCCCCATCTGAAAGATAAGAATTTGAAATGACACTATTACACCAGATAGTCTAAAAAAATCCTTTCCAGTCTTAAGACTATGATATATTAAAAGCATATAACTTTTATTTCATTTGACTCACAATACATTCATTAGAATGACATAGCATTACATGCTAATGAGTCCTACTATTAGTGTTCACTTGTCCAACATTGGAGCTAGGATTACTAGCTTAGGGTCCTCAGTGTTGTTCATTGGAGTGATTTAAAACAGATGGTCTTCAATGTTTTACCAACTTCAAGGCCCAGGGTCTGAGGTTAGTAGCAAGCCAGATTAGAAGATGAAGCTGTGGGTTAGGTACAAAGCCAGCAGAGATGAATGAAGAAGGGGGTACATAGTATATACTAGCGGTATTAATTTTCCATGGCTGCTGTAAAAAATTATCACAAACTTAGTGGTTTAAAAAGTGCGAATTCATTATCTTACAATTCTGGAGGTCAGAAATCTAAAATGGGTCTCACTGAGCTAAAATCAAAATGCTGGCAGGGTACATACACTCTTTTTCTGGAGCTCTTGGAGAAAATTCATTTCCTTGCCTTTTTCAGCTTCTAAAGGCCTCCCACATTTCTTGGCTCATTGCCCACTTCCTATGTCTTCACAGCCAGCCACATTGCATCTCTCTAAACATTCGTCTATAGTCATATCTCTCTCTTCTACTTAAAAAAAAAACCTTGTGATTACACCAAACCCAATCAGGTAATCCAGACAAATATTTAATATCTCTTTTAAAGTCAGCTGATTAGCAACCTTAATTCTGTCAGCAAACTAATTCACCATAGCAACATTATCTAACATATTCACAGGTTCCAGGGATTAGAAATGGATGTCTCTGGGGGTCTTTATTGCCCACCATTAATGGTTCAACATGAATACAGGAAAACAGAAATATGTGATTGCCACGTCCCTGTCGGGGCAGGGGGTAGGTAGGACCATGATAAATTTCTCCTACAATGCCTGTATGGTAACAAAACAAAAACCACTAAATAAAAACTAGACTTTGGGATCAGAAATAACTAGTCTGAATTCTTGGAAAAATTGTTTAACATTTTATATCTGAAAATGGGAATAATAGTACACATGTTGCAGGGTTATTATAAGGATTAAAATGTTTGATAAATAAAATCTGGTTTCCTCCTATTTTTCTCTGTATAATACTCAAATATAAACAATGACTATTGATTTTTTTGTTTTGTTTTTTATTTATTGTGTGGTTTTTGTTTTGTTATTCAATACTAACATGCATAAAATATGGTTCAAGTCTTAACAATTTATATATTGATTGTTAGGAAGCCACATCTAGATTTGTGCTTTGATATACATGGGGGAAAAAAAGCAAGCTTTTCATTATCTTTCTCAGGAAGAGCCCACACTCCAACCATGCAATCTATCATAGTTTTCAAAGAATCTAAAGGTTTATTTGTTCAAGCAAGACTTAAAAGAAAGTTTATTTATGAAGCTTGATTAAGACTAAAATAAATGACACTCTTGGCAAGAAACAATTATGTTGTACTAAAAGTCAAATTCTGACCCCAAATCCAAGCTGACTTCCATGACTGGCACTAATGATAGACCTGGAAGAGGGAAGGTGGCTAGCTCAGCAGCTTTTGACTCTTCAGAATGCCCATCGAGGAGAGCCGAGGACTTTTGTGATCCTGTTCATCCCTACAATAAAGGGAATTATTATTTACAGAACTTAACAAAATGAGCAAATAAACATTGAGAACTTTTCCAGTCCCCACTTTGATCCTTTTTGACACTATGGCAACATGAACTGCTCTTGTTTGCTGAGTCAGCCAATTAGTTTTGCTTTTATAATTTATAAAAAAGCAGCCAATTTTCTTCATGCCTTTACTTAAATGACCAAACTGTTTGTTATTACATTGTATCTACTAGCACACAGTGTCTCAGGTTGGCAGTGGAAAAATGTTCTGCTGTGACCGCCAGGTCAGAACTACAGAATCAAAAGAAAACAGGGCAGCATTGGGTCAAGGTCGAAAATGGGTTGTATGGTTAATGGGAATATGAAGTTGTACAGCTATGGAAGATATTTTGGCTGTGACTGCTTGTGTTGAATATTCAATGCCTCACTCCTTTGGCATCTTGAAGCTTCCTTGCTTGCAAGTTTCTATTAGTTGTGGAATTATGTTGATAAATCCTTTTACATCTTGAAGCTTCCTTGCTTGCAAGTTTCTATTAGTTGTGGAATTATGTTGATAAATACTTTTACATCTTGAAGCTTCCTTGCTTACAAGTTTCTATTAGTTGTGGAATTATGTTGATACATCCCTTTGCATCTTCAAAAGGTAATGAAAACTAATTAATCATTTTCCTGCTAATGCTTGACTTACCTCTCTTCATTGGTTTCACTAGAAGGCATTAACTAACCTAAAGAATAATGAAATTGCTTTAGTCAGAGCCACAAAGAAGACTTTCTACCTAAATACTGTAATATTATTATTGTTGTTATTATGCTATCAACTGATATTAAATCCACAAATCAACAAATATATTTAAAACCTACTGTGTGCAATGCATGATAAAAGGGGCCATGTAAAGTTATAAGGAGATAGAGCTTTAGTTTTAGGGAAATTAAAAAATCTATTTTATGATTTCATTAACATGAAAGACATTTTTAGAAACTAGTGATGGCTCTGGAAAGGTACATGGTTAGGGACTTAAGATTTGAGAGTAAGATCAAACTGAGCCAAAGTCAATGTTATTCTAGTTTGAAGAAAAACAAATGCATCATTTAAAAATTCAATTCTAAATGTCTATAAAGCTCAGAGTTGCTGGAAATTGTATCACATAGTGTGTACAGAGCATATTTGGGTGGAGCACTATCAGCATGCACAGGGAAATGAATGCTGAAGGATATGGTTTTAAATAACTAATTTGCATATGTTTAAGAATTTGTTTATGGCATTTCTAAAAGGAAAAATAAAGGTGACTTTGGCCTGCTTGTCAAAGTGATCTGGACAGTTGAAGGGCTGCCATGAAGGAAATCTTTTATTCACTGCCCATCAAAAATGGGTTACACATATGACAGTATTTTTGGGTAAATTAAATATTAGAACTGTCCTTTGGGAAGACACTACCCAAATTTTTGTTGACAACCAAAAGACCTGGCCAGAACTCTAAGGCAAAGATAGTGAAGTGGAGGAAATTTTGCACTCTATATTGTTAGACCTTTCTTGTCCCTACTCTTCTCCTTCGTCTCTTGATCTCTACTGATTTTAGAATGAATCTCTACAAAACCAGTTATTTCATCCTAATTTTTTCTGACTTGGAAAAAAAGATGAAAAACTCTTTCATATAGTGCTAGGGAAAGAAGAACAATGATTCTCAGGAATATTTTCGTCTTAAAGAATTATCGAGGTCCATTCCAAGATGGCTGAATAGGAACAGCTCCGGTCTGCAGCTTCCAGAGTGACTGACACAGAAGATGGGTGATTTCTGCATTTCCAACTGAAGTACCTGGTTCATCTCACTGGGAATGGTCAGAAAGTGGGTACAGCACATGGAGGGCAAGCCGAAGCAAGGTAGGGCATCACCTCACCCGGGAAGCACCTCACCCGGGGTCAGGGGATTTCCCTTTCCTAGCCAAGGGGAGCCGTGACAGACTATACTGGGAAGATCGGCTAATCGGGACACTGCCACCTAAACACTATGCTTTTCCAACGGATTTAGCAAATGGAACACCAGGAGATTATATCCTGCGCCTGGCTCAGCGGGTCCGACTCCCACAGAGCCTTGCTCACTGCTAATCTGAGATCCAACTGCCAAGTGGATCCAACGGCAAGCCTGGCTGGGGGAGGGGTGTCCACATTTACTGACGCTTGAGTAGGTAAACAAAGTGGCCAAGAAGCTCGAACTTGGTGGCACCCACTGCAGCTCAACTAGGCCCGCCTGCCTCTGTAGACTCCACCTCTGGGGGCAGGGCATAACTGAACAAAAGGCAGCAGAAACTTCTGCAGACTTAAACGTCCCTGTCTGAGAGCTCTGAAGAGAGCAGTGGTTCTCCCAGAATGGTGTTTGAACTCTGAGAATGGACAGACTGCCTCCTCAAGTGGGTCCCTGACCCCCGTGTAGCATAACTTGGAGACACCTCTGAGTAGGGGCCAACTGACACCTCATACAACTGGGTTCCCCTCTGAGACAAAGCTTACAGAGGAAGCATCAGGCAGCAATATTTACTGTTCTGCAATATTTGCTGTTCTGCAGCCTCCGCTGGTGATACCCAGGCAAACAGGGTCTGGAGTGGACCTCCAGCAAACTCCAACAGACCTGCAGCCGAGGGACCTGAGTGTTAGAAGGAAAAATAACAAACAGATAGGAAAAGCATCAACATCAACAAAAAAGACATCCACACCAAAACCCCATCTGTAGGTCACCATCATCAAAGACCACAATTAGATAAAACCACAAAGATGGGGAGAAACCAGAGCAGAAAAGCTAAAAATTCTAAAAACCAGAGTGCCCCTTCTCCTCCAAAGGATCACAGCTCCTCACCAGCAACGGAACAAAGCAGGACAGAGAATGACTTTGATGAGGTGACAGAAGTAGGCTTCAGAAAGTCAGTAATAACAAACTTCTCCAAGCTAAAGGAGGATGTTCGAACCCATTGCAAGGATCATAAAAACCTTGAAAAAAGATTAGATGAATGGCTAATTAGAATAACCAATGCAGAGAAGACCTTAAATGACCTGATGGAGCTGAAAACCATGGCAGGAGAACTACGTGACACATGCACAAGCTTCAGTAGCCAATTCCATCAAGCAGAAGAAAGAGTATCAGTGATTGAAGATCAGATTAATGAAATGAAGCAAGAATAGAAGTTTAGAGAAAAAAGAGTAAAAAGAAATTAACAAGGCCTCCAAGAAATATGGGACTATGTGAAAAGACCAAATCTATGTTTGATTGGTGTACCTGAAAGTGATGAGGAGAATGGAACCAAGTTGGAAAACACTCTTCAGGATATTATCCAGGAGAACTTCCCCCAACCTAGTGAGGCAGGCCAACATTCAAATTCAGGAAATACAGAGAACACCACAAAGATACTGTTCGAGAAAAGTAACCCCAAGACACATAATTGTCAGATTCAACAAGGCTGAAATAGAGGAAAAAATGCTAAGGGCAGCCAGAGAGAAAGGTCAGGTTACCCACAATGGGAAGCCCATCAGACTAACAGTGGATCTCTCGACAGAAATCCTACAAGCCAGAAGAGAATGGGAGCCAATATTCAATATTCTTAAAGAAAAGAATTTTCAACCCAGAATTTCATATCCAGCCAAACTAAGCTTCATAAGTAAAGGAGAAATAAAATCCTTTACAGACAAGCAAATGCTGAGACATTTTGTCACCACCAGGCCTGCCTTACAGGAGCTCCTGAAGGAAGCACTAAACATGGAAAGGAACAACTGGTACCAGCCACTGCAAAAACATGCCAAATTGTAAAGACCGTCAATTCTAGAAAGAAACTGCATCAACTACGGGCAAAATAACCAGCTAACATCATAATGACAGAATCAAATTCACACATAACAATATTAGCCTTAAATGTAAATGGGCTAAATGCCCCAATTTAAAGACACAGACTGGCAAATTGGATGAAGAGTCAAGACCCATCAGTGTGCTGTATTCAGGAGACCCATCTCACGTGCAGAGACACACATAGGCTCAAAATAAAGAGATGGAGGAAGATCTACCAAGCAAATGGGAAGCAACAAAAAGCAGGGTTTGCAATCCTAGTCTCTGATAAAACAGACTTCAAACCAACAAAAGAGACAAAGAAGGCCATTACATAATGGTAAAGGGATCAATTCAACAAGAAGAACTAACTATCCTAAATGTATATGCATCCAATACAGGAGGACCCAGATTCATAAAGCAAGTCCTGAGAGGCCTACAAAGAGACTTAGACTCCCACACAATAATAATGGGAGACTGTAACACTCCACTGTCAATATTGGACAGATCAATGAGACAAAAGGTTAACAAGGATATCCAGGACTTGAATTCAGCTCTGCACCAAGCAGACCTAACAGACATCTACAGAACTCTCCACAACAAATCAACAGAACATACCTTCTTCTCAGCACCACATTGCACTTATTCCAAAATTGACCACATAGTTGGCAGTAAAGCACTCCTCAGCAAACGTAAAAGAACAGAAATCACAACAAACTGTCTGTCAGACCACAGTGCAGTCAAAGTAGAACTCAGGATTAAGAAACTCACTCAAAACCACATAACTACATGTAAACTAAACAACCTGCTCTTGAATGACTACTGGGTAAATAACAAAATGAAGGCAGAAATAAAGATGTTCCTTGAAACCAATGAGAACAAAGACACAATGTACCAGAATCTCTGGGATATATTTAAAACAATGTGTAGAGGAAAATTTATAGCACTGAATGCCCACAAGAGGAAGCAGGAAAGATCTAAAATTGACACCCTAACATCACAAATTAAAAGAAGTAGAGAAGCAAGAGCAAACACATTCAAAAGCTAGCAGAAGGCAAGAAATAACTAAGATCAGAGCAGAACTGAAGGAGAGAGAGAGAGACACAAAAAACCCTTCAAAAAATAAATGAACCCAGGAGCTTGTTTTTTGAAAAGATCAACAAAATTGCTAGAATCCTAGCAAGACTAACAAAGAAGAAAAGAGAGAAGAATCAAATAGATGCAATAAAAAGTGATAAAGGGGATATCACCACCGACCCCACAGAAATACAAACTACCGTCAGAGAATACTATAAACACCTCTATGCAAATAAACTGGAAAATCTAGAAGACATGGATAAATTTCTGGACACATACACCCTCCCAAGACTAAACCAGGAAGAAGTTGAATTGCTGAATAGACCAATAACAGGCTCTGAAATTCAGGCAATAATTAATAGCCTACCAACCAAAAAAGTACAGGACCAGACAGATTTACAGCCAAATTCTGCCAGAGGTACAAAGAGGAGCTGGTACCATTCCTTCTGAAACTATTCCAATCAATAGAAAAAGAGAGAATCCTTCCTAACTCATTTTATGAGGCCAACATCATCCTGATACCAAAGCCTGGCAGAGACACAACAAAAAAAGAGAATTTTAGACCAATATCCCTGATGAACATCGATGCAAAAATCCTCAATAAAATACTGGCAAACCGAATCCAGCAGCACATCAAAAAGCTTATCCACCAAGATCAAGTTGGTTTCATCCCTGGGATGCAAGTCTGGTTCAACATATGCAAATTAATACATGTAATCCATCACATAAACAGAACCAAAGACAAAAACCACATGATTATCTCAATAGATGTAGAAAAGGCCTTCGAAAAAATTCAACAGCCCTTCATGCTAAAAACTCTCAATAAACTGGCTATTAATGGAACATATCTCAAAATAATAAGAGCTATTTATGACAAACCCACAGACAGTATCATACTGAATGGGCAAAAACTGGAAGCATTCCCTTTGAAAACTGGCACAAGACAGGGATGCACTCTCTTACCACTCCTATTTAACATAGTGTTGGAAGTTCTGGCCAAGGCAATCAGGCAAGAGAAAGAAATAAAGGGTATTCAATTAGAAAAGGAGGAAGCCAAATTGTCCCTGTTTGCAGATGACAAGATTGTATATTTAGAAAACCCCATCATCTCAGCCCCAAATCTCCTTAAGCTGATAAGCAACTTCAGCAAAGTCTCAGGATACAAAATCAGTGTGCAAAAATCACAAGCATTCTTATACACCAATAACAGACAAATAGAGAGACAAATCATGAGTGGACTCCCATTCACAATTGCTACAAAGGGAATAAACTACCTAGGAATCCAACTTACAAGGGATGTGAAGGACCTCTTCAAGGAGAACTACAAACCACTGCTCAACAAAATAAAAGAGGACACAAACAAATGGAAGAACATTCCATGCTCATGGTTAGGAAGAAGCAATATCGTGAAAATGGCCATACTGCCCAAGGTAATTTATAGATTCAATGCCATCCCCATCAAGTTACCAATGACTTTCTTCACAGAATTGGAAAAAACTACTTTAAAGCTCATGTGGAACCAAAAAAAGAGCCTGCATTGCCAAGACAATCCTAATCAAAAAGAACAAAGCTGGAGGCATCATGCTACCTGACTTCAAACTATACTACAAGGCTACAGTAAGCAAAATAGCATGGTACTGGTACCAAAACAGAGATATAGACCAATGGAACAGAACAGAGGCCTCAGAAATAACACCACACATCTACAACCATCTGATCTTTGACAAACCTGACAAAAACAAGAAATGGGGAAAGGATTCCCATTTAATACATGATGCTGGGAAAACTGGCTAGCCATATGTAGAAAGCTGAAACTGGATCCCTTCCTTACACCTTATACAAAAATTAATTCAAGATGGATTAAAGACTTAAATGATAGACCCAAAACCATAAAAACCCTAGAAGAAAACCTAGGCAATACCATTCAGGACATAGGCATGGGCAAGGACTTCATGACTAAAACACCAAAAGCAATGGCAACAAAAGCCAAAATTGACAAATGGCATCTAATTAAACTAAAGAGCTTCTGCACAGCAAAATAAACTACCATCAGAGTGAACAGACAACCTACAGAATGGGAGAAAATTTTTGCAATCCATCCATCTGACAAAGGGCTAATATCCAGAATCTACAAAGAAATTAAACAAATTTACAAGAAAAAAATAAAACAACCCCATCAAAAAGTGGGCAAAGAATATGAACAGACACTTCTCAAAAGAAGACATTTATGCAGCCAAAAGACACATGAAAAAATGCTCATCATCACTTGTCATCAGAGCAATGCAAATCAATACCACAATGAGATACCATCTCACACCAGTTAGAATGGTGATCATTAAAACGTCAGGAAACAACAGGTGCTGGAGAGGATGTGGAGAAATAGGAACTCTTTTACCCTGTTGGTGGGAGTGTAAACTAGTTCAACCATTGTGGAAGACAGTGTGGCGATTTCTCAAGGATCTAGAACTAGAAATACCATTTGACCCAGCCATCCCATTACTGGGTATATACCCCAAGGATTATAAATCATGCTACTATAAAGACACAGGCACATGTATTTTTATTGCGGCACTATTCACAATAGCAAAGACTTGGAACCAATCCAAATGTCCTTCAATGATAGACTGGATTAAGAAAATGTGGCACATATACACCATGGAATACTACGCAGCCATAAAAAAGGATGAGTTCATGTCCTTCGTAGTGACATGGATGAAGCTGGAAACTGTCATTCTGAGCCAACTATCACAAGGACAGAAAACCAAACACCGCATGTTCTCACTTATAGGTGGGAATTGAACAATGAGAACACTTGGACACAGGGTGGGGAACATCACACACCAGGGCCTGTCGTGGGGTTGGGGGATGTGGGAGGGATAGCATTAGGAGAAATAGCTAATGTAAATGATGAGTTAATGGGTGCAGCAAACCAACACGCCACATGTATACATATGTAACAAACCTCCTCATTGTGCACATGTACCCTAGAACTTAAAGTATAATAAAAAAAAAATTATCCCAGAGAGGGGCCATAAACTTGGGGTACCCAACACATTGAAGAAGATGCTTTACTACAAAGAGTCTCCTTTAGGCACTGCACAGTAAAAGCCGTCCTCTTACTACACTCTTGTCTGGCTGGCCTTGGACCCTGGAACACTAACTGAGGTGACTCATGAGATAAGATAGGCAAGATACCATATTTGAATTACTTTCTCTCTATATTATACTCTGTGATAATAGCCCTTACTACTAGAGAAAAATACACTGTTGATTTTTGTAGTATTGGTTAAATTACCAAATCTTACTGTGGGAAAGAATGAAGTGGCCATTTAGTTGTTCACTAAAGGCTATGAAGAGCTTGTAGTTCTCTGTTTTTGTTTTTGGCTAAATATTTAGTTATACAGTAAAGCTGGAGACTCTTATGGTGGGTTATAGCTCAGCATGGGCTCCTTTCTAAACTGTCTCTCCACAAATTACTTCAATAATAACTTAGAATTTCTTCACCTGATGATTTATTTTCAAGTCATTTCATTTAGTCTTAAGGGCCATATTCATATGTAAATATTTTCTTCCTAGATGGCCAATTTCCTTTGAAATTTCATCTTACAATACTAAATCCAAATCCTTTGATTCTTGCAAAAATATAAAAAAGGAAAAGATGGGGAAAAAAAGAGAAAAATTCCAGATCAGGATTTAAGTAGATACTAGATGTTATTTCTTGTTCTTTTAGTGATTCTGGTGTTGTTTATGTGTGTGTGCTTTGGACTATGACCCTTCTCTTATTGGACCTTGTGTTATTTTAACAAAATATACCCCTTCTGTTTGCTTTGTTTCAAATATTTACCTTCCTGGACTGCTCTGCATCAGGATGTATTCATATGCACATATCTGGAATCATGATCCAATATGGCAAGAAAAATCCATATCCCAGCCAAACTGGGTTTCTCAATATGTGTTTCACATTGCACTAAACTTTGAGGTCACGTTAATATGAGTAGGTAAGCCACTCACCACTCCAGAGGAAATTAGGAAACCTATCTATTAGTATACTTTTATTCCACCCCTACATTTAACCATCCATGAAACTTTGGGGAACTTTGTTTAGCTTGCTCTCTCTAGTTTACCAAATGATATAAACAACAACATGACCTGGCAAGGACAGATGGAGATATGCAAGTATTGTTTGTAGAGACATAATAATCTTTTTTTTTTCTTTTGAGATGAAGTCTCGCTCTATCACCCAGGCAGGAGTGCAGTGGTGCGATCTCGGCTCACTGCAAGCTCTGCATCTCGGGTTCAGGGGATTCTCCTGCTTCAGCCTCCCAAGTAGCTGGGATTACAGGCACTCGCCACCACGCCCGGCTAACTTTTGTATTTTTAGTAGAGACAGGGTTTCACCATGTTGGCCAGGCTTGTCTCGAACTCCTGACCTCAGGTGATCTGCCTGCCTCAGCCTCCCAAAGTGCTGGGATTACAGACGTGAGCCATCGCACCCAGCCAATCATTTTGTTTCTTATAGTTACTAGCCTGCCTAATCCCTTTACTTCCTGCTCCTCCAATTTGTAATAAAATATTCTCATTTTGATTCACTGCTGAAGATGTGGTGGAAAATGCAAATTGAGAGAAAACCCTTATCTGTGTCTCCCCACCCCCCAACGTTTAATTATGGAAATGCCAAGCTGTCCACTATTTTTGCTATAAATACCTAGACCAACGCAATCTCATACCTGTTCCAAAACTCATTTGTGTCTATGCAAGGCAGTATGGCTGGACCAGATCCAGCTGGGGTAAAGTCAGATGCTCTTTTCATTTGCATCAGTTTACTCAAAGTAGATGCTTTCCTTTGCCTAGTTACATTGTTCCATATTTCCCCACAAGAAAGCAGTTATCATGCCGGAGGCTCTGTTCTCTAACGACTCATGAAATATTCCAAACCAAACTTTTACCTCCTGCAAGACTTTAGTAGATTTCATTTTTAAGTGTGGTGTCTTTGCTTTGTGAATTGCTAATACCAATTTGTCTTTTTCTTTCTTTCTTTCTTTTTTCCCCTTTACTGAACAATAAAGGGAACAGTTAAAGCTTTAACAACCAAGACATAAATAAGAAAAACAGCTCGAAAGCAGAACACTGTGTGGCTGTTAAACGATCAGCTCCTTTCAGATCCTCCATAAGGATTAAGAACTAAATGAATCTTTTCACATATTGTTACTCGGACACAAGGCACAGAATCAACTTCATTCTTCTCCTTTGAACCAAAACGACAATCATACTGGGACACCCCCCACCATCCCCTGAGTCAATTAAAGATCCTGTTACTGGAGTTATTTTAAATGGGTGTGTATAAAGCGCTAGGGGACAGATTGTAGGATATAATCCTCAACTGACAGAGGGGAATGTACTAAAAGTCCCCCAGGAGGTCACCCATCTTGATTTTTGTGAGACACATGGTAGCAGAGATGGACAAACCAATTTGAATGAGATAAGAAAAGCCAAGCTTTTTCTACCCTTCCCCCAAATCCTCAGCCACCTCACAAGCTGAACCTTTCAAACACACTTAGTGCTGAGGCAATTTGACATGGGTGGTAGATTAACACACCCACACAATACAAATAGGGAGAGCGCCTCCCTTACTGATGCCGAGTTCGCAGAGTCAGCTGCTGCACAGTAGGCCAAAAGCCAGCTCGGAAAGACTAGAATTGTATCCTTGACTCTGTCCGTCTTTATTTTAGGGATCAACTTGGACTCTAAGAGAAGAAAGTTCCATAACTTTGCAAATATTCTTGAAAAGACCTGAGATTGACGGTGTGTGTGTGTGTGTTTGTTGTTGTTGTGGAAGAAGGGGTAAACAATCATCTTCAAAGTATGAATTTTTTTTATTTGCTAAATCATGGAGGTTATTCAGGAGTCATTGGTGGGAAGGAGAAAAAAGAAATTGAAAGGGATCAAAATGATCTGTACAGCAAGCCCACATATATAGGTAAACACACAGTTTACCTATGTAACAAACTTGTACATGTACCCCTGAACCTAAAATAAAAGTTAAAAAAAAAAGAAAGGGATCAGGGTTAACCCAAATATAACTCCAGATATAAAAGCAAAACTCTTGCAGGTTTTTCAAATTTATATATATCCTCTTTATATTATAATTTATAACCCTCATTATGCTATACCTTTACTCTCCTGGTTGTATCATGAAACTTACAGGAAGAAACAGAGAAACCAATCTCCGTGAGCACACAATCATGTTTTTCAGTCTCAGTGTGTGCTGCAGTAAGGGATGATTCCCCATAGTTTCTGCTGATAGGAAGACCACAAAGATAAGGGCAGAGGAGTATGAAGCATCCATATGATCTAGCAAGGCTTTCTTGCTGTTATTTTTAACACCCCCCACCCCGCTGCCATAAGAACAATAGCTTTAGAAAATGATTTGAAAATAAGTTGCTTAGAGACTATTTCCCTTAGGCTAATAGATGAATATGTGCATTTGTTCCCAAAGGTTCACATACTCTCTAAGTCTAAACACTAAAGCCCAAGGGCCCACTCAAACTCACCTACCTTACTAGGCTTTATCTTCTTTATCTGACATCTCTTATTTCTTGCATATCCTCTGCACAGTCTCACACCAAAATGAGTCAATGGGAAAAATCTCAAGAGCATCCATTTGGGTCATTATTGTAGGATGTGAGACGGAAAGTGAAAAGTAAAGTTATTTTGTCTTTTTTCCTCTACCCAGATTTTATTACTTAGTTTCGTTAATTTTAGCTTTATACATTTTTTTTTGTGAAACTGTGGTGTTAAATTTTGTGTTGAATGACATTTAATTTGCTCAGATTTGCTTCAAAATATGTTGTTGTTTTTTCTTGATAACATCAAGCTTTTCATTAAAATAGAGAATACTTGTGACCCATTGAGACAAAAGATATAATGTAGTTAAGAGAAGGAAAAACAAATGAAGTTGTCAAATAGTAATTGTTGAATGTGAATATTCAGTGTCTCAGATTTGATCATTTCAAGTGCAATTTTAAAAAAAGAAGGTTAAAAATAGCCTCATTCAGTGTCCTCTGAAGACATAGAGATTAAGTTTTGGTCATGGTATTGGTATATCTACTTCATGGAAAACCCAGATTTCCTGAGAGCAGACATTTTCCCAGGAATTCATGAACATTTCTTTCAGATGACAAAACTCAAAGCTAGAAACAGAGCTGATGATCTGGAACCAATATACATACTAAAGACACATAAACCTTTTCCAAACTTGGTGCATAGCCACCATAAAAATTTTTCAGTCTTTAGTGTGCTGGGAAGGGCTAGCTTAAGCAATTCCCTTATGGAACCATTTTATTCTGACCATCTGCATTAACTGACGCTATTGAATTATACTTCTCAAAGTTCCCAAGTACTGCCTGATTATCTCCTCCTACCATTTATTGATTTCTCTGAAGAACCTTTAATTTTTCAGAATACTACTGTTTTCAGCACATTTTCTACCTTTCCCTCTCTTTTTTCCAGTATTGCTTATAACACAGATATACAAGGACATCTTGGCAATAACCATGTATTTTTCCATGCCTTCCAGCCAAATATAAGTAACTTTTGAGGTATGGAAAAGAGGGACAAGGAGATTATTATTTTGAAACCTACTCATAAACTAGATATTAGCTTTTAAATTGTTTAAAGCACTAACATTAGAATTCTCAGTGTAAAATATGCTCAGAGATGCTTTTAACCATCTTTGTCTCTTTGAATAAATGAGCAAAAAGGAACTTACAACTCATGCATACCCGTGCACTTATTTGCCAAAGTGATAGCTTTAAATATGTTTTCCAACTATTTCTATATATGTTTATATAATTCTGTAGAATAATATTCTGCTACCTTTAAGGTAATCATTCTGATAGTCTTATATGTTGAAAATAAACATGGCTCAAAAAAGGTAAAATTTTATGTAAACTACTCATTTCTTTCTTATCCTTTTATATATTTGTTAACTAATGATTATAATCCCTCTTGTAGATTTATAAGATATTGAGCTCTTTTTATACCCTATGCCGTTAAATTACCTGGTTTACATGATGTGCCAATGTGCCTAGCACAGGACCTCGAGCAAAATTGATGCTAAATCAAGTTTGTTTAATTGTATCTCATTTTCTCCCCTTCTTTGTTTACCCTTAAAATCTGAAGGAGAGTTCAGGGAACTGAAAGATTCATCTTCCATCTGTATTGAAGGGGCCTCCTTTCCAAGTTTGACAGCTCTAGGTAAAGGAATCTCTGATATCCCGTAGTACCAAGTATCCTAGTTGGTTGTGGTTGTGGTCTCCATCTTGTGCCTATTATCAAAAGAGATTCTGGAGAACGCTTTTTTCTAAAACAGCTGTCAAATTTTTGAAATGGTTTCCTGCATGGTAAATGGAGTAATACATAAACATTTTTTTTAACTACAAAAAAGCCAAAAAAAAAAAAGTAAAAAGACCACAAAAATGCTACAGTTTTGCTTGTTTTATGTTTTCCTCACTTTCTAATTCAGTTGACTTAACTTCAGTGCACAGAACTACCCTCCCACCTTGGGCAGTCAATCATGCCACATGGAGCAGCAGCCCTCAAGCTGGGGATATTGGATAGAGTGACGAAAATACTATAAACTGTAAATCAAAGATGATGTCTAGTTTATGAGAATTTTGCCTGAAGAAACATTTTTATTCCCAAAAGCCTCTTTGCTAAAGCGTTTATTACAGATCCTAATTCCTCTTGCAAACTTAGTTAATACTCATGGATGTCTTTTGCATACAGAGCAGGGCACCTGCTGTCAAAACTGACGTGTCTGTCTGGCAAGTGCAGAGTGGAGTGGAGTCGATTACAGAGAGGAAGGCGGACAGCTGAACGGTATGTGCTGCCTAAACTAAGTGCAACAAAAATGCCCATTCTGTGAGCCTCTGTTGATATCCCATGTCTTAAGACCATCTCCTTATGACCACCAGCTGGAAAGCTTTTACCTCAAGATAAGGTATTCCTCTACATTCTCTAAAAGGCAACTTCATGACCATTTTGAAATAATTAGAAAACATTTGCTTTCATCCATATCAAGTTCCTTCAAGGCAGTGTTTATTTTATTTATATTTCTGAAGCTTTCTGGCTCGGTTTCACTTGAAAGTCAACATTCTTGGCCTCCTCCTCTTGTCTCAGCATGTTTAAATTGAGACGACACTCGTTCTTGCTTTCTTTAGAGCTCTTGCCAAGTCACTGGGCATGCCTTTTGTTCATCTTCTTTCTGGGAGTCCCCAATAAATACATGTCCTGATCCTCCCAATTAGTCAAAAATAAAAAGCTCACTTTCTTTACATATGAAATGCATCATTTACAAAGCTATCTAATATACATGCCTTCACAATGGCTGGAAAAATCAGGTTACTTCCAAGCTTCAAATCGAAATATGGTTAATTAACCCTTAAGTCCACTGGCCAGGCTCTCCCACCTCCATATGATTGCCTGTCACATCCTGTTATAATAGAATTCTGTATACA
This sequence comes from Homo sapiens, assembly GCF_000001405.40. Taxonomy (NCBI): domain Eukaryota; kingdom Metazoa; phylum Chordata; class Mammalia; order Primates; family Hominidae; genus Homo; species Homo sapiens. The sequence goes on along the minus strand of NC_000006.12, from coordinate 51,473,862 downwards.
GATGGTTCTATATCTTAGTTTTTGGCCCACTGATTTTAAGCAAAATTTTATTTGACCAAATTCTAAACTGATGGAGGCATATGAGAGTTTCTTGAAATAAATTTTGATTTGGATGGGAAAAAAAAAGTGTTCCCCTGTGGAATATTCAACATTTTTCCAACTCTCAGAATGGTGTATACATTTAAATGCACCCGTTAAAAAAAAAAAAAGAGTTCTGGAACCAAAACTACCAAGACTCATCTCCACTCACCACCTCTTAACCTCTTACTGTCATAATGTTTGCTTTGCTCATTTTGTATTCACCATATGCTGCCACTTTATTGTTAATTTGTTTCCTTTTCTCTATTGGATCATATCCCTGTTAAATCCAAGACCTTTGAGAGTGCCAGGAATTACCTCTTTTATATTAGCTCTTTGAATTCCCAGTGCAGGTTTGATTACCCTAAGCCTGCTTGGCACTCAGCATTACCTATGTGCATGTGATTATGCTGCTGATACACAGACTTGACATGAAACTCTGGCCTAAGGTGATGGAAGTCAGTGAAAGGAAAAACCTGTTCACTGACTTGTTGTAAATAACCCCTTAGGAATTTTATCCTGGAGGTGACTCATCCCAGAGGGAAAACCACTCCCAGCTTTAGGTAAAGGCTTATCCTACCTTTCCACAGCCTGGACTCCTTGAGCTGAGTACTAGAAAGGGCCCAGGACTCTGCGTACAGAGCGACGTTCTGAAATTTTCAGCGGAAGTCCCTAGAGAAGTGATGAAATATTTGCTTGGACTATCTTAAAGAGTTAAAATGGAAAAAACAAAGTCATAGGCAGAGGGTTGTCTAGTGTTTGAAGAGTCAGTTTAATTACTTCAGGGTACCAAAGTATCATTCACCTTTATTCTACTGCAGGGGAAATGTCAGGTTTCAGAGTTCAGTCTTTTCACTCCCCTATACTGCACTTTTCCTGTTTTCAACCGCACTTCTCTCAGATTCTCTGTTTCTACATGCTTTCTCTCTCCCTTTCATCTTTTTTCCCCATTCCATGTCCAAAAACCTTCATTTAAATATTAGCTATTAATTTATGCTAAAGAACACATAATAACAGCTGTGTGTGGTGAATATGAATTGCATATATAATATTTAAACATATGGGAAAACATTGAAACTGTTACTGCGAACTCCATGAATTAACATACAAGAATATAGTTAGGGAGAGAGTTTTAACGGAGACCCCTAACATGGTACAAGGTAGGCAATAGCTTCCCTCCCTAGCTCTAACCTTTAAGGAGAGGATAAATATGGAAAAGTAAATAATGAACTATCTGAGAATCAGAGCATTCTAACAGAATGGTGTAATGCAAACAGCCACCTTAGATTTCAATAATTCCATATCAAATTAGAGAGTGTATCCTCCAGATTTCCTTATTTTAACACAAAATTCAGATTTAATGACTCACTAGCCACATAAGATCCTATATCTTGCCTATAACAAACACTCATTTGACTTTGAACAGCTTGACATTGAGGGATCTGTATGATGTTCTCATACAGAATTTTGTGTTAAAATATTTCTAAACAGATCCTTAAAGGATAAAGAGGATCTAGCCAGCTTAAGAAGTGGGGAAAGACATTTATTGCAGAAAAAGGAGCAGGTAAAAATTAAAAAATGTGAGAGATCAATTAATGAACAAATGATTAAAAAGGATTGGAAAGGAATTTATGGACAATGGGACTAGACAGGTAAGCAGAGGCCTTATTTTAACACAAAATTCAGATTTAGTGACTCAATAACCACATAAGTTCCTATATCTTGCCTATAGAAAACACCCATTTCATTCATTTTATGAAGAAATGGAAGGTTTTTACTCACTAGGCGCTCTAATAAGTCATAGGGCAGTGTTTACCAACCATGGTCTCCAAGTACACTGCAGTATTTCTTAAGATAGTCATTAAATATCTGTTGAGCAGTCCCTTTATGCTAAGCACTGTTCTAATCACTGTGAAAACCGTGGTCAGGACGGCAAAGTCCCTGCTTACATGTAGCAGGGCTTAAAATTTTTTTTTACAAAGAATTCCCAAAACTATTTTGCCATGAAGAATTAAAAAAAAAAACCTGCAAAAGAAAGCATTCTCACTTATTTACATTCCAATATACTTAGAAGAAAAGGTTTATTGCCCTATGTTTTCCCATTTGAGTATGTTACATGGGAGAGTTATTACCTGTCATTAGTTGGTGGTGGAAAACAGGCTGAGGATTCCTGTAAGAGCAACACTAAGGTGGAAATATGTCATCACCCTCAGGAAGCTTACTCTTTAGGAGTGCAGGCATCAAACAAGCAATTTTAAATATAGGATGTCAGCCATAAACTGAGATATGATCACGGTTTAATGAGACTTCAGAAATGTCATCTTTACTCACATCTTGCTTGCCAGATCAACATATCTACATACTACCCACTGGCCATTTTCATGAGGACATCATACAGATCCCTCAATGTCAAGGTGTTCAAAGTCAACGTTATTAGTTCCCTCAAACCTGATTCTTCTTTGTTTTGGTGATTTTTTTTCAGTTTGACTAATACAGGAATCTATGTTCAATCTTGACTCCTCCCTTTCTCTCAAAAACATCCTGACTAACACTCTATCTGTTAAATATCTCTTATAGTCATAATCTTCATAATTTTTACTTCACTTGTTATTTTTACTACTACTGTCATTCATAAGACCTTACTTCAAACCCATATAATTTCTTTCCTAAATTAAATGAGCCATTAACCTGTTCCCACATCTCTGTAGCAGCACTCTCACTTTTAATACTGCATCTCAGAGCAGTCGTTCTAGGATGTAGAGCCAACCATATCACTGAACTGGTGAATTTATAAATAACATCTTCCTTTCAAGATAACACAGCCAGGCCCTTTCTGCACTGTCCTCTGCCTACCTGTGTAGTCCCACTGTCCATAAATTCCTTTCCAATCATTTTTAATCATTGTTCATTAACTGATCTCTCACTTTTTTGAATTTTTACCTGCTCCTTCTTCTGCAAGAAATGTCCTTCCCACTTCTTATACTGGCTAGATCCTCTTCATCTTTTAAGGATTAGTTTAGGAATATTCTCTTGATAAAATTACCTGTCTGCAGACTGGGTAGAGATTCTCATCTATATGTTCCTATATTGCTCTGAGCTTACCTGGGTTTCACATTTTACTACCCTGTACCACACATGACAAATTACTTGTTTGTGCCCTAAATTGAACTGTAGTGACTCTTTGAGGACAAGGACCAGGTATTGTCTATCTTGTGTATTCAGGTTTATGAAGAGTGACTGTTACCTAGTAGACTCTCAATGCATACTTGTTAAATAATCATATAGATATATGAATTACTGGCATAGGGCACAATGGTTGCTATCTAGCAGTATATTCTGGGAGAACAGATTCTTTCTGAAGGAAAAGTCATAGTGGTAAAAATGATCCAAAAGACACTGAGAAAGAATTTAATTTAAACTAGCATTGAGTGCATGAAACATTTTTAGCAAATACTTTTAGTGAAACTGAGTAGGCTTTAGAATTAGCAATCCCAAATCCTATTCCATTCATCTTGCTAAATTCAGAAAACAGTATTTTTTTGGAATGTGACATGGCTGTGTGCCTACCCAAATCTCATCTTGAATTGTAGCTCCCATAATTCCCATGTGTTGTAGGAGGGACCTTTTGGAAGATAATTGAGTCATGGGGACAGTTTCCCCCATACTGTTCTTGTGGTAGTGAATAAGTCTCACAAGATCTGATGATTTTGTAAGGGGTTTCCTCTTTTGCTTTGATTCATTCTCTCTTGCCTGCTGCCATGTAAGAAGTGTCTTTCACCTTCTGCCGTGATTATGAGGCCTCCCCAGCCATGTGGAAATGTGAGTCCATTAAACCTCTTTTAAAAAAAATTACCCAGTCTCTGGTATGTCTTTATCAGCAGCATGAAAATGGACTAATATAGAATGATAGCAAACCCTATTTGCACCATAGTCAAAACAATGATTCTCAGTACTTGGTTCGATCTACAACATGCCCTCATCATTGGCTTCTACTTTGTCATCAGAAGCAGCTTACCATTTTGAATATTAATGACTTTATGTGTCTAACTTTGGGAAAAGTATTGTCACCATCTTCCACCTTATACTCCACCCTCAAGGAATATATTGCTGTCCGCTCTACCTGGAATGCCTTTCCTATAGATGGCCACCTAGCTCATTCCCTCATTTGCTTCAGGTCTTTCCTGAAATGTCATCTTCTCGGTGAGAAGGCCTCTTCTGACTCTTGCTAACATACTTCCCTAACACATTCATCCCAGTGATCACCTTTTCTAACATAATACATATTTACTTATATTTCTGCTTTACTATTCATATCCTTCATTAGAATATAAACTTCATGAGGACAAGATTCTTTGCTTTGTTATGTGTTTTGTCTCCAGTTCTTGGGATAACTTCAGCATTTAGTAGGTGTTCAATAATGATATCTTGAATGAATGAATGATCCAGCATCTGAACTGAGATCTGTTTACATAATGTATGCCAGGTTTTGTTTGACCTTGGTAGTGACGAAAAAGGTGGATGATTGTATTAATAAAATTGCCTCTTTCATTTCCTAATGCTTGCTAATTTTTCACCACATCCTGGGTACATTCCTTCCATCCCATGTCTGTAATTATTTGATCCCTCTTTGATGGAAGTTGTTCACCAAGTGCTTGAAGTTTGGTAAATTTCCTAGCCTACTCAGACAGGTGGGATTACAGTATTTGAATAAAATATAGAACTAATAGCCTTATCAGCCTTTGCTTGATCTTGTTTTCCTAACAGTCAAGATTTTCCTTTCCAAAATCAATGTGTTCTATTACACCTAATTTACTTAACGGAGGACCTGCCAGGTGCTAAATGACAGGGCTCAACAGTGATATCATCTCCTCAAGTACCTTTCATCCAACATCCTGCCTCCGCCCTGCAGAGCTTTCTCCTCCCCCCTCTTACCTTCCTGCTTCTATTGCCTACATGCAGCCTCTATCTAAAGTGTGTCAACACCACTATTTGATTCCATTAGTAGATATTTCAGGAATATATTAGTTAAATGTGTTTGTTACACACGGACAAAACAGCCAACCAACATAATTTAAAAAATTTTAACTAATAGTGTAGGTTTCCACATTAACATAGAAGTAAAAGCTGTAAGTTGAGAATTTCATGCCCAGGAGTAGTAGGCAAGAGGATCTCACCCCAGAGCACCTATTTTTAATTTTCAGAACCTCAGAAAATTGCAAATGTTGTAGTTTAGGGAAAATCTACCATCAGTCTAAATTATAGGAAGAGAATGAAAGAGAGTGGAAAATGTTGAACAAACTAACACATCCTACTTGGGAAGTTAGTCAACACTTTGCTAATTAGGGCCATATTTTATTAGAAACAAAAGAGGAAATCACAGAGCACAGGCATTTTAAAATCAGTATCTTTCTACTGGGAAGTTCATTGCTCAGTTAATATCTATCACACTGCACTAATAACTTTCTGCAAGTACCAAGGAGGGAAAAGTCAGAGCTGAAACAATGCCAGAGTGTTAATATAATATCCGTGGGTGCCCCTGTGAATCCCAGATTTTTTTTAAAAAAAGTTTCTCAGTATTTCCAGGAATTAAATACCATCTTAAGTATAAATTTTGAGAACTTAGTGTAGTGGCAACAAAGGAACTTTAATTCATTTTAAAAGAGCATGCATCCACTGTCTGAAATTACCAGGTTTAAAAGGGGGTGAACTGGAGCGTTCTGAACATATAGAGACATTGATTTCCCTTTCCAAGAAATGTACCCCAGCTTAACCACCTCTTATAATTTTTAACTTGCTATATTCCCCACTTTAGTACATAGAATCCCATATGATTCTTCCCTTGCTTGTAAATTGCATGTCAGTTGTTCACTGTGTTTATGTCTCATTTCCTTTATTGTGTTAGGAACTAAGCAGCAGCATGTTCTCTCTTCACCCTGTGCCTCTCAACCCATCCAGGGCTGTGCTGTGCGTGGTGTGCAGTCAGAAATGCCTATTGAATGAACTTCTTGTCTATGTTGATCCTATTAACCAGATAATTGCCTAATCTCCACTTGGCTTTGTGCTCTATAGGCACAACATAACAGGTGAAGTGAATAAAAGCTCTCTTCAAGCAAATACTCTCATGAATGGGGTCTTTTTTTCAGAGGGCATGGTCGCCTGTACCTCTGGAAGACAATGTTCATCTCACACCAATGAGCAGATTAGACTCAGAGAAAAGTTGACCCAAAAGATCAGATTTAGTATCAACACAAACAAACCTTTATAGGGGAGAAGATGGGAAGGGGGGCAGGGGAGTCTGTGTACCCAACAGGACTTTCCCCTTCCATCACCACTTTTCTCCTAGCAAACATCCGAACCACAGACATTCCAGTCACCTTCTACACTGTTTATTTGGGCTGAGGCAAAACTCGATAAGATCGATTCCAAGTTACAGAGCCTGATATACGGAGAAGAACAACTGTGGTATGAATGCAAAAAAAAAAAAAAAAAGAAGAAAAAGGACCAATGCTAGCACTTATGCAGAAAATATTCAAGTAGATAAACAATTGCACCAAGTCATAAATTTATGGGGAATATTCCACCTCTCAACAGATCTTTTGCATTTGAGGCTCTGAGTTAATCAGTTAACCAGCATTTCACGGGACATTCTGCTATTACTGAGGGTCAAGAGTATTCACTTGAAGAAAGTTACTTCAAACAGCTACCTGTGTGTCTTATATCCCAACCCTTGATACATAAAAATATAAATATATGACATGTCATAATATTTTCATATTGGGTAACTACAGAGAATATTTTGGCAAGGGTGCTTAATCTAAAATGTTCAATTTTAATCAGTTTGAACTATGGTCTGTCTTTCTGTGAACTGAAAGCCACCAATCAATTTTCCTTTATCTTTTTTTCTGTTTTTCTTACCCAAGGCAATGCCTTTTGTAAAAGGGTATTTATTTTTAATGGATTTTTTAATGAATTTTTCAGTCAAGCTATTAATAATGCCATTAATTATAGGCAGCTTGTATTAAAGTGCACGCTGGCCTCTTAATCCTGACCCCCAGCTATTGGCTTGCAGCTAATCCAGCCTGGTGCTTGGCAGAGAAGGGCAGGCCTCAGCCAGCGGCTGCTAGGAAACAGGATGGGAAAGGCAGAACGGAGGGATAAGAGGGAGGAGGGGACGAATAGATGTTTCGTCTCTTCTTTGCCAGAGGGCCTAAAGTTTAAAGCCAGATGATGTGTGAGTGGGGTGGGATAATCCCGCGGATGCCATGCAAGCACTTAGGAAGAACTTCCCACTGGAAGGGCTTTGCTCTGCCTTCAAGGCCTGGCCGGTTTGATAACCCCACAGGAACACTGCGCTCCCTTACCTGAGGCGGTTATGTGCGACTGCCTCCGCTCCAATCTGCTTAAATTGACCAGACAGAAGCTTCTGCCACATAATGGATTCCAATCCCTAGCTTTCTTTCCTTCACCACCCCAGCTTCCCAGTGTTAGGAAAAGTGTTTAATTACCATTTGCTTTCAAGATAATTAAATGTTCCAGGATTTCATCCTTTAGTGAAAATGCTGCTGTGAGCTTATAGGGATGAGTATGTTGTGTATTTTTAAGAATGTTGGCAGGTAGTACAAGTAGACTATTAGGTTTTGGTCAGTAAGGCGCAAGCTTTGGGTGTATGGGTGTCTTTTGTTGATTGTTATCATTGACATGGTGAGTGCCATCTGAAAGAAGGAAGCCAGTTCAATCTGAAGTTGATAGAAAACAACAACAACAACAACAATAAATAAATAAATAAATAAATAACAAGGCTTCAAAGGACTATAGCAGCCCAAACTGGAGAAAGGACATATGAACAGTAACACTAGAAAATAGCAAAAGTAGCCATACAAGGCCGAATATGTTTTTTAACATGACCTTGAGACAAAAAGGAAAATAGGAACTTGTGGGTCATTCTGGCGGCAACTTACTTTGTCTTTCAAAAGCTGGTGGTTGCATGTAATTGGTATGAGAGAAAATATTGCTTCTAATAACAAATCCTTTTAATCAAAATAAATAATAATACTAGTGGCATGATTCTATAAAGAACAATGTTCTTAGCTATTTTCTGGTGTAATGATTTGACATAAACCAAGGTGAAACCTCACTTTTAATTATTCTCAAAATAAGTCCAGGTCCAATTCTCCAAAGAAATGGGGAAATTTTAAGGAGTTTATTTCATATTGGATTATAATAAATATTTACATTATGTATAGCAATAGAAGTATTTCAGGGGGAATTGGTTTCAGAACCCATTGATTTATTAATGACATTTTTTAACTATAAACATTATCAGATTCTCACCTGCCTAAAAAGATTTCTATCATTAAAATAGAACAGAGTATTAATTTGTTGTTTTTAATAGCACAAATTGGGAAAGAATCATTGCATTTGATTAAATTACTTCTTCATTAACCAATGTACATGTTATTTCTGTCATGGGTCTGGGACTGTGACAAATTTTGATAATAGAGTGATAACAAAAAACAGCATGGTCCTACTCTTACAGACCTTAAAGTTAACCAGGTACCCTTGGAAATGCCAGCCTTTCTAAAATAGTTCCCCTCATCCATGTAGGAAATGACAGTGAATGAAGGGCTTGACGCTATGCAGATCCAAGTCCACCACCAAGGCAACTATCAAAGTGTTCTTAAAAAAGAATACTTGAAAGTTCTTTATCAATGACATGAAACATGACTTGTTTCCTCCATAATGTCTACCTTTGATTAGCCTAAAGTATTTTTGGTATGGTTAAGAGTATGCATCTTTGTTAATTGAAGACACTCCTCTCTGATAATATCAATAGTTATCATATGGATGAATTTTATGGGAAGATAATTTACTCCCACTGGGAGCTGGCCTCTAAGATCTGTCTATGACATCAGTTTCAGAGCTCACCCTTGCCAGGAAATATAAAGAAATTCCCTCTCCAGTTCATCAATATTTTGCCCCTGTCCATGATCCTTTTTTTTTTTTTTATCTTTTTTTTCTCTTCCTCAGATTCTCAGTTCCATCATGGGTTCTCCGTGGCCCAGACAGGTGGCACTAACATGAAGTCATCAGAGGACCATGATCCTTCAAGCTCTTAATGATCAAGCCACAGCCTGAAGAGAGTAAAGAGAAATGTTCTTTATATGCCCTAATAGTATCCCCATTTTTCTTATTTTCTTAGTATATGGAAGAATTTGACTTATGATTTCAGAGGATAAGCAGTGTTCCTCTGTTTATTACCAATAGTTCATATGCTTGATTCCCCACCAAACTCTAAGTTCTTGGGGGCAAAAACTGTGCCTTTCTGTCTTCTGGGTGTTTTCAGTCAAGTGCAAGTGAAAGGCACAGTTGGCACTCGGGGCATCTGTTGGACGAATAAGAGAATGAATGGTAAAAATGAATAAATAAATGAAATGAATGTAAAGTAAGACATGAAATAATTTTAATTTTATTCTCAAGAAAGCTGTTTCTCATTGAAGTATCACTGTACATTTGATCCCTTTATTCCTTATTTTGACCCCAATTTAGCAATCCACAAGCTGGATGAACTTGAGCATGTTATTTAACTTCACTAATATTTTTTGTTTCCTCATTCTTAAAATGGGAATAAAAATCCTTATTTCTCAGGGTAATGCAACTCAATGAATGAGAAGTCCTCATAAAAGAGCATGCATGGGAGTTCAGTATATGGCAATAAACTTATTATTGTACTTGTTGCTTCCTGACACTGCATGATTGAAACGACATCACAATGGCATTCTTTTTTTTTTTAAGATGTTCTTTCCAGAAAAATAGCTGTGACCATTCCTTGATTTAGCTCCTATGCTTATTATTGTGTATGCTTGATTTTACTGGAGATTAGATCTCATCGTACATTATATTACTGTAATAGGTTATAAATCTTAAAGCCAGTGTCATACAATGAAGAAATGCAACAGCAAGCAGGGTTCTTCCCTAAACATTACTTGAAGGCTTCTGAGTTCCTTTGTAAATTTCCATCTGCTTAAAAATATTTGAACTCATTTTTAAATTTCAGGGGCTTAATGTTACTTATAGCGTATGAGAGTTCAGATTCAAAATCAGCCTCAGCTGGGACAAACCTGAACATTCTAATCAGGTTACTGTCATTCTGCTATTTGACTGGAGATTACACAGAGAATCCATGTAATTTTAATTTTGTGAGCACCTGACCTGAAAGTCACTAAAGGAATACTCTGTACTCACATTCACTATAGACAGGCATTCTTTCCACTAAATTTATGGACTTGTAAATTGTGTCATAAAACAAGTAGAAGAGTGGGAGAGTAAAGTGTAATTAGATAGGCGGTCTCAGGCTCAAGATAATATAGGGACCCATATTATGTGACTGTGGCAATGGTTCTCTCATTAGAAGATGTTACAGTTGAAGTATCTGTTAGTTTAGGTGTCCTGAGGTATTTGTTTTCTTTGTTCTTGTGATCTGTACTAACTAAAAATTTGTAAAATTTCCAGAACAAATAAAATCACAAATTATGTTACATCATTTTCTAGCTGGTTTGGAGTTTTTTGGTGGTTTTATCATATCACCAAAAATTCTACCTATTTTTCCCAGATTTGCCCTGGGAAGGTGAGCTTCCTGTTGCAATTAGGGGAGCAATTGCATAATTGCCTCAAAGTTCAAAATCTGATGTAGCTTTATCATCAAGCCAGACCTATTTAGAGCCCTGGAAGGTTATTATTTCATTTAAATGTTCATAGCCCAGATCAGGCCTGTGAAACAAAGAGAGTAGGTAGGTCTCTTATCTAGCATCCATTTGGGGATAAATAGGGGACTTAGAAGCACAATCTTTTTTTTATCACAAAAGCTATATTTCTCACATATTTGAGCAATGTGTCTCAAGGATTATACAGCCAGCTCTACCTATCCATGGGGTTTCTATCCATAGATTCAACCAACTGTAGATTCAAAAAAGTTGAAAAAAAGGATAAAAAAAACCAACACAATAAAAATATTCAAATAAAAATCAGTATAACAACAATTTACATAGCATTTACATTGTATTAGGTATTATAAGTAATTTAGAGATGATTTAAAGTACATGGGGAGATGTGCAGACGTTATATGCGAATACTATCGGAATTGAGCATCTGCTAATTTTGGTATCTGTGGATGTTGTGGAGCCAATCCCCCACAGATACCAAAGGACTACTCTATATTTTATGCCTCCATTCATCCCAGCTCTTCAATGTTCTTCTTTTAATTTTATCTCCAGCCTTCCTAATTTTTATGTGTTTCTGGGTTACATATAAAGTCAATTGCAATTTCCAGAATTTTTTTCTAAAGAAAAGTTTTGTGAGAGTGGCATAACCTCCTAATTCAGCTTAGTTTTATATGACTGCATCACTTACTATATTCATAATCCTTCTTCTGTGTGGGAGATATTGTAATTTTATACACTGTACACCTATTGCAGAATACACATTCTACACTTATTTCAAGTAAGTCAGGCATGAGATACATTCTTCTAAGGTAAGATTGATAAGAATCTAATAATTTCAGAGATGGGTACAAAACAAAACACAAAATTTTTTGGTACATTAAGTTTGGAATTATCAGAAAAGGCTTTAAGGAGCTTAATTTTAGAACACTTCTGATCCTCCCCCCACCCCCCACACACATACCCATCTCCAAGTAAATAGCACAAAAAATGTATTTTCTATCTGAAGAAGAAAGTTGCCTCCATTTAGAGATGGTATCCTATATGAAAGTCATGGCATCACTTGTAGCCATGACTCATTGTCCCCACTTCCTTGTTTAATACGTCATGCTCCTTTATAAGATGGAGTGGAATAATCCCTTGATTTCATGTGGTACCTCACCTACAGTTTACAAAGTGCCTTTACATTCATTTCTTCATATTATTAACATGATAACCTTATGCGGTAGAGACAAAAGAGATTGTTATTATCTTTGTTAGATTAGGAAATTGAGGTTTTGGAAATTCAAATGATGCCCACCATCCTACAACTCTGCAAGTAGCAGAGTTAGGATTTGATCTCAGATCATCTGAGTCTATAACTGGTTCCACTTTCCATCACGCTAAGCCACGTCAAGGTACTTGATGTTGGTGGAAGTTAACTTTACTTCCTACAGTGTGTGAACAAAGCTATGACAGAAACTGAGTTAATAAGTTGAATTATATGGTGTCAAAGTTTTCTTTCAACCTACAGTATGCTGTGTTTCTGGAGCACTTTGGAATGTTTAGTCTGTGCTGTGAGGAATACCAAGATCCCAGCAAAATCCGTCTTTCTTCTCCCTTACAAATGCTAGAGGTATTTTTCACAGGGGCTCTGGTTCCCAATCAGCTAGGAGAGGAAGGAGACATACAAATCTGCCATGGAAGAATGTAAACCAGAAAACTAAATTTGTGAACCCATATAGCTCATTAGCATTATAAATTACTCAATTAAGGAAGGATAGGAAATTTCCCCAAGATGTCTTAGAAAATCAAATAGTTACCTAAGAATTTTGAAGGAAAATTGATGGACTAAAATGAGTTCTTAATATAGCTATAGGATTGTTGCATTCTCTAAATCCTTGAATTCAATCTTGTTCAACTTAATTCCTCACCTAACTGGTGATGGGTGGTGAAGGAGTGAAGAGGGATAGAGGAAGATGCAAGCTGTCTCAGTCTCCAATTCTGGGTGAAAGCAAATGACTTGATAAAACATAATCACAAAAAGAAAATTAGACTTTTTGGACTCTCATCCTTCTATCTTTCAATTAGTTTGTTGGCAGGGCAAAGTATTGTGTTGCCAAAGTCTTTGTACGTTGGTCAGTAACGTCTCTCTCTTTCTCACTCTCTCTCTCTCTCTCTCTCTTTGTTTCTCTCCTTTCTCTCCCTCTCTTATTCTTAAAAGAAAATGTACATGGTTGCAGGGCACTGTTGCCAAAATTCATATTCAGTTGGTAAATCTATAACTATTTAAGATTCCTAATCTGTTTTCTTGTTTTTATGTTCATTCTTGCTTTTTCTTTTACTTCGTAACGATATGCCTTTAAAAAATACCTTTCAAGGGTCTCTGAAAGTAATTTGACATGGTTCCGAATCCCACTACTTTTCTTTTCCTAGAGAAGTTTCACGTGGCTGATGCTTTATTGTTTCATGTTACTTGCTAGTTATTTGACTTTGACAGAGCTGGGTTATGGATTCAAGGGAAGGAAAGAGTAAAAGAACAAAAGGAGTCTAATTCATGCTTGAGATTCTGTCTTCCCAGTGGGACTATGTTTTTGTTTGTTCTTCACAGGAATGATGAATACTGATCAGACTAAATTTAAGACCCACAGGGAAGTTGTATGTACTATAAAATTCTCTGGGTCCTGAACAGGGTAACACACTTTATGATTTCAAAAAGTACTGATGAATCTCAGTAAAGACTAGGGGAATTTTTTTAAAAGCAAAGTAAATAGGAAGCCGCAGGGACTGGAGTTCCCTCTCATTTCTCACTTTCTGTTTTCTCTTAACTCTTTATAGCCCCTACTCACGCAACATTTCTCTAGGGAGATGCACAATCCCCAAGGTGATAGCAAAAACAAAAATGACACTCAGTGAGCTTTCAGAGTAAACAAAAGCTGTGCTTGTGTACAAAATTTGTTTTATTGGCCCAGTTTAACAATCTTCTTTCACATAGCCCTGTGAATAGCAGGAATCAGGACATGACTCCTGGAATCCAAGACTGTCTTGTGAAATCCTGACAAGGAAAGCAATTAGAACTTTCAATTCTATCTGGTTTCACCACATGCATATAGACATGGCAGTATCATAAAATTATAAACTAGTTGATGTAAGGCTACACAGATGTAAATACATACTTAAGGTGAACTGTGGATTACAAGGAATTATGTTATGCTTGTTTTTTGTTAAAAAAACTGGAATGTTGAATAATAAATTGTAACATATGCCTGTATATATTGATATTATTTTTATAGTCACTTTCAGAGGACAAATTGATAAACATTAATTAATTTGAATGGGCCACAAGAGATTAAAAAGCTAAAGCATGACTTCTTCACTTTAGTTTTATTTTTTTCTTCTTTGGCAGCAAGGAACTCAATATAGTACAGTATAGTATAGTGTAGTGTACTATATACTATAGTATACAGTATAGTGTGAGTTTATACCAGAGTCAGCAAAGTTTTTCAGTAAAGGGCCAAATAATAAACTTTATAGGCTTTGCAGGTCATATGGTCTCTATCTGAACTACTCAAGTCTGCCATTGTAGTGCAGAAGATACCATAGACAATACATAAATAAATGAATGTAACTGTGTTTCCATAAAACTTTATTTATAAAAAAAAGATGGCTACACACCCATGGGCCATAATTTGTCAACCCTATCTACCCGTGGTCTACAGACCATAGCATGGAGGAAAATGTCTTATCAGTTTTTGGTACTAATACAAAAGGAAAGTCTCCATAGTGTTGTAGTTTATATAATCTGAAGTAGAACCATTTAGTTAATTCTTCATCTGTAACATTACTACCTAGAAGGACTAGTAGCCTGAATATCTTCCCATTTACCAGTAAGTAAAGTAAGACTATATTGAACATGTATAGAGTAAGGCATTGTGCTTCTTCCTATGAGGAAACAAATGCATATGAGATAAACTCTAGATCACCCCAAAATGTGCAGACTGGTTAGAATTTTAAGGGACTAATCCCTAACTGCAAGGCAAGATAGAGTATGAAAAATGTCACCTGTAAAAGTATTGATAATGAATTATATATAAATCCAGAGAAAGTAGAAGTGATTGCTAAGGCAGAAAGGAAATTAAAGTATTCCCAGGTGCCAGTTAGTATGCTAGGTACTTTTGTTTTATACATTTCTCATTTAATCTTCAAAATTAATCTGAGACAATGGTCTTGATATTTTCATTTTTTTCCTATTAGGAAATTGAGACTCAGAATGGATAGATTGATCCAAAAATACTGTTTATCCTTTTAAATCTTTTTATTTAGAGTTATAGTAGCTAATATTGAAGGAGTGTTGGTACCTCTGAACAACTTGGAGAAGTAAATTAGAAATTCCTCTCTCTGTCAACAAGAAGGAGAGGGAGAGGGAGATTCAGTGAGTTACCTCAGGTCTCACAGTAACTTTAAAAAGCCAGATTTGAGTTTGCAGCTCACATTTTTAAGCCATGTCTGAACACCCCACAATGTAAAATATCAAGATTCAAACCATATTACACTGATGTAAAAAAGCAGATGGATGGGAATGGGATGTGAATTTAAGTAGAATTGAAAGAATGACATTGGATGGTTTTGAATGAAAACCACAAATATACCTGTAAGTGTAGGAAGAGATTATAGGCTGATGAAAATTATCACGAGATGATACTTCTAGAAACCCTCTCCAAGGCTACACTAAGGCAGAATGAATCCTTGTGATGCCATGGGAATAATTATAACAATTATTTGCTAATCTTTAGATCTTAAAGCAATTATAAATATCATTAGCTCATTAGGTGATAAATCATTTCAACTCCTGGCCCCCAGTTTTCTCATCTGGGAAAACAAAAAGTTGTACAATACTGATTATTAAGGTTACTTTCAGCTTGGAAAAACCAAATGTATCTGTGATTCTCTAACTTCCTGTGATCTAAATTTCTGAGTTACATAAACCTGCCCATCTGAGTTTGGAATTAAGCCTTAAGCCAGAAAACATGTGACCTACCATGTACTAATGACTGCTAATGTATCTCTTAGAGTAAACCACTGCCCCCTCATTTTTAAGAACAGTAAATTAGGGACACAATAATTTGGGTTCACCTAGAATTCATCTCATATGCATTTGTTTCCTCATAGGAACAAGCATGTAATTTTTAGTATTACATGGCTTTGATATTTAGCCATATTTGATATTTAGGAGTATTACATATTTGATATTTAGGAGTATTACTTTGGATAAATACTCCAAAGTCACAGTTATCCGAGTGTTGGCTCTTATTATAAGGCTTTGAGAAGGGAAAGTTTGGGTGTGTGCCTTCCTTCTGAGTACTGCTGAGTAAATCTGAGGCCCAAGAGCTATCACTCTGGACCAGGTAATCAAGGGCTAGTGGTTTCTCATCTTTCCCATTTAGAAGATGGGATTAAGGAAATGTTGAATTGGCCCCCATTCCTTTTTGTTGTTGTTGTTGTTACTGATATTATGTATGACAGGAAAACCCTGCCTCCACAGACCAGACACGTTACTGGGCATCTCTGTACTTAGCACAGGGAGTCTGATCAATTAGTCCATTTAACAGGAGCTCCCCAGCCAGCCTCCCTCTGGAAAGCAGCTAAGAAATTCTTACATTCCTCTCAATATGTTAATCAGACAACTGGTATCACAGTTCTCTAACTGTGTAATACCAGTCCCCCTTGGCAGATATATTTTATTTGGATAATGATGTGAAATTTAAGATCTACGTTTCAATTGTGCAGAGCCATAGGCAGTTGTCAATTTTAGTGACAGACATAGACCTCGAGCTAAATTCCTGTGCACAAGCAAAAACTCCAACAAGCGTAGCACAATTCTGGTCCCTTAATAGAAATACATTTTCTCCCATCGAGGGGCAGTATTTTTAAATGTTCATCACATCTCTTGGTACCAGCAAATCACTAATGCTCTCGAATATTTCCCTTAACATGGGCATTGGTGACTTGAGCCATCAACCAGGCTGACAGGAAATCAGATGATTATAACCTGATATCCTGCTTCTTCTCTAGGAGAACAATGCTGAAAACACACCATCTTTTATCCCTCTGCAGTTTCTCCAGCAAAGTTGTTAGTTAATAGGTCCAAACTCCAAGGCAAAAAGAAGAGTCTCAACTGCTGAATTTCTAAGACCTTAGGATCCACGTAATGGGGAGAATTCCCACTGCTGATCTTGCTGTTGGCAATTACATTAAAGAAACAGCCAGCAAGTGAACCCTGTGGCCTGGGGCATCGGTAATGTGATGTGTGGCCTCTCACCTTGAGGTCACTGGTTCAAATCCACCCGTGGCTAATGGGGGCGAACAGTGTCTGGTATTCTAGGTAAAATTATTTGTTAGATTTGTGAAAACACACATCAGATCCTGGGGCAAATGTACCAAAATAAACATCACAATTAATCCTAACCCATTGGTATTATGATTTAACACTTAGTGAGTTTTAACCAGCCAAGTTGAAAAGAAAGAATTTTTTTTTAAGTCTGCAAAGTGTGTGCTCCTAATACTAAACTGGCTGCTTTGTACTGTGGCCTAAAGGTAAATAAACTGGGGCTTTGTCTCAGCAGAGAGCAAGGGAATTCCAGAGAAAAGACTCCACTTCCCTGAAATGCAAATCAGGAATATTAGCAAAAGGAGCTGGCTGATTTTTCCTGCTCCAGTGGTGGACAGGGATAAACACTTTCTTGGCATTGACTTGTTTACATGCTTCCAGGCACTAATAGAAGGTGCAATAATCAGTGGTACAAATAGAAAGACAAAGGATCTGGGGGTGGAGATTAATATCCATCACACCTCATCTCTGGACCTTATTTCTTCATCAGTAATATAAAGGGTTTAGGGCAAAACAATCTCTAAGGCTCCATGAGTCTGTAATTCTCAGACTAAGAGCTCTGATTTCTAGTATCCAAATAGCTTTTCACTCCCCTGATTGGACAAGCATTACCACTCTCCATACCCCCAGCATATCTGAGTTCTCTGACATGAGACACATACACAGGCTTGAGGGTAATCAGGACCAGATCAGAAGTTTTGACTCTGCTGCTCCCAGCTGTGTGTCTTTCTGCAGGGGACTTCCCCTTCCTGAACTCCAGGTTCCTCACCCATAATAGGAGGAAATAATATCTACCCCAAAGTTAGTATACATTAAAGAAGATAAATGAAGAACCTAGTACATTGCCTGGAACATAGTACACATGCAATAAATGTTAAACATTTCTTAAGAAATTACCTCTTTCACCTCTATCCCCCAAGAACCATAATAAGATTGGTTATTGCTTATTCAATCACTCAAGAGATTCTGAAATGTGAACTTATCTTTTTTCAGATTCATTTAATCAGTGTGAGCTGTTTATTGTCACAACCATACTTCTTCTGAATAAAATGAGGATGTACATCCTCCTTAATTTGAAGGTCTGCAGACTGACATTGCAAAAAAAAGTATTTTGAATATGCAAACATGCTTGGGCAGACCTTTAGTTAAAACAAAGAAAGAGATTTAATGTATTTCCAAAACTTGATTTTTTTCATTTTCAATCAGAAATTACTGTGGAACGTAGGGGAAACTTTGGGTGATTAGAGATGGCTTTGCAATTCATGTTCAGTTCATTTCTGGACTCAGTCTCAGTTTATCTAGCTCTATCTCCTCTTCTCGCCTTTTCTGCCACTGTATTAACCTAAACTGCTAACTGCAATGGCTCACCAATTGACAATTCATGGGTAAAAGAGAAAATCCCATGAAAGATAAATGAAACTTTCTAGTGACTAGTTAAATTATTTTCATACCTATATTTCTAGAGCAGAATTTCTTAACTTTGGCATTGTTGACATTTTGGGATGAATAATATTTGTTTGGGGGGGCTGTGTAGAGACCAGGATGTTTAGCAGCATCTCTGGTCTCTACACACCAAATGCTAATAGCACACTCCCAGTTGTGACAACCAAAATGTCACTGGACTTTGTCAAATGTCCCCTGGGGTGGCAAAATTGCACCAGTAAAGAACTAGTGATCTAGAGGTTCCAATCCCCTCCCCAAGCCATCTGGGAAAATAACAGCCATGGAAGATATATAATTGGCATTTTCCCAGAGAATAAAGAAGCTGCAGTTTGTGTTCTTTACTCCACTTTCAAGTTACCTGCAGCCCTTGCTTGCCTCCTGGTCTCTTCAAATCCTGTGTAGGGCTATAGGTATGTCTATTGACAGTTAGCACTATCTTGGGATTTGGAAACAGGAACTGGAGGAATGGTGTTTGTTTTTATTTGACAGTTTTTAAGGATCTGTGTCTATTGATCTTTGATGTCTTCCAGATGGAACACACAATGACATACAATCCAGTTGTTGATTTTTTTAAAAAGGATCATACAACAGTTACCCCCCAAAAAAAATTCCAGAAAAAAAAGGGTGTAGCAGAAATCCAGCTACAAAGGAGAACCACTGCAATGGGAAGTAGTAACTTCAGAGATGTAGCATAACAGAGCTATAGCCGTTGAGGAGGAAATCAGAAAAATAAAGTACTCTGGGACAATAAATAGATTCAGTGTTCTCCTAAGATTGACTGGCACTTAAACTGTATTATAAGTGAGTATGTCAAGATAATAACAGAAAAGTACTATGAATATGCAAAGAAAATTATTGCACAACAGCCTCCATAACTCGGGCGGGGTGGGGGGAAAAAAGATGACAAGTGGCCGGGCGCGGTGGCTCATGCCTGTAATCCCAGCACTTTGGGAGGCCGAGGCGGGCGGATCACGAGGTCAGGAGATCGAGACCATCCCGGCTAAAACGGTGAAACCCCGTCTCTACTAAAAATACAAAAAATTAGCCGGGCGTAGTGGCGGGCGCCTGTAGTCCCAGCTACTTGGGAGGCTGAGGCAGGAGAATGGCGTGAACCCGGGAGGCGGAGCTTGCAGTGAGCCGAGATCCCGCCACTGCACTCCAGCCTGGGCGACAGAGCGAGACTCCGTCTCAAAAAAAAAAAAAAAAAAAAAAGATGACAAGTGACCTAGCCACACGATGTGTGCAAGAGTGTGAAACTGGTTTAACTGGCCTCAAGAGCCACCTGGCACTTGGCACTCCTCAAATGCCGGCACTGTCCTGAACCATATGTAAGGCTATAAATGTAACTGTTGTCTTGTAAAGAGCCTTGATTGCCAGGTAACTTTGTGGGACACTGTGGTAGTTTGCCCAAGGCCCCAGAGGTGTGTGCTGTTACATGTCAGCTACGAAAATATGCTACCGACATTTTTTTTTTTTTGATTGTGTGCTATGTGCTGAAATAGTACATTTATAGTTATCCTTACCATGTCACATTTTTCTTAAGAACTGAACTCAGAAGACACTGAGGAATAATATATTTGGGAATGTATGCCTTTAGATTCCCCCACTTTGCTTGTGCTAACAGTCTGGGAAAAAGCAAGCGAAATTAGGATGAAGATGAGAAAGATGGGATGGATTCAAATATTTTCTACCCATTTGTTGAAAGCTCATTCTAAGCTTCCATCTCTCCTCCTCACTTGCCAGTAACATACTTCTTGCAAGGAAATAAGAATGTTCATTATTTTAGCATTAACTAAAGAGCAACTTGCTGGTTCCCAGGGTAAGTCTCTCCTTGTGTAAACATTTCTCAGATTTACAGCTAACTGGTCAGCTGTTCCTCTCCAATGCCTTTTCCTTGCTCCCTATAAAGCATCTAGAAATACCCATTTTTCCAACCTCTCCCATACTTCAAACACCACCAGCGTTAGTATACCCACTTTGTGGCTCACTAATAAGGAATAGCACAAACTCGTTTTTTTGAAGCAAAGGCAGTCATGTTGAGCCTACGAAGGCATCCCCAAAGGATAGTTGGAGTTCTGCCTTTGCAGAGAGGAGAAGAACCTTGGTACTTTAAGCCATGTACAGGTTATAGTCATCTCCATGTACAGCTGGACTCATCTCCTTCAAAAATTAAAGAGCAGCAAATATTATATTGTAAACACCTCAAAAATTCACGAACTACATTTCACCTCTAACAATAGTTTTGACAACAACCACAAGACAAAGTTGTACTTTGGGATTTAAACAAAGCAAGATGTTTAATCCAAAACTTTCTTTCAATAGATATCTTGTTTATTTATTAAGATGTCTAATTATGGTAATATAATTGTTATTTATTTAAATAGCAGCTCAGTGTCTAGTACATTATTTTGGCAAGTCATAGATGTGAAATAAAGGCAAGTCGGGTGAAGGTTTGTCCACTATTGCCTGTTCACTTTGTTAAAGTTTGTGATAATTGCATTCTGCATTTAAGGAGCCCTCACTACCATTGTCACCACAAATGCTTGAGGTTACTGTGGCCCAGGGCTTTTTTTTCTTTGTCACATGAGCAAAGGAAGGCACTCAAGAAAGTTCATAGTGTGTGGAATGATCACAAAACACTGCCCACATTCACATTTTAGTTATAACTTTTGCTTGCTTTGTGACATTTTCCAATTGCCATTTTTTATGTATATCATCCCAGTCCCTAAGGAACTTAATATTGAAGATAGATAAAATTACATGAATAGTCCAAGTGCAAGCATTAAAGAAACAAATACACAGTCAATTTTGTGACAGGACACATGCTTAAAACATATTGGGAACTGGAGCAAGACTAGCATGCGGAATGAATGGGAAGATTGCTCTTCCCAGAGATTTCTTTTTGGAAGCATTCTCAATCTAAAATGTTCCTTTCTTTTGTAGTAAGGGCAGATGCTACATTTCTTTGACAATAGCTCTTCTCCAAGAGAAAACTTTCAACTTTCAGATAAAAAATGCTTAACTTCCATATTTTGCTTGTTAAGAGAGGGAGAAAATAAGTTAGTTATTTCTGATTATACTACTTTATGCTATTACTTTAGTCAAGAAGACCTTTGTAGAGAATAAATAGTTAAACTACTTAATT
The DNA here is from genome assembly GCF_000001405.40 of Homo sapiens. NCBI lineage: Eukaryota > Metazoa > Chordata > Mammalia > Primates > Hominidae > Homo > Homo sapiens. The sequence goes on along the minus strand of NC_000006.12, from coordinate 51,452,114 downwards.
AAATTTACTAATTAATATATTTGAGGTATAATAATACTTGTCCTAGGCATAATTATCAATGTGGTTTACTTATTTCCTTTTTAATAGTGGTTTGTATATAAAAAGTTACTAAAATACAGATTTTAGTATAAATCCTTAAAAGAGAGGAGAAACTATTTTTATATGAAGTCTATATTACATGACACCTGAGGGGAATCCCCATATTTTTCACATATGTTAATAATTTTGCAGATTGAAAAGCTAAAAAGAATGGCTTTTTTGAATACTGGTTATCTTCTCTCCAATTCTTTTTTTTTATTATTATTTTAATAACAGGGTGGTGTTTTCCCAAGTCTCCATGAGTAATAATGTAAGAAAAAGAAAACAAAACACTTTTACAAATTTAAATAAAAGGAAACTAATACAAAGAAACACAAGTTCTATATAATTGCAGAAAGGAAATTTGCTAATTTATAGCCAATGTGTTAAAATACTAAATATTAATACATTTCAGTTCTGCCTTCACTTAGAACTAGTTGAATCATGAGACTCATCAAGGAACCACTAAGTGCCTGAGTTAGGCCCCATAGGAAGAGAGCAACCCTCACCTGTTTGCTACTCCCTTGAGGCTCAGAAAATCAATTAAAAAAATAATAATGTGAGCAAAAACTTTACAGAAAACAGGAAAAAATACAATAAAATCATCATAGGTCCCATGCATAAAGACTTTTAAAGAGAGGGAAGTACTCTACACATAGTAGGCATTCAGTGAAGTTTTCCTGATCATAATTATGAATTGTTTATTATTTTATGGCCACAAGCTACAACCCTGCAGCTCTGAAATAGACCCAATACTTAGTAGAAAACCTACAAGGAATCTGTAAGTAGTCAAAAGCCAAAGAACCCACAGTCAGTCTTCCATGCCTCCTTGAAAAGACTTCACACACTGACAGGGAGAGTTGTATGCCTGTAATTGCTCCCCTCATAGAAATGCAGAGAACAGCACCACTGTTCTATAAGAAAAAGGGAAATGACAATAAGATTAAAAGCAGGGGGTGTTGATCATTACAGCCCAGAAAAAAAAAAGCTTAGTTCTCCCCTAAAAACTACCCTCCCTCCAAATCTAACAAATATCAGAAACCGATGATACCTCTTTTGCTATTTGTTCTTGGATGCAGAATTCTTCATTAAAGTTGAGGGATTAAATATAGCACTTAGCTAATTAATTATAGTTTGATCGTTTTGACACCTCCAAATGACTCAGCCACATACCTTGAAGCTTTGTCAACTCAATTGCATCTTTATTTTTGTTGCCTTTAACCAACAATGAAGACTAATGCCACTCTTTCTAGTTTTCAATCACCTCTACAGAAGTGCTCCCCTGGCAATGTGCAAGGACAGACCTAATTAATCCCTCATCTGCCCTCTGTGGTGTCTATACATCACACTGGCAGTTGGAACTGCTGCTTGTTTTAGGGCTATTGCTGGAATGAAAAGCTCATCTGTTTTTCAATAATTTTACCACAGGTGGTGATTTGTAATTAGAAAGGGCAGAATCCAAATTTTGGTATGTGTATGTGTGTGTGTGTGTGCATGTGCATGTGTATGCTTGCATGTGCCTTGTAATTTACAATAGGCGCTTATTGTAAAAGAGAGAAAAGGAAAATAAGCAATAGCATAGCAGGAGAAAAGCATTTTTTGGCATTAAGCCAAACAACAAGATTTTTAAAAAACTAATAATTTTCATTTTGATTTGTGTTTTCTCTCTCTTTTTTTTTTGATTGATAGAGTCACATACAAATTAGAGATCGAACACCTGGTGAAACCCAAAAGACTCTGTAAAGTCCAGGAAACTTTAAGACTCATTGCTGTTCCCTGGAGGAGGTGTATGTTGGTGGTGAGTATGTGGAGGCAGATCAAGGAGATTCAAGGGAATAACCTCCTCTTTTGACTTTAGTCTCTTTTAGTTATCTGTTCTTTCCCTGAAGAGAGGCATTGTGTTCTCATCGCCATCCTAGGTGGACCTTGTTGTGACTGGAAAGATAGTTTACCTTAAAGGAAGCAGTCTGGTGAGCTTTAACAAAATAGCAGAAGAGGAGATTTTTCTTTTAGGTGAGTGGAAAAGCTCGGATAAAGGAAACTTAATACCTTAATACCAGGACTTGGTCTATTAGCCGCTGCTAGATTGCCATCCCCTGACTCTCACCTTGATCACTATCTTTGCTCTTCTTGGTCTATTCAGATTCTACTCTGTACTCTTTGAGGTATTGCTCTTCCATGAAGCCTTCCACACCCAGCCCAGCCTGCCATTCATCTTCTACAGACTACGTGGCTTACGGTCCTCTCTCTGGCCTAGGAAGGTATCAGGTAGATATACCGGTACCATCAATTAACAGTCCGGCCATCAATGTCTTGCGTTTCCAACTAGACAGCAAATCTGTAGAGGACAATGGTACTCTTGGGGTTTTCTCTTGCTTCTAGAACCATGTTGTAGAGTTGGTTTATTGATACATGTATGTTGAATTGAATGGGTCATTAGGATTGCCAGTATGAGTGGTAAAATGGATACTGAAACTTTACTCACATGCTAGAGGAAAGAAGGTTGTATGTAACTGTGAGAAAAAAGTGAGGAGAAAAATTCCTTAGAAGAATTTTAGTCTAACAGAATTTCCTAGGCTGCAAACATTATGAATCATTGGAAACAAATTTTCATATAGTCATATGCAATGTTTTTTGTTTTGTTTTTGAAGAACAGTTACTTTACTTTCCAATTATAGTTTGCTTTGGGAAAGGTGAATAAAGGTAACTTCAGTATAGGTTCCTTTAAAGTCATAGGCTTGTATAATTATGGAGGCAGGTGTTGATAGAGGATGGTGGGGGTAGATATGGAGAAGTAGAACACTAATCAGAAATGGTTTCTGCCAATTTGTATTCATTTGAATGGAAAGAGGATATCTTATCTTCCTTGGCATCATGAAAAGAAAATGGCACATTGTGCTTCAGAAATATGAGATCCATGTCGGAGATCAGGATACTCTTTCACATCAAGAGATTTCTCCTTTAAAAGGAAATCTTTGTCTTGTTTTCTAGGGCGGTCTCTCTATAAGAGCAGCCTACAGAGCCATATTCCATTTTGTTTCTATCATCTTATACCTGGTGATTGTGGGAAAGAGTTAATACAAACAACTGGAGGGCATCTGGATCCTATATATGTTGTTCTCCCATTTAAATAGTCACCTGGATTTTGAGTGTAGCAATATCCTCACATTCTTAATTTAAAATACATGAAGAATATTATCTGCTATGTTTATCCAATAGAAAAAAGTGAATGCAGGGCCTGTAAATACAAAAAAAAAAGCTTGGATCAAAATTTTTAAAGGCTACCCTTTTTACATTTTTTGTTTGAATTTTATAGTTTAGACATTGGGTTTTTTGGTTGTTGTTGTTCTCCAAAACACCTTATATCTCTCAGTTTAAACTGGCTTGCCCAAATATTAATGCCTCACTGTATTATCTATGCAATATTTATTTTCAGCCTGATTTCTGACTATTTCCCTACATGGATCTTCTTTCCTAATTAGATTTCTGTTCTTACATCCTACTGACATGTATTATAGATCTGCATTTCTGGGCCTTTGCACACACACCATTCTCTTCACCAGGGATAACCTCCTCAGATCTTATTATTGTGTGGAAATATTATTTTTGTTTAATGAACTGTTCCAGTTGACCATAGTGCCTCCTTTTTACGACTTCCCTCCTACTAGCATTTATACCATGCTAAAAATCTCTACTCCCAGTACCAGGACAATAAATCATATTTTTCTGCAAGACATCTCTGTATTTCTATTTATTGTATTTATTGTTATTTTATTCTGCTAGCATCATTTTACACACTAATGCTTTATTTCTGTAAATTGTATGCTTTCCTTTTCTTTTGCCTTTCACAGTACTTAGCATGAAGCAAACACTAAATAAAGGTTTGATAATTTGCTTTAAAATAACACATTCAGTATCGTCATTTCATTTTATGAATATGTACTGCAATTAGAAAAGGGGAAAACATATGATATTGAACATCTCTGCAAGAGGATCATAAGCCTAATCCATATACCATAGAACCAAGGTTGATGGAAAGAATAGTACTTTTGCAAAATTGAGAAAATATTTCAGACTTAGACCTACCCTGAGCTGCAAGAGCTCTTAGAGTTAATCTCCTATAACTCCCTTTTTAACAAGTGAGAAAACTGAGACTCTGTAATAAGTGATTTAATTTTATATCCTTTCATTGTGTAGCTGGATAAAGTATCAATATTAGCACAATTTAATATGCTTCCTGTTTTCAAAAGAATTTTCATATACATTGATTTTTCTATGATTGTAGCAATGTAAAACATTTATTATCCTTCTTTTTTTTTTTTTTTTTTTTTTTAGATTAGTAAACATTTAGAAGTTCACTTGCTCAGTTCACAGTGGAGCCAGAACCAAGACTTGTATTCTAGGCCATCTCTCCCTGGATAATCTCTTTCATACTCCCAAAAGTCAAATTTATATTGCCAACTCAGAACTCATTTCTGATTACGTGTGTGTGTGTGTGTGTGTGTGTGTGTGTGTGTGTATATAGATAATTCTCTGCCTTTCTCTCTCTTCTTCTTCCCATTTCCACTTGGGTGTCTCAAAAGCACATCAAACTCATTGCATTCAGAGATTAACTCATTATGTTTTCCAAACAGCCTCACACCTGGTCCTGCTCCAGTCTTTTCTAACTTGGTAAAGAATGTCCCCATTCATCAAAATGTGAAACTTGGAAGTCTGACATTTACCCTGGGCAGCTCTTTCACTCATCAAATCAATTTAGCACCACAGAAGTATAGAGATTTTACCATCTAAATATCTCTCCATTCCACTCTTTCTATGTAGAACGACTCTACCCTCATCCATTCTACTTTTGTCTCTTGCCTCACTATACAGTTTCCTACCTGGTCTCTGTAGTTCTACTCTGTCTACCCACTTTACTCTGTTCTTCCACACTTCACCAGGATAATCTTTTTAAAATATATATATATTTGATTATTTCACCAACCTGCAAAAACCCTGCAATGACTTCCTATTACTCTAAGTATTACAACTAAAAATCTTTAATCAACTTTAGATCAATGCCTATCAAATTTTAATGTGTACACAAATCGGCTGGAGATATTTCTAAAATGCAGGTTTTGACTTGGTGGGTCAGGCTAGGGCCTGAGATTCTACATTTATGACAAGCTCCCTGTTGATGCCAATGCTGGTGGTCTGAAGATGGTGCTATAAATATTCAGGTCCTGGAAGATCCTTACCAGTCTGGCCCACCACCTTCAGGTGTCCTTCTGCTGTTGTCCTCTGTACTCCAGTCACAGTGGCCTTCATTATTTGACGTTGTCATGCTCCATCTCAACTCAAGCCTCTGAATATGTCATTTCCTTTCTCTAGGGTGTTTTTTTTTATCTGTCCCAACTTTTTTCCAACCCGAATTCTCATGTACCTGGTTTATTCACATTCATCCCTTACAGTTTATCTGCAGACCAGATCTGATGCCTGATTATATTTTCCTTCATGTCAGTTAACACTTTGAGTTCACATTTTTACATTGTGTGATTATCTGGTTAATGTGACTCCTGATTTTGTGAAGATTGACTTAGAAGTAGAAGCCAAGAACTGTGCACTCAAGGTTTCAGTACCTTTGTTACAGGTTCCTCTCTTGAGCCCCTCAACAAAGAGCTGGATACTAAAAGATGATACTATTTAATTACTGGCTCAAATGAAAGATGAGCACCAGACACCTGAATGCAGGCCAATGATGCCAAGAGAATAGAATTTTCTGCAGTAGCAGCTAAGAGAGAGCAAGACCCTCACCCAGGTGGCAGGCTCGTTGACTACTAGTTCAGGCTCCAAACCTGGAAACAGTCCCAGCCCCCTAAGGACTTTCTTTAGCCCTGTTTGGCATTGATTCTGCTACCAAAACCATCCACCAAGCGGCCCAGGAGGAGTAACACACACTAGTGCTTTAGAACACAGGTCTGGGCTGGGTGTGGTGGCTCACGCCTGTAATCCCAGCATTTTGGGAGGCCGAGGCTGACGGATCATGAGGTCAGGAGATTGAGACCATCCTGGCTAACACGGTGAAACCCCATCTCTACTAAAAATACAAAAAATTAGCTGGGCATGGTGGCGGGCGCCTGTAGTCCCAGCTACTCGGGAGGCTGAGGCAAGAGAATGGCATGAACCCAGGAGACAGAGCTTGCAGTGAGCCGAGATTGTGCCACTGCACTCCAGCTTGGGCGACAGAGAGAGACTCCGTCTAAAAACAACAACAACAACAACAACAACAACAACAACAAAAACACAGGTCTGCTGATACTGGTCCCAGCTGTCAACCCAAAACTATCCTCTAACTGGGCTCTAGCATCCTTTAGCTGTGGTTTAAGATCAGCCCTACTCATACGAGGATGCAGAGGTAGATACATCCTCCTGAGTCCTGGGGCAGGCATGCCAAAATCAGTTCCTGAAAGGGCCTTAAATCTTGGCTCCAGCCCATCTTGGCTATGATCAGGCAGTAGTTCTACCCAGTCAGGCACCTTCCAGGACATGCTCATCTGGGTCCCTGGGACAGGCTTTCCAAGCTTGATCCCTTAGAAATTCCTGAAACAGCCGTTGGCCCCAACCCCTCTCAGTTGTAATCTGAGAGCAGTTCTGCCTGTCCTGGGACCCAGAGGGAAGCATGTATGTCAGTGCCCCTGTAGACTGACCTGATGACCTCAGTCTCAATGTGGATCTTAAAATGGCACTATAAATCAATTACATCCCCTCTTAACTGCAGACTGAGAACGGGTCTGCCCACCCAGGAGCTCAACAAAACACACACACACACACACACACACACACACACACACACACACACACACACATCCATAACCCCAGAGATAGATCTGAAGACCTCATCCTTGTTTGTGAGCCTTGAAGCAGCCCTGTGACTTGGCTCCAGCCCCTCTAAGCCATAGACTGGAACAGTACTTTTCTATGTGTGAACCCAAATGAGTGATCTGGCAGGTGCCTTCCCAGGGAACTTGAGAAAGCCACATCTGTCCACATACCTTATAATACGTTCACTGTCTGTAGATCCTTATCTTAGTGCCAGTTCAATGGACCAATCTAGTCCACCCAGGGACAGACAGCTTCCACACTCACTAGAAACAGTAGATAAAAGTTCCACCAACTTCTTGGGCCCCACTGTGAACCTAGAAGCAGCCATGTGACCTGGCTGCAACCCCACTCAACCATGATCATAGAGGCAATCCCATCAACCAGAGAACTATTATAGCAGAAGATCTGCCAGAACTAGTCTATAAAGACTGGAGGAGATATGTGTTCCTTCTATTGTACAGATCAATATAAGACTACACAGATAACAAATAATCAAGCAAACATAGCACTAGCAAAAATAACCAATGAAGCTCCAGTAAGCAACCCCAAGGAAACAGAGATCTATAAATTGCCTGATAAATAATTCAGAAGAATAATCTTAAAGAAACTCAATGAGATGCAAAAAAAAACCCAGCAAAAGTCAGAAAAATAGTGCAAGAAAATGTTAGAATTTTAATGAAGGAATTAAAAACATAGAAACCAAATAGAAATTTTGAATCTCAGGAATACAGTGATGGAGTGGAAAAACTCAATAAAGAGCTTCAAGAGGAGACTCAATCCTGCAGAAAAAAGAATTAGCAAGCTTGAAGATGGGTTATTTGAAATTAGCCAAATAGAGAAAAAAAAGGAATAAGACTGAAAAAAGGGTAAAGAAAAAGTAAGGAACCCATGTAGCAACATCAAACATACAAATATATTGATGACGAAAGTCCCAGAAGGAGAAGTGAGGGAGAAAGAGGCAGAAAACATATTTAAATAATTGCTGGCTGAATACTGCATATATCTTGGAAAGGATTTGAACATCTAGTTTCATGAAGAGCAAAGGATCTCTAGAAAGATCAATCCAAAGAAGAATGCTCCAAGACACATTTTAACCAAATTGTCAAAAGTCAAGGACAAAAAGAGAATATTGAAAATATCAAGAGATAAGAGATTCATCACACACAGAGGAACCTCTTTTATAAGGCTTTCAGTGGACTTCTTAATAATAAGCAAGCCAGGAGGGATTGAGGTAAAATAATCAAAATGCTGAAAGAAAAAAATCTGCCAACCAAGAGTATAATACCCATAAAAGCTATTCTTCCAACATGAAGGAGAGATAAAGACATTGCAAGACAAAAGCTAAAGGAGTTTATCATCATGAGACCTGCCTTCCTACCTTACAAGAAATGCTAAGGAAAATTTTCCAAGTTAAAGCAAAATAATGCTAAGTAACAACATGAAAACACATGAAAGTATAAAATTCACTAGCAAAGGTAAATATATAGTCAAATTCAGAATGCTCTATACTGTAATGGCAGTGTGTAAATTAATTTAACTCTAGTATAAAAGTTAAAAAACAAAAATATTTAAAAATAACTATAACTAAAGTAAGTTTTTAATGTCTGCACAGTACAAAAAGATGTAAAGTGTGGCATCAATAGCATAAAATGTGTGTGTATGGAATAAAAGTATAGTCTTGTTAGTAGTTGAAGTTGACTTGTAATCAGTTTAAATTAGAATATTATAAGACATTTTACATAAGTCCCATGACAATCACACTCACACAAAAACCCCTCTAGTCAATACACAAAAGATAAAAAGAAAGGAATCCAAGCATACCACTACAAACATTCAACAAATCAAACAGGAAGAGAGCAGAATTGGAAGAAAGGAACAAGGCAACTACAAAATAGTCAGTAAACAATTAATTAAATATTAATAGCAAGTCATTTCCTATAAATAATCATGTTAAATGTAAATGGAGTAACTTCTCTAATTAAAAGATATAGAATAAGTGAACAAAAAAACAAGGCCCAGCAATATGCTGCCTACAAAAGACTCACTTTAGCCTTAATCACACAAAAACGGAAGTGAAGAGGTGGAAAAGGATATTCCATGCAAATGGAATTGAATGAGAACAGGGGCGGTCATATTTATATAGGACACAATAGAAAGTCAAAAACTCTCCTTTAGGCAAAGAAAGTCATTATATAATGATAAAGGGGGTCAATTCATCAATAAGATATAACAATTGTAAGTATATAGGCACCCAAGATTATAGCACCTAAATAGAGAAAGCAAATATTAATAGATCTGAAGGGAGAGATACAGTACAGTATAATAGTAGTAGCAGACTTTATTACTCCACTACTGACAAAGGATAGATTATTCAGACATAAAATCCATAAAGAAACATTAGACTTGAACTACACTTTAGACCAAATGGACCTAACAGACATATGCCGAACATTCCATCCACAGCAGCAGAATACACATTCTTCTTAGGCGCATATGGAACATTTTCCAAGATAGATCATATATTAGGCAATAAAAAAGGTAAACAAATTCAAAAAGATTGAAATCATACCAAGTATATTTTCCAACCAGAATGACATGAAACTACAAATCGATAAATAACAGGAGGAATTTTAGAAAAATCACAAACGTGGAATTCAAACGACATGCTCCTGAAAAATCAGAGAGTCAAAGAAGAAATCAAAAGGGAAATTTAAAAATATTTTTAAACAAAAAAAAGGGAGATGCAGCATATCCAAACTTATGGAGTACTACAGCAAAAGCAATTCTAAGAGGGAAGTTTATAGTGATAAACACCTATATCAAAAAAAGAAGAAAGATTTTGAGCAAATAACATTACACCTCAAGGAAGTAGAAAAAGAGGAACAAATTAAGCCCAAAGTTAGTAGAAGGAAGAAAATAATAAAGATCAGAGCACAAGAGAGAAGGCTCAAATTAGTAGAATTGAAAAAGGGAGCATTATAAATGATATCACAGAAATATAAACAGGCCAGGGACATGGTGGACCACGTCTGTAATCTCAGCACTTTGGGAGGCAGAAGCAGGTGGATCACCTGAGGTCAGGAGTTTGAGACCAGCCTGGCCAACATAGTGAAACCTTGTCTCTACTTAAAATACAAAAAAATTAGCCAGGCACGGTGATGCACGTCTGTAATTCCAGCTACTTGGAAGGCTGAGGCAGGAGAATTACTTGAACCCAGTAGGTGGAGGTTACAGTGAGCCAAAATTGTACCATTGCACTCCAGCCTGGACAACAGAGTGAGACTCCATCTCCGAAAACAACAACAAAAAAAGAAAAAAAAGAAAAGAAAAAGAAATATGAAGGATTATAAGACTCTACTATGAACATTTATTTGCCACCGTATTGAATAAGCTAAAAGAAATGGATAAATTCCTAGAAACATAAAACCTATCAAGACTGAATCATGAAGAAATAGAAAATCTGAACAGACCATAACAAGGAGATTGGATCAGTAATAAAAAGTCTCCCATTAAACAAAAGCCCAGGACCTGATGGCTTTACTGCTGAATTCTTCTAAACATTAAGAAAAATTAGTATCAATTTTTCTCAAACTTGTCTAAAAAATTGAAGAAGTGGGAATACTTTCAAACTTATTTTATGAAGCCAGCATTACTCGGATACCAAACCCAGACTACACTACAAGAAAGGAAAATTACACACCCATATCCTTGATAAACATAGGTAAAAAATCCTTAACCAAATACTATAAAAATGAATTTAATAGCACATTAAAATGCCCATTCACCATGATCCAGTGGGATCTATTGCTGGAATACAAGGATTTTTCAAAATATGGACAAAAACCATATGATCTTACCACTAGGTGCAGAAAAAGCATTTGACAAAATTGAACATTTTATGATTAAAAACTCTCAACAAATTAGGTATACCAGGAACATCCCTCAACACAATGAAGGTCATATATGACAAGGCCACAGCTAATAGCATACTCAATGGTAAAAAGTTGAAGACTTTCCCTCTAAGATCAGGAACAATAAGGAATGCCCACTCTCACAACTTCTATTCGACACAGTACTGAAATTCCTAACCAGAGCAGTTAGGCAAGAAAAAAAAATAAAAGACATCCAAATTGGTAAGGAAGAAGTTAAATTATCTGTCGGCAGATATGTGATCCTTATGTATAATACAAACCGTAAAGACTCCACACACACACACACAAATAGAACTAATAAACCAATTTAGTTTAGTAAAGTTGCAAGATACTACATTAACATACAAAAGTCACTATCAAGCATATCTATACCCTAACAATAAACTACCCAGAAAACAAATCAAGAAAACAATTCCACTTATAATAACATAAAAAATTAAAATACTATGGAACAAATTTTATCAAGGAGGTGAAAGATTTTTATATTAAAAACTATAAAATATTGATGAAAGAAATTGAAATCACAAATAAATGGAATATATTCACTGCTCATGAATTGGAAGAATATTGCAATTCATGCAATATTCATGAGTGTGTATACTATCTAAAGCAATCTACAGATTCAATGCAATCCTGATCAAAATTCCAATGGCATTTTTCAGAGAAACAGAAAAAACAATCCTGAAATTTATACAGAACCACAAAATACAATGAGTAACCAAAGCAATCTTGGAACAAAAGAGCAAAGCTGGAGGCATCACATGGCTTGATCTCAAAATCTACTATAAATCTATAATAATGAAAACAGCATTGTACTCTTATAAAAATAGACATATAGACCAATGGAACAGAAAATGTAGCCCAAAAATAAATCCACACATTTATGATCAACTGATCTTTGACAGAGTTACCAAGATCACACAATGAGAAAGGATAGTCTCTTCAATAAATGATTTTGGAAAAACTGGATATTCACATGTGGAAAAATTAAATGGACCCTTATCTCCCATGATATACGAAAATCAACTCAAAATGGATTATAGACCTGAAACAGCTAAACTACTCAAAGAAAATATAGGGAAGAAAAGCTTCCTGACATTGGTCTGGGCAAAGATTTTTTGGCTGTGATGCCAAAAGCACAGACAACAAAAGCAAAACTAGACAAATGGGAGTACATCAACCTAAAAAACATTTGCACTGCCAAGAAAACAATCAACAGAATAAAGACACAACCTACAGAATGGGAGAAAATATTTGCAACCATAAATCTGATAAAGGGCTAAGATGCAAAATATATAAAGAGCTCAACTCAAGAGCAAGAAAACCAATAACCCAATTTAAAAATGGGCATAGGACCTGAACAGACACTTCTCAAGATAAGACATACAGGCCAACAAGTTCATAAAAATGTGCTCAACATTACTAATCCTCAAGGAAATGCAAATTGAAACCACAATGAGGTATATCCTCATATCTATGAAAATGGCTTTATCAAAAAGTCAAAAGATAAGTTTTGGTAAAGATGTGGACAAAAGGGAACGCTTGTACACTGTTGGTGGGAATAAAAATTAATTTAGCCATTGTGGAAAACATCATGAAATTTCCTTAAAAAATTAAAAATAAACTACTATAGGATCCAGCAATTCCACTTCTAGATATTTATCCAAAGCAAAGGAGATCAGTATGTCAAAGAGATATTTGAACTTTCATGTTCACTGTAGCGTTATTTACAATATTCAAGATATGGCATCAACTTGTGTCTATCAACAGATGAATGGATAAATAATATGTGGCATGTATCTATAATAGAATACTATTCAGCTTTTAAAAAGAAGGAAATTCTGTCACTTGTGAAAAACTGGACAAATCTGAAGAACATTATGCTTAGAAAAATAAGCCAGTAACTGAAAGACAAATAATACCTGATTTCATTTATATAGAGAATCTAAAAAATTTTAACTCAAAATGCAAAGAATAGAATAGTTGTTAACTGGGGCTGGGAGTGGGGAAGGAGAGGCAGAGAATGGGAAGATATTTGTGAAAGTGTACAAAGTTTCAGTTAGACATGAGGAAAAACTGCCACAGATCTATTTTACAGCATGGTTACTTTAGTAAATAATAATATATTGTATACTTGAAAATTATTAATGGAGTAGACTTTATATTTTTATAATAAAAATAAACATGTGAGGTGATAGATACGTTAATTATCTTGATTAAACAATTCAACAAAGTGTACATGTATCAAAACATCATATTGTACACCTTAAATACATACAATTTTACATTAGTCAATTAAAAATAATTTTAAAAGTTAAAAAATGTAAACTTACTTTTAATAATATATTTTATCTAAACCAAAATATCATTTTAGCACATTTTTTGCATACATTTTGCTTTTCAAACAAACTCTTCAAAATCCAGCATACACTTTATGCCTAGAGCATATATGAGTTCAGATTAACCACATTTTAAGTACTCAATAAGCCACATGTGGTTAGTGGCTACCATATTGGACAACACAGCTTTAAACCATTTGGCCTCTTTCTACATTTCTCAAATGAATATATGACTGAGAACATAGGCAAAATGAACACCTAGAAGATGGTACAGCCAACAACTGCAAATCTGCTTCATCTCTCATTCTAGGTTCCTATAAAAATGTCATCTTTTATCTGCTGATATTTAGTATATGCACAGGCTCCTCCTAGTTGAGAGCCTGTGTTGTAAGCAACTTTCACTATAGAGAATATTAAAATGAAACTGGAAATAGAGACTAAATTCTTTTATTTCTGTAACAATATGCCTGAAGGGTAGAAATAGTTTTCAAACATATTGTACTTGAGTTTGAATCTCGACAAAGGTGACTGAAGGATTCCTGGTTTTACATCATTCGCACACTTCTAATGAGCCACTGACAATTCCAGGTAACATACACAGCCTGCATATATTAACATGCATTAGCTCTGGCTGATGAGTAGAAACAGCTTATCAATAAAGCATTTAAGACAAATTCTTTATAATTACTGAAAAAGCCATTCATAAGCAAGTGTGTAATTTTGAAATTAATCAGATGCACTCCTTAATCTGTGCTGCAAACAGTGCATAATGTCATATACCTTTGCTAAGTATTGTATATTTTCATTCATTAGCTCTAGAGATCTTAATTTTACATACAAGATGGTAGATGCATCCATTCTATTAATTTATTCATTCTTTCGACAAACATTTATTGAGTACTCATGTGCATGGTGTCATGCCTGTGACTGAGAACACAGTGACCAATAAAGCAGGGTACCAACAGTTCATAGTTTAGGGAGTCTAATCTGGAGATATAATTCTTGCATATTATTTAGTCAAAGAATTTTTACATATATTTTAGAGACACTGAAAAATAAGCTGCTAAACAAACATTAAAAAGTGTTATTGTTAGGCCTGTAGAAGTTTCCCATGCCAACAATCTAAGAAAAGTGTTCCCTAAACCTCACCCTCTAAATTCCAAGAGAAGGTCACTTTCAGGGTTTGTCCGCAGGTGTACGATCAACATACCCATTAACCACATAGTAAAATATTAGCCCTTTTGCCCAACATCATTTGTCCTCTATCTCTAGGCTATTAAAGGAAGAGAAATGGGAAAGAAAAGCTGTTTCAAATATCACTAGAGCTCCACTGCAGTTCAATTTCAGGCCTTTGTGTAGGCCATCTTGCTATGGATTTCTGAGGCTTAAATGCCAACTTTTCCTGCTCACATAATGGGGTTGGCCCAAACTAGAACTCCAATGCTGCATAATCTGCTTGCCAGCAGCATTGTTCCTTTCTCTCATTTGTTCTTTCTCACCATCTCTGCTGGCTGTCACTATAGGGAGTTTCTTACAATCTTTAGTGTGCCTCCAGGTCTCCAAAGCTCACCTCTTCTTTGGTCAAAAGGAAAACAATACCCTTTTATAGTACCTAGCTCTTTCAGAAGGGAGAACCATAGTAGAAGTTCTAGGGCCTCTATCAAATCAGAGACTGTTCAATACAATCTTCTCCTTAGCAGGGTGCATACTTCCTAGCAAAGGGGCTGGATATGGGAGGGTCAGAAGTAGTCTCTCCCCATATTCTGAATCTCTTCTATGCCCCCACTCTCTGGCTCTGCTACTGCGTCTAGCCCTACTTGCCAGACACTGCAAAAGAGTTAATATTTTTCTCCTAATTTATCTACTACCCGATGTACTCTGGAGTCAATCAAGCTCCCTCTTCTCCCCTAGATAGGCTGGCATATATGCATAGTGGACAAGACTCAAGTATTTACTTATGGAGCTCCTTGGCCTTTGGTTAGACACTTGTTTTATTTTTATTTATTTTTTATTATTTGAGACAGGGTCTCACCCTGTCACCCAGGCTGGAGTGCAGTGGCATGATCTCGGCTCACTGCAATCTCCACCTCCCAGATTCAAGGGATTCTCATTCCTCGGCCTCCCTAGTAGCTGGGATTACGGGTGCAGACCACCACACCCAGCTATTTTTTGTATTTTTAGTAGAGACGGGGTTACGCCATGTTGGCCAGGCTGGTATGGAAGTCCTGACCTCAGGTGATCTGCCTGCCTTGGCCTCTCAAAGTGTTGGGATTACAGGTGTGAGCCACCACGCCCGGCCTAGACACTTGTTTAATTGTCTCTGAACATTGTGTGACAGCTGAGGGGGTTGTGATCACCAAGAGAACATGAAGAACTGCCAGCAGGTGTCAGCTCTCTCTATGCTGAGAAACCCTGTTGTGCTAGACATTTACACTCTACATATGTTGGGCATTGGTGTTTATAAAGTTTAAATAATAAACCTCTAAATTTCCAGTTTTTATTAATATGGCTATACTAAAGAAAAAGGAAATGGAATTTGTGCATGTGTCACAATAAGAGTAGCAATTTAAGTAAATCTTTGTGGGCACTGTGCATGGGAATGTGCAGATTCTCTGTGCCCTCCCAAGGGGTGGCCTCGCTGAAAAAGAAGTGAGGCTTAGGGAAATGGGAATTTCAATGTAAGTGATCATTAAGCTAAATAATAATACATCAATCCAGCCTTTGAAAACTGAATTTCTTCTTTAGCAACTAATTAGTGTTTCTTGTGTACCTGCTCTTTGAATCCAGGCCTCACTTAGGTTAACCTCTTTGTGATAGGGAATAAATTCTTATAGAGATCATCACACTCAGGGTGTGTTTTTTTCTGAAAAAATAAATGAAGAGAATATGTTATATAGAAGATTACAAGTTTTTATTGACTTTCATGGTCATTTTAGAGAAACTATCGCATATGAAAATTAATAAAAAATATTACGTTTTCAACTTTCCATTCCAAATATATTTTGATTTATTAATACATTGCATTTATGGTTTTCTTTTCTAATAACTTTGCCAAGAATTAGATGGATGAATAGATAATCCACATAAACTCAAAATCCTCTCTCAGGAGCATTACTATATATTAGGCATTCTTATGTGCTTTCTGGGATTTGTCTATTGAATCAGCAGCTTTGACAATATTGAAATGAAAAAGTCAATTGAAAATGTTTATTTTGTAATATCTTATATATTATAAACTATTATAGTTCCTCCCAATGTGGCTCTCTGCTTTCTGTAAACATTGGCAGGTATCAATACTCATTTCATTGATAACAGAATATTGCTAAACTGTTGGGTTTGATGTAAAGGATGAACTTAGTAGGGGACAATCCAGTGAATCACTGCTGGGACCCTTCTCTAAGCTTCTGGGATGGATGACTTAGGGTGATGTGCTCTGAAAGACAGCACTGGACATCTTTCTTAAAGTGAGGCCCAATATTCCCCAAGTAATTTCATGTAAGATGAGATTACCCACAAACACTTCAAGGCATTAAATCATACTCTTCTTACCTATGCATATCAATACTATATTCCTAATTTCCATTCCATATCACTACCCATAGGCATTGTGAAAATATAAATTATTAAGTAGAAAAACAATGAATGGTCCATTGCTTACCTTCTTCCTCACCTTCCACTCCTCTGCCCTTGATGAAGGGAAAAAAATGGAGAACAGAATGCCAGTGTACCTGCCTCTAGACACAACTTCGTTTCCAACCCTTGGACTCATTCCTAACTTCTAGTTTTACTACCAACCTGGGAGAATAAACAGCCAAGTTTTCTGAACATTTCTGCAGACTGCCTTAAAGATTCCCTATCAGCCCTTATGTTTGTATGCTTTATGCCTCGGAGGGGATTTGGCAGAATTAAGACTTTTACATCACCTCAGGGAGACATGGCCAAAAATCCAATAGTGTCACTCAAGTAATTTCCTTTGCCATTGACTTTCAGTTCTTGTGTCAGATGGTGTAGTTGGTAAGTCGAACTCCTAACAATCAACCAACTGTGGTTTGAAGTGGCAGCTGACTGAAGCCAATGTGCACTGGGCCTGGTGACAGCCGCTATATGACAGACCTTGTCAGAAGCACAAGCTGGACCTCAGGTTTTAAGTGTGGGCCTGACCCTTCCAGATGAATGGGAACTGACAAGAGTGATCTCTGCAACATGGAATGGAATGATGACATGAAAACAGTGACATGTTTGGGATTAAAACACCGGGTGCAGATATGTCACTTATAATGGACAGAGAAATGACAGGCGACTGGCATTAACTTTACTTGACTTCAGTTTAAACATGTCCTTTGTACTAAGAACCAGAGCCAGCTAGCAGAGTTAATCATGTAGTAGGAAAACTACTCCATCCCCGGCCATTGCCACCCCAAGTTAATCTGTGCCACACAAAAACTGGCTTCATGTGCCATTAGAACAGTGCTTCTGATCCCTGACTTCACATTAGAATCACCTGAGCATTGATGACATGGCCCCAGGGGGCTCTGATTTCATTGCCCTGGGATGAGACTCAGGCATTGGCATGCCTTCCGAGCTCCTCCAGGTGATCACGATATGCAGCAATGGTTGAGAACCACA
This sequence comes from Homo sapiens, assembly GCF_000001405.40. Taxonomy (NCBI): domain Eukaryota; kingdom Metazoa; phylum Chordata; class Mammalia; order Primates; family Hominidae; genus Homo; species Homo sapiens. The sequence continues at coordinate 51,434,278 of NC_000006.12, read as the reverse complement.
GTGTCAGATGATTAAAAATGAAAAATAAATGTCCTGGAAAATGGGCATAATTTTCTTTCCTTCTTAGATTTTCATATTTTATTTTATTTATTTCATATTTAATGGGCATAATTCTCTAATCATAATAACATAATGAACCTCCATTGCCCAAGGAGCTCAAGCCTCTTCTTATTTTATTACCTCATTACTATATTTTTAAACTTTGTTGGCACATGAATCTAAGCAAAGTTAAAAGAATTAGCTTGGCTCACCCAACCCAGCAAGTCACTTGGTTCTGGGGACATGTTTCATCCCCTTCCTCACCCTCCTCACTTCTGTGAACTAGAAGTTAATGCTCATTGTTAACCCCAGACAAACAAGTATTATTAATAGCTTGACCCTAGCCCTAACTGAACTTTGAGTCTTAAAGGGTTGAGAGGAAAAGTGCACCAAAACCATTTATTCAATAATACAAATGTGCTGCCCTTTTTATGTGGCAGCGATGCAGATCCACAGGTGGTAGAAAAGGTAGGTACTTCCTTATTTTCATTTTAGCTGAGGCAGTAATTTCCACACTCTTTTGCATTCTAACTCAGGCATGGGAATGTGTTGGGGAGGGTGCATGGAGATTATGACAGAAACCAAAGTGAGCTGATCCTCTGCTCTCCTACTCCCCTGTTTCCCATCCCCACATCAAAACCTGTATCCTCAAAAGGATCCAAGAGATATCATTTTCTGAGCCTAACTTTGTCAACCTGTATTTGTTCTTAGGGTTATTTACATTTGAAACATTATCTGTAATGTAGACTAAAAATAATGCAGAGAAAACGTTATAAATACAGATAGGTAGATGAGACAGACATGATAGATGGTAGATTAATACCTTGCTAGATGATGAAAGATTATAGATGGATTGATAAGAGTTTTCATTGTTTGAAGATGACCCACAGAATTCCACAATGTAGATATCTACCCTTGAGTAGCTGTGAACATATTAGGATACGAATATGAAAACTAATCTTTACATCTTCTTTCTATGTGGCCCGACGGGATAGGAGAGAAAATTTATGTACACAAGGTATGGTTGGGTTAAGAAACTTCAAATTATATCACTGTAACTGTTGCCTTAAGTAACTTGCCACATTAAGTAACTTGCCTGGTAGTAACTGCTACTAGGACATGAAGGTAAAATTAGGTATTAATGTGTTAGGAATTGAGAGAAAAATTATAACTCAAAAATTATTTTTTTACCAATCCATTAAATAGCAACTCAACGAGTTATAATTTCTGGTTATATTTTTTAATTAAAAAAAGAAAAAAGCAAATTTTGAAAAAGGCTGTTTGTCCTAGAAAGAACGGTCATATCATTTCTTGGTTGTGAGGACCAATGACTAGGGTTGAGAATTATAACTGTCATTGAGATGTTATTTGCCAGTCATGTAAGTGTCTCTATTTAAAATACACCCAGAGCATGATGTGCAATTAGAAATATGTGCTTGATTCATTTTCATCTAGTCAGGAGAACAGAAAAACATGCAATGTTTCAACAGACCTGAAAACTAAGGTCTGTTAGTTGAAAACTTTGTCAATTTCATGGAAGAATCGCCCTCAACTGTAGGACAGCGTGGGTGGATGAATCAGGAAATCTTAGTCACCAACTCGTGTCAAGACCCACAAAACAAAGCAACTAAGCAAAACTAGTAAAAAATTGTTAAAAAAAAAAAAAGAGAGAGAGAATAAACAAATTCAGTCACTCCCCTCTGTAATGCCTCCACCCCCAAATTCTCTTATATCAAAAAATTGGGATGTATCATGAATTATTTACTCTAGGTTTGACCCCAGTGATTCAGGTGCTCAGATGTGTCTACTCCCTCCATAAGTTCCCTGTTTTCAATTCCATCAGGACCTCTGTTGTGGTGTCCCTCTGAGAGACGATGACATCAAATATGCAGTGGCCAGGAGTGACAAGTAGTGAATACTCATATCCGGCATCCTGGAATGTTCATCCTGAATTAGATGGGTAGAGGCAGGAAGAACAACCTGCCTCTCTAGCAAAAGAACTGCAGGCTATTTTTTGAAACATCAGTGGATATATTAACCTCCCCAGAATTATAATCTGCACAGTGAAATCACTGAACATGTTCAAGAAAAGCAACAAGAGAGAAGTAAAAGAGACCAATATCTAGATATATTTTATGCAAACTTTCAATTTTCTGGAATAAATTTCTTAAAAGTCAAGTACCAGATGAGGGGAAAAAAAAGCTAATTTTAAAGAAACAAGGTTGATCCCAGATTTCTTTTCCAGAATGGAAAAGTTTACAATTTGAAAATATTTTATATTTGTAGTAAACATAGATATGAAAATTTGTACTGAGTTATGTGCCAAAAATGTTTTTAAAAAGTAAGGCCATGCGATATTTTGAGAGGCAGTGAGAGAGATACTCAATATTGTTTGGCGAAGGGTGTAAGTGAATAGAATTGTTCTGGAAAATGATTTAGTTATACGTGTTTAAAAATTTATATTTTTTGACGATAATGATGCAACTTAAAGAATGTATATTCTGAGAGTAGAACCAGACATGAAATGAAGATTTGGGAATAAAAGCAATTTCTTTCATCAGTATTGGTTAGAGGAATACGAGTACAATAACATACATTACCAACAATAAATGGATGTGGTAAATTAACTATAGTACTCTTTCATAGGAGCATTATTAACATGTTATTAAAAATGTTTCATAAATAATGTTTCATAAAATAATGTATCATAAAATTGTGAAAACACCTATAAAATATTACTGAAAATGCATGATATAAAATATATATGCCTAACAGAATTCTAAATTTTCAAAAATTGACATGGAATATGTATATAAATAATCTGATAGGGTTCTATTTTTTTAAAACATGAAAAAATCTTCTAAGGAACTTAACTAATATCTTTTTATGATGTTATAAGTTTTATCTTTTTGTAATAGGATCAAAGGTAATTTTTTCCTAGTGTGTTATATATTAAAATTTTTCTAACTTAAACCTGTAATATTATATGCTAAAAAATATATATTTTTAAGTAATGGAAAGTATTCATCAGTTAAATTCAAAACCTAGTTTCTTTGTTCTGGGAAGTGAGGCATCAAAAGTCTTTTAAATAGAGCCATAAATGTCATATTATTGATAGAAAGAATAAGTCTGCTGGAAATTCAAAAGACAGCCAGTTGCCAGGGAAGATGAAATATCTCGTGAAACATAGTTGAAGTCAGATTCAGAAGGCCTTGAATGCCAGACTAAGAAAGATAGACTTTATTCTGATGCAAATGGAAGTCCTTGAAGAGATTTTTGTAGCTCTAACTAATGAATATCCTTTGTTCTTCTCCATTAAAGCTGGTACATTGAAAATGTATATGCGTATGTATATTCATATCTGAATGTATGTACACCAAATGTATTCACCCCTAGGCAGGAAACAATGTGTCTATAAAGAAGAAACAGGAAGAACGATTAAGGCATTCATTAATTAGGGTACATTTACATTTCCAGAGTCAGCTAAAATCATCCACTTATTTAAATGGAAATCTCCTCAGTCTATTACAGCCATTATTATTCAGCAGTAAGAGATAACTAGTTTGAATTTCACAAGCAGAGAAAATTGTATTGTCTGTTGCTTCTCTCAGGGGTCACTATTACTCAACTTTTGAGTAAAATTACAGTTCTTAGGCAAGAAAATTATTTATTGAGTGCCTACTACGTGCAGAACCGTTGGATAAATTCCATATAAATCCCATTTACTCCTCACAGCAACTTCATGTGATTGATATTTATAATCCAAATTTTATCAGAAGAAAATCTGCTAGAGTTTAAGTAAAATAAGCAACTGGCCAATGTGAACCTACTTTTACACCCAGAATTGTTTTACTCTCCACATTCTGTATAAGCGAATAGATGAAAACATCACATTAGAACACACCCATTAGCTCATGCATTTTCTAACATTATTGCTAAAGTATATATCTTCTGAGAATGTGTGTATAGATATGTAATATGTAAATATGTGTCTATGTGGGTATAGTATGCATTTACACATATCATATACTGATGAATTTATGTGTAATATAAATATATAAACATTCATTATAATAAATTTACACATATAGGAACTTGTATTTATTGTGCTATGCTTTTCATCTGCAGGTATTGCTATATATACATATATATAAATAGATATTCAATAAAATGTGAATATAAATTATATGTAAATGCATATGCATATAAAATTTATACATAAAATTATATATGAAATATATTTAAACATAGTAATTTTATACATATACACACATAAAAAATTATGTTCCCACTTTTTTTACCTAGAAAAAAAAACTGCTGTGCAATTGGAAAACTTATTTCATAGTTGAGGAAATATTACAATGAGTAGAGGGTAATGAGTTCTAACTCCACCTCCAGGATTACAGCCCCCAAAAAGAGTTGATGCCTCTCTCTACTCTTTAGAGGTCATGTACCCCTAAAAATGATCTAAGAATCTTCGGATGTCAGTATGAAGGACCTCCTTTCCTCATTCTCCCATCCCTTGTGTCTTTCTCCTCCAACATCCACCTCCCCTAATACGCACACAAGAGTCCACAGGTGGAGGAGGGGTGACAGGAACCCTTCAGCCCTGACTCTAATCCTATTCTATATACGCAAAAGATCAACTCTAAATCTGGTCCCTGCAGTGAAAGGACAATCACCTACTATTTAAATTAATTCAGCTCTTTATTCAACAAAACGTTGTAGCATTTTCATCAGTGGACCAACTGAACAATCAACCCTACAAAAAATAAAGCGTCGGCTGGAGCAGAAAAGAGGCCTTCATGGGAGTTTGCAGTTCCACATAATGGCTGGGGAGGCTGAGCTGTCACTGCTTTTCTTCATCCCAGTACCCATGCATAGCATCAGCTCTAGCGTGAAGGGAGATTTAAAAGCAACTAAGAACATATAAACATTTCTCATTCATTATCTGGGGTTTCTGCTACTGGGTGACATATCATTAGTCCTAGTGTAAGGCAAGCTTTAAAACCGTAATTACTTAATCATGCAGTTAGCTTCCCATCAATCCTAGCAGCACTTGTTCTTAACTAGCTTTAAGAACAAAATTAGGAGCAATTTGTAAACAAAAGTAATTGAAGAAAGGCAGATATTGCCAAGGTGTTGACAGCATTAACAGACATTATTGTTTCCCTTAATACCACCACAGCACTGCAGTTAACAATAGGTAGCTGGCAAAAAGCAGAGTTGGGGAATTAGTAGGAGGCCACCTGAGGAAGTGTAGCAGTAGGCAAAGTGGTCCTTCCATTGGCCCTACAGGCATCCATCTCTAAGAGGTAGGTTGACTCTCTGCTCCTAAACTGATTTGCATTTTATGCAACTTACAAATGTGATTATTTGTAGGTTGGTATAATTTAACACTTTTAACATGACCATGGAAATTATCTCATCTAATTTTTTATGCCTTCTTATTAGAACCCACAAATTTTTCCCAGGATGGCGTCATCATATTTACAAGAGCCATAGATGTGCAACTTCCATCTGGCAAGAACCACTCAGGTAGGTAGGTAGAGACAAAAGAGCTTTGCCTGCCCTTATGTCTCGTTACTTGTTACAGGTTCAGTGAACTCATAATGACCATCACTTCTGGGCCAGATATTTTTCTAGTCAGTTGATAAATGGAAGTGAGCAAGAAATGGACTCAGTTTTCATGGAGCTCCTGATTTTGTAGAGAGAGAAAAATGGAAACAACACATGATCAAAAGACTTAAACCAAGTGTGTAATAGCCTGAATATTTATTTTATAACTGCTTGCTGACTAGAGGATTTACAGGGTCTTTAGCAGAAATCATGAAGAAATGAAAGACTTAGAGTACAAACAAGAATATGTCAGGTCCAGGAATGAGAATATCACTATTCTCGTTTTATAGAGGAAGTAACTGAAATGAACAAAATAACTTACCAAAAATCACATCCATAAAGAAGAGCAAAATTGAAATTCAGACTCAAGTATTATTATCATTGTTCTGTTATGATAATGAGTCCAAATATCTTTCCAGAATCCAGTAGAATTCAACAGGAGTGCTGAACCTGGAATCAGAACACCCAAGTTTGATTCTGCCTCTGAAGTCTTCTACTATGACTTTAAGCAAGTCATGAAAACTCAATGAGTTTCAGCGGCCCCGTCTGTAAAAATTAGTATCTTGGTACCTTTAGCGCTATCTGTTGACATAAGAATCTAATAATGTACAGGAATGCTATCAATTTTTGCACATTGATTTTGTATCCTGAGACTTTGCTGAAGTTGCTTATCAACTTAAGAAGCTTTTGGACTGAGACGATGGGGTTTTGTAGATACAGGATCATGCCATCTGCAAAGAAGATAGTTTGATTTCCTCTCTTCCTATTTGAATACCATTTCTTTCTTTCTCTTGCCTGATTGCCCTGGCCAGAACTTCCAATACTATGTTGAATAGGGGTGGTGAGAGAGGGCCACTTTGTCTTGTTCCGGTTTTCAAGGGGAATGCTTTCAGCTTTTGCCCATTCAGTATGCTATTGGCTGTGGGTTGGTCATATATGGCTTTTATTATCTTGAGGTATGTTCCTTTAATATATAGTCTATTAAAAGTTTTTAAATAAAGAGATGATGAATTTTATCAAAGGCATTTTCTGCATCTATTGAGATAATCATGTGGTCTTTAGTTCTGTGTATGTGATGAATCACATGTATTGATTTGCGTATGTTGAACCAGCCTTGCATCTCGGGGATGAAGCCTACTTGATCATGGTGGATAAGTTTTTTGATGTGCTGCTTGATTTAGTTTGCCAGTATTTTGTTGAGGATTTTTGCTCTGGGCATAGACACAAAGGAATATAAATATTTCTATTATAAAGACACATGTGTGCATGTGTTCACTGCAGCACTATTCACAATAGCAAATACATGGAGTCAATCTAAATGCCCATCAGTGATAGACTAGATAAAGAAAATGTGGTACATATACACCATGGAATACTATTCAGTCATAAAAAGGAATGAGATCATGTCCTTTGGACATGGATGGAGCTGGAGGCCATTATCTTTAGCAAACTAATGCAGGAACAGAAAACCAAATACATGTTCTCACTCACAAGTTGGAGCTAAATGATGAGAAGACATGAACACATGGGGGAAAACAACACACACTGGGCCCTGTCAGAGGGCAGGGGTGGGAGGAGGAGGGGGAGAATCAGGAAGAATAGCTGATGGATACTGGGCTTAATGCCTGGTTAATGGGATGATCTGTGCAGCAAACTACCATGGCACATGTTTACCTGTGTAACAAACCTGCACATACTGCACGTGTACCCCTGAACTTAAAATAAAAATTGGAAATTAAAAAAAATCTAATGAAATAATAAAATTAAAAGTGCTTTGTAATTTTATGGCCAGAAGTAAGGTATCAATGCTGTACAATTCTATTTACATGAAGTTCAAGAACAGGCAAAATAACCTGTGGTAATAGAAACTAAAATATGGTTGCCTCCAAATGGTTAAGAATTGACTGGAAAGGGGCATAAAGAACTTTCTAGGCTAATGGAAATGCTATATATTAAATGTCAATACCCACCAAGTTGAGCACTTAAAATCTGTGCACTTTATTTTATGTAAATGATGCCTTAAAATTGCACTAAAAATAAGATATGATTATTTCTATTAAATTTTTTTCAGAAACTGAATATAAGTCTTCATATCCATTTATACTATCTTAGGAGTCAGTTGAAGTCCAGTGTCCAAAATGAATGCTCCAAGGGAATCACTTCATGCACCACTAGACCTCTGCAGAGAGAGTACAGATCCTTACACGTATCCTCTAATTTAATTCAAGATAGATATCACCTTTTCTTTACATCTTTAAAAACCAAAGCATAAAGAATCATCCTGAATTTCAATGTTGCTGAATCTAGCATACAGACAAAAATATGAAAACTCACTGCTTTCTACCTTTTCAATGGAGAAAAAATTGTTAAAACTTAAATTTACCAATCAGAGAATGATAATAATATTACCTTTGGTTTGGGTTAAGATGTAAGAGATAACTTTTGATTCATTGACTTGTAGGACAACATAAATTGTTACTAAAGAAAGTATCATGTATTTTCCCATCATTTTGTGTTACCTTATTTTATTTTTCTAATGACTATAGAAATTTTTACTCTCTATAGGGTTTTATGACTCTGACATGAGCAGCAGTAAACAAACATATTTTTCCTGAGTGCCCAGGGCATTTGGCCTTCAGAATTATTGGGTCAAGTCTTCATAGTCAAAGGCAGATCAATCAACAAGTTTCCATTGAGCGTCTACTATGAGCCTAGAACAGCAGAGTTAAAAGGGTTGAGATAATTATCCAGGCCCCAAAGTGACTTTTATTGGTTTCCACAGATCATTTAGGCAGAAGGAGGCTTTTCTCTTTTAATTAACTGTAAAACTAAATCACTATATTGCCAGATTGGCCTACTTCTTAAAAATATTAAACAAAAATTACTTGCAATAAATGTAAATACTTTGGTTGGGAAATTCTTTTTACAAACACTCAGAACTTAAAAAAAATGCATGAATTTAGGTTTTAATGTCAGCCAGATAGGTGATGCTTGAACTACTCAATAATGAGGAGTGCTCAACATTTACAATAAGAAAAAATATAGTTTATTGCCTTGGCTTCAAGAGGAAAAAAAATTAGCTGATCTGCAGTGGCCAAAGTATAACTTTGTGTACCTGTGGACCAAGTTGAGCTTTGGAGTGAGCCAAATATATACAGGTCACCTATATGCTTTCCCATGTGTTATGAGAATCTCAGGGCAGCCACTTGTCAAAGAGCCCTTCTCCAACTAGTTACTGCAGCAAACACCTCCTCCTTCTTCTCCATTATCATCATCTTCATCTTCATCATCATCATCATCATCCTCTTTAAAATAATTTTTAAAATTATTTTATTTCCTATTTTGGTTTTGGAGGAACAGGTGGTGTTTGGTTACATGAATAAGTTCTTTAGTGGTGATTTCTCATATTTTGGTGCACTCATCACCCAAGCAGTGTATACTCTACCCAATGTGCAGCCTTTTATTCCTCACCATCCCTCACCCTTTCCCCCAAGTCCCAAAAGTCCAATGTATCATTTTTATGCCTTTGTGTCCTCAGAGCTTAGCTCCCACACATGACTGAGAGCATATGGTGTTTGGTTTTTCATTCCTGAGTTACTTCACTTAGAATAATAGTCTCCAATTCCATCCAGGTTGCTACAAATGTCATTATTTCATTTCTTTTTATGGCTGAGTAGTATTCCATGGTATATATACCACATTTTCTTTATCCACTAGTTGAATGATGGGCATTTGGGCTGATTTCATATTTTTGCAATTGCAAATTGTACTGCTCTAAACGTGTGTGCAAGTATCTTTTTTATATAATGCCTTCTTTCCCTCTGGGTAGATACCTAGTAGTGTTATTTCTGGGCCAAAGTGTTAGTTCTTTAAGGAATCTCCACACTGTTTTCCATGGTGGTTGTACTAGTTTACATTCCTATCAGCAGTGAAAAAGTGTTCCCTTTTCACCACATCCATGCCACCATCTATTATTTTTTGATATTTTGATTATGGCCATTCTTGTAGGAGTGAGGTGGTGTTGCATTGTGGTTTTGATTTATACTTCCCCGATAATTAGTGATGTTGAACATTTTTTCTTATGCCTTTGGCCATTTGTATATCTTGTTTTGAGAATTGTCTATTCATGTCTTTAGCCCACTTTTTGAAAGGATTGTTTGTTTTTTCTTCCTGATTTGTTTGAGTTCCTTGTAGATTCTGGATATTAGTCCTTTGTCAGACATATAGATTGTGAAGATTTTCTCCCACACTCTGGGTTGTCTGTTTACTCCCCTGCTTGTTTTTTTGCTGTGCAGAAGCTTTTTAGTTTAATTAGGTCTCATCTATTTATCTTTGTTTTGTTGCATTTGCTTTTGGGTTCTTGGTCATAAAGTCTTTGCCTAAGTCAACATCTACAAGAGTTTTTCCGCTGTTAATCTTCTAGAATCTTTATGGTTTCAGGTCTTAGATTTAAGTCCTTGAACGATCTTGAGTTGATTTTTTAATAAGGTGAGAGATGAGGATCCAATTTCATTCTTCTACATGTGGCTCGCCAATTATCCCAGCATCTTTTGTTAAATAAGGTGTCCTTTCCTGACCTTATGTTTTTGTTTGCTTTTTTGAAGATCAGTTGACTGTAAGTATTTGGCTTTATTTCTGGGTTCTCTATTCTTTTCCATTGGTCTATGTGCCTTTTGTTATGCCAGTACCATTCTGTTTTGGTAACTATGGCCTTATAGTTTAGTTTGAAGTCAGGTAATGTGATGCCTCCAGATTTGTTCTTTTTGCTTAGACTTGCTTTGAATATGAGGGCTCTTTTTTGGTCCATATGAATTTTAGGATTGTTTTTTCTTAGTCTGTGAAGAATGATAGTGGTAGTTTGGTAAGAATTGCACAGAATTTGTAGATTGTTTTTGGCAGCATGGTCATTTTCACAATATTGATCCTACCTATCCATAAGCATGAGATATGTTTCTATTTGTGTTGTCTATAATTTCTCTCAACAGTGTTTTATAGTTTTCCTTGTAGAGGTCTTTCACATCCTTGATTAGGTGTATTCCTAAGGTTTTTTTTTTTTTTTTCAGCTATTGTGAAAGGGGTTGAGTTCTTGAATTGATTCTCAGCTTGGTCACTGTTGGGGTATACCAGAGCTACCGATTTGTGTACATTAATTTTGTATCCCAAAACTTTGCTGAATTCATTTATCAGTTCTAGGAGCTTTTTGGGTGAGTCTTTAGTTTTTTCTAGGTATACGATCATAGCATCAGCAAAAAGCGACAGTTTGATTTTCTCTTTACTGATTTGGATGTCCTTTATTTCTTTCTTCCCCTTGTCTGATTGCTCTGACTAGAACTCCCAATACTATGATGAATAGAAGTAGTGAACATGTGCATCCTTGTCTGTTTAATAATGTTGGCTGTGTGTATGTCATAGATGGCTGTTATTACCTTAAGGTATGTCCCTTGTGTGCTGATTTTGCCTAGGGTTTTAATCACAAAGGGATGCTGGATTTCGTCAAATGCTTTTTCTGCATCTATTGAGATGATCATATGATTTTTGATTTTAATTCTGTTTATGTGGTGTATCGCATTTATTGACCTATAAGTTGGCTTCATTTTGGAGTTGATTTCTAATTCTATTTTACTGTGGTCTGAGCGAGTATTTGATATAATTTTGATTTTCTTAATTTACCAATATTTGTTTTGTGGCCTATCATATGGTCTATCTTGGAGAATGTTCCATGTGCTGATGAACAGAATGTATATTCTGCAGTTGTTGGGTAGAATGTTCTGTAAATATCTGTTAATGTAAATGTGTCTTAAACCATCCCCACATCCTTGGTATGAAATCCACTTGATCATGGTGGATTATCTTTTTGATATGCTGTTGGATTCAATTCCCTAGTATTTTGTTCAAGATTTTTGCATCTATGTTCATCAGGGAGATTGGTCTGTAGTTTTCTCTTTTTGTTATGTCCTTCCCCAGTTTTGGTATTAGAGTGATAATGGCTTCAAAGAATAATTTAGGGAGGATTCCCCCTTTTTCTTTCTTTTGAAATAGTGTCAATAGGATTAGTACCAATTCATTGAATGTCTGATAGAATTCAGCTGTGAATCCGTCTGGTCCTGGACATTTTTTTGTTGTTATTGGCAATTTTTAAATTACCATTTCAATCTTGTTGTTTGTTATTGGTCTGCTCAGAGTTTCTATGTCTTCCTGGTTTAATTTAGGAGGGTTGTATATTTCCAGGAATTTATTCATCTCCTCTAGGCTTTCTAGCTTATACACATAAAGGTGTTCATATAATATCTCCTGTTTCATGTCTAATTGAGCTTATTTGCATCTACTCTCTTCTTTTCTTGGTTAATCTTGCTAATGGTCTATCAATTTTATTTATCTTTACAAAGAACTGCCTTTTTGTTTCATTTATCTTTTGTATTTTTTTGTTTCAATTTCATTTAGTTCTTCTCTGATCTTTGTCATTTGTTTCTTCTGCTGGGTTTAAGTTTGGTTTGTTCTTGTTTCTCCCGTTCTGTGAGGTGTGATCTTAGATTGTTTATTTGTGCTCTTTCAGACTTTTTGATGTAGGCACTTAAGTCTATGAACTTTCCTCTTAGCACTGCTTTTGCTGTATCCCATAGGTTTTGATAGGTTGTATCACTATTATCATTTAGTTTAAAGAATGTTTAAATTTCCATCTTGATTTCATTGTTGACCCAACAATCATTCAGGAGCAAGTTATTTAATTTCTATGTATTTGCATGATTTTGAAGGTTCCTTTTGGAGTTGATTTATAATTCTATTTTACTGTGTTCTGAGAGAGTATTTGATATAATTTTGATTTTCTTAAATTTACTGAGATTTGTTTTGAGGCCTATTATATGGTCTATCTTGGAGAATGTTCCATGTGCTGATAATAGAATGTATATTCTGTAGTTGTTGAGTAGAATATTCTGTAAATATCTGTTAAATCCATTTGTTGTAGGGTACAGTTTAAGTCTATTGTTTCTTTGTCACTCTAGGGACACCTGGTTAAGTATTCAGGTTTCTCAGGTGGTGGGCAGGGCCATGGAGTTCCCAAAAGATTAAGACCTTTGTCTTTGACTACCAGGGTGGGTAGAGAGAGACCACCAGGTGGGGCCAGGGATAGCCATGTCTGAGCTCAGCCTCTTTTTGGGCAGGGCTTGCTGTGGCTGCTATGGGGCATAGAAGTGTGGTTCCCAGTCCAATGGAGTTATATTCCTAGGGGTATTATGGCTTCCTCTGCTGTATCATACAGGTCTCCAGCAAAAGCTGGCAGTCGTGGGCCTCACTCTGCTCCCACGCAGCTCATAGTCCTAAAGGCCAGTCTCACTACCACTGTGCTCCCCTAACATCATCAAGTATATTTCCAGGCAGCTGGTGACCAGGGCTGAGAACTTGCCCCAGACCACAAGCCTCCCCATTGAGAAACCAAGCAGACTCACAGTTTTTGGCATCTCAGGGAGCCTGCAGTGGTGATATAGTTCCTTCAAGGATCTGTGGATTCTTTCGGCTTTCCTGCTATGTTTCTGTGGTAGTTCTTGGAGCAAAAGTTCAAGGTGTGGGTCTCCACATGCTACTCTATCTGACTGAGTAGAAGCTGCCAGACAGTCTTGCCTCCCATCTGCCATATTAATCTCATCATCCCTTTTATGTAAGGTTCTGTCATTCTACTGAAGTGGCTATGTTCAAGTTTTGAAAATTCAAAACTTATCCAAGGTCAGTCCCATAGCAATTATAGGTAGCTCTGGGATTCCTGTTAAAGCAGTCAGTTTCCACAGCCCCCTCCCTTCATACCTATGCCTCAACCCTAATTTGTCACCTGAGAAAATGCGGATACTTTCTACATGTTGGAGTTGTCATAAAGACTTAAGATAATGCATATAAAGCTCCTGCCACATGCTATTCAGTCAATAAAATACTAAGCATTATATTAATATTACTGGGGGCCTGATGAACAGGGCGTAAAACTATCTTGGTTAGGATGGTGTCTGTGGCTGCTGGTCAGACTCTTTCTCCAAACTGGAACAGTCACCTATTTGTTTAGTTAAGGCCTAACTTACATGAAATTATGAAGGAAGGAAAATAATCGAGCATTTATTATCTCTCTGTGTGTCTGTCAGATAGATATATACTAGCATACTTAATTTTCAATATAGTTCCATGAAGTAATCACATTTAATAATTAAGGAAATTTAGATTCAGAGAGGTAAAGTGATATGCACATGGAAACACAGCAAATAATATGAGTAGGTCTCTGGAATCCAAAGAGGTCATATATAACTCCCTTACCAGACTGGATGCTCCTGGAGGATAGAATTTATACATTCAAATTGTCTGTGTATTTCTAGAATTTATCACTACATGGCACAGATAATATATATGTGCACATCCTACATGTATCTTCAATAAATTTTAGTTAAATTGATTAAAAAAGTAATAAAGTTCAATTCTCTTTCTAAAATATCCTGAAACCTAACTGAGCTACAAGACAAAATCCCAGTATTGTAAGTATGACATACAATGCAAAACTCTAGAAAACACACAGAGGTATCTGCATCAGGATTAAGAATGAACGTACGCCATTATTTCTGTTCAGAGAATAAATTGGTCAGAGAGCAATAGGACCAGTTTCAAAGTTTTATCCTTCAACATAAAAGCAAATATTTGCTTGTAAGCTTCCAGGGCCTTAGTGTATTTGGGAGATTCCCTTAAAATCAACCAATCAATTAATCTACTAATGTTTATTGTGCTGAGCTAGAAACTATGGGGCATAATACTAAGCTTTACATTTGTGTGAGGTCTACATTCATAAATGACTTTTAAATATACTCTTTTCTTTTTAATTCTCAGTACAACTTCTTGAGTTTTGAATTATTCTCCTTATTTTACCGAAGAGTATTCTGAGGTTCAAAAGCTGTTCCACTTTCACTGGGTTACACAGTTGGTTAGAATCAGGGCCTGAACTTGAACTCATTTTTCAGTTCCTAACTTATATTAGTCTTCATCACAGCTAAGAGAAGAGGCTGAAGATGTATGAACTGAAATCTGAGAGTCTGTGACCTAGTTATGATGATATCGCAAAGCTTGAGAAACAGACTACATGGTAAAGAATAATGAATGGATTAGTAAAGGAGGCAGACTGGAGGCAGCAGACATCGAGAGGTGAATACACTCTACCAGAAAGGATGTGCTTAGCCTGCACTAGTTGACAGAACTTGGGAATTGGAAAACTGATGAATCCAAAATCTTGTTTTCTTTTCACCATATCCACGTCAACATCTGGTATTTTTTGACACTTCTACACTGTTGGTGGGAATGTAAACTAGTACAACCACTGTGGAAAACAGTGTGGAGATACCTTAAAGAACTAAAAGTAGATCTACCATTTGATCTAGCAATCCCACTCCTGGGTTTCTTCCCAGAGGAAAATAAGTCACTATACGAAAAAGATACTTGTACACGCATGTTTATAGCAGCACAATTTGCAATTGCAAAAATATGGATTCAGCCCAAATGTCCATCAACCAAGTGGACAGAGAAAATGTATATACACACTATGGAATACTACTCAGCCATAAAAAGGAACAAAATAATGGCATTTGCAGCATCCTGGATGGAATTGGAAACCACTATTCTAAGTGAAGTAACTCACGAATGGAAAACCAAACATCATATGTTCTCCCCCATAAGTGGGAGCTAAACAATGAGGATGTGAACGCATAAGAATGATACAATGAACTTTGGGGAGTCAGGGTAAAGGGTGGGTGGGGGATGAGAGATAAAAGACTACACATTGGGTACAGTGTAGACTGCTTGGGTGATGGGTGCACCAAAATCTCAGAAATCACCACTAAAGAACTTACTCATATAATCAAACACCACCTGTTCCTCCAAAAACCTATTGAAATGAATAAATCATTAAAAAGAAAGGAAAGGAGGAAAATACTTTAAAAAAACCAAAATATTATTTTCTGTGTGTCTTAGATAATTATTAATATGCTAGTATTAAATATTAATGTGCTAGTGCTAGTATTAATAACACTAATAAAAAGCAAACACTTATATGGTGCTTTGCTGTTATAGAATACAATAATTTTCTTTAGTCAAAGATAAAAGATGGTTTCAGCAAAAATAATGAACTTTGATTTGAATGGACTGAGTTTAAGTCAATGTTAGAACATGCAAGTAAAAATGTCCAGTTGAGTCTTGACTTTAGGTTAGAAGCCAGAGCTTCTGATTTATAGCTACAACTCTTTGATCTTTTCTGAGGACAGAAACAATTTTTTAAAAATTGATCTTATTTTTTATAGTCATTGTTTATCCTGGGCTTGTAACCATTTGCCTGGCACATATTGTGACTAAATAAATATGTGTAACTTATTTGAATTAATAAATAATTGACTTAATAATTATATCTGTTAACTTCCAATAACAACAAAGGTAGTCGAAGCCAAGATAGGTGATTCCAAACACTTAAAGGAAATAATATACAATCCACTGTGGTTTGCCCATTCTCTTCTTGTTCTGTTTTCATGGGAAACTGTATATTCAGGCAAACTACTTGCTGCAAGTCAGATCTTCTGATCATCTTTGGGGAGATGAGAAAAGGAAAAAGAAGTGCTAATACCCTTCAATGCAGCTGAGAACAATGTAGATAAAATACAATTCTCTCGTGGAATGTTTTTGGTTTTGTTTGTTGTTTTTGTGTTTGTTTCTAGAAAAATATCTGTAAGACCCTTCCATGTATTCAGGACTCCCAAATGCCTTGCAACTTGCAGATTCTCCTAATCTCAGAGGATGGCTCTTGTTTAAAAACTGCACAATGTAAATGGTATCTGGTATTTAATGAAAAGCCCTGAAATTGCTATATGGTGCCACAGATTCACTGCTGAACATGTCATGAGGCAACATTTTATAGGCATTGTAAAATCTTTTTACCACACACAGCTGCATTACCCCAAATTACTCAAATCTGCAGGGCATCTGAAACTCACTCTGTAACAGTAATAGGCTTTGCTGCTTAAAAAGTGATTAGGACTAATGCACAAAAACAATTATCACTAAATGCAATTGCCAAGAATTAAGATTATATATATACAATTATATATATACATTATACATATATATATACATATATATATACACACACACACACACACACACACATTCATTCTCACTGAAATTGAGAAATCACCAGGAAAAACTAAGTGATTTTCAAAATGTATGGAATTATGAAGCAGAAATAGGAAAAAAAATCTTTTAATCAGTCAGTTTATACAAGGAAGATTTTACTGGCAGTATCTTTTACAAACTTCAAAACTTTATTGCTTTAATACACACTTTAGGTTAATTAGAGAAATTCTGGAAACAATAATGAGTAAAATTGCCCATATAGGGCTGGCCCTACAGCAAAAGGAGACAACATGAGGTGTCAGTAAGAGACTAAAAATGGAATCCAATGGACTTGGTCTCCAGTTGTGGTTCAGCCCTGGGCAACTCCTTTATCTCTCTGGGTCTTACCTTCTTCTTCCATGCAAAGTGACAACAACAACAACAAAAACGTAAAACAAACAAATGAACAAAACTTTGAGCTAAGCATTATTAGGGCCTCTTCCTACCCTAACTTGCTATAATTTGATCTTAAGTGACCTAAGGTAGAAAAAGTTAGCTGTTCACCTTTGTCCTCCACCTTCTGAGAGAAAGCATGAAAGAAAACAGTGAAAGAGTTGGCACTGTGCTTTTCCTTTAAAGGGGTTTAGATGAAAGAAAGTGATTTGAATTATTTAAAATAGAATAAACAGTCTGATAAAAACAACATGGTGGGAAAGTACAGAGGTAGTTCCAAAGGGGCTGTAAAGGTACACTGAGAACTGATATTAGAAAAATTAAAGTTAATAATAATTTTTATTTTTTCCTATAAATATTGCAAAGAGTTTTAGGTGTTCAAGAAAGTCAACATTCTCCTCCCTTACCTGGCCTCACAATTATATGTTCATATTGTATATGTTCTAACAATGGAATGTGAGTGGAAGTGCTATGTGCCACTATGGTGTCATGTCCATAGAACCCTCACCCTGACACTTTTCCATGCTCTTTTCTTTTGGTTAACTGAATGAAAGTCACCCCAATTGATGAAAGAATGCCCCATCAGCTTGAGAGCTAAATCTAAATGAATTTGTGGAGCATTGTCATCTTGCCAACCCAAACCACTCAGCACATCAGGCAAACAAGACAGAAACTCAAACTGTTTGAACACTGCAAATTAATAGAATAGTTGATGACATATGAACTGTCAGCATAGTCAACTATCATCATTCACCACCTAGAGAGACATTGCTGTGGTGTGGTGGTGCCAGAAGGCAGAGTCCACTGGAGCGGGATAAAAAAGAAGTTTACCATGAAAAGCAATGAGGATAGCCTACATTTATCCATCTAAGCAAGTTGAACATGTGTTGTGGGACTAAGGCCTGTGAGTTCAGGCTCTGGGATCAAAAGAACTGAACTTGCTTCCTGGACCCAGCCTTGTAAGACATGTGACCTTGCACAGAAATGCTTGATACAAATTGTGTCATTTAATCCTCATAGTGACCCTATAAGGTGAATATTTTTGTTTATTCTATTTTAGAGACAAGAAAACTAAGGCTTAAAGAACCCCTACATATTGTCTAAACTCAAACATGGTAAATGGTAAAACTGTAATTTAAACCCAGGTCTATCTGACCCAAAAGCATGGAGTATGTGCTTGGTTAGGAATGAAGTTGCTCAGTTGCTTGGAACAACTAACAGCCACCTTCAAGTTCAGGCATGTGCTAAAAGGTCAAAGCTAAAAGCTCAGAAGACCGAATTGTTCTGAAATTGCACTGGGCTGTGCTATCTGGGAACATTGACGGGAAGGAATGATAGTCAGAGGCCTCTGAGCACAAAGCATCACTGGCACTTTGATCATTAGGCCCATCACTGCCTCACATCACATGAGGTGAAACTAATGTCCCTTGCCACAAAGAAATCCAGAAATAGTTATGAGTCCAAAAGAACAAGTCATTCCTAGCTGACATCTCTGCTCTGGAAGCCAACTGCAAGTAAGTTACTGTTGCGTTTTATTGCATTTTACTAATTTCTTGCTTCAGTGTAGAAATTAAAAGTCTCTCCGAAGCCCTCATAGGCTGTAACTAGGTGGTCTTAATGGGCTCTGGTTGGATAACTCAAGTAGGCCTTTTTGTGTGTGTGGCTTCCACTGCCCTTGCAATTCTGGCCAAGGTGAAAGTCATGTGATTTCATTAAAGGACTTATCGAATCACGCATAAGTGAATATCTACTGTGGACTAGGCAGTTTTCTAGGAAATTGGAATCCTGGGAAACATAAGACATGGCTCCTGTATTTAAAGAATACTTCACCTAGTAGAGAAGGCACACAAGTAAAAGACTATTTAGTTGTGGTGTAAATGTTTAGAGCTTGGGGCAAGAGACAGGCTACATCAATTGGAATCCTAACTCTTTTAGTTACTACTGGTGTGTAGACTTGGGCAAGTTACCTCACCTCTCAATGCATCAGTTCACTCATCTGTAAAATGGAAAAATGCCTCATAGGATTGTTAAAACAATTAAATGAGCTAATATATTTGAGGTTAGCTAGTGTTAGCTTTTTATGATAGCCTGATGAGCATTTGAAAAGAGAGAAATTAAACACATCAGAACAGTTGGCTTTGTCACTTTAGGCTTCCCATTGGAGGTGATAATGGAATTGAGCATTAAAGACTGAGTAGGCATTAACAGGGAACTCAAAGTTGTAAAGTCCTTTTAGGTAGGAGGTGGTATGTACATGGACACTGCAAAAGAGCTCATTACAATATTAGGGAACCTCCAAGAAGTCACATATGGCTGGACAGTGGTGTATCTGAGGCAGGTAAAATAGTTGAAGCTGGAAAGAAAGGCAGGAGCCCCTCACAAGGAGCCTATCAGTGAGGATCAGAGTTCAGGCTCATCCCTGGAGTCAGGTAAGGCTTGACTCCAGGAATGACAGCCTTTAAGCATGGCAGTGATATACGGGTGCCAGTAGATTGATATTGGATCAACAGCCCTGATGCTGTCTGAGGCAGTGGCATTTTATGAAGATGGGCATAAATGTGTGTTGACTCACAAGTACTGTCTTTCGTCTGCTCTGTTAGTATGTGCAGATACTAAAAACCAGAAATATTTATATGACACCTGAGAAAAGTGAAGCCCTCTGTGTTCTGTTACCCACCTCAGATTTCACCCTTTCTCCCAGCCTCATATAAACTAAGAACTGAAAGGATTTTCCATCCATGCCTGCCCTGAGGGTACCATAAGGGTAGAGTGCTGAATTCAGTGCAATGGAGTTGAGAAGAAAGTAAAAGATCAGGTCTTTGTCCTGGTGATGTTGTATTCTAAGCGGATGAGAGAAAAAAAAAGTCATACAGAAGTACATAATAACATATGTGAAAACTAGTTCCTAAGCACATAAGCTTCTCATCCACAGTAGTGTGTCTTCAAAGTACAGTTGGCTGGCACCACTGTCAGACTTACATGGAATCCTTGTTTAACATGCACATGGCTGAGCCCCACTTAGCCCTGATGAATGAGAATCTGCATTTTCAATAAGTATTTCAGCCAATCTACAACACATTAATGTTAAAAAACAACCTATCTATGTCATCCCTTATTTTAAATAAGCATGCACAGTTTATGTACATCAATGATCAACGAACTAAGAAGTATTATTTATCTATTTGGAAAAATTCTACTCGCTCAACTTTAGGGAGGGATGATTCTTATACTTTTATGCCTCATCCCTTTCATATTATTCTGTTCTCATGCTGCTAATAAGGACATACCTGAGACTGAGTAATTTATAAAGGAAAGAGGTTTAATTGACTCACAGTTCAGCATGATTTTAGAGGCCTCAGGAAACTTATAATCATGGTGGAAGGGGACACAAACGTCCTTCTTCACATGGTGACAGCATGGAGAAGTGCAAACGGGGAAAAGCCCCTTATAAAACCATCAGATCTCTTGAGAACTCACTCACTATCATGAGAACAGCATGGAGGCAACCACCCCTATGATTCAATTACCTCCAACTGGATCCCCCCTCCATGATGTGTGGAGATTGTGAGAACTACAATTCAAGATGAGATTTGCGTGGGGACACAGCCAAACCATATCACCTTTCATAGGGCATTTAAACCTTTCAACATTATGAACAAAGGTTAACCGTGACAGATAAGAGAATCATACAAGTAATTGGTTTAAATGGTAAGAAATTTCAGTATTTCCCAGCATAGTAACCATGTTTGAAAGAAGATCACACTTCTACAAAATGACTTCCATTTAGGAACAGCCTTTTCATTGTGAAGTATCTACAGCTGCCAGTACTAAATCCATGGGATATAAAGAGGGAAACAGGAATAAGATACAATCTCTGCCCTAAGGGGGCCATAGACTTTTTAAATATTTCCTTATTTTTTAGTCAGAAGAAGGGGATAGGGGAAAGATATGTACATAATATCAGATGAGCCCACTACTAGAGATGCTACTGAGACTCTGGAAGCTGAGTGGTAGAAAACCTCAAAATATTAAAATTAGGGAAGGTCTCATAAAGGAGGTTACTCCTGAGCAGATGCTGACAGAAAATAGGATGCTCTTCCCTAAGGCATCAAATGGGGGAAAGGAATTGCAGGCTGGGACTCCCATGCAGCAAGGCAGAGCAGCATGCCGTGGGGGAAACATTAGTCCCTGCCTTTCCTTTGAGGGCCCCCACCACACAGCCTTCTTCATAAAACTTAGGTGATCTGACCAAATAGTCTTACATATGTCAGACTTGCACCATTTATATGTGCATAGGGATACTTTGCCTTCAAACATCAAAAAATTAAAATTAACCTAAATAATTTCATTTAAAATCAATTAGCATTTTCATTTACTTTGACTGATAAAGAAAAAGCCTACATTTTCTTTACAGAAAGACATTTGAAGACATCCTGTACAAATTACTAAAAGGAAAAATAACACAATATTGTAATTAGGTTAACTATATTTCCTCAGTCCTCCCTCTGGCCACCTCCTTCCCAAATAGATCACTTTAGAAAAACTAGCAGTTATTCAAAACAAAATATGTTGGTGTATCTTGCAGCCAAATAATATGAATTGACAAGGCACAATAATATGAGCCAACCTTGAACTGATAAATTTGCCCAGTAAAAAAGTGTAGCTTGAGCAGCTCTGTTGATCATTTGAAATGTTAATGGTAATATGCTTGTTTACTATTGAGATATTTATGACTAATGGTGTGATGTTATTTAAATTCACAGCATTCATTAATTTCAGCTGTTTTTCATCATTAGGAAAAATAATTCAACAGAAACTTCAATATTTTTTAAGAGCAACATATGAAGCAACACCAGAGTGCCACCAATCACAGAAGGCCCCTTCCTCAGACTCGGTTCTGCCAAAACCAAGCCCTCCAAAAAAGACTTCCTCTGGGTAACTTCTGGGTTGCATTCAGATTTTTAAAGACTTAGAAAGAACTCTTCTAATTCCTCAAGTTAACTTGGTATCAGAACATGATTAGTCCTATTGTGGTTATGATTAGCAATATATAAAGGCCACATTTATGCCCCATGTAAAGGAGGTCAGATGACGAAAGTGATTTTTTCCCTTGGGTTCATGGGTGACTCAAGACTATTGTAATGTTCACATTTTATAACAGGAAATAGAAAGTTAATTGATAGCTATTTAGAGCCATCAAAATCCTTTTTTAATAAACCTAGTAAGGCAATAAAGAATTACTTTGTGTAAGATTAGAAAGACCATAGAAAATAATTTATTATGACTGATTTCCATATGGGTTGCTGAGCCAACAGACGACTGGCGCTAATTGTTGACTTAAACTCAGTCACTGTAACTCCAAGTCAAAATGTTTCCTGTGGTTTGAGATTGGCTTCAGCCTTTTACCTCCAAGAATGGAAGGACACGAAGGTTCCACAGGATATCTGCTCTACTTTTTCCTTTTTTTTTTCCTAAAAAGATCTTAATGTTGTGTGAGGTCAGGGGTTTTATTTTTCTCTGTTCTACATAATCCTGTCTTTATCCATGCTTATGGATGTGGAAAGAGCTACATTTATAGCTATCCTTATCTAAAGCTCACTGACTTGATGATTCAGAATAAGGTTAAAGAACACAGTTTTTGTTACCAGTTACTTAAGCAGTAAGTAATATACAGATACGAATTATAAACTATTACCAATCTAATATGTGATAGCAAATGACATAATCAGACTTTAGTTGCCTTGGTATGTTAAAAAGAAGAGATCTCACTCTGTGATGATCAATTAATCAATGAACTGTCCTGTGTTTTACAGTCACGATTATCTAATCTGGATAAAATATACACATTTGCAGAATCACGGTGACCTAAAAATGCAGTCACCAACTGCCTGCCGATAAAGATGAACATCATTTGGTTGATTAACAATAACAATAAAATACTTAAATGAAGATGCCTGAAACTGCAAGAAGAAAGAGGTGGGGAGGCATTAGCAGAATGCCCTGTGGAAGAGAATTCATGATCAGGTGTTCTTCATGGCTCTTATGAGAGATCATTGAGCTCAGCTCTGGGATATCTGGAGCTGGATGGCTGACTTATTCCTGAATTTAAGCCAAGAGTATGTGAAGAAACAATCTGCTTCTGGTTCACAAGAAAACCTCTGAAATTTAGGAAAAACCAAGGAGAAAAAAAAAAAAAAAAAAAAACAGAGAGTGAGGGATAAGTGATGTCTGAAGTGCCAAATTTGGCATCAGGAGAATGGTTGGAATAGATCGTGAACTCTTAGCAAAAGAGACCATTCTGGGCTTGCTGAGCTCCGGCGCCCGCGGAGCTCGCACCAGGCTCCCCGGAAAGGACGGGGCGTGTTACCGGGGAGCAGCTGCTCTATTGCGCCTCGAGGCTCCGATCGGGCTAGGCCGGCGGCCTCGCTCCCTCCCTTCACCTTTCCTCTCCTGGCGGGCCCGGCGGCGGGCAAGTGACTGCCCGCCATGCCTGAAAGGCGACTCTTCGATTCAAGATGACCAGAGAAGAACCTCTTCCCAAGAAAGTTCGACTGAGTGAAACAGACTTCAAAGTTATGGCAACAGATGAGTTAATTCTAAGATGGAAACAATATGAAGCATACGTACAAGCTTTGGAGGGCAAGTATACAGATCTTAAACTCTAATGATGTAACTGGCCTAAGAGAGTCTGAAGAAAAACTAAAGCAACAACAGCAAGAGTCTGCACGCAGGGAAAACATCCTTGTAATGCGACTAGCAACCAAGGAACAAGAGATGCAAGAGTGTACTACTCAAATCCAGTACCTCAAGCAAGTCCAGCAGCCGAGCGTTGCCCAACTGAGATCAACAATGGTAGACCCAGCGATCAACTTGTTTTTCCTAAAAATGAAAGGTGAACTGGAACAGACTAAAGACAAACTGGAACAAGCCCAAAATGAACTGAGTGCCTGGAAGTTTACGCCTGATAGGTAAACAAATCATCCTCCCCAGTTAAGACTTCCCTGACAGTCCCACTACGAGAAAGCTGTGGTGGGACAACCAAGTACTCGTTTCCACACCAAGACTCAGACTTTTTGAGCCAAAAAAAAAAAAAAAAAAAGCCACATTCTTACACTGTCCAGCTTGTAATGTTTAATGTAAAACTTACCAGATGAACCTTGTGTTTCAGCTTTTTTCTTTTCCCCTTCCCCTTGCTTCAGACGCCTGATGGCATCGGACTATTCCGAAGAAGTGGCCACCTCCGAAAAATTCCCCTTCTAGAACATGTAGACACTTGAGAAATGTTTCTGTTTGAAGAAAATAGAGGGAGAAACAGAAGTCTTAAGTCTGTGGCACACTGTGTCTTCAGACAGTTTGAAGGAATGAAAACCTAGAGATTTTAAATCATGAAGTGAAAATGTAAAATTCCAGTAAAATGTAAAAATGGAATATGCATCGCTCTTAACCTTGAGCATAGTGACTTAGAGACACTGTGTATCAGTTTTGCCAATAAGACTGTGGACTTCATGATTGTTGTACTTCTGGGTCAAAACTCAAATGAGGTGAATTTTGCCTTTAAAGGTTTTATTTGCTGAGAAACAACTTTTGATAGTCATGAGAGAATCAAATAATAGATGTCCGTACAAGTAGCACATATATTTAACCATTTAGTTTGGGGCTCTGTATTACTTGCTTGAGCCTTAATCAATGTGGTTTTATTCAATGGTTTGTTCTTTGAATGGCTGCAAAAACTGTAGATAAACTTACTGAGGACTGTACAGACATGAAGGTGTGGTATCAAACTTCAGGTTGAAACTGTTTGAAGCATTATAAACATTCATTTCACAACTAGATTGTATAAGGATATTAGCTGTGATGAGACTCACTGCATTTTTTTTTAGTGAATTTTATGAAATCCCCATTCCATTCAACAGGCACATGTTTGAAAGAGCATTGTCGTTGGTGTTAATGGGGGAATGTGTTCCTTCATTGTATTTGGGCCTTTTGTATTGCACTCTTGATATTAAATTAAATGTGCCTTGAAATAGTTGGGTTTTTTTTTCTAAGTTCAAAGAATATTATGATGATTTTGTTGTACTATTTAACATTTTAATTTGGGGCTGGGAGGGCCTGTGGAGAGCAGATTCATTTTGGAAATACTGTTGCTGTGCTCTTCAAAGTGAAGGAAAAGGCGCTGTGCCTCATTTTTAAAAGACCTACATAAAAGACAAGGAGACTTGACACTTGTTACTTTTATGACACTTTGTCCCTGGGTATTGCAGTAGAAAGTAATGTGGGACAGCTTCACAGAGTGCCTGCCAGAAGATAATGTGTTGGAACAGTGGGCTGGCCTAAGTAAGACATTTTATGAATTGAAAAAAGATATACTGATCATTTCTAGCAAATTCATTTAACCATTTAGATAAATGAGGCATTATTTTCTTCATGCTTCCATCCAATCCTGGAGGTGAATTTTTTCTGTCTGATCATTCTATAAGTCACCAATTCAAATTTTCGCTTGGTGATAATGGAGTCTAAGATGAGTGGAAGATAAATGTTCCAGCTTGTCGCAACATTTAAGTGCAGTTTTAACAAGGGTGACTTAAGTTCTCTCTCAATCATTCAAATCAATTGTAAGTATCATATGTTTGTGCTTTAGGGAACTGATTGTGGGGCAGAGGGTAGGTTGAAGAAGTGGTTTGTATGACTTTTCAGCAAGAAATCTGCATCTAAAATTCTCACTATTTGTGAGGGTTGGAGGGTAAGTAACCAGATCTGTTTGAAATTAGCTTATGTGCTTGCATTAAGGCTTTTGTAAATATTTTATGCCATTTAAGTTCACAGTAGAAATGGCCTAAGTATCTTTTTAGTAGATTTTAGTAGAAAAGTAATCCATAAAATGTATTATTAACATGTACTCAAATTTAGCAGGCATCTTTCTTTGCCACTTAGATGGCAGTCATGAGTTCTGTGGTTTTTTTCTTGTCATTGTTAAAATTTTCTCTTTTAATAAGATAATACATGCTTGTGTATAAAATTGAAATACTGTTGAGAAAGGGGGAGATGAAAAGTGAGTGTCACTCTTGGATCTGACCTTGACATCCTCATTCTGTTCTCCAGGAGCAGTAACTGCTATTACTTTTTCTTGGGTATCATGAAGATAATTTCTATGCATATACAGTCATTTTATGTATATTGTTTTAAACAAATGTGATCATACCATAAACACAGATGAGTTGCACCTTGTTTTTTTTAACTTGGTCTCTTTGGCGTTTTTCCATTTTTTAGTGTATCTAGACACCTACATTTTTAATGGTTACATAATGTATTTGCATTATATTAAGGAATCATGATTTATTTGAATCACTTATAAATGGATTTTTTTCCGTAAAATTGGCTGTAAGCCAGAGTATATCAGGTACTATAAATACATCACTAATTTGAAACAAATAATGGCTCAGGCAATCCCCTGTCTGGAATATTTCCAGTAGTGGAATGGGTTTTGCTTTGGGTTGCGTGCATGCGCGCGTGTGTTTGTGTGTCTTCACTTTACTGTTTTTCTGTTTTAATTTTGAGGAAGAAAGATTCCCGGAAATAACCTGTCCAGTTCAGTTAAAATATTTCATTTATGTGAGACTGTACACATTTTAGAGTGTTTAGAGGTATATCTTTCAAAGTGCTTTCTATTATGTTTGTGGGTGATTTTAGGAATGGGTTGATTTTTTTGTTTGTAATTTTAAAAAATTATTCAAAAACAATTACTTGTAATTAAATTATTTTAAAAAAAGAGACCATTCTGATCAACTACCACTGCATTATAAACCACCCCAAATTTAAAACAATTATTTGTTAACATCTCCCATATTTCATAAATTGATGAGCTCACCTGAGAAGTTCTTGCTTGGGGACTTTTGTAAAATTGTAGTCAGATGTTGGCTGGGACTACAGTCATCTCAAGTCTTGACTGGACTTGATGTTTATCCAGTCCAGCCACTGTTGGCAGCTGATGCTGGCTGTCAGCGGGGACCTCAGCTGGAGCTTTCCACTGAGGTGCCCTAAACATGACCCCTCCTTGTAGCTTAGGTTTTATATTGTGAGTTAGCTGGGATTTTAGGGGGAGAGTTCCAAAAAGGAGCTTCCAAAGAGATCCAGTGAAAAATGTAAGAAATTCTATGATCTAGCCTCTGAAAATCAGACCATCACTTCTGCCACATTATATTGGTCAAGCAAGTCACTAAATCCAGCTTAGATTCAAAGAAAGGGAAACGGGGCTCTATCCCTTGACATTAGGAGCAACACGTGTACATAGAAAGGAAAGGAAGTGATAGTAGTCATCTTTGTAGAGTCACATAGAGGCATTGTTTCTGTCTTGAACACATGAAACATAGTCTGCAGATCCTTCGTGATGGATGTGGATTCTATGCACATGATGTGACCACAAATATTGGAACAAAGCAAAGGGAGCATTCAAATAAGATCATATGCACCCTCCAATGAAAACTAATCAATATTTCCATTATACTGAGAATAAAGTTCAAATTTCTTACCATGGCCTGCAAAGCCCTTTATGATTTGCTCCATTCCAACTTCTCTGACTTCTTGTCCTCCCACTCTTTCCCTTGCTTACTTTGCTTTAGTCAGGCTACCTTTCTCGCTTTGCTTGCAATTGTCAATTATGCTATCTCCTTTTGGAAAACTCTGCTCCCAGATCTTCCAACATCTAATTTCTGCACTTTATCCAAGTTTCTGTGCAAAAAGTCTCTTCAGAAACGGCATCCCTTAAGCACTCTCTTCGGCGATCACTCACCTTGTGCCACTTGTCCTCATGTCTTCATGATCTGAGACTCTCTTGTTCATCTCTCTGTTTAGTTTTAGTGTCAGTTCCCCTTACCAGCCCATAAGCCCCACTGGAGCAGGGATCCGACTCATCTTGCTCACTTCCATTCTTGCAGGACCAGGAACTGTATTGGTACATAGTGATACCCAGTCCATATCATTGAATTGACGACTATGCCTGAGCTTTATTTTCAGTTGGTTATCGTTAGAAATGTCCTAAATATCCTTTAAAAATTATGTGAGCCCTATGTGTAATTCATTCAGCATTCACTTCTACCTGTGATTACCCAACACCTTTCAAAATTATTTTTTCCTATTTATTTTCTGGATCCCATATTTTTTTTCCCCTGCTCATAATTTGGTGTTTGTTACCTTAAAGTCTACGTTATAATCTCACTAGACTACTTACATTTCCTTTGGAAACCTGGATTCTCTCTCTACTTTATACCTTTCTGGAATGCTGTTTCCTCCTTTATTCCTCCAGCTAAGTACCTTTTATCCCTGAACACTTGTTTCATGTATCTATTCATTTGGAAAGACTTGCCCTAACAGCCATCTTCACTTTCCATTTCCGAATCCTTTTTGGATTCACTTTTTTGTTGTAAACTATGGTACAGTGAGGCAAGTGCAGCTCCTCTCCTCCACCTTTGAGTTCTTTGGCAACATGGGCATCATCTTATTTGTTTCTAGAGCTCTTGTACCAAGTCTAGTGCTTGGCACACAGCATATACTCCATTAATGCTTCTGGAACTGGATAGAATTAAATTGAAACAAAGGAAAGGAGGAAAACAACAGGGAACTGGACAGTGGTAGATAATGTCAAGAGACCAAGAAAATGTTGGCTTCGTCTTCCTTTTATACACACTAATTTATTTTTACTCTGGTCCAATTATATGTGCTTTGTTAGAAATGTCACCATTGTTCAATATGTTAAGAAAATAAATTAAAACTTCAGAGTTATTTAGAAGGCAGGCATGAAATCAAGCATTTTCTACACTCCTGTTTTGTCATACTGTATACTCCTCCTGTTCATTTGCATTTTCATGCTCAGTCTATTGGGTGCAGGTGCAGAAAGCAGGCACCAGGGTATTCTATAGAATTCAATGTTATCTCTGATAAATGAGGCTTTCTAGCTATGTATTTTTATAATTGTAAATTTCCCTCCTTTTCATATCTACTTAGGTGCATCTACATTTATGAAATTATATCATTTGTGTGTAGTTTGGGGGGTATCTTTCACAGGCATATAGAAATTGGATGTGATAGCTATCTCAATACATGAAACTAAGTTATTGGCAATAATTTTTTTTTACTTTAAAGGGAACATATTGATACCACATTGCAAGAAATTAAATATATAAAGGAAATACTTTCCAAAACATTGCTAATGTGAGCTCTTTTTTTTTTTTTAAGAAAAAGCTGAAAATAAAAGCAGTCTTCCAGGAAGCTAATTAAGCCTTATTTTGTTCATTGCATACAGTGAGCATTTAGAATTGCACCTAAACAATCTTCAGTTAAGCACAGTCATTTAACCCTCTTTAACTGTCCTGGTGTGTGGCCCCTTTGAAATGCCCCATAATCAAAGTTTTCCAGGTGGGAAAGACAGCACAAATAAAAAGTGACAGACTTAGCTCTTGTACAAAGCTTGCAACACTTGCAAGGATTATCAGCTATTTCACAATATAGATTGATGAACAATTGTATGATAAGTTTTTCTGCAGTCTGAAAAATTTGGATCAGTTGATGGTGGGGGATGGTGGATGATTTAAGTTAATGGAAAGAAAAACAGACCTAATTAATAGTAGAAATTATGATTTTGTGGTAGCTTGGAAAACAAGGAATTGTGCTTTCTGGTCCAAGATTTTCTATGAAGTGAAAGTGGCTACTTAAGAAATACACTTCAGTTCTTTGCGTGTATATTTCTTCATTGAAAAGATGGAACCAGTGTCAAGTTTTTAAATACTACAGTGGAATAAGTTTTAATGTGTACTATAGACTACAGACTAAATCTTGCACTAAGCCTTTCACTTTCAGAAAGAGTACAGATACTCCTCCTTCAAATGCCCACCACTTTCATCAGTGCACGTCTATTAGAAGCCAAGACAGATGTACCACATTTAACTGCTCCTCAGCTGTATGGCTTACTCTGTAATCTAATGCCAGCTCCCATAAAATTCAAGCTGTAGCAAGTAACCTTGCAAAATATATCTGAGCAGTTTTGTCTCTTTGAGTTTATGAAAAACAACAGAAAAGTCAGTAGAACATATCCAGGTTTGGTATAGACTATCAAATCACTCCTTTTGGATAATGACAGGCTCCTGGTCATCATTTGTGGAAGCCAGTTCTTGCATCAGATGGACAAAAAGGGCTTCTAATAGATTTTTCATGTTTAAATTTTATATACATTTACACCAGTGAGAAATATTTTCTTATTTCCTAAACTCCGAAACATTTCATCTATGTTTCAATTTTGTCATTTATCACATCTTGCCTGATTTTTTAAGTATTCATATGTCTTTCCTTATTTTTCCTACTTGATTGAAAGCTCCCAGAGGACAAGGTCGTCGTCTAATTCAGCTTCTTATTTACCCAGGAAATGAGAGGATGCAAGGTGAGGACTCCATATTTATTTAATAAATACATAAATGGATAGATAACTTTGATAGACTACATGGTATGAATTCATTTTTGAATGTAGTAAACAACAATATAATCAGCTAAGATCTAAAGTTATATGGAGAAAATCATCTAATTTCAGTCACCTGAATTTGTGACCAGAGGTCACAAATTCTAAAATATACAAGAAACCAGAACATGGGCATTTAGTATTTTAACATGCTCATTTAAAAGGAACTCAGAAATTATTTGATAGAGATGCCAGATATTGCCAGTTGTCATACTACATTGAGAAGAATGTTCAGACCAAATCTGTGCTCAGCAACAAAGAATAGTAAAATGTTGATGAGTAGAGGCATACCTTTGAAATATCCAATCAGATTCAGATACTTTATTTTGAAAATCATGAGATGGAGACCACAGAGGCTGGGTCAGCTTTCTAAAGTCACATAGTAGTAACCAGTTGTTATCAAGATTCCAATCAAGAGCTTAGTTCTCAAGACCCTAGAAGGGCCCTAGTGGGGAGAAGTCTAATGAAAATGATCCTGCTGAAATAAGCAAAAATCCTCATCCAACTCGGAAGTAACCAAGCCTCCCAACTTGAGCCCCCAACCTGACCCAAGGTTCTATCACTGTCATTGTCCATGGTTATCAAAGTTACAGGGGATGGAGGGTGACAAAAGTACTGGAGTGAAAGAGCAGGATCTACCCTAACAAGCTTGAGCTTCCAACTCCAGTGAAGACTGCATTGAAAGGCACAGGAGTCAACAGAAGAGAACGTCAGTGGCACCTCCAGACACCAGTATGTCTCCATGGGACATTCTTCTTGGTGCTGCTTTAGCACAGACCCAATTCCCAAATTCAATATATTTTGCTGCTCTAGCTCTAACTTCTACTCATAGGCCTAGTTGCTCATGAACAAAACAAAACTTATTTATATGTTCTATATGGACAATTTCACACATACCGAAAGTATGGAGAATAGCATGATACAATCTCTTGTACCCATCCTCCGGTAAGACTTTTCTCAATGCTTGTATTCATCGTATCTGTGTCTCCCCAGCCCATTTCATCATTTTGTCATGTATGACTAATCCGCCAGCCTTAGCCTAGACTAACAAGCAACTCAGATTCTGATCAGATTCAGGCACTTTATTTTTAAAATAATAAGATGGATATTACAGAAGCAGAGCTTTCTAAAGTCACATAGCAGTAGCGAGTTGTTATCAAGGTTCCAATCAAGAGCTCAGTACTCAAGACTCAAGAAGGGTCCTAGTGGGGAGGAGTCTAATGAAAAAGATCCTGCTGAAATAAGAACTTTGTCTGATTTATCATAACCTTCCCAAGACTTGAATCTTGCCTCAACCCCAGCCCAACAGGCTATCACTTCTAAATTTGTCCATTTACTCATTTTCCTCTTTCATTCATCAAAGTTTAATTTAGCATTTATTAGGTACTCAGGTACTGTGCTTATTGTTAGAGATACAGTAGTTGATAGCTGTCAGCTGCCAGCCTGACAGCTGGAGATAATGTGTGATCTAATAGAGGTATGCTCTAAGTACTACAAGGTCTTTAGAAGGAGACTGTGGGCCTTTTCCACTATGGCTAAGAGTAGGAAATAGTTACAAAGGCAGAACTAAATCCTAAATCCTATTGCACTTCTATAACATCAGTTATCTACTGGGAAGGTATTGCATTTCTATAACATCAGTTATATACTGATGTTACTACATGATAGCTTTTGATGAGATATATGTTTTTTATTAGCATAATATGCAATTGAGCCTGTATTTCAGATGAAATAATTTGTATGCCATTTGTGTGGCACTGCACATGAATGTACAACTCCCTCCAAAATCGGTT
This sequence comes from Homo sapiens, assembly GCF_000001405.40. Taxonomy (NCBI): domain Eukaryota; kingdom Metazoa; phylum Chordata; class Mammalia; order Primates; family Hominidae; genus Homo; species Homo sapiens. The sequence continues at coordinate 51,401,758 of NC_000006.12, read as the reverse complement.
AGGTAATATGTCCTGACTAAAATGGAAATGAGGAGTAGTGCTAGGAAATGAAGATGTCACATTACTTTTAAGTAGTGACAATGATATTGCAGAGAAAACCATATGGTGAACCATTGAGAGATGTGAGTTCTATTATTGCCACAGCCTGTAATTAGGTGGTGACATTGGGCCAGTACTTACTATTCTCTGGCTCTCAGCTTTTCCATTGTAAAATATACAAGTTGTATGTAATAATCCCTAAGATTTCCAATATGTTATATAACTATACTTTTCTCCAGCTTGATCTTAAAGGAGAGTAGATGGCTGCCATCATGTTATAGCTAAGATTGCCTGTGTGGTGCAATTACTCCACTAGGCTCCACTTTCTGGGAGCTGACACTAGAACACATATACCTTCCATAAAGCATGGCCATGTAATTCCTCATAAATATGTCATGCACTGTGACAGTCAAAATGCTGTTTCATGCATCATCTCTTTCCACTTACAAAGGTTGCTGGATCAGGTATCAGTGTTCTCCCACTTTAAGAAGAGAAAAATTGAGACTACAACAGCCACCCAATATCGTTTGAAAGGCAATTGTCTTTTCACTACTTTTCAGATGCCCACATACAAATTACCTTTCTGACATACAGTAGATACTTCCACCACCTTTACTTTCTTTATTCTGTTTTAAACTTCTTGTTAGATTTGATGTTAGAACAGGGTTAGTCAGAGGTATAGATATGTATAGATGCATTTTATGCTATAGTGAAGGTACAGTCTGAAACAATTAAGTATAAATAGTTTAAATAGTTTTTAAATCAAATTTTAAATATTCTTAGGGTATATTCAACGGAGACAACTTTTATACAGTAAATAATTGCACCTCATGGCACTCTTGCCCCAATGGTTCGTTCTGGAAACTTAAATTTTCCACTATAATGTGTGCTAAAATAGAAGCATAACTGCATTGCAATGTGGCCCATATGGACTTCCCGATGAGACCATCTCCTCTTCAGTAACGTCTTGCTGAATTTGGGGGTTCAGAACCTAAAGCCACCTTGCTTTGTTCAACACATTCTCTCTGCTGTTGCACCTATTTGGAGGCCCCATACTTCTTGGCTGCTGTGCTGTTCTTACATAATTTTAAGTCAATTAAAATTATTAGTGCAGTTTTAATAGCCAGTGCTCCCTCAGGCTAGGTAACAAATGGTGCAATTTGAAGAAAATTGAATAAATAAAATAAGAAAGAGACAAATAAAATAATAGTCTAGGAAAGGAATGAGAAAAATATAGTCTGTTAGCAAAGCTATCTATATTAAAATACTAATACTAATACTAATAGGTGTTACTTGAAAAACTAGCCAGGACATGAGCCAGGCGCGGTGGCTCACGCCTGTAATCCCAGCACTTTGGGAGGCCGAGGCGGGCGGATCACGAGGTCAGAAGATCGAGACCATCTTGTCTGACACGGCGAAACCCCATCTCTACTAAAAATCCCAAAAATTAGCTGGGCATGGTGGCAGGCGCCTGTAGTCCCAGCTACTTGGGAGGCTGAGGCAGGAGAATGGCATGAACCTGGGAGGTGGAGCTTGCAGTGAGCTGAGATCGTGCCACTGCACTCCAGCCTGGGCGACAGAGCGAGACTGTCTCGAAAAACAAAAACAAAAAACAAAAAACAAAAAAACAAAAAAGAAAAAGAAAAACTAGCGAGGACACAAGATAGAACCAGACTTAAAAATACACAAAAGTGGTTATGGCTGATAATGCTTTGATTTTGAAGACACTGAGCAACCCACAGAGCCTCAACCCATCTCCACCAGCCTCGCTGGCATTTGAGAGGATGTGACTGATTTCTTTGTTCCACACTAAATGTGCCCCTTGGAAGGGGCAATTCATTATACTTTATTTTAAACTCATACCATTGTGGGTAGGATGTTTTCATTTATAAGTTTACCACTTTCATTTTATTTCTAAATAGGCAGTCATACCAAACTATTTGTAAGGTCTTAAGGGGCCATACTGTGATCTCTGCTTTCAGAAAGGAGTCAGCAGGAATATTAAGAAATATACAATTTTACGACACAAAAGTAGGAAAGAAAAAAAGCAATACCTTAAGGTATTAAATTTATGCATATTTATACAGATAAGAGGTTTTCCCAAATGCCACCTGAGCCACTTGCTGGCTTTTGGACCTTAAACAAGTTGCTCAGCTTCTATGAGCATCAAGCTCTTCATCTGAAAAACAGGGTTAATAGAAGAACCTATTTCAGAAAGTTGTTGGGATGATTAAACAATATCATATTTGCAAAGTATTTAACATAGAGTCTGACATATAATGAACACAAAGTAAAGGTCAGTCATTATTGGTTATTTTACTCAAAAATGGGGAGAATTCAGATAATTAAAAAAAGTACAGAGGATAAGGCTGGAATTCCTGGAGGTAACATCAGCAATTTTCAATTTTTGCTAAGGTCTAGGTTACCTTAGCACTTTGCTATTTATAAGTCACAACAGACAGCATTTGATGAGAGCTTTCTTTATGGTTGGCATTGTTCTGCATTCTTTCTGTAAGTTTCCTCACATAATCCTTCCAGTGACCTCTGAATTAGATGCTATTATTGCATAACCATTTCACAGATAAGGAAACTGAGACATGGAACAAGTAAATAACTTGCCCAAGATAATAGACCTGCACAGGCAACGAATGGTAAACCCGAGATTCAAACTCTAGACACAGTCTGGGCGTAGGTACCATGCCCTCTGCCGGGGCACTATGTCACTGCTATTGTCAGCTGAAGCTCAAATGGCTGGTAGAGACATCAAATCCTGCTCAAGTTGCTGCATGTAGTCCTGCATTTGTGCAAAGTGTGTGTGGACCTCAGTGGGGGGCTTGTAGGGCTGTGTCCACTGAGACAGGCGACTCTTCCTAATCCACTGGCTCAAAGAAGACAGAGTTTTCAAATTCTCACAAGGACCATGCCTGGGCCAGAGTAGCCCCGGGGTCTCAGCTGTCCCTTCTTCACCTACTCTTCCAATGAAATCAGGCTCAGCAGCTTCCTCTACAGGCAGCCTTCTGTCCTCCATGCAGGTGTGCCTGGGAAAAGACTAATCATATGAAAACACTGGCCATGAGAATGGATGCCCTGGTCTCACTTGATCAAAGAAGAGAAAGCTGTTAATGTACTGGAGCACTCTTGCTGCGGAAATGAGTCACACCATAGAGCCTGGCTGCTGTGGCATCATACGGAAACTGTAGCAAAACTCAAGGGCCGCTCTGGAGTGAAGGAGAGCTTGGCTGATGGCCAGGAAAAGGTGAGGAGGGTGCCAGACCCCTAATAAAAGAGGCTTCACAGTCAAGCCTCTTGCTATAACTGTCTCTCCCACTTTCTCTTTTTAAAACTATTTTTCCTATTGTAAATAATACCATTAAATGAAGACTATTGTCTCTCCTTATGCACAAGAGACCCATTCAGAGCCATTAGCAGTAATGAAAGGGAAAAGCACACACAATCAAAAGGATGAGGGGAAGCAGGAGGTGGAAGAGGGTTGCGGTTGGGCTGAGTAAGGAAGGGCCCTGTGTGTCAAGCTGGCCTGGCCTCTTGGAAAATCCCATGTGGAACCTCTCCCATGGATAATACTGGTTACAAGGAAAAGGGGAGGCATAAAAAGAGAAGAGAAATGGAGCGAGCTGTGCTTGTGGCTTCTAATACTTTTGGGAGTTGGAAAAATAGGTAGGATGCTGATCCATGCAAACAGAAGAGTGGATCTGGTAACCAAAAGAACATAGCTTACATAGCCTTCAATCGGATTTAACTCCAATTAATCTTAGTTTTCCTGGGCAGCATTAGAATGAGTTTCTCTGACATTATGCAAGGTAGACATTTAATAAGATGGAAAGTCAGCTGCTTTTTTAAAAAAGACACTTTTTTTAAGGCTAGTGAGAAAATTAAAAGTTCTTTTAGAAATAGGAAATAGATTGTTGACAATGCTATAGATTTTTTTTTTGTTTTTTTTTTTTATAATCAGGCATCAAGACCAGATTAGCCAACCACAAAATTTTTCTCTTTAATTCTTAAAACACAGGTGATACATTTCTTTTGCAGGACAGTAAAGAATGACAGAGACAATAGGGTGTATTTGTTAAAAGAGAAGGCTGTGCGACAAGACTATATGGATCTGAATCATGTGTATTATTTCCTAATATGTAACCATGGGCAAGTTACTCAATCTCTCTGGACCCCAAATTCTCATCTGTAACTTGGAGAAATAGAAAATACTACAGAAAGTTGTTGTCTGGATTAAATGGTTTAGTATCAGTGAAGCACTTGAAAGAATACTTGGCACATTATAAATGCTCCACAAATATTTGCTGTTATTGTTAATCAATGACAAATAGAAGTCCAGCACCTCCCCATACATTTTCACATAAGAGTAGATAACATATGCAATGGTTCTTACTGTGAGTTTACTCTCTTTGATGTATGAAATGTGACTACTTAAGATTTTGTTCAGAACAAAATGCAAATCACACTTGTATCTTCTCTGTGACTTTGAAGCATTTAAATGTAGCTCATCACCCAGGTTGGATACAGGAATGCCAGCAATGAAATCCCTATTTACTCCTTGTTGTTTAGAGAGTGTTATAAGGATGCATGGAATCAGGGTGGTCATCTCAAACCCTATATTTGGGAAGTTTTGGTAGTTTGGGCAATGACCTTGTGAGCGAGGGCAAATGAGTCCTAAGAAAAGGTCTTTGAATCATGCTCATACTGTCATTTTCTGTTGCCCCCAAAATCACCAAGCAAAGCTAAAAGACTGTTCCTTCTTGATACCCCTGAGAAAATGTATTATGCTTTGGTGACATTTTCCCTTGAAAGCTATCTCTTCATATATTTTAATACAATTTTCCTGTGTACAGAGTTTCACTAGGCCATATGTGAACCACATTAGTAATGAGATTGAGTACAAAAGGATGTTAATTATTAAGGCTGCTTTCACTATGACATCTATATATATCACTGTGGCATTATCCTCATTGCATAAGTGGTCTTATGGGTGGCAAGACTAACATGTTGACCTCTCCTAGAGTTTTAGACTATCCTGAGTAGACCAAATGTACCAAATGTTTGAGACCTATTTACATTATTACATGTATGATATGACAGCTAAGAATACTCAGTATATGGAAACATTGTAAAGTTGCTTTAAATATGAACAGAATAGAATTATTAATCTCAAATTAAATTGTATGCTGTTGTTCATTCAGATCCATTAATTGGAGGTTGAAGATCTGGATAAAAGCAATATTTAGTTCATTTCCCATAACAGTGGCTCTCAAGGAGAGAGGTCTAGTCCCTGAGTGTGCTTTGGAAATTTACAGGGACAATTTTGGTTGTCCCAATAGTTGGATGTGCTGTTGGAATTTAGTGGGTGAGATCCGGGGATGCTAATGTCCTGCAGTGTTTGAGCAGTCTGACACAATAAAGAATTGTCCTACATCACTCATGACTGTTTTGTATATCACAGTCCATTCATGTATGCAAATATATGGGGTGATTAGCATTATATCCCTACTTCAGTTAGGATTACTTCTCTCTTGCTCTCATATTATGCAAATAAATTTGGCCTGTTATTATGTAACCTAATGCTAGTTTTTAGTCTAGTATTTGCTTATACCTCAGTTCTTTAATTTTCCTCTTTGGCTTGACTGCAATGACTTACGACCTTTTTATAACTCTTAATCCAAAGATAGTCATTGTAAGTGGGTAAAGAAAAAAATCTAATTAATCACCATGACTTCTAGTGTAGTCATGCCTAAGATTTTCCAAATTGGAATGCATATTATGTTATTATAATTGCTTTCTATTTCTTCTTTATTAAAGGGCATTTTATTAAATATTTAAATTGCATGTGAAATCATTTTATATTTATGAATTTCAATTTGGAAGAGAAAGGAGAGCATATTTATAATATATTATACATGTACACATATTTTTTAAATTGTTATTTGTGTGTGTTTTATGTATGTGTTCTGAAGTTATAAATAGTTATGAAGATTATGTCTTCTGTTATATAGAGATATGCACATATATATCTTATGGTTTAGGTACATATGTTATATAGATATATATTTTGTATGCTATCAATATTATTTATGTGATATATGTTATATACTTACCAACTCACATAAATGTGCAATGTATATTTATATATGTGCATACTGTGCACACATGACTTATAATACATATATACGTATTGCATGCATATATGCTACATGCAACATATGCTATAAACATTTTGCATGTGTGCATATATTTGCATCACATATGTGTACATGTATACATGTGCTGCATAGATATGTGATATGTCACATAGATTTTAAAAACACATGTATCTTATACATCTATATGTTATATGGTATGTACTGTCATGTTACATGTTTGTATATATTTATGTGTTATCTATTAGATAATAGAAAAGACACATTTATAACATATATTTTTATAATAAGGGGATGCTTCATGAAGATAAAGTGACCACAGAGGACTTGCTGTGATGTTTGTTTAGTCTGATATCTCTCCTCAAATGGGAAGTTATGGGTTTATAACTTTTAGCATTCAAATTGTATTCTTAAGGTATATTTCAAGTGAGACTCAACAAGTCTAGGAATACTTAAGAAAGAAAGGCAGGAGGTATATGAATGAGGTAACTGATACTTATTCACTGATTCATCTACACTAACATGACCAAAGCTTTGGTGGAAACTAGAACATTATAGCCAGTTTGCTTATATCCTTTTCCTTTCTCATTTCTAGGTCTGTGGCAGAGGCACAGACCTGTGACTCTCATTTGCATTTCATATTTGCATATAACTCAATTTCCTATATCCAGCTAAGGGTAATGTCAGAAATACCCATATACATTTATCCAAATACACTGGAAGTGGAAAAGGCCAAGAAGCGCTCTTGGGAGCTCCAGCTTATACAGACTCACTCCCAGTCTCCTTACAAATTCTCTCAGGTGACAGACACCATGTGACTCCTCCACCTCCGTATCTTGGCATGTGAGATATCACTGTATAATCGTGTACAAGAAACTGAGGATTGATAACTAAGTATGATTCAGATATCAGGCCATCTAGTAGACCAGTAATTCTCTTCCATGTAGTCAGCCTCAAGGTTGGCATTAAATTGTCCTCCCAAGCTTCATCTGGTAAAGTTGGAAAATGGGATTTCTTAGCAGATCTCCAAGGCTGATGAAGTCTTTGACTGAGTCTAGTTGTAGCCTATTTAAGGCTGTAAGATACATTCAGGCCAAGATCCATTCCTTTGTGTTGGCTTTTAGCCTTAACTAAGTTGGAGATTTTGCTTTCTAAATCTACAGGAAGGACTTGTAAGATATATTTCTAGCCCCCATTTGCCTGGATTCTCAAGGATAACCTTGCCTAAAGGTAATCATAGCAAGGACCCTGAGGACAAAGACACATTATTAAGAGCTACTGAAGCCAGATTAACCATTAACCTGGAATGGCCAAATGTTTAGAAGATGTCAAACCTTTAGGAAATCACCTACATATATGCTGCAAAGCAATCAAAGAGGTAACTAAGAGCTCACTGGGCAGAGATACAGTAAGAAGTAGCAATAAGTTCTTTGATAGCTTCCTGAGAGCCTAAAATTGTATCCTTATAGCATATCATGACCACTTTAACAGCCTACCACTGACATACATAGTCTCAAGTGTTTCACTACTCTTCATTGGTCTTAACACATTTCAAGGACTACTTTGACCCGTTGGAAGTGGCTACCTGGGACATTGGACTGAGAAGGATTAGAAGCCTGGACCCAGACTCAGCTGTTGTAGGAGTTTATGTGTATGGGTATGTGTCTGTGTGTGTGTTGAAAGAGTGTGTAGTGTATGAACCATTTGAAATATTCACATCAATGGGATGGAAGAGGATGGATACACCAAATTTAAGTTTCTTTCCATTCAATACATTCTTCAAAATTAGACCCTGGTGAACAACCATTGAATATTATTGGGCCTTCTTTTCTTTTCCCTTTACTCAGAGAGAGGATAAAAATAAACAAAAAGGAAATACAGTCAACCTTCTGTCACGTATCTTGCTATCTGAATGGACTCTGACTCTCAGTTGCCTACAGCTCTCCTGGTTAACACAAAATCATGGAAAACTCTTTCTCTGCCAGTGGTGGATACACCCAGGAGACCCACATGCAAAGACAGGGAACTGATACTTTATATGGTAAGAGCATGAGCTCAGGTTAAAGGAAGAATTCAGGTGGGCTTTCAAGAACATATTTCTTCCTTATGCTCCACATTTTATAGAAATTATCTGTTAAAATGTATATTTCTGCTTAAGAGAGAACAGAAACAGAGACTATGCCTTATTTAACTTTGTATCTAAATACTTCATGTACTAAGTGGCACTCAGTAGGCACTCAATAAACAATTCTTGAATGAGTGAATGTACAAGTAGATGACTGAATGTCACTCAGTTTCCATTTCTTCATCAGTGAAATGAAGATAGTAACACGTGCCTCTGGGTTTATACAAGTGTTTTTTAAAATAATATATGCAAAGTGTCCAATTCATAGGACGTGCTCAATAAATATTAATACCCACTCATTGTCCTATTCAACTCAGGATCTAGTTGAAACCAGGAAAATTATCATACCTGGCCAGCGAAATAGTATGTGTAAAGTATTCACGCAGAGTGATTTCCCATCTATGACTGTCATTACTTCTATGCAGATTTCAACTGAGGAGTATTCGCCTAGCTCCATTACTGTCTGGCATGATTTTATGTCCTTAAGGTCCCGTCCCTTCTCTCTGAATCTGGGGCATATAGGCTTTTAGTATGGTCATTGGTGTCAGAATAAGTCCCTATAGAGCTTTTTTTTGGCCCATTTGTTTATAAATATTTGTTTGCCTCTGGATAGTCTCATCTTCTTCAAGTTGTGCCTACCTCCTCCAACATGATGCTCTGTTTGCCATTTGCACAAAACATCTTATGTTTGTCAATCGAGATGTATTTCCCACTCTCATTCATCCTGTCTTGCACTTAAGGACTATGTCGATGGGCTCCCTTGCTGTCCTCTGCTGGTTGGAAGCAGCCAATGGGGTGGAGGATAATTGATATGGCACTGGCAAAAGCTTGAAGGAGGATGGAGGAAAGTAGTCTTTGTCCATTTATTTCCCAAATTATCTCCCTGCACAGTCATTCCCGTTTGACAACTCCCATATACCAAAAAGCCATCACGTTTGTCAGGCAGCCCTCTCTATACAGATATCTAACCAGGTTCTGGTAACTGCTTGTTCCAAGTGCCCATTCAGTTAAGGGTTAGTAATGGCTCTGGTGCTGTCACTAGCCCTGTGGTGCTGCCCCATCCCTGTGGTTTCTCTACCCTTCCCCTTACCTTTATAAATTGTCTTTATTGAATCATCCTTGATTATTCAGCCTGTGTGTGACACCTGCTTTTTTCTCAATCCTAATAATACAGTATCCATGCTTCTGATCTTCTAACTCTCTTTTTGACAATATCCTTTTTCTGAAATATTTTATGGTATAATGAGTATGGTAGAAAGAATAACAGCCCTTAAAGATGTCTATGCCCTGGAACCTGTGAACATATAACTTTACATGGCACAGAAACTTTGTAGATCTAATTAAGAATAGAGACCTTGAGATGAGGAGGTATCCAGGGTTATCTGGGTCAGTCCAATACGATTACATGAATCCTTAACAGCAGAGATTATTTCCTAGCTATGTTCAGAGGAAGATGTCACTCCAGAAGTAAGGTCAGAGATATGCATATTGCTGGCTTTGAAAATGAAGGAAAGAGTCTATAAGCCAGAGAATGTGGGTGGCCCCTAGAAGATGGAAAAGTCAAGAGAATGGATCCTTTTCTAGAAGTTCTAGAAACAAATGCAGCTATGCTGACACCTTAATTTTTTTTTTTTTTTTTTTTTTTTTGAGACGGAGTCTCGCTCTGTCGCCCAGGCTGGAGTGCAGTGGCGCGATCTCGGCTCACTGCAAGCTCCGCCTCCCGGGTTCACGCCATTCTCCTGCCTCAGCCTCCCGAGTAGCTGGGACTACAGGCGCCCGCTACCACGCCCGGCTAATTTTTTGTATTTTTAGTAGAGACGGGGTTTCACCGTGTTAGCCAGGATGGTCTCGATCTCCTGACCTCGTGATCCGCCCGCCTCGGCCTCCCAAAGTGCTGGGATTACAGGCGTGAGCCACCGCGCCCGGCCGACACCTTAATTTTAGCCTAGTGACAACAATGTTGAACTTCTGACCTACAGAACTGTAACATAATCTATTGGTGTTGTTTTGAGATACTAAGTTTGTGGTAATTATTATGACAACAATAGGAACTTAATACCACAAGAAAAATCCTGTTTTGAGATCCAGTCCAAAGATTTTCTACTCACTCAGAATAATGATGATTTGACCATACAAGTAGCTGAAAAATACTAAATGCAACTAATGAAAGAACCAGAACAAGACCAATATATGGCAACAAAATTTGAGAGACATTGGAAGTTCCTCATCAAAAATTATTTCCCCTAATGTGTATGAAGCATCACTATTATATAATTACTTTTCATAAAGATAATATTTTCTAACAAGGCAAATGTCTCTGAGAAAGGTAGTACATTATCACTTATCAGATAATAGCACCATAGAGGTTAATGAGTGTATAAATATAAATTATTATTAAAAAGATTTATTAAAAGAGTAGTTAAGAGCCAGTCAGTGCCACATTGTTTAATAGGCTTGATTCAACCTTATTCATCAAAAATATTTATTATGATATATTCAGCAACATGTTGAATGGGGGGACATTATAGAATTAAAATAAAACACAGACTTCTCTCCAGATTGTCTCACTGTAGCTGAGCAATGGTCATGTGTGTCTGTAGGAAGGAGAAAAAAGAAAGTGGGAAAGAGTAGGGGAAGAAGCTGAGGTAGGTAGAAGACTCAGTACTATTCAAGCCCATGTAGAAGGGAAAATAAGAGTAAGAGTGCAGCTCTACTCCCATGGAATGGACCCCCTGATTATGGCTCCATGGGGGTCAGAAGACAATAGATACAGAATATTCAGCTTTGAGAGTAGCAAGACGAATGGGCTTTAAAGAACAGAGTAGCAACAAATTTGGAGGCCAATCTTAAGATCTTTCATGGGTTTAAAACATGCTTCCAAACAATAATTCTGAACAACACCAAGTTTTCATTTTTAAGTTTTCATTTTTGTTTTCTAAGTCTGCAAATAGGATTCAGAATGCTGATTTTCTCATAGCACTTGGTCAAGTTTTCATGGGTGAGTGATGGATGGATGCTTGCATGGAAAGATTTATCATGATACTCCTCATTAATATTAATCACTGGCTTAGATAAGTAAAGACAGTGTCTCTAAAAGCTCACTTTAAGTTTTCAAACCTCAGCATGAAATAGCTAACTTTACTAACCTCTTGCTTTGATTTTACAGAGAACAATAATTCACTGGGCTTGCACAGACATTGCCATAAGGCTGATAAGTTAATGATGGACTCAGAAGTCTGGGAAAAACTTCAAGAGATCACCTAGCTCTTTCTTTATACAAAGTTGGAGCTAATAGGCAATTATATATCTTTAAGAATGTAAATAATCATTATATTGTAACAGAATATTTCTCTCTTGATATTAACATGGTTTGAATTTACTAGAGGATTGGTATACTTTTGAAAGCCAGCAAATTTGAGAAGTAAATCTCATCTAGTGAAGCCAGAGAAAAAAAAAAAGTGAAGAAAAAAATAGAAACCGAAATGGATAGGATGGGCAAAGTTGTCACAAGCCTCCAAATACTTAATTTCTTTCACTAATTTTCAGAGCCTCAAACCTTTATATTAACGCATGGAATTGAATATCTTCTCATTGTGTTATTGGGGAGCACACACTTCTTTTCATTGAACTTCATACTTTATTAATTATTCTGGTGTGGTGTTATTATAAACTGTTGGTGATTATCTGACTCTTCTGGGCATGTGATTGATGCCAGAATGTCAGTTTTACATTAAATGGCTGTCGTTTGTGAAAACTTAATGCCAATACAGAAATAAAGTATGTGTTTAATTAAGGCTTTAATCTTCCCTGAGTTCATTTTTTAGAAAGGAGGGTGGAGCCCTGGATGCCAATGGGGTTAATAATATTTTCCTACAATGACTCTTATTCCTATAAGTATTAGTAAACATCAGTTTGTGTTAGCAATTAACTATAATGGCTTGATATTATTTTACCTCTCTTGATTGTATGTTCCAGTCCAGATACTTATAAACTGTGCCACCTATGTTTTTTTTTGCCAAATTAAAAATAAAATGAAAATAACTGCCCACTTAGCAGACAGCTTCAAGAAAATAACCAAGTAGACACATAGCGATGGAGTGGAGGAGACATGGGAGCAGATGAAGGTGTATCTGAGGAGCTGGGAAGAGAAGGAAGAGAATTTAAAAGAGAGAAATAAAAACAAAAGCAACAAAAAAAGACCTGCCAAAGCCAGGGAGCTGGAAAAAAATGGAGAAAGCCACACAGTGTTGAACTAAGGCCAGGATCTGCTAACTCCATGCCCCAACTGTGCAAAGGTATCTCCAGTCTCCCAGTGACTGACAGCCATAGCAGAGTGGTTGGGGTATGCCAAAGCTTGCAGCTGGTTCTTCATATGGAGCGGGTGAAGGTAAAAGGAAATGTCAGAAAATTAAGCCTAACACTAGAGGGTATTTTCTTTTACAGGTTTCCAGGGAAAGCTTTGTTTCCATTTAACAGGCTCCGTTAGTAATGAAAATGTACTCAGCATTTCCACTTTGGCCTTCCACAGCTCAGTCATGGGAAGGTTTCCTTTTCTTTCTTTCATCCCTCACCTGGATATAATACTACCTAAGTAAAGAGTCGCATGGCTCTGGAAGCATAGGAAGCACATCATTGCTGTTGCTGCAGATCCATTTCCCCTCCTGTTTGTAGAAGGTGAAAGATAGTGGGAGAAAAATGGATGGACCCTACTGACTTTGAAGGGCTGATTGTGGCTAAGTTCAGAAAAACAAACAAGCTGCTTCGCCATTTGTGAGAATAACCAGCAGATCAAAAAAAAAAAAAAAAAAAAAAGGTGTCTTTTCCAAAATAGGTCAAATGTTGAAACAGTATTAAAAAATTAATTTTTCCATTTTTTTTGTTTCATCCATGGCCCTGGAATGCTTGCTGACATAGCCCCACTTAGGTTTCAGTTTCTGGAGAGTGCCCTTGAGTTCTAATGATAACTGTAATGATATTTTGTGGGTTCCCCACTGCTTAAACAAAGACAGAATTTATAATGTGCCTCAGAGCATCAAAAATGGATGTTGGAAAACATTAATATTACTATTTTTATCACTATTTAGTGAGCAGCGCTGGAAGATATTAATATTACCATGATCATTATTATGGTGAGATAACGAAAAAGTGGAACTCCATGTGGCAAAGAGATTGTTGAGGGAGAAAAAAATGGATGAGCCTATTTTTCTTTCAGTTCTTTAAATCAGACTTAACTGGAAAAATAATCGCAGTGGCTAACAGAGTCAGGAGTCAGGGTAATTAAGTGGGTAAATGAGGCCGGTGTCATTTGAATTTATGCATTTTCCTTCATCCCTTTGTTTGCTCTGCCTTTCTCTTTCACTGGGTCTCCACTGCAATGTTGTTTATTCATGGAGGGCATGCCACAGTTTTTAATACTGGGGGGAAAATCTGAAACCCTTCATCCGACTGGCCAATGTGTAGACTGGAGAGAACACAGGGGGATCAAAGTGATATGAAGACAACAGGGGTTTCATTAAAATGTTCCGTTCTCTGCCTGAGGACAGAGCAGTGAGAAAAGGGTGGAAAAAAAAAATCATCTAGCCCAAACAAGTTTAACTTAAAAAAAAAGCAACGAACCACCTGTGGTCTCCTTGGAAACAGGCAAGCACACCCTCCAGCCACCTTTTAATGAAACCCCAGAGCCCCTTTATTAATTTATTAAAGAATCTATTTTCTGAAGATTCATAAACCTCATATAACTCATATTCCAACACATCTCTGCTATGCTAATGGCATGCACTTCTATGAATAATTAATTATTTAATTAGTAATAATTAGAGGTTGTTGTATAGGTCAGACCATTGGACTGACAGCATGCTATTATCAAAATGTCACTTGAATTAATGGAACAGCATTTAAACAGAGAGTGATTCATCGTTTAGGGTGGTTACCTACCTACCCACTCCCTCCCTCACTCCCAAATATGTTTCACAGCATATGCCACTGTAAGATTTGCATAACATGTAAAATGGATCATTTAATATTGAGTGTTCTACAGAAAGAGTATAGCCTTTAATACTTCATTAGACACATAGGACAGGTTGAGTTAAGTAACTGAATTCAAGACATTCAGACAGGACAGAAATAGTACATGAGCGCATACAATTTACATGTAATTTCTAAGACCACATTTATGTCATTGGACATAAGTGCTCATAAAGAATAAATATACTCAAAATGGATAATTGCCCAAATATATTTGTTGGGCAGCTCTGGTGAAATAATCTTTAAGGATGATTATTCAGAAACAATCTAGTATTATAATGTCACAACTCTGTGCTGAGCCAGGCCTTTAGGCTGGCTTTCTCATTCAGTCTCTCCTCCAACCCTGCCCAGAAAGATACTCAGTCTTGATAGGCAGATAAGGGAACTGAGAATGTATCTTCCTTAGCCGGGGGGACAAGCTTTGCTGTTTCTGGCAGTGACACTCTAACCATGTTAATTAAACTGGATTTTTCCATTTCCTTATTTGTCACAGGGAACCAATGAGAGTAGCTCCCTTGTAGGTGTAAGAAATCAATGAGTTCATTGGTATAAACAGCTTAGCAAAACACCTGACTCATTGACGAGTTGTCAATGAGTGATAGTTCTTGTTACTTCATATTTTAAAATATCACTTTTATGTACACCGAACAATATAAGTCTCACCAGGTAAACACTTATGTCCTCATTATTCAAATCAGATAACTAACTCAGGCACAATATCTCTTATCCTGTAAGCCAGGGATCATAAACTTTCTGTAATAGCCAGATAGTAACTACTTTCATCTTTGCAGCCCACATGGTCTCTGGTGTAAAAACAGCCACAGACAGTATGTAAACAACTGGTTATGATTATGTTCCACTAAAACTTTATTTACAAAAGCAGGCAGTGGACAGGATTTGACTTTTGAACTGTAGATTTCCAAGCTCTGGTCTAAGCCATGTTGGCAGCAGGTAGAACATAGTAGTTGTTCAGTAAATAATAGTTGGATTAATGAAACTATGAATGAATGAATGAATGAATACGTCCAAGATAAGACCCCTGGTCTTAATTATAGTGTTGTAATTGGCTTAGATAGTATCCCTTTAATTAAATTTACAGTACCTAAAACAGAATAGGATACACTTTTTAGTTTTATATGCAAAAGGCAAATTTACCTGTGGGTATGCATCTATAGATACCCTTTAACGGAATCCTAGAATGAAAACATTTAACACATACTTTTTAAAATCAGGCTTTTTTTAAAAAAAAAAAAGTCTAAATGTAGATTATTTGAAATACATACAGCATCAGCACTGGGTTTTGCTTAGAGCTGATTGGTGGTAGAAAATAGAGGAATCTGACTTCTATCTTAAAAGAGCATAATTTATTTTGTTCATCCTTCTTCTTATCCTTCTGGTTGTAACAAAATATCCAGAGTGGGCTAGAGGGAGAGAGCTTAGACTCAATGTTGTGTCTCTTTTTCTCTGATCCCAGCTGGAGCCCAAAACACCCCTTGCCTACTTTCCCTCCTCCTGTCCTTCATGGTCTAGCCCTTCTTCATGGTTTCTTCATAGCCTGCAATGTGAATAGGTAGAGTGGGACTCATTACGTAGGAAAAGTAGAAGATGTGATTGAAGCCCTTATACTTCAATTATTCAGCAAAATAGGATCCTATGAGAGCTTTAAAATAAAAACAAAGCATACAAGCAATGGTTCCTAATATTTTATGAAATTTTATAAGCACAAACATGCAGCTGTTACATTAGCTGCTATAAGTGGGAGAAAACTTCTGATAAAAAGAGGTCAAAGAAAATGACAATAGCATCAAGGAGTTAGGAAAAAAGATACTATCAGTCTTTTCCGTGTGTTTTTTAAAAATTTGAGTCAAGAAATTACAATAAAATATATCAAATCATCCTTTGCCCCTATTAATATGAAATATTATATGGCTGGGTTAATAAAGATTTGGCAACTGGAAAATCCAGTAGCTATCATTTTGTATTTTTTATGAATAATTGGATGCTGAAAATGCAATTGTACCTATGGAAGATCAATGATGAAGTAATTGTCAGATCAGAGCTAACTGGGCTGTACAAAAACCATGTGTGACTAAAAGTACATAAAAATACAGCCCAAAGCCTTTGAAACTTGAAGATCACAAATGTATCAGCTTAAAAAACCACATATATTATTTTACAGTTTCTGTGGTTTAGGAGTCTGGGCATAGCTTTGCTATATCCTTTCTTTAGGCTTACAAGGCTGCAATCAGAGTGTTAGCTGGGGCTGAGTTCTCATCAGAGGTTTGACTGGAGAAGAATTCACTTTCAAGCTTCCTCAGCATGCTGCCAGAATCCATTTTCTTACATTTTGAGATTAATTAATTTGTTATCTTGCTTCTTCAAAGCCAGCAATGAGGAGAGACGGATTCTTCAGCAAATCTGCTACCAAGAAAGAGTCATCTGCTAGTAAGACAACATAGTCATGGGAGTGACATTTCATCCCATTTGTCATATCCTGTAGATTAGAAGTACATCATGAGTCCTGCCCACAGACTCCTCAAGTGAAGTTTATACAAGGGCATGAACAACAAGAAGGAAGGGATGATGGAGGACCCCTCAAAGCCTGTCTGTCACAACTCTGTCACATTTTACAATAAAGATGCCTTTGAATATGAAAGCCTTGGATCTACCAGCTTTGTGACCTCAGGAAAGTTTTTTACCTCTCTGGGACCTGTTTTCCTTTTACGAAAATTTTAGACAATAACAACTAGTTAATAAGGTTGCTACATCTAAAATATAACAAATGTGAATGTGCCTTGTAAACACTAATTTCAATTAATATCAGTTGGCCACTCGGGCCTCCTCTTTTCTTTGAGTTTTCATCTACTCTAATTGTTCTCTACCTATATACTTTCATTGTATATGAATCTCTACAATGACTACCTTCTGAAGCTGATACCTGAGAAGACTTAAAAACCATAAGAGTGTATCTGCAATTCATACAAAAATACAAAGAACTAATTGTAAGGTACAGGACTTTGCCTTGAAGACTCTCCAGGGTGATTCTGGGGAAGTGGAGTAAGTCCTACCTCTCTCTTCCTAAATCTCCCTACTGTGGCAAAGCTCGATTACTAGTTGCTAGAAGTTCATGCTTCCATTGTGGGAGGTAGAGTTGTTGCTGGATTGCACTGCCCATCCTGGGATTATCTTTTCCAGTCATCCCTTGCATCTAGGTGGAGTTGTTTGGCTGAGTTCTGAGCAATGGAATGTGGGCGATTCACTACTACTAGGCCAGGATCAAGAAAACTGCCCAAAGGATTCTCCACTCTCTCTTCTCCCTTTTGCTACTGGATGCTGATTTTCAGGATGACTTTCTTTGGGAAGCCATTGTTGCAAGTAGCAGTTTCTGTCATCCCCAAGCCATGACTGTGCAGAACACACAACTTCTACCACCAACTGGACTTTCACTTTGAACAAAAAATATACTTGTCTTGTGTTAAGCCAAAGATTACTGAACTCATCTTTCATAACAATTAGCATTGTCTTAATTAATACATCTTAAAAGGGATCAGTGAAATTAAAAAAAAATACACATACTTCTCCCTCTAACATAATGCATCTCAAACTTTATTATGCATAAAAAATAATACATGTTCCTGATAAAATGTTGATTCTCATTTGGTGAGTCTGAAGTAGGGCTGACTTTCTGGATTTCGAACAGACTTCTCAATGATGCTGAGACTGAAACATACTCTGGGTAAAAAGACTCTTACACAATGGTTCTCAAACTTCAGTGGGCATTAGAACCCCCTGGAGGGCTTGTTAAGATATGGCTTGTAGAACCTCACCCCCAAAGTTCTTCTGTCAGGCCCAGTAATTTGTATGTCTAACAAGTTCCCAGATACCATACTTTGAGAACCAATGGTCTAAGCAACTCTGATATAAACCCTTTCCTAGCTTCTGTAGCATCTCATGTGTCCTCAGGCCAGTGTCTCAATTTTCATAGGTGTATTGGGTAAGAAGAAAAGAACACATATGAACCAATGCCTTAAAGCAGTTGCAGTCACCTGGAGTATTTTTTATTCTTGTTTTTTTGGTTTTGATTTGTTTTTTAAAATATTGATTCCCAGGTCTCAGTCCAGACTAATTGAATCTGAGTCTTGGGGTGGGGAAAAGCACTGGGCATTACTATTTCTTTAAAGCACATAATTCTATTAAGCAACTGGGTTTTAGAACTATTGCCTTAAAGAAATGTCAAGTATCAGTAGTTTGAAAGAGAAGACTCTTGCTGTTCCTTAAACTATTTATATGAAGACCAGCCTTATCTAATTCTTTCTCTAACCAGTGAGAGAGAGCTCAATTTCTCTAACATATGGTTTACATCAATGCTATTAAGTAATTCTCCTTTGGCCTGTGACAGGAGATTAAGTGAGGCTGAATGAATGCAAAAGAAACTCAAGGAGGTTTTCCAATTTTTTTAAAAAAAGTGCAGGTGAAGGCTAATAACAACAGAAAAGAAAGAAAAAGAGAAAACACAAAGACACAGCATTTTATCCTGAGGAAATGGAAGTTATTTTGCTCCAAGTCAAAAAACACTTCCCTAATTCTATTATAAATTATTTAGCAATTGTACACACTGGGTGGGAGTAGGACCTCCAGGTGCTTTACTATTAGCAATAAAAACAGGTCAAGGAAGATATAGCAATGGATTCCTTTGGAAGCAACATTATGGAGGATGTTTTCACCAAAGAAAATTCAGGGTGATTAATGTGCGTTAACATTTCTTCATTATCAACTGCAGAAACCACTCATTTCCTGGAATATACTAGATACCAATATTATGCAGTATTATAGAAAAATACCATATTATAAATAATTTTTTTCTCACCAAGAGATTAATAGATAATGGGTATGATTTGCCCCATCATCTACTTCAAATCACAAGCTGTGTACTCTTCTAGGTAAAGTAGGATGCATTAGTCCAGTATCCATCTCAATTCCTCATCCCTGAACCCTAATGCTAAGAAGAACTCATCCTCTCAGGAATGTTCCATGTAGCCAGTACATGCAGGCAATATCACATCCACATGGGGTGGCCCTTCCCAATACAGCTCTATGAAATAAACTGTGGTAAGGCAAAACAACACCATGCCCAAGAGCATGAGCATTGAGTTTATTTTGACCGGGCTTTGAAAACCAACTCTGTGACTTATCATCTGTGAGATCTTTAGGTAGGTTCCTTGAGCTCTCTGTGTCTTCCTCCCATGCAATTCTTATATAGACAAACAAGATGTTCAGAGCATCTAGTGTACTGTCAAACATATTGTAAGCGTGAAGAGCTAGCTACAAATAAATGCAGATGGCAACCTTGCAGGAAGCTGCAGAAGAGCAAATACCTGTTGCCAAGGTCTCAAGCTTCAGCCTTCCAGTGCCCTAGTCTACTTTAAGGATAGAACTTAGACTTTTAACTCTCCCATGCCAGTTGTCTCTTTATGTCAAGGAGACAACAAGATATTAGGTTCAAAATGGTTTGAACAGAAACTAAAAGAGGTGATTCAGTCTCTTAAGATATCTGGATTATGCCTAGATAAAGGACTTTCACCTGAATAAATGTATAGGCAAATAATTCCCATATAACATAATTTAATTATAATATAATATAATATAATATAATATAACATAATATAATATAATACAATATTGTCTACACCATAATAATGGTGGGAACAAAATGCAAAGACAGCACAATCAAGAATAATCTAAGAAGATAGGAGAGAAAATGTGGTTTTCTTCACAGGATAGGGACTCCCAGTGATTGTCAATCTGCGACCCTGAGACCAGCAGCATCAGTAATACCCGGGAACTTGTGAATGATACAAATTCTTAGGCCCCACCTCCAATTGAGTGAATCAGGAACTCTGAGATGTGGCACATCAATCTGTTTTAACCGCCCCTCCATGGAATTCTGAAGCACCCTGAATCAAACTACAGCCCTTAAACCAACAGGAAGGAGGAAAGGACTTGTGGCAGGGAGATAAATATGAAAAGAGTTTCAAATGTTATCATTGAGCCTTGTAGGGTGGGAGTGACCACTCAGGAGTAGAAATGCAACAAATGGGAATGGACCAAGATTACAGTGATGGATTTGAGGAGGAAAGGGCTGGAGTAAGTTAGGGTGGGTGCACAGGGCAGTTAAGTCGAAGGAGACAGAAACCAGGGTAGGAGTGAACCAGTCAGAAGCCAGGTTTGGGCAAGCACATGGCCCAAACCAAGCAGGTAAAATACCAGGAACCTAAGCTCCAAAAGTTACTAGAGGCTAAGACTGGCCAGGGTGGTGATGCACCGAGATGGGATGTGTGATGTTGTATCAACCGTTTTCTTTGTTAGCCACTCACAGGTCTTACTGGTCCAAGATCCAAAGCAGAAAATGTAACATGGGTCTGTTCCCCAAACTAAGCTGTCTCAACAACAACAACAACAACAACAACAACAAAAAAGGAAGAAGAAGAAGGGGATCAGAAGCCCGAGTACTGAGACTTTCAGCAAATGAGTATCCCGGTGTTTATTATATAACTAGGCTTAAAAATTGAACTTCAAAATTAAAAACCTCTTGAAAATTTACGGCAGTCCCCTGGGGATAACTAAGCATCCCTTCCCCAGCCCTCTCTGCTCAAACCCTCTTCTTGGTGAGGTGGAGGCTCACCTCATGCTCTCTTGTGTCAGGGCTCCTTCTGTCCACCAGTCCCACACACCAGGCAAGACCTCAGTCTGCCTCACCCCTTCCCCACAGACTATGCTTATATAGATTTACCAACAGCTTGCCAGCTCCCTGTTCACCATGGCTTCTTGCATCCCACTCTTTCTGTCTGGATTTAATGTCCTTCGCACCCACATAAAAAAAACTCGACCAGGTGCAGTGGCTCACGCTTGTAATCCCAGCACTTTGGGAGGCCAAGGCAGACAGATCACGAGGTCAAGAGATCAAGACCATCCTGGCCAATATGGTGAAATCCTGTCTCTACTAAAAATACAAAAATTAGCTGGGCGTGGTGGTGCACACCTGTAGTCCCAGCTACTCTGGAGGCTGAGGCAGGAGAATTACTTGAACCCAGGAGGCAGAGGTTGCAGTGAGCAGAGATCGCACCACTGCACTCCAGCCTGGTGACAAAGCGAGACTCTGTCTCAGAAAAACAAAACAAAACAAAAAAAAGTCTTTTTATTCACTAATGCTTTATCTAAGTCTAAACCAGGTGTTTATTACACCAAATTAGGTTTTACAAAATTTCAATAACTTTTTTTTTTATTTCTAGAAGTTCTGTTTGGACCTTTTCCCAATATGCCTATTCTGATTTATAATGGGTTCTTTTCCTTCATGGCTTTCATGCTATTTTACTTACTTAAAATAGATGTATTTAAGGTCTCTTCATTCCCTTACATGGATTACAATTTTTATTGTGAGCTCAGCTTAGCACGTTACTATTTTCTCACAGGAAGCTGGACACTGTGGGAGTTTTGCCACAGAGAACACTTGCCTATGTTTCCTGCTGGCACTCTAGGAATGTCCTTGTCTAGCCTCAATTCTACATTAATTTATCCCCTGGGGGAATGTCTTGTAGTGTGCAGGTAGTGAAAATTATAGCCCATGCCCACAGCTTGTGCAGGCAAGCCTGGTGTTTTCAGTTTTTCATGGGAGACTTTTTGTCCATTCGTAGCCCAGGGCAGAAAAATGCATCCAGGTCACTTCCTTGTGCCAGTGGGAAGAATCTTTCTAGTTCTATCATTTAAGGGTCTGTCCTTATGTAAGTTCAAATTCCCTACCTATCACAGGCCTAAGGCCACATCTCTTCACTTTATTTGGGTATTCAACCCAATTCCTTAGACTCTAAAGCCTATATCCAATCGGGTATCTCTCTGGGCATTGACAGTACCAGTTCATGAGATTTGTACCTGGCTTTAAGTTATTTATTTTATGTTTCTGACACCAGGGGGATTTTCATTCTCTCTCTCTCTCTCTCTCCCCGCCCCCTCCCTCCCTCCCTCTCCCCTTCCTTCCTTCCCTCCCTCCCCTCTTCCTTTCTCCCTTTCTTTCTTTCTTTCTTTCTTTCTTTCTTTCTTTCTTTCTTTCTTTCTTTCTTTCTTTCTTTTCTTTCTTTCTTTCTTTCTTTCTTTCTTTCTTTCTTTCTTTTCTTTCTTTCTTTCTTTCTTTCTTTCTTTCTTTCTTTCTTTTTTCTTTCTTTCTCTCTTTCTTTCTTTCTCTCTTTCTTTCTTTCTTTCTCTTTCTTTCTTTCTTCTTTCTTTCTTTTTTCTTTCTTTCTTTCATCTTTCTGTCTTTCTTTTTCTCTCTCTCTTCTTTTAAACTCAACTATCTATTTAAAGGTTTGGCTAAGTCTAATATTACTGGAGAAAATGGCAGGCAACAGACTTTCAGTGGTCTCTCTTAAATAACTTTGGTTCGTTGGACATTCTCAGGTGTTCTGCAAGACTACTGAGGTTCACCTTTTGGCAACAGTGATTTAAACCAATTCTACTCTATATCTCTACTCTAGTGTGTCACGTTTTTCAATATGTTCTCACCACCTGCCATTTGCCTTTTATTTTCCCAAATGAATTACTGTGCTATTAATAGAAGGTGGCAAAATCAGGAGAGCAGGTGACCTCTATAGGAAAAACGCCCAGCTCTGTATCAAAGACAAATGCCTGCCAAAGAACCAGGCACCTAATCTCAAGCTAGGGTAGCCACTTAAAACCTGGGTGACTTAGATCCTTCTATTCACTATCTTCTCTCTCCTCTTTTCCTATGTCCCCAACAACTTCCCCAAGCTCAACTGACAGATCTCAAAAGCAACTGCCTTATTTTAATACTATAGAACTTCCAAATACATCATATCAAGGGACACATTTTCCACTTGTGTTAGTCAGGATAGGTTAGGTTATGCTATTGTTACAAATACCCCAAAGTGAATGGCCTAAAACAACAAGGCTTATAGAATCTTGCTCATCTATAAGACCTTCATGGGTTGTGATGTGTATCGGTTTTCACAGTCCAAAGCAAGTCATATGACCACACCTGACCTCAAGCATGCAGGTGCTAATTTAACCCAATGCTAAGGAGGACCAGAAATATTGAGGGGACAGAATTTATGATCACCGCACCCCACTCCATTTCATTTCCACTTTCTTTGCCGGGGGCCAAAGTCCTTTGACTCCTCTTATGACCACACAGAGAAGCCACTAGGCAGCCATATCTCTGTGGAGGAGGAAGCTGCTGAAGAGGAATGCCATGGAAATTTCGGGGAACTATACTCTGACCTGCACTGACCAACTACGGGGTCCCTAAGGGCTTCTACTACGCATTATATGCACCGTCTGTAAGTAGGGACTATTGGCTTCTTTAAATCAGAGACAATCCAGAAAGCTAAACTAACTTGTGATACAAAACAGTAATATTTCTCTCTCAGAACTATAAAGTCATATAATTTTATGGTTTATAAGTCATTTTCATTGAATGTTCTGAGGGGAAAGTATCATTGTCCTCATTTTATATATGCTCAAATTAAGTCTAAGAGAAGAGGTGAAGTTACTTTTTTCTGTCTTCTCATCTGTCGAGTGGAAGTAATCATACCCACTTTGCGGGGTTATTGTGAGAAATAGAAGGTGACACGTAAAATTTCAAGCACGTTGTGAGTGCTCAGCAAATATTAATTCCCCTTTTCAGTTCAGATATATGGGGAATCATTGAGGGAGGGATAAAATGGCCAGGAACTTCTTCACAAATGAGATGAGACTTAAGCTAAAGGGATTTCACTTAGTGTAAGGCATTGACTTAAACTCAGCAACACAATAACAAAAATAATATATACCCAGCTCATCAGAGAGCATTACTTATTTCAAAATAAAAAGTTTAAAAAATAACACTACTATGTGTCAAGCTCTATCTTAAGCTCCTTACAAATACTAACTCATTTAATTCACATGGTTATGTATGAGGTAGGTCTTATTATATCATGATTTTATAGATAGTGAAACTGGGGCACAGAGAAGTTACGCTATTGACCCAAGGTCACACAGGGATAGAACTGAATCCAGTCAGTCTGTCTCCAGAATTCATGCTCTCAACCAATAGAGTGTCATTCTGTTTCCTGATGCACCAAACACAGTTTATTTGGAACTGTGACTGTGCTTGAGGAATCTGTTATTACTTATTGCTTCTCTCTGGAAGCAGTAAGTGGTGTATAGCATCCCTAACAAAGCTGGGCCATGGCAAGCTTTTCCTCCTTGCCATTCACCTCCCTAACACAGGGGAAGGCATGGCTTGGGAGTACCTGGTAGCTGGTGAACTAGAATGCAGCAGTGTTTTTTTAAGATCCATATGTCACTTTTCTTTTAACATCTGAGTTTCTACAAGTTCTTATCTACAGATGGCTATGAAATTTACAGACTTTTTTTAGTACCTATTAAGTATTGCATGCAATCTTCAATACCTTACCTCACAATTGGATCAAACATACTGCAACCCTATTTTTTTTTTTTTTTTGGCTTAGTAGACTAAGTGCACTAGAATCACTGCTGGAATCTCAATTTTCTTCACTATATTGGTATGGCCTCAGTCTCCTTTTTAACTCTATAAATGCTACGAAAACACACTGTAAACATTATTTCAATTGACTCCACAGTCATGTAAATATAATGTTAATTAATAATTATCTATATCCAACTCAGCAGCCTACTCTCTGTTTGGTCTTTGTCAAAAGCAAGGAGCCCTTTATTTAATTCTGTGTGCACTTGATTTTGTTTCTGAGATCATTTCTAAATGGTTCTATGTAAGTGTTTTGTGGGGTGAGTGAGGAAGCAAAAGTCTAACCAACAATTTCTCAGAATCCCATAAAAGCCAAAGGGTTGTTGTTTGAGCTAAATCGCCCAGGTGAAGGGGTCTTCCAATGAGGATTTCTACCTAAGGAGATAGCTAAATAAGTACTCTGCTACACTTCCTCATTTACATAAGCACTTAACCCCAATACAGGTGACTATTCTAAAACAAATTAAACGTGAAATAAATGTATGAAAAGAGAGCTAGAGAATATTTATCCCTCCCTAAAAAGGAAATACCAAATAAATAAAACACAACCACCCCTCCAAATAAAACAAAACCCAAAAACTCCTTCTTAATTGTCATGCAACCAATTAATTTTAATTAGATCACAATTTCCCCCTGTTTACTACCCAGTGGTTGAGGGGTTAATGGAATTAGGGAGGGCTACCAGATAACTGAGGAGTGATTCTTGCATGAATAATAATTCCTGAGTGGGAGTGAGATGAGCCACCTCTCTTCCCATCTCAAGGTACTTCAGGCTCAACTGGATATAAAAATTAGACAGTGTTCTTTCTGCTTCATACATCACCCAGCAGAACACAGCTGGCTGTTTAGCTTCGGGGCAAACACATTTGAATAGAAAAAAATACAGGCTACATTAGGGTAACTTGACTGAATTGCCCTTCAACCTGGATTTTTTCTTATTCAGTTATTTATTCATTCATTTATTTATTTGACAAACCAGGAGGTCTTTGGAAATTTCTTCATTTCCCAGAACACTCCTTCTTTTAATAAGAAGCATTTCCCAGATAAAATCTTGTATTGTTATTGATCAATACAGCACCATCAGCATCATCTCCACCCACCACTATGAATTTCAAAGCTGCCAAGACTCCGAATTTGAGAAGGGTTGACACCAAGTTGGTAACAATCTAGACTTACTTAAGACATTTCCTCCTTCTTCTCCTCTATTATTTAGGATTCAGCATCATTTTATAGGTCTAGTGTCAATCTATAAAGTTATAATTACCTGTAAGGCCTATGAAAATTTTTGTCAGCTGAAACGGCCACCTGCACTCCTCAGTGCTGTGGGGAGCTGCCCTGATCATTTAGGGACAGCTTAGTCTGCCTCCAGGTTAAAGATTTTACTGACTGACCATTGCTCAGAAGGTAAACAACAAGGTTTTCCTAGGAACGTATATAAATGCTAGAAGATGTAAAATCAGGTGAAGCAGAAGTATATAGAAAGAAAAAATGTGGGCCT
The DNA here is from genome assembly GCF_000001405.40 of Homo sapiens. Taxonomy (NCBI): domain Eukaryota; kingdom Metazoa; phylum Chordata; class Mammalia; order Primates; family Hominidae; genus Homo; species Homo sapiens. Next base: position 51,375,353 of record NC_000006.12, on the reverse strand, counting down.
TAGCATTAGAACTTCAGTGCTCCTGCCTTTTATTTTCTGTACCCAGGACGAATGAAGGAATAAATCTCCCATTTTATCCAATTGCATCCCATAGGAAAGCAAAAGATTTAACAAACCTGCTCCCAGAACTTTTCAGGAGACCACACTAATGGGTAAGCCCTGCACATAACTGCAGTCATATTAAAGAGGTGAAAGAAATTACAGGGGAGCACACCCTACCAAAACAACTATGATCCCAAACTGTGATCAAACTGACTTCAGTCTGATGCAAAAATGTTTTAGATGATGACATCTGACACTTCAGGGCATGTGAACAATTGTTGAAGCACATCAGAGAAAGAAGAGGTGTAGGTTCTTTCCACAAAGAGAGGAAAGCTAGAAGAGCTACATAATTAATTTCGATATCTATTGAGATTATAATTTGTAGCTTTAAAAACACCAAAAAATGTTTAAATAATTTGCATGGTTTGCATAGCCCATATGATGCTTGTGTACTTTGTTGCCTTATCCCAGAAAAGGTTAATCCTTTTGTTGTTTTGTAGTGTGCATGTGTGTATGTGTGCACACACACATTTTAATGAATATTTTCTGTGCACGAAAGTCACATTATTCTGCATAAAAGCTTGTAGACTTTTCATAAAATTACCAGTATAATAAAATTTATTTTTATTTTCCTTCTTCCCTCCAAATTTTTAATTTGTAGTCTTAAATATACCAGCTTTGACACCTCAAGATAAGAGGAGAAGACCTTTATTGGCCAATAAGTATTCTAATTGTATATCAATTTTGAACCTTCTGGTCCTGACAGTTGATTTAAAAGCCTAAAATCTATTATTGTGACCATGAGTGAGCTTTCTCATGACATAGGAATGTAGGGATTTTGGCCAGAGATCATGTGACAAATGAAAACAAAATGTAAGCATAGATAAATTGAAAGTCAAGCCCCAACACTAAAGACTTTCAGCCAACTGGGAAAACTCCATGGTGCCACTAGAGTGGAGGGTTTAAAAACTGAAAACTGGCCAAGATAAATGGATCCAGGAAAAATGAAGCAGAGGTCTTTGGTCTCCTAAAAAGGTGATATGTAGAACTAGAAGATGTGGATCTCTTTAGTGATCGACTTCGAAGACAGAGAGGGGATGCATTTGTGAGAACTCAGTCTATGGTAATGATTGTCATTTGGGAAAATAACAAATGTGATGCTTTCAAAACTACTTGTTTCTCCCCACCCCTAAGGTCCTAAATTTTCTTCCTTCAGGGGAACATGTCCCCAAATAAGCAAAAACCCCAGGAACTTTGTCAAATGAAATCAGAATCACAGATTCTTCTGGTTAAAAAATAGTGAAAGATCCATGAGTCCTGGGCCTTTGGAATAGTCAATGCCAGAAGCATCCAGTAAGGAGTCTTTTATTATTTTTTAAAATCAACATTCACAAGCACTCAACAGACCTATCGATAAGTGTTGGCCTTTTGCTTTCATTATTCCTTTGCCATCTTTTTCAGCCTTCCAATCTCTCTACTCCACTCCACCCCACTCCATCTTTCTAAATCTAACACTCTTTCAAGACTAGACTCACAGATGACTCCCTTGCTAATTCTCCAGTCTGAGTTAAAGACTTCTCATTCATGCTCTCCTAGCACCCGAGTTTCTCCCTATCTTAGCATCTTCTGTAATAAATTTGTTTCTTTGCTTGTGTTCTCATCATAGCCTGAGTTTTGTAAGATCAAGGAGTATGTTTTATTTGCCTTTGAGATCCCCTTTTTAATAGAATATTATGCATAACAAAAATCTACTGTTAGTAGATGAACTTCTAAAACACAGTTTTAAAACATATATACAAAATGAAAAATTTAAAAGTCACAGCAAAGGGGAAGAGAGAAAAGGGTAAACTATTCAATGATCATGATGAGTAATCGCATTCAGGGAATATTGTAACTATGACATACAAATTATTGTCATCGCTATACTTGAAAATGGAGCACAGTTGACTACCAAACAAGAATGTTCAGAAGAACATTAAAGCGGGTTTGAATAGACACTGCTGAATTTGAAATTTTGCATTTGAACATATGCAATTTGGCATGAAATACATTGTTCTGGCAGGTGCACCTTTTGCTGTACTCTAAGGTTTGGGGAGATCTCTAGAGTATGTGTGTTCCTTTCTTTCCACACTCTTCCTGGCTGTGTCAAGTCTTAATGATGTGGCTTACCCAAATCTGTGAATTTTGTTTGTGAAGGCATATTAGCTGAGTCTCGCAGACCAGAAAAGGAAGAAAATAATAAAATAGCTGCTATTCACTGACTTCCTGCTATGTCCAGAAATTTCCAAAATATTCCATATGCATCAACAAGTGCAATTATCACAACGACTGTAAGCATTTGTGACATCAGATGAGAAAACAGAATCTCACTGAGGTGAAGTCACTTGTATAAAACTATAAGGCAAGTGTAGGGCACAGATAGCTTTGGGATCTTGGCCTACTTGACACCAAATTCAAGTGTGGTCCCTGTGTCCCATTGCCCAAAATCCCACCTGTGGGCTGTTTTTGGAGAGCGAAGTCTACTCCAAAGGTCTGACACAGGGACTACTCCCTACTGAGAAGGCACACAATAGAAATAGCTACACTCACAAAAGGGGTTGCATGGCATAGTGTATATATTAACTAACCTAGGGAGATAAATCCAGGAAATTGCACATATAAGTTAATTAATTTAACAAAATATTTCCTTGTCTTCATGTTAGTAGCTTAATATCAATATTACATGACCACTATTCATGCCTCCTGTATGGTGGAAGAGGATTTCATCCCATTCATTTTTAGTGGAATAACTAAATGAGTGAATTTACCCTTTTCATGATATGTTTAGTATGCACTATGTTTTTTTTTCTTTTACCCTTTCGTATATTTTTCAGCTTAATCAACTTTTTGTTCATTCCCTTTTTTCTTCTTAATAATTTGGAAGTTCTACTATAATTTTTATTGTGATTAGTTATGACTCTTCTATTCCTAACATAATTAATATAATTATTATATTAACTATTATGATTGTATTTCAATATGAGAGTTAGTCTTCTTACTCTTCCTTATTTTACTGCAGCCCAGCAAGACAGAATATTACTTTTGGAGTCATTTTCCTATATCCCAACTCTTAGATTTTACTAAGCTAAACTTTGGTTCCAGGCTATTAGTTTTATTTTCTCCCCTCATATAATGCCTCTTCTGTTTCAAAAACCATTATCTAACAAATACATTACCAAGTTGTTTCAACATTTCCCAGCCATTTATATTAACTTATGAATTACATAACCTCTTGCTTGCCAATATTATTAGTATTCTTCATTTATGCCTTGCTACTATGAATCATTTATTGATTATTTAAAATATTTTCTTGAATTTTTCCTCAGATAAATGTCATCTTGTCTATGTTGGTCTCCTTCTGTTCTAAGTAGTCACTATCATTTTGTGATCTTAAGGCTTTCAAGATTATAAGTGAGAAATCTGATGCTAGTCTGATCTTTTCTTTGTAAGTGACTTGTTCTTCTGGGTGGAAGCTTATGACACATGCTCTTTTCCATAGATTCAGGAATATCCCGAAATAGTGTCTTTTATTAATTCTGCCTAAGATTAAGTTGACTCAGTCAATCTGTTCATTTAAGTCCCTCTTGACATTAGTAAAATTTTCTTTTATCATCCACATAAGTATTGCTCTTCCTCTCTCTATTCTTTATCTCTCTTTGGAACTCATTATTTGCATGTGAGTGCTGAACCTGCCCTCTCAGTCTCTCACCTTTTCTCATGAATTCCATATCTTTGCCTGTTTGTGGCCTGAGCTTTTTCTTCCATTGATCTGCCAGCTTACCACACCCGTTTTCAACAAGTTCTGTCTTCTTTTTAAAATCACCTTTTGGATTTTGAAAGCCATGGACTATGTTTCCTAAATTCTAAACAGAAGCATTTTGTGTGTGTATATTCCAATTTACTCACTTAAGAGTTCAATTTTTTAAATAAAATTTCTCGATTGACATTTCCATTGTTTGTGTTTCAATGGAGGGGCTGCCATTCCAGACAATCAGATAAGTCTTCTATCAGATTGTTAATGCCCTTAATTGTAATTTGTCTTTGTCTCATTATGGTATATATGCCTCGAGAAGTCAAATCAAACAGTGAAAAATCAGAACATTGGGAAAGACAATACAACCTCTATCTTTATGGACAATCAGAGAACAAATTGGTAGTTAACCCTCTGCTGAGGCTTTCTGCTCCTGGACCTCCTAGGAATGTGTGGCAGCCCTCTCCTAATCTCAGAGGCTGGAAGCAACTCAACCCACTCACATTGCTGCTCCCCATTCCCTCCAAGGTCACCTGGACTGGCAAGTCTCCCTAGGATGATGGAACATTTATTTGCTGGAGGGCATCTTATCAACTAAACACTCGGGAAGGTACAGAATTCTAGACTTCTCCTTGGTCTTCAGGGACAAAAAAGGTCTCCTCTCTAGGACTGGAATCCTAGCTTCTGCCTACCTAAAACTCAAATGCTGAACCGTCTATTTCCTTAGAACCCAAATGCTCAGGCCCAGCCTCCAGGGTACCAAACACACTTTCTTTAGTGATGCCTCATGATGACCATAGGAGGGAGAAAGAATCAAGGACACATGCTCTGATTACCCTCTTCCCAAAATTTCTTTATAATTTATTTACTGAGCACCTATTATGTGCTGCTGCTGGGACATCTTGATATGTAAGCACCAGAGACATTCATAGCTTGATCATGGAACATGATATTTTAATGTTTGTTTTTTGAAGGCTGTTAAAATTATGGTTAAAAAACTGAATGGATCTAAGAAACCTCTGAAAATAAATAACACAAGAGGAGTGAAGCTATAAACATTTTGATTTTGTGATGCATGAAAACTTCTGTAATGTGCAAAACTTGACTAACATATTCCACACTAAAGGATGCAACATGACCATCTGGGGACATTTTAGAATGATTTCTGTTGCCTTGTGAGGCTTCAGAGCTAATAAAGCAGATTTGTTAATGCTTCATAGATTTCCAAGAGAACTCATTATATAGGTATTATTATAATTCCCATATCCTTGAAATGAGAATATTATTGAGTCCACAATCCTGGATAGATTAAGTGAATTGCCAAATAAATAAACACTAAATAGCAGAACCTAAATCTTATGTTAAAGGCCAGCTGCAATACACCATCCAACTTCTTACCATAGTATCCCCAATATTGAATAGTGATAGCAGAGCATAGTGTTACCTTTAATATCCTAAAGCAGTGGTTGAATTTCCACAGTGTAATAAATTGACAAATATGCTTTAGCAGAGTATGCATTAACTTTCTAGTCCAGAGATGGATTTAGAAACAGATTATCTTTCCTCTGAATAACTAAGACTGTACACAGTTAGGCAAGGTAAGTATAGGATACACACAAGTTTTAATGTCACCTTCTAACCCCCAAGATCCAGTAGGGGAGAATGGGAAAATATCAGTACCATGAAGAGGAATTATGAATTACCAACACTTGCCTTTCTGAACAGGAAATTGTACCTGTGGATAGCAGAGAAGGATGCCAAGTTTCTTTTGGGCATCTTTTATGTCCCAAAGAATTAGACGTTTTCTATTCTAATTGATGAGGGAGAATAATGCTGCATCAGCAGGTATCTGCCATGCAATATTAGCACATGGACCAGGTAAGGGTCCTGTTGACTTTAAATGCTGTTTATGTATTGGGCCAACTGGCTGGAGTACTCATATCTATCAAGCAGCCAGACACTCAACAGTGGGGCTGCCCAGACATGAATAATTCATCCATCCTTTAAGTATGTGTAGATAACTCTGTATCACAATTGTAAAGAAGGTGTCATAATCAAGTTGTGTCAGTTCATGAATATTTAAATCCAATAAACTTAACCAGTTAAATAAACACTCTTATTACTCAGGTCACAGTGCTATTTAATTGAGAGTCCCAGCTCCTAATTATGCAATACAATACAAGTATACATAAATACACACTTAGCCTTACATTCTACACTACAGGAGTATCTCAGCCTTTGCCTAGTTTCTACATTTCTGTAATGCCTACTTTCCTTACTCCATCTGTCCTATCATTCTTTACATCCTTGCTTTCTTGTTTGAATACTTCATCTCTAAAAGTGTATTATTATTTTCACAACCCCATACATTAAATTTATACTAGATTATATATTTTAAGTAAATTCTTTTTTAAAGTTCATGTTCATGTTTTTATTTGTCTTAACTTTTTAAAAGAAAAATTCCTTGCATCGATTATATTTTGCATGAGTCTCTCATTTCTGAGGGAACTACTCTAAAATGCTCATCATACACCGGTACCATATCCCTGAGAGTCGACAGCTTGAAAATAAGATGAGCTGGGTTAAATCATTGCCATTATAATTACATATAAGAGAACTGCTGATTCCACATTTGATAATACATTGACTCTGGAGTAAATAACAGATTATAGGAGTGAAACGGAAATGGTTATTCATATTTTGTTGGTGAGGCAGTTTTGCTACTGACTTTACAAAAGAGCTTAGAAGCTACAGAAAAAAAGTGTTCCATAGATTGTTCCAATTATTTCCTATGGAGACCCACTGTAGGAAATTAAGTGAAAAAAGTTAACTTTCTTAGATGGTTCGTTTAAAAAACCTCAAAAGCAAATAACTTATAAGTGCTTTAGATTTTAAAGTTACTTATAAAAATGTTCGTTGTCTAGTTTATTTTCATATATTATCTTTTCCTATATTTCTGTTGCTTAAACTCTTATAAAATGTTTTTCTGTCTTTTTCCTATCAAACGATAATAATGATTTTTAAAATAAGGAGAAAGAGGAAACTAAGTGCATATGTTTGTTTGTGTTCATACGTACACATATATGCAGTCAACACAGCAAATTTTGTACAAATAGAATATGTGTATAGTGATCAACTAGTCTTACAAAAATCTTAAGAGAATTTGAAGGAAAATTTTGAAATCATACTTACTCTTACACCCATATAACGCTTTATACTTTTCAAAGTCACTTCACATTTTTTTGCCTTTCAATACTGAGATAGGGCAGATGTTAATCATAATTTTAAAAGGTGCAAGCTGAGGGAGTGATCAAATGGAAAGTCCCAAAGTTAGAGAGAAATAGTATTTGAGTTCATATCTCTTAACGCTCAACCTCCTTTTACTAAAAAACATTAAATAAAGAAACACACTTGTAGTCATAAATTACCAAAGAGGCCATACTGCCCTTACAGACAGGACTGAACAAAAGTAAAACTGGGAAATAGAAAAAGAGGTTCAGTAGTTCTTTGGGAAGCTCCTTTTTGCCTGGTCTCATCCCTGACTCTTTTATTAATTCATCCTCTTTCTATTTTCTAAACATACAATGGCAAACCCTGACTCCCCATTCCTTGTCTACAAGAATAGACAAGGAATACTCTCCTTTTTCCTTCATATGAAGGCTTGCACAATTCCAGGCTTAGCTCCCTCAGTAGTCTCTGTGTGCCTCCTTCAAGAGAGCCTCCAACCCTCAGACAAGGATTCTACCCAACTCCCAAGCTCCCACGCATGAGACACCATGGATCATCCTGAAAATCAGCTCACGTTTATATACAAACAATGGATTCATCTTTCCCTCATAGGTAGCATAATGTACACTTTAGTGTGTGTTCCTTTGGAGACAATGCTTCTGTTTTTACAAATTCTTGAAGGATTCAGTAGAATAACGAGGCAACACCAAAGCAGACCAGGAGGCCTGATGTCAGGGCCAAATGGTCCCCTCGAATTCTAGATTGCCTCACACTCCCCAGACAGGCCTGAGGGATTTGCCTCAATGCATGTACCTGCAAGATACTAGGAGTATAACCTGCTATAAAAAGCAAAGAGAAGACACTCCCTGCCTCTCCTGCCAGCATTCCTGGTGAGGGTGGTTCTTTTGTAGACCATCCCTTTGCCCCTCTAGGTTATTTTGTCATGAGTGGGGTACATAATTATATACTGCAGCCCCACTGCCTCAGAGTGCTGCCTAGCCTTTTATCTCTGCATGCCATGACCAATAGGAATCACACAAACTCACATACACACACACATTCTCCTACACACACATTCATACACACTCACACACGTATGTGTGTATATATACATTTATGTCCCAAAGAATTAGACATTTTCTATTCTAATATATATATATTTGTATATACATATCAGATATATGTATATATATATATAATATATCAGAGCAAAGAAGAAGAAAAGAAGGATGGACTTAATACACTACTTTCCTGACACAAGAATACTTCATATATTAATAAGTGTTCTTTAATACTGTATATAAATATAAAATCTGAATGGGGAACTGATTAGGGTCAATTAGCCATAAAAATATGGATTGGGTGAACATGGAAACATTTACCACATGTAGTCAATAACTCAATAACTATTATGTTGTGAGGGCTTTTTATAAGCTCAAGACAGATTTACCTAATCCCAGAATAGAAGATATATGGGATTCCTAGTTTTAGACAAGAGGAATAAATGAAAATACCTTAACCTCAAGAGATGGTTTAGTCTGAGATTTTAATTGATTTAATACATATTTTTAACCGTATTAATTGATTGACCCCAAGTCTACTAGGCTTAGTACATATTTTCACCTCTAGTTGTTGATTGATCACCATTTTATGAGAAATAGGCATACCAGGGAATACTACGAACCTTGTTAGCTTACAAGACAAGCGTAGGTCTCACTGCACAAAGTTCCTGAGGCACCTTTCTCTAAGAAACTTTCTCTGTGAATCACTACTGAAGTCAAGGTCAGCCTTGGGCTAATCACGGTTGCTCATATATCCCACATTAAAAAAATGCTGTGCTTTTGGCCTAGCTTTGGTTATCTTAGCAGTTTTACAGTCTACCAGTGGTTCTGATTTCTACTCAGGAAATGCATAAAGCTTAGAAACAAAATGAAGAAAGACACTGTATATCCACCACAGAAGTGGTAAGTCATCAGCTGTCTTTTCAAGTTTACTGGATATCTGAATCAATTAATTTACATCACTGAAGATCAGTATGCCTATTGTAGTGTTACCCTGACATTTATTCTCCCTTTCTTAAATAAATGTGCTCGCCTGTAGAGTCAAAAAGACCTGAGTCCATGGTTCAACAATATCACTTATTGGATATGGAATCCTGAAAAACTCATTTAATCTCTATAAACCTCAATTTCCTTATACATAAATTGAAGCTAATAATAACTTACCTTTTAGAGAGAGTGTGCTTTTTACATTGTCTGGACAAATACAAATGTTAGCTATTATATTTATTATTCAGTAGTTCAATTACCCAAGCTCTGAACAGCTTGTCCATAGGGGTAGGTCTTCCATCTTCCTTGGTGGTAGCACTGTAATCATCTTCTTAGATTATTTGCAGAAGTGAACATTAATAGGTAAGCTCATATTATTTGTAGATTTCAACTGGAATATTCTTTCTTCCTTTTTATTCAGCCCACTTTTTTGCTTGCATATTTTGTTCCAACATTCTGTCCTTTGGGGTTGAATTTTTCCATGCATGATCTCAGCCAAAGGTGATTTTTTTATGATATTGAATCAAATTCACTCTGTCTACTTTTGAATTAGAAGCAGATGAAAGTAAATTATTTTATTTTTCTGCCTGAAAGAAACACAGGGCTGTTTCTGTGCCCAGATAATTCACTAATAGCTGAAAGTATTCATCTATCTCATCTTCACTCAGGAAGTCTCCTGGCTAATTATGAAAATATTAATTAAGTTAAGGGCAATTGAGAAAAGTTTGCTTTCGAACCTCCTCAGTGTGAGCTAGTATTAAGTTACTACTGTATTTGTATGGGATCATATTTCAGAAACATCTGGGAACAGATTTCCATCAAACATAACTAACTATGGTTTTATGATCTTTCTCCAGGGAAAGACATAGGTTTTCTACTGTCAGTCAATGCACTTGGCCTTTGGAAATTACTCAAAAGTTAAGTTGTCCAAAACAATTCAAAAATTTGCCAAAACTTTTTCATAACTTATTGGTTTTGTATTCCGGAGGTTGTCCATTTGCCTGTCCAGATCCACTGTGCACAATACTTACCCGGCTCTTCACCCAGGGAGGCTGACCCTTATGGACAGCATTCAGGGATTCATTGGCCTTCAGGTTTCCAGCTGGTTTCAGCCAGTGGACAGCACAGGTAGAAGCTTAGAGTTGGGGAGTGGGCAGTGAATCTGGGGATGTATTCCCTGCTCCCCCCATGCTAGGTTGCTGTGTGTCAGCTACATTCCTCTACTAAAGGCTCCTTTTAGGCCTTGAGGTGATAATAACTCCCTGCTATTACTAGCCCCTAGGGGCATTGTATCACCCATTGTTGGTTTCCTGAAATTTCACCCATTCTATTAAACCAGTTCCTGTATTAAACTTTCTCAAATTATCCTTCTGAGTTGGCACTGAGTGCCACAGTATACTTCGTGTTGTGTTTTGTAAGCCTGTTTAAATTCTGTTCCCTCTGCCTAGAATACCATTTTCTTTCTTACCTGCCCGGAGGACACCCATTTATCTTTTGGTATCTCTTCTGTGGAACCTCCCTCTCTGGTTCTCTAGACAGCAAATCATGCCCTTCTGTGGGCTAAAGTCTTGAACCAAGTTGCCTGGTTTCAAATCCTGTCTCCATCATTAAATGATTGTTTGGCCTGACACAAAATAAGTTATTAATATAATTCCATGAGGCTCAATCCCTTATCTGTAAAGCAGAAACAATAATGATAACCCCCTCATAGAATTAATGGGAGAGCTAAATTGGTTAATACTTTCATGTGCTCAGAAAAACTGCCTAGAACATTTGAGTCAATAAACATTATTACTAGAGTCATTTTTACTACTATTACTCTTAATCTATTTCACTAGCTTGTCCATGTGACTGGTCCTGGTTTTCCTGACCTTGCCCTAGCACAAGTGGATTTTCAATAAGTGTTTATTGAATCTTGGAAACAATGAATCCTGTAGCGAACAGTTTCTTCTCTGGGCTGCTTCCATTTTGAAGGAGACACTGACAGCTGAGAACATTTTGACCTTTTTATGTAGGTATATTCGAAGAGGCAATGAAGAACCAGACACTGGTATTTGATGCACTTTGGAATCTCTGGGAAACTGTTTCAGGTTTAAGAAGTTAAAACAAGCTAAACACTATTGGGGAAAAAATGCTTCCAATATTTCTAGTACATGATATTGTGTTTTAGAAAAACACACAGAATTGAAGAATTAGATAAGATAATCTAGCATTTATAACACTTAAAACTGACAAATAACTAACATGCATGAGAGTTTGCAAAGACACCTACCTAAGGTTGCTGCTTCTCTAGAAGCCAAATTTTCAGAAAAATGACCAGTAACTACTCAGTCTAATTTTTTCTTTCTATCAGGAAGAGCTGTTTGAAATATCTAAATCTGAGGGTCATATCAGCTCCTCAGAGGTTACTGCTGGTCACAACCAGTCTGCAACAGATAAAACCTCTTCATAGGAAACTTTTTGCTGGACATCATGAAAAACTTACTTTTCAAGTGAGAATTAAATGTTCAGTAAGTGAACTATGCATGTAAGTTGCAACCAAGTGAAATTCTCAAATCTGCTTTAGGAGGATATTCCATTTCTAGAACAGCTACATCCCCAATCCCACTTTCTGAGGCCCTTTGTTTCATGTCCAGATGCATCTGCCACAACAGCCCTGCTTGCCCAGCAATGAAGTCTAGTCTTTTCTTTGAAAAGAAAATTTAAAATTAGGAAAAGAAAGAAGCAATAGCAATTAATTAATTATATACTCTTTGCCTATTATTTATGAGAAGATTCACCAGGAATTTTATATGCATTATCACATTAGTTATCATCACATTAATAATAATGTTATGAGGTTCCTTATTTTTAACCTTTTTACACAAATGAAGAAACTGAGGTCCAGGGATAAATAATTTGCTCCAGGCCCCACAACTACTAATAATCTCTACTTTATCTTTTCACAATTTATATTATTTTTATCTGATCAGAAGTTTTCAACAACAGTCAGTACCTCCTCTCCTGCCACCAATAAATGTTTGGAAATGTGTGGAGCATTTTCGTTTATCACACTTTTGCCTGAGTCCTTCTGGTTTTTAGTGTGTGGCCAGGGCTCACTGCAACTCTGCACACACACAAAATGTATCTTTCTCTAGTGCCTACACACGCCTTTTGAGAAACACTTGAATAAACTCTGGAGGCTGAGTGATTTCTGTCTAACAAACTACAAATTAAGAAGTAGTTAATTTATCTGAGTGTTATTTTAATCAAATACATCCATCCCAGCCATTAAAAATATCTGAATCTAGACAGGATGATTGAATATAATTACATTCCAAAATGTGGATATTCGACCAACTAGAGTCTATAATTCCTGATCTCAGATCAAAGACCAATTTTATTGTATATTTTTTAAACAAGTAAAAACAAGATTATGTAATCAAACCTTTAATTTAAAGTCACTGCTATAATTGTCAGAGCCTGGTAAGATTGAAATGTTAACATATTTTCTAACTCTCTTGACAAACCTGTCATATTTCAACATAAACAATTTGAAAATTATCATGCAAATACAATTTGAGGTTTCAACAAATACACCAGAACCAAAAAATGTTACCTTTCAAATCTGTCACTCTGAAGTGATGCAAACATTCAAAAAATGCTTCCCAATTATTGCAAATGCATTTGTCATTCCTCTCTGTGAATGTTTTTAGACCATGCATTCTTTTCAGTAGTTCACATGTACTCTCCGTGAAAACATTTAACTTTGAGTAATAGTGAAGAGTTGTCTGGCATCAACTCTTCATCTATTACATTCAATTTGATTGAATTAAGCAAAAATATTTTGCTCACAGCATGTAACAGGATAGAAATGAGCAGGGCAGAAATCTGCAGAAAGATGGATGATCCTTCTTGGTAGCAATTTTCTTTTGTTTAAATTTAGATGTGATTATAATTCTCAAACTGATAGCCCTTATGCCTCAAGAAACTGAAACTGATGGTGCCTTTTAAAGTGGGACCCCAACACTATGCAAACAACATTTGACTGGATACACAGAATAATATTCATTTGAACATCTACCTTCTGTTATATCTCTTTTCAAAATCAATTTTATTATGTTGTAGCACACTTTGTGTCTATTCACACAGTTTGCTTCATAGCCTTTGTGTGCTTCCTATTTGGGGATACACATTTTATTTCCTAATAACTCTGCAGAACGAAGTGGTCCCCTCACTCTGAGCACAAGTGAAATGAGGAGATATCAGCATCAAGAACATCAAAAACTTGGTAGACTAGAGACTCAGAGCACTACCAGGGCCTCCAACCTAGAATACAAACTCTATGGGACAGATGATGTAACTTGTTTTAGTCCACCAACCTGCTGTGATTATTTGTATAGTTAGTAAGACTGCCACACAGTGAGGGGAAAACACCTCTTAGATGTAATAAATGGGATCAGAAGAGATGATCAATGTAAAGGCATGGTAAAAGGAGACAAGGAGCCTGGATTCAGAACTCCTCTGCAAATCCCCAGTAGAGTCAATCATTTGACAGCTTTGAGCCTAAGTATCCTTGTCTAAAAAAATGAGGGCATGCAACTAGTTATTAATAATGTCCATCATTCTTTTCACTCCCATATTTTATTAAGAAAACAGAAAAAAAACTCTCATATAAACAATTTAAAAGTTTAGAAATTCAGCAGCCTGACTGAAAGAAGCTGGTTTGAGATGCTACTCAGCTTTGAATGTAGATTCAAACACATTCAAATCTAGAGATGCATGACAGCATAACCTTTTCAAATGTGACCGCTCCCTTCTTCCCATGAATCTCTTATCCCACACTTCACTGCTTGCCTTCCAATCAAACTTTTATGATTCACTACAACTTTGGTCAGAACTATTCTCAAATCTACCTGTTTTTTTTAAATACATTTCACTCAGTATTTCCATGTAAGGAAACTCTTTGGCATAAGTTAGGAATAAATCCCAGGATTTCCCAAACATTAAACCAGGTAGTCCCTCCTTGTGTCTAACTTAGACGTCCTGAGCCATGATTTTCAGCCCTTTCCCTCGTGTTCTCTGACTCTCTTTAAGGAGAAACACCTAAGATGTCTAAGCCATCCTCTAAGAAAAAGTTGACGATTTATTCTGTAGACAAGATGTCCCTGGGAGGAAACCAGAGGTCACTCTTGCTGTCAAACAAGATCTTTGTCAATATTGAAATGAGAACTAATTTGACTTAATCTAAGTTGACAGGGATTAAAAAGAGCTCAGTACTATAATAAACTCATCAATGATATTAGAATTGAGAGACTACAAAAGCAAAATACATCTATAGTCTGAGGGTAGTTTCAAAGCATTTGATAACTATATAAAGTGTCACAAAAGAAGTAACAGAAATAAAAACTCTAGGAAGTTGTTTTCTATTTATGACAGGAGAGAGTACCGTGTCTTCAAATGGCTACATTTTAAAGTCAATTTCTGTTCTGGGTGAGTGACATTTTCTGTTTTGGAATTTAAAAAAGTGCACTTAAAGGACCTAACAATTTTAAAAAACACACACAAATTATCACATCAGTTTATAAATAATTTTCTAGAGTTTGTTTTATGTGGTCCTTTTCCAGAACAAAGACAACATCTCCTCACTCCATCGTGGGTGGTTTATTATATTGTTGGCTTGGTTCCCACATTATAAGTAAGGAAATGCTATTTAATGATAATTGACATTGTTATGGCAAATGTTTTGATTAGTATCATAATCAAGATCTTGGTTACACAATTATCATTATTATTCCTGTTTCATCTTGATAACAAGATGGGTCACTTAGTGATCTCAGAGACCTGTCGACTTAACCATTGATTGCCTGGTGTAAAATGAGAACTGTGCCATTATGTGTCAACTTTAAAAATGTGGTGGTAGGGTTATCCACTTATCTCAGTTTTCCTGGGAATTTCACAGAGTTAGCACTGAAGATTTTATGTCCTGGGAAATTTGTCAGTCTCAGGCAAACTGGGACGGTGGGTCACCCCATGTGGTGGAGTGGGACTAGAGTCTGGGAATCAAAAAACCTGGAATCTCTCTATCTAGTGGCATCTATCTGAGCTTTGGTTTCAGCCTATAATAATTTGCTTGAGTCTTAAAAAAACACTCTAAATATTACTACACTTGCATGTCTTTTGAAAACTACAATGTTGTATACAAATATTAGATCTTTTCACTTTTATCTTATAAACTAGCAACCTGAACAGATCTGCCCATCTTCTTGAGAGCCACGGATTGTTGTAGTTTTGTTAACTTCATTAGATACTATAGTTCATTGTGGTGCTTCTTGGGGTGAAGTTTTGGCTTCACAGTTGTTAAGCCTACTTTATGCTTGCAGAAACATTATCTTCTCTATTCAAATCTGAGCAGCTATGTGGCATGGAGCAAAGTTTACTAGATTAAGTTCTATCTCTGTCATGTATTAGCAGTGTGGCATGGAGTGAATCATCTAACTTTCTTAGCTTCAGTTTTTCTGTTTGAAAAATAGACAATAATTCTGTAAAACATGTCTCAAAGAGTTGTTTTTATTATAAAAATGGGGAACATAAAATGTAAAAACTATAAAGTAATATATAAATACCATAAAAAATATTGTATTTATCATTAAATAAGCAGGAGACCATTAGTCTGAGCCTGTCCTCATACTTTAAATTCCTACCTAACAAACCACAATCTAACTTGGTAAGTAAACAAAATAAAACCTGACTTAGGACTATTATATTTTTGTAACAAATAGCCTGGTTTTCAATCAATCATATGCAGCCAACTCATCACACCATGCCCAAGTAAGGCAGATGCCTAGCTATAGACAATTAGGTGATTTCTCTATTTTGCTTTCATGTTCAGTTTATAAAAGCTCACTGTTGGCTGGGCACAGTGGCTCATGCCTATAATCCCAGCACTTTGGGAGGCTGAGATGGGCGGATCACAGGGTCAGGAGTTCGAGACCAGCCTGTCCAATATGTTGAAACCCCATCTCTACTAAAAATACAAAAATTAGCCAGGTATGGTGGTGGGCACCTGTACTCCCAGCCACTCAGGAGGCTGAGGCAGGAGAATCACTGGAACCCAGCAGAGGTTGTAGTGAACCAAGATTGTGCCATTGTGCCACTGCACTGCAGCCTGGGCAACAGGGTGAGACTCCATCTCAAAAAAAAAAAAAAAAAAAAAAAGCCAACTGTTACCATTACTGGGAAAAGATCTCTGAGCCTCTTCTGTTTCTGAGTGCTGCCTGATTCATGAATTGTTATTTTCTCAAATAAACTGTTAAATCTAACATTCTTAATTTTTAAAAAAATCATAATTAACACTATATATAATCACAAATATTAATTTCAAGGTGCATATCAAGAATTTGTCCTTCAATTACAGTACCATGATATTGACGGCCCAGTGAGTTCTAAATAGGGAGGAATTATAAACTTATGTGGACATAGAATGGTAAAGCTGGAAAGAACATTAGAAGCCCTCTGATTCAATCCCTGACATTGATACTCTGAAGACCTGAAATACAAAGTGAATTTGATCTATTCTTATAGCTAATTAGAGTTGGAGCCATACTTCAACCCTAGTCTCTTGACCCTGATTTAAGTTCTCTTTTACTATACTTCTCGGCTTCACCTTTTAAGGCATCAAATTTAAAGTCAGGATCTTTGATTTTTCAGCTAGTTATTCTGCATATCTTTATCTACTATTCCTGGAAAGATTGAAACCTCTCAGTTTAAGAAGCCACCAAACAGTTGTAAAATTCTTACATATACAAAAGAGTTAGGGCATAATTATTTAATTCTGTAGCCAATAAATGGTCCCTAAGACAGAAAAGGTGAAGTACAAGACTGTTGCAATTGATATCTATGCAGCCTTTCTACATGCATATCCATGTCCCGCTATTCTTCTTAGGGTAAAACTATGACAGTCAGCCTATTTTCTTTCTAGATTACCAAGTCTCAAGTACTCCTTTATAGCAATGAAAAATGGACTAATAGTCTAGAACAGAACTAATAGAACAGAAAATCATTTTTATAGAAAGGAACTTGGACAAAATCATGTTGCAGATAAAGATTTGTACAACAAGAAACACACAGGAATTTCTCACTGATACGGAGTCAGTGTGAGTTTATAGAGTTTTGCCCAAAAAGAAGTGTGCGTGTGTGAGCTGTCAGAGATAGAGACAGAAATATTAGAAATCTATAATATCTAATACATGAGTGATAGATATATTACAAATAGATGTGGATCAAGCTAGATGATGCCTAATCAGGAAGATAAGGCAAAGTATCTACTACATAACAATTTGAAGTCTCACTAAGAGTAACCTGTAGTTGAGGGTAAGAGAGTACGCAAGGGAACTGCATCACATTATAAATGATTCTGGCAGGAAGTTGAGGTGAGGAGCTGTAAAGAAAGAAGAACTCCAGGGCTTTGGAGAAACCTCTAGTAAACAAAAGATCCTGAGCAAACTGGAGCTAAGTCAACATAGGAAAGTATGTTCATATGCTGGTATGTATGTGAATTGACCTAAGGAGCTTATAAAAGAGATTCTGGAGTGTCATCCCAAAGACTCTTATTAAGTATGTAGACAGGGTTGGTCTACAAATCTGAATTTTAACAAGTGCCCTTGGTGATTCAAATATAGAGTTCATGGCCCACACTTTAAGTAGTATGCTCTGTGACATCTTTGTGTTTCTCTCAGTGTCTCCTGAGCCCCAGCCCCCAGCCTCCAGTAAATACTCATGAAGACCATTCACAAAGTTGAGGCTCCAGATACTTTTCATTAGGAACCATGAAAGGAGAAAAGACAACTGAATGCCACTCTAAGGACTTTGGATGAAATCAGAACTTGGATCTCTATCTGAATAGTCAAAATGATGATGGTTATGATGATGATGATGATGATGGTAGTTATCTCATAAATGCTTAAATGTAGCAGGAACTATGCTAAAGGTTTCAAATACAATTTTAGTATATTCCTGCTGCTATAAGAGAATAGGCTGGGTAATTTATAAATAATAGAAATTTATTTCTCACAGGTCTGGTGGCTGGAAAGTCCAAGATCAAGGTGCCAGAAGATTCAGTGTTTGGTAAGGGTGTGCCGTTCCTTCCTCACATTGTGGAAGAGGTGAAAAGGCATTCAGGTGCTCCCTTCAACCTCTTTTATAAGGGCACAAATCCATTCATGAGGCCAGAGTCCTCAAGATCTAATCGCTTCCCAAAAGCTCCCCAGCCTCTTAATGTTGTACACTGGGTATTAGGTTCCAACGTATGAATTTCGGAGGAACACATACATTCAAACCATGCACACATATAGCAGGTGATTCTCACAACAAAACTAGGAGTGCACCATCATTATCTTCATTGCACTTCAAAGGAAACCTTAGTTTTAGAACATAAAGCAATTTTCCCAAGGTTACACATCTATGAAATAGCAGAAATATGAGTCAAATACAGCTCTGTTTGACTGCAAACCCCATGTCCTTAACCCCGTATTAATTGCTTGTCACTACTTATCTTTGAGACAAGGCTTCTCTCTCTTTAAGACTCAAGTATCTCCTCAATTCTGAATCTTTCACTGATTTCTGTCTCTCAGGAGCAATTTCTCTCCCAACTGTGTTGCCATCCATAACATTTTACACAACTCAGTTGTATTTGTGTTATGCTAATCCATTTATACTTTGTCTGTCTGGCTCATCGAGGGCTCCTGGAAGGCAGGAGCTACATTTTGTTCTACTTTGCATCCCCGTGCCTGGCCACCAGCATCAACTCTATAAGTGTTGGCTGAATTGAACAATTTAGATAAAGTTGTCTTTCAATGAATCGTTTCTATAAAATGTTGTTATTGTTGTTATTGTTTTCAATGCCAAGAAAATTTTAAAGATTATAAAGCTACAATTTGAAAGTGATGGAAGTGAAGTAGGGATAATGATTAGAGATGTTAGTTTTTACTCTATCCTGTGATAGCAAATATAGGGAAACATTGCTGAAGTTTGAAAGGAAGCTTTTAACTGCAAATAAGTTAACATGTGGAATTTATTATGGCAATTATTTATATGAACTGAAAGTAAAAATAGGCACAGGAAGGGTTTAGATAAATTCAAAGATGAGAGCTGCATAACAAATTGTTAATAGCAAATTAGAGTGGGTCAGGGCATGTCTATCATTTCTGAAAAAAGGCAAACTGTCTGCTTCCCCCTAAAAAGCCATTGAGTTCCAATAAGAGCTGAGGGGTAGGGAAGAAAAAAAAAGAGCTGAGTAAGAGTTTGATAGAAATTAGCCATAATTAATTTGGTGCTTCCATTTATATCTATATCTATATCTACTTACTTTTGTACTTGTATTTTGATACTCTTATATGCTAAGCAAGAATTGACACCAGGGATAATTCATTGAGATTAGGAACACTGCATCAAGCTGCACTGAACACAAAGCAAACACTCAGTAAATATTGTTCAACAATAAGCTGGATAATAGAAAGCTTAGTTACTCTTCATTTGGGTCACAGAAGATGCTTTCAGAAACTCAACATGATTCAACACCAGTGCTATAAATGACTGGAGTTGTTTCTTCAAAATATTTTAATCAAACTATGATATCCAATAAGATAAAAAGAAAACACAGATCTTAGTAATCATGTTCAGTTTACCAGTATCATGGAATTAATTCCTGAGAAGTTCCTAAGCTTTGATATGGTTAGATCCAAGTCACTGCGAAGACACTAAGTCTCAAAGGATCTAAAAAATATTTTGAGTGTCCTTTCTTTCCTCACATCCCAGTCTCAATGAACCTTCACCAAAGACACATTAAAGAGAAAAATACCATTTTAATTCAGAAAGATGTAGGAACACAGCATACACTCCCTAGATGGTCCTTCCCAGTGATTCTGTTATTGAGTATTGAAAAAATTATCCTTAGTAAAAAATGTATTTATTAGATTTCCATATATGTACTTAGTATTAGCTGTTTCATCAAGGAATGCTCTTGTATTATGTATCATATCCATTTCTCCACAAATCTTATTAGTGCATGTAATTTCACTTCCCTCTAGAAGTAGCAGTAAAGCTGGTTAAGTTGCAATTGCCAATACAACTGCAATATAAAATTGGATGTGTATTTTCCACAGGCCCTTCTCATTTTGCCCAACTCTCTGTGGGCATGGATAGTGCAAAGTTAAAATGTTTAAGATCAAGGTAATCAGATCACCACTAAGTAAAATGTAGTTGCCTATACAAGGTAATACTGTCCTCACCTGTGAAGAATGAAGAACCTGTAAGCAGTGCTATTGCCTGCTGAACCTGTTGAGTTATTAGTAGGAAAAGAAAGAATGCTTGCCCTAGGCACACAAGCTATCACACTTGAAATAGATTTTTCCAAAAGTGCAATCTGATCATACTTGCTGAATGTCTGTAAACTCAGAATTATTACCGAAGTTCCAAGTTGGACTGAAATATCTGAAAAAAAAAAGGCCCATAAGAATGGATGCATGGAGACACACACATACACACACACACACACACACACACACACACACACTTTTCAGTGCACCCAAAGGGACAGATTGTGTCCTTTAATCAGTGACTAATTATCAAGTATTTATACAGCCTTTAGGATATAACCTGTACTGTGCCAGGTACTTGGGAGGAAGGTGATAGTAGAAAAATGAATGATATCATCCCTAAATCCAAAAGTTACATAGACTTTGTAAGTGAGACAAGACAAGGAGTAATTACTAAGTAAGTGATTTATTATAAATTTAATAAGGTGATTTACTATAAACAAAGCATAACAAACACGACATTATGAGTCCTATTCATACAAATTGAATGCAGTACATCTTCATTGACTACTTCCTAACTACAAAGCTCACTGCAAGGTGTTCTAGGGAATGAAAAGAGTAAGGTTCAGGCCTTATTGTTAAGAAGAGAGGGAGACAAAGAAAATTACTTTGTGGTAGCCTGTGACAAGGCCCTCTGCTTGTTGCTTTCAGTACACTAACTGATTGATCACACATAGTAGTTCCCAGGGTAAATAACAGCAACTCCATTTTACAAATGAGGAAACTGTGGCTTGGAGTAACATCCAAGATTTCCCCATGGTTAGAGTATGAATTCTGTCTAGGAAGGCCTGTGTGGACTTGATCTCCATGGTAGACTTCCTTCTTCTAGATCACTGGAACTTGTAATGCCGGGCAGGAGTTACCACAGGCTGCTCCCTCAGTGGTCTGTGAGAACCTGTCGTTGGTGTGTTGCAAAATGAAAAACATAAGCCAATGTTGTGAGTTTTTAAAAAACCTAAATGATTAAATTGAAGGGATCGTCCATTTGTATGAAGTTGTTCCCTTCTTCCTTTTGTGATGTCAAAGGTCATTTGGAAAATAATGGTGGCAGTTGATGGTAGCTGCTGTTACTTTTTTAGCTTTTATTTTCTAGAAAAGCAAACCTAAAATTGGTACTTCATGTCAGTTCCTCATGTATTGTTTTGACTTTCTTTCTTTTAAATGGCGCTTGAGATCCAAAATCTGGGAAGCATTAATTAAATAGATAATTTTGAGATGAGTCTTGGTATAGGGTGCAGTCATGTGAAAAATTCTGAAAATTTTCAATGGATTTTTAAAATGAGAAAAAAATTCTTGACAGACTGGCTTTAGCTTTATATCATTTTCAAACTCTTATTCATCCATATTTTTTTTGACAAATTGCACAAACCATAGGAAAGTGCCCCATTTTGTGACCTCCCTGGAACCTTACACTTCTTAGACATCTTGCGTAAATATAAAGATAAAAGCCAACATGAAGAATGAGGTCCACTTACATGAAAATAAGACAAAACTGTCAACAAAGTACACCAAAAGGAAAGAACTGTTACTCTAAGTTTATGTTTCTACTTTAAAGGATAAACACAACCCCATCCATTTCAGTTTGCTTTTCCTGATGTTATGAAGCTACAGTGCAGCTGTCAATTGCTTCCCACCTCGATGTCACAGCTCACTCAGTCTTCCCCTCTTTCCAAATATGTATGCATCAGGTGGGGTAGGGAGAGGAAGCTTAGTGTGTCAATAATTAAAAAGAAAAAAAAAACGAATCTCATTTCAGTGGCATTCACCAGATGAGTCTGCCCGGCAAATAATGAAGACAGAGTAGTGTTGCTAATGAAGGTGGTGAGTTTCCCATAAGAAAAGCCTGTGGCTCAGCCAGAGAGGCAAGAACCTGGACTCTTCTGCCCTAAAGTCTATTATGCCAATGGCATGTTTCCTTCTCCCAAACTCAAAGCTTAGAGATAGATCCTAACAAGAAGGACAAAGGATCACGTATATCATCTGAGTTGTGGTTATGCATTGTCTTAGTTAATGCCGGAGAAGTGGTGAAACTGGTGCTCCCAGGTCCTAACCCTGCTGAAGATGAGGCAATAACAGTGCAACTCAATCCAACATTTGTTAAATATCCCATGGGTTCAGCACACCTTGAGGCAAAGGCTCACAGCTAAGTAAGGGAAGAGACTTTGTTTATTTACCTTTGTATTTCCCACTCCTAGCATAGTTCCTGGTACCTGGTAGGTACTTAATACATTCTTAGTGGATAAGTACATGGAAGTGTGTAAAAGATATTCAGTAAATATGCATAGAATAAAGAACTAAATGTACTGTACTAGTTCAGTTTTGTTATTTGAGAATCAAGACTGAGTCAATAGAAGTGGCCCTTTTTTAAGAAAAATACATGATAATGTCATGATTACTTATAGCTCATTTTTTTTCTGTGTGTTTGTTCATCTGTCTCTGCAACTATCTATATATTTATCTATCTATTTTTGGGTCTTTTTCTCTGTATTTCTTTCTCAGTGGCTTAAAGGAGTCATGACAGAAAAGATTCAGAGGAAAAAAATGTCCAACTCACTGTTTCCTTTGTCATCCATTCCTTTAACTGTCTTGGCTTTTTCTGTTCCTTCCCTTTCTCTTCTAGCCCCTGTCTCCAGCCCCTTTAGACCTCTGGCAGGAAGGCCATGGCCTTGTAAGCTGTGAGAACTCGCTGTGATCCCTGTCATTTATTCTGACCCTGAGATTCTCTGTTAAACCACCAGGAACAGAATACCTGGAAGGTGGTAATGGTTGACTATGGAAGGCTTGAAAAATTGTTGGGCAGAAAAGGAAAACTCTAGGCAAATCACCCAAGTACTAAATGAGGCTTAGCCTCTCGTTTAAAGGACAAAGAGAGTCCTGTTTCATTCGTTACAGTGTCTTCAATTTTATTTTATTTTTTTCACATTCTGCTCTTTAGGCCGTTGGTCCAGATTGTTAAAGGAAAGAGGAGGTGCCACAGCTCAGCAACCTCTAATGTGAAAGTGAATGATTTTCAGAATTTTCCTTGTTATGCGGCACTCTTTACTGACTCTCAGGAGCACAGGCTGCCATAGCCTGCTCAGGCTTCTCACACCAACCTCCCATTGACCTATGACCATATCCATAAGCAACAGAAACCAGGCCACAAAACGGGCAGCCTCACTGCACAAACAGGCCAGCATCAGTGCCTCCTGTCAGCACAGAGACCACCCAAAGGCGAGACCCTTACTCAAGAGCCCTGTCCTCACTGCACAGTGGAGAAGATGTGGACCACCTCTGACTTTTTTGCTTGTTCCCAAGACTTCTTTTGGATACATCCTCTGTACCAAGAATAATTCCTTCCCTATAGCCCAAGCTCCACCCTCTCTGCAGGACCTGTCATGCCCCAAGTGAGCCTCTCACTTTGCCAACATCATGAGCAAAGCTTCCTTTTGACATTTGCCTTCTTTTGCCCTTTTTTTTTCTTTTTTGTGAGATGGAGTCTTGCTCTGTCACCCAGACTGAAGTGTAGTGGTGCGATCTCTGCC